>NC_000012.12:24584650-25209650 GCF_000001405.40 Homo sapiens | reverse complement strand
TTTAAAATGACAGTGGAAGTTTTTTTTTCCTCTAAGTGCCAGTATTCCCAGAGTTTTGGTTTTTGAACTAGCAATGCCTGTGAAAAAGAAACTGAATACCTAAGATTTCTGTCTTGGGGCTTTTGGTGCATGCAGTTGATTACTTCTTATTTTTCTTACCAATTGTGAATGTTGGTGTGAAACAAATTAATGAAGCTTTTGAATCATCCCTATTCTGTGTTTTATCTAGTCACATAAATGGATTAATTACTAATTTCAGTTGAGACCTTCTAATTGGTTTTTACTGAAACATTGAGGGAACACAAATTTATGGGCTTCCTGATGATGATTCTTCTAGGCATCATGTCCTATAGTTTGTCATCCCTGATGAATGTAAAGTTACACTGTTCACAAAGGTTTTGTCTCCTTTCCACTGCTATTAGTCATGGTCACTCTCCCCAAAATATTATATTTTTTCTATAAAAAGAAAAAAATGGAAAAAAATTACAAGGCAATGGAAACTATTATAAGGCCATTTCCTTTTCACATTAGATAAATTACTATAAAGACTCCTAATAGCTTTTCCTGTTAAGGCAGACCCAGTATGAAATGGGGATTATTATAGCAACCATTTTGGGGCTATATTTACATGCTACTAAATTTTTATAATAATTGAAAAGATTTTAACAAGTATAAAAAATTCTCATAGGAATTAAATGTAGTCTCCCTGTGTCAGACTGCTCTTTCATAGTATAACTTTAAATCTTTTCTTCAACTTGAGTCTTTGAAGATAGTTTTAATTCTGCTTGTGACATTAAAAGATTATTTGGGCCAGTTATAGCTTATTAGGTGTTGAAGAGACCAAGGTTGCAAGGCCAGGCCCTGTGTGAACCTTTGAGCTTTCATAGAGAGTTTCACAGCATGGACTGTGTCCCCACGGTCATCCAGTGTTGTCATGCATTGGTTAGTCAAAATGGGGAGGGACTAGGGCAGTTTGGATAGCTCAACAAGATACAATCTCACTCTGTGGTGGTCCTGCTGACAAATCAAGAGCATTGCTTTTGTTTCTTAAGAAAACAAACTCTTTTTTAAAAATTACTTTTAAATATTAACTCAAAAGTTGAGATTTTGGGGTGGTGGTGTGCCAAGACATTAATTTTTTTTTTAAACAATGAAGTGAAAAAGTTTTACAATCTCTAGGTTTGGCTAGTTCTCTTAACACTGGTTAAATTAACATTGCATAAACACTTTTCAAGTCTGATCCATATTTAATAATGCTTTAAAATAAAAATAAAAACAATCCTTTTGATAAATTTAAAATGTTACTTATTTTAAAATAAATGAAGTGAGATGGCATGGTGAGGTGAAAGTATCACTGGACTAGGAAGAAGGTGACTTAGGTTCTAGATAGGTGTCTTTTAGGACTCTGATTTTGAGGACATCACTTACTATCCATTTCTTCATGTTAAAAGAAGTCATCTCAAACTCTTAGTTTTTTTTTTTTACAACTATGTAATTTATATTCCATTTACATAAGGATACACTTATTTGTCAAGCTCAGCACAATCTGTAAATTTTTAACCTATGTTACACCATCTTCAGTGCCAGTCTTGGGCAAAATTGTGCAAGAGGTGAAGTTTATATTTGAATATCCATTCTCGTTTTAGGACTCTTCTTCCATATTAGTGTCATCTTGCCTCCCTACCTTCCACATGCCCCATGACTTGATGCAGTTTTAATACTTGTAATTCCCCTAACCATAAGATTTACTGCTGCTGTGGATATCTCCATGAAGTTTTCCCACTGAGTCACATCAGAAATGCCCTACATCTTATTTCCTCAGGGCTCAAGAGAATCTGACAGATACCATAAAGGGATTTGACCTAATCACTAATTTTCAGGTGGTGGCTGATGCTTTGAACATCTCTTTGCTGCCCAATCCATTAGCGACAGTAGGATTTTTCAAACCTGGTATGAATAGACAGAACCCTATCCAGTGGAAGGAGAATTTAATAAAGATAGTGCTGAAAGAATTCCTTAGGTAATCTATAACTAGGACTACTCCTGGTAACAGTAATACATTCCATTGTTTTAGTAACCAGAAATCTTCATGCAATGAAAAATACTTTAATTCATGAAGCTTACTTTTTTTTTTTGGTGTCAGAGTCTCGCTCTTGTCACCCAGGCTGGAATGCAGTGGCGCCATCTCAGCTCACTGCAACCTCCATCTCCCAGGTTCAAGCGATTCTCGTGCCTCGGCCTCCTGAGTAGCTGGGATTACAGGCGTGTGCCACTACACTCAACTAATTTTTGTATTTTTAGGAGAGACGGGGTTTCACCCTGTTGGCCAGGCTGGTCTCGAACTCCTGACCTCAAGTGATTCACCCACCTTGGCCTCATAAACCTGTTTTGCAGAACTCATTTATTCAGCAAATATTTATTGAGTGCCTACCAGATGCCAGTCACCACACAAGGCACTGGGTATATGGTATCCCCAAACAAGAGACATAATCCCGGTCCTTAGGTAGTGCTAGTGTGGTCTGTAATATCTTACTAAGGCCTTTGGTATACGACCCAGAGATAACACGATGCGTATTTTAGTTTTGCAAAGAAGGGGTTTGGTCTCTGTGCCAGCTCTATAATTGTTTTGCTACGATTCCACTGAAACTCTTCGATCAAGCTACTTTATGTAAATCACTTCATTGTTTTAAAGGAATAAACTTGATTATATTGTTTTTTTATTTGGCATAACTGTGATTCTTTTAGGACAATTACTGTACACATTAAGGTGTATGTCAGATATTCATATTGACCCAAATGTGTAATATTCCAGTTTTCTCTGCATAAGTAATTAAAATATACTTAAAAATTAATAGTTTTATCTGGGTACAAATAAACAGGTGCCTGAACTAGTTCACAGACAAGGAAACTTCTATGTAAAAATCACTATGATTTCTGAATTGCTATGTGAAACTACAGATCTTTGGAACACTGTTTAGGTAGGGTGTTAAGACTTACACAGTACCTCGTTTCTACACAGAGAAAGAAATGGCCATACTTCAGGAACTGCAGTGCTTATGAGGGGATATTTAGGCCTCTTGAATTTTTGATGTAGATGGGCATTTTTTTAAGGTAGTGGTTAATTACCTTTATGTGAACTTTGAATGGTTTAACAAAAGATTTGTTTTTGTAGAGATTTTAAAGGGGGAGAATTCTAGAAATAAATGTTACCTAATTATTACAGCCTTAAAGACAAAAATCCTTGTTGAAGTTTTTTTAAAAAAAGCTAAATTACATAGACTTAGGCATTAACATGTTTGTGGAAGAATATAGCAGACGTATATTGTATCATTTGAGTGAATGTTCCCAAGTAGGCATTCTAGGCTCTATTTAACTGAGTCACACTGCATAGGAATTTAGAACCTAACTTTTATAGGTTATCAAAACTGTTGTCACCATTGCACAATTTTGTCCTAATATATACATAGAAACTTTGTGGGGCATGTTAAGTTACAGTTTGCACAAGTTCATCTCATTTGTATTCCATTGATTTTTTTTTTCTTCTAAACATTTTTTCTTCAAACAGTATATAACTTTTTTTAGGGGATTTTTTTTTAGACAGCAAAAACTATCTGAAGATTTCCATTTGTCAAAAAGTAATGATTTCTTGATAATTGTGTAGTAATGTTTTTTAGAACCCAGCAGTTACCTTAAAGCTGAATTTATATTTAGTAACTTCTGTGTTAATACTGGATAGCATGAATTCTGCATTGAGAAACTGAATAGCTGTCATAAAATGAAACTTTCTTTCTAAAGAAAGATACTCACATGAGTTCTTGAAGAATAGTCATAACTAGATTAAGATCTGTGTTTTAGTTTAATAGTTTGAAGTGCCTGTTTGGGATAATGATAGGTAATTTAGATGAATTTAGGGGAAAAAAAAGTTATCTGCAGATATGTTGAGGGCCCATCTCTCCCCCCACACCCCCACAGAGCTAACTGGGTTACAGTGTTTTATCCGAAAGTTTCCAATTCCACTGTCTTGTGTTTTCATGTTGAAAATACTTTTGCATTTTTCCTTTGAGTGCCAATTTCTTACTAGTACTATTTCTTAATGTAACATGTTTACCTGGAATGTATTTTAACTATTTTTGTATAGTGTAAACTGAAACATGCACATTTTGTACATTGTGCTTTCTTTTGTGGGACATATGCAGTGTGATCCAGTTGTTTTCCATCATTTGGTTGCGCTGACCTAGGAATGTTGGTCATATCAAACATTAAAAATGACCACTCTTTTAATTGAAATTAACTTTTAAATGTTTATAGGAGTATGTGCTGTGAAGTGATCTAAAATTTGTAATATTTTTGTCATGAACTGTACTACTCCTAATTATTGTAATGTAATAAAAATAGTTACAGTGACTATGAGTGTGTATTTATTCATGAAATTTGAACTGTTTGCCCCGAAATGGATATGGAATACTTTATAAGCCATAGACACTATAGTATACCAGTGAATCTTTTATGCAGCTTGTTAGAAGTATCCTTTATTTCTAAAAGGTGCTGTGGATATTATGTAAAGGCGTGTTTGCTTAAACTTAAAACCATATTTAGAAGTAGATGCAAAACAAATCTGCCTTTATGACAAAAAAATAGGATAACATTATTTATTTATTTCCTTTTATCAAAGAAGGTAATTGATACACAACAGGTGACTTGGTTTTAGGCCCAAAGGTAGCAGCAGCAACATTAATAATGGAAATAATTGAATAGTTAGTTATGTATGTTAATGCCAGTCACCAGCAGGCTATTTCAAGGTCAGAAGTAATGACTCCATACATATTATTTATTTCTATAACTACATTTAAATCATTACCAGGAACTGTTTGTTTTGTAGTGAACCTTGAGTATGTGCTGTTAATATACCAAATTGGGTGAAAAAATAAGGGATTCCTTTCAAAAGTTAAGAGAAGTAAGTGTGTAAGAAATTATTTTGCTTATTAAATGTTCGGTAAATGGCATTCTCTTGTCAGTAAAATGGAGAAATAAGCTAAAAATAATTGGCTAAGTCCTATTAAGTTAGAGGATTAAGTGTATTATATTTTCATTCAAAATTGGGTGCTCATTAATTTATGATCGGTAGTATAGCTAAATTGCTATGTTTGTATCAAAATTGAGCATAAAGTTGCTGATACTTTCTCCGTATGAACAGAAGTTGAAACCTATTTAGTTCAGTAGGGCAGCTCAGGGATTTTTTACACAACATGTATATCTTCCCATTTTAAGTTAGAATTATTTTACAACATCTGGTATACATAAACAGCTGGCACTGATAGCTAAATTAAAGTAGTAATGATCAATTAGTTTTGTTGGTATCTGAATAATAGCGTTGTTTCATAGCTCTGTATTTCCTAAGGAAGTACAAAGCTTCTAGCTCTTTCATTACAAATTCGCCCTGTGCAATAAGTTCTTTGATCTTCTCTGGATTCTTCACATCTTTGTTTTTAAGGAAAATGTTCTTCAAACGCTTTTTAAAATAGTCTGCTCCTTTTGGATAGTCTCGTCCAAGATACAGCAGCTTCAAAAAGAAAGATTATATATTTCTAAACAATCCATGTCATATAATAACATTTTTATAAAATTGGCAACATAATTACTTACATTTTTATAAAGTTTTAGTACTTCTCCTCTTAAAGAATTGGCCATTTTCATTTATCATGTAAATTATCCACTTTTATGCATAACATACCTAAAGAAAGGAAAATTTTTTTGCAATTAGCTGCATTGTAGTCTTAAAAAAATAAAAAAAGGTTATACACATTGAGAAAATGGTAACCTTTTTTACATTCAATAAATATTTCTTGATAACTTTTTCGTTCCACGTACTGGGATATAGTTATAAACACTTCCGATAAAATTACCTGCTGTCATAATTGACGTTTTCCTATGGGAGACATAAGCAAAGACAATTGTGATTGTGAGAAGTCACATGAAGGAAATGAGAAAGTGGATTGTCATCACAGATAGGTACGTGTACCTCCTTTTATGCCACAGTGGAATGAGTTAAACTAGATTTAAATTCCAGTTGCATAATGTACAGATTAATTAACCTTGCTGAGCCTGAGTTTTCCTTATCAACAAACAAGAGATTATCTTTACCCTGCTCTCAAGGCAAGGCCAGAGCCACTTGAAGGACATTGAGCAGAAGCCTGATCAAATGCTGATGGGTGCTTATCCAAAGGGAGGCTGAAAACTAGCAGAAACTGGGTGAGTTAAGCAGGTTGGAATAGTAGATGGGCAGTAAGATTGGTGGTGAAGAGGCCAAATGAACAACCTGTAAGAGGGTGTCCCTGAGGAACAGGCAAAATCATGCTTCTTTATGTGTAATGTGTTAACTCTACTTTGTAGAGGAGGCTCCAAACTTAAAGGCATCATGACAGTCTAAACCTAGAAAATAATTCCCACTACCTGTTAGAGTTGAATAGTAAGCTCTTAACATTGCATCCTATCAGGTGGATGCAACTGCAATTTGTTCCATTGTGATTGATAACTTTGATTACCCAATTAATGTATTTGCTAAGATTGTCCATTGTAAAATTATTTCTCCAAGGAACCTAGTCCTTTTAATGGAGAATAGCATTTAGAAACTATAATCTGGATGGAATGCTTTAGAAACCAAGGTCTGGGTGCTAAAAATGCTAATCACCATGGGACTGTCACTGTTCCCAGGTCCTCTAAGTGACAAAGCTGCAAGTGTATATACATACGGATTTAGGTGTTGTATGTGTGTATGACTTTTATATTAATCTCCATATAATCTGCTACCTAACATTCAATTCCAATACTACAGGGTTTATTTTCATTTCCCCTCTTTACATGGGTTTAATACTCTTGCTGAACAGTGAGAAGTCTGGTTCCCACTTGTCCTTAATAAATTTACTTTTTATAATCATCACCCCTTCTCTCACTATGTAATCAAAATCCTCTTGCTGTCACCATTCGGCGCACACACTCTACTCTCTGAGCTCTGCCACCTAATGCCAGAGTGCCACTGCCACCATCCCACATGCATGGTCTTCTCTTCCCCCTTTCCCCCAACCTACCCTTCTTGGGCTCAAGCAACTTACACTGCACCATTTCCTCCCTCCTGGGTAAGGCTCACCTTTTGTTCCCATTCCAAAAACCTGTGCCACCATTTCCTTCACCCTAATAGGATGCCCTCCTCATCCCCTGCTAGGCTGCTGCTGTGCACAAGTCCCTACCCCCAGAGGCCCTCCTCACTGCATTTGGGCTCCAGTATCCCCTGCTGGGCTACTACCTTGCCAGCCTTTCTCTCGCCCCCACCTTCCCCAGATGCCTGCCTTGCTCAGCCCCACGTAATGACTTTTGGACTGAATTACTCTGATAGGCAAGCAGGAAGCAACTTTTTTTTTTTTGAGATGGATTCTTGCTCTGTCCCCAAGCTGGAGTGCAGTGGTGCCATCTCAGCTCACTGCAACCTCCACCTCCCTGGTTCAAGCAATTCCCCTGCCTCAGTCTCCCCAGTAAGCTGGGACTACGTGTGCGCGCCACCACGCCTGGCTAATTTTTTTTTTTTTTTTTTTTGTATTTCAGTAGAGACGGGGTTTCACCATGTTGGCCGGGATGGTCTTGATCTCCTCACCTTGTGATCCACCCACCTTGGCCTCCCAAAGTGCTGGGATTACAGGCGTGAGCCACCGTGCCCGGCCGCAACTTATATTTTTAAAATAGGCTTTTAGATCAGTTTTAAGGGTTATTTTATAGTTAACTAGCAGAAAATGTGGATTAAAATTACAGTACCATACTCAATTAAAAATCATGCGCTACATAATTTAAGTTCTCCTGTTAACTTCTGTTTGGGTTGAACCCCGAAGTACAATAGTGTAGATTCTCATTGTGACCTCACCTGCCCCTTTAGGCATTTTGCAAAATTTACACCTTTTACAATTTGAAAGGCAGGGTGCCAGTGCCTTCATGTATTTCATTTAATCTGAAATTTTTATACGTATTAGACATAGAAACTGCATAAAATATGAATGTACAAATTAAAGTAAAATATACATCTGGGTACCCATCATTCAAGTTATGAAACAAAAGTCTTAGAAGCCCCCATGTGCCCCTCTCCAATTGCTTCTCCTTCCCCATCTCTACCAAGATAGCCTCTAATGACTTCCTGCTTATTCTCTTTAGTTTTCCCAGCACTCATGAACATTGCCCTAAATATTTAATTTTGGCAATTTGAGCAGCAAGCACGAATCTAGCAAGGAAAAGGGCAACAATGCTGCTGTTAATTAAAGCCAAACAGCCCTAGTCTGGCTTTACCTTCTCCAGGCTTTCTGGATCCCTTCTAGAGAAGTTAATTTGCAATGTCATGAGTGAATACTGGGCTCCTCACAACTGAAGCATGTGGAAAGATCAAAGTGTAGAATTGATACCTGATTTCTGGCCAATACATAGCAAAAATGGGAAGGAGGAAGGCTATTTTCTGCTTTAAGCTCACCAACGCCCAACATCAGCTTTCAGGAATAGGTTGAAAAAGAAGGGTAAAAATGAGTGTCCTCAGTTGGTCCAGTCAGCACAGCACAGAAGAGAGCAGGAATTTCATCACCACATGGTCAAGACAAGGCAAATACCGGTAAGAATCTGAGCCAGGCTTGCCTGGGCATAATGTCCTCAGATTAAAAAGATGATACAATGGCAGCAGGGATCTTAGTGATAATAGCCATCAATGTGAGTCATGCTGCTTGATTCTGGACTGACTGCTCTCTACATCAAGAAGCACAACTGTGGTGCTGGAATCCTACTTGACCATGCTCCCAGAAATTCCTCTTGCCTATCCTCTATGTTGATTATCCCATTTTCTACATTCCAAAGTGTTCCATTTCCTGGTTTTATTTTTGTTTCTGTGGAGCACATCCTAACTTCTTGAAAAGGGTACATGGAAGGTAAATGAGACCCTGGATGTCTAAAAATGGCTGGCTCCCTCTATCTGTTTGATAGCTTGTCTGAGTATAGAATTGAAAGCTGGAAATAATTTTCTTTTCAACATTTTGAAGTAGTTGCTCGTCTGTTTGCTTTTACCATTGCTATTAAGTTCAAAGCAGTCCTGGTAAGTGATCCTCTGTATGTGATGTATTTTTTCTCTCTCTCCCCAGAAACTTACAGAATCTTCTCCATGAAGATTTTGAAATGTTAGTGATGTGTTGATAATGGATTTATTTTTATCCATTGTACTGGACACTCAGTTGGCCCTTGCAATCTGGACACTTGTTTCCTTCAATTTGGGAAAAAATTTTAAATGATTTCATTCATGATTTCCTCCCTCCTCCATTTTCTTTTTTCTCCCTTCCTGGAACTTTTATTATTTGGATGTTTGAACTTCTAAACATGTTCTCTTCCTTTTTTCTGTACTATTTTCCATTTGTCTTTTTTTTTTAAGCATGGAGTTTCGCTCTTATCACCCACGCTGGAGAGCAATGGCCTGATCTCAACTCATTGCAACCTCCGCCTCCTGGGTTCAAGTGATTCTCCTGCCTCAGCCTCCCAAGTAGCTGGAATTACAGGTGCCTGCCACTAAGCATGGCTAATTTATGTATTTTTAGTAGAGATGGCTTTTCACCATGTTGGCCAGGCTGGTCTCGAACTCCTGACCTGAGGTGATCCACTCTCCTTGGTTTCCCAAAGTGCTGGGATAACAGGTGTGTGCCTCTGCGCCCAGCCTTTTATTTAGTTGTATGGGGGATTTTCTCATTTTCTTCTTCCAAGTGTTCTACTGAGTTGTTCATTTCTGCTCTTCCTGGACAGTTAATTTTGACCACTCAGATTGCTCTCAGCATAGCTGGAGACTACTATAGAGATGTTAAAAATACTCAAAAATTATAATAGAGTAGCCTGGGAATGGGAGTAGGGGCTGGAGACCAGGAAGGAATCAAAGATGCACAAGGCAACCTTTGTGGATAGTGGATATATTTATTGTCTTGATTGTGGTGATGGCTTCATTGTGTGTGTGTGTGTGTGTGTGTGTGTGTATGTATACATATATGTATATATACAAATCTATATAATTAGTATAGATACTATATAGTATATAGTATGTAGTTTTCCCACCACTTAGCCCTGTTCTTAGACTTTTGCTGGCATTTCTATTACTTGCAAAAATATATTAAAATATATATTGACAAACAGAGGTAGCCAGCCATTTTTAGTATATAGTATACTATGGTATATATATCTACCATATACTACATAGTATGTACTATGTAGTACATATATAGTTATGTACTATATATATTACTATATACTACATAGTACAGTATGTACTATATGTACTATATGTACTATGTAGTACATACTACGTAGTATATAGTAGATATATATAGTATATAGTACATAGTAATTCCTTTTATTTTTGTTTCTATGGAAACAAAAATATGTATACTATATATTATACTATATGTAGTATATATTATAGCACATATATATCTATAAATATGCATATATAGATGTGTATATATATGAACCAAATTTATCGAATTATACTTTGTAAGTGTAATTCAGTGTCAATTCTACTTCAGCAAAACTTAAAAAAATAATAGAAATGCCAGCCAAAGTCTAAGAACAGAGCTAAGAGATGCTGAAATAACACATGGAAGTAGAAATCCATCTAAACCACAAGGCTGCCAATTCGTGGGTAGGATAGGTGACTCTACCTGTCCTCAGTCGATGGCTACACAGAACTTGGGGTATGCCTCTCTGGGGAAGGAACCCTGGAATATACACTTGAATCAATGAAAAAATCTGAAAGACACTTGCCGCCAGCATAGCAGTGAAGCCATGACCTTTTCTTAACTGAAGGTCATACATTTACTGCTTTTCTGGCTCCTCTTTCCTAGGGAAAAAAATACTTCTACATTAATACTTGTTAAATTGTACTTACTACTAGTTAATGAGCTAATTCACATAACAAGCATATTATGTAGGCATTTTTTCTTTCCAAGTTCACTGATTCTTGCTTTCTTGAAATTTTCTGTTGTTTTACTTCAAATTGCTTTTCTGCTTGCTTTTGTCTCTTATCACTTCTGAGCTGTTTTACTTCAAATTGCTTTTCTGCTTGCTTCTGTCTCTATCACTTCTGAGCTTTCTTCCAAAGTCTGGTCATTCTTTTCTGTCTACTCTTATGAATGAAAAGACAAAAAAGCTTTTTAGATCTGTATACGTGGGTGAAGCATATAGACTCTGGGCTTCACTTAGGGTGCTCTGGGTGGGCCTTTACTGGGGAACCTCTGATGTCACTATCTTGGATTGCTCCTCCTGGGCTGGTCAGTTCCTCAGAGTTGAGTCTTCCAGTCTTCTAAGGATAAGAGGAATGCGGGCCCTGCATCCAGCATTATGTATTCCTAAATTCACTTAACTTTGTTTCCAGTGTGCTTCTCTAGAATGCCTGAGGATGCCCCAGTCCAGGGACTAGTATTACTTTGTCCAGAAATAAACCTCTAGTCTTCTATGGGAGTAAGGGGGTAGAGTTACTTAGAGGTGTTTCTCAAATAGCTTTCATGTAGTCCACTTCCAATTTCAGGGTGCGTGTTTCAGTGCCTTTTGAGAATTCTGCAGAGTGAATTGGGTTTTTCTGGTGTGCTAAGTCACATTCATTCACCTGTTTTCCAGCTTCTGAGTTTTATTGCTGTTACCTCCTGTCCCCATTTTTCCAATTTATTTTTATATCATTTTACTGTAGATTTAGTAGTTTTGGAAGGGAGTAAAATTAGATGAGGGTATTTAACCCACTATATTAACTACTTCATTCTTTAAACTTCCTTTTTTTTCTTTTGGCAGAGAGCCATTAGCAGCGTGAAATAATCTTACTAAGAATGATTCTTAGGCTGGGCATGGTGGCTTGTACCTGTAATCTCAGCACTTTGGGAGGCCAGGGCTGGAGGATGGCTTGAGCTCAGGAGTTTGAGACCAGCCTGGGCAACATAGTGAGTGAGACCTTGTCTCTACTAAAAGTAAAAAAATATTAGCCAGGCATGGTGGCGTGTGCCTGTAGTCTCAGCTATTTGAGAGGCTGAGGTGGGAGGATCGCTTGAGCCCAGGAGGTTGAGGCTGTAGTGAGCCGTGATTGTTCCACCACTCCAACCTGGGCAAAATTCATTTTGAGACCCTGTCTCAAAACAAAACAAACAAAAAACACCTCTTCGGAACCATGTTCTTTTCACATAATTTAAAATTAAATATACATAGATGTAATTTCGAATTGCAAACTATAACCTGTTTAATGCCTAACAGCACAGCTTCATTTAATTCACAATTTGTAACTTGTGAAAGCTTTCAGGGACCTGGCTTAAGTTGTCCTTTTTAGTTGTTGGTCTTTTTACAAATTATGTATCATAAAACACTTGCCCAGCAAAAATGTAACTAGTGTGGCTATGGCAAATTTGTTCTTCTTTGATATGTTAACTTATATGAATTAATGCAGTTTATCTTTTTTTTTTTTTGAGACGGAGTCTTGCTCTGTTGACCCGGCTGGAGTGTAGTGGTGCGATCTTGGCTCACTGCAACCTCCCTCTCCCGGGTTCAAGCGATTCCCGTCTCAGCCTCCAGAGCAGCTGGGATTACAGGTGCTGATCACCACGCCCGGCTAATTTTTTGTATTATTTTAGTAGAGACGGGGTTTCACTGTGTTATCCAGGATGGTCTCCATCTCCAGACCTCGTGATCCACCCACTTTGGCCTCTCAAAATGCTGGGATTACAGGCGTGAGCCACCACACCAGGCAATGCAGTTTATCTTTATGCAGTTGACCTTGAAGCATTTAGGTTTACTTTAGCCACTAAGAGAAATAGGTCTCCTTGGGTTCACAATGTAGTGAATAAACAATTTTGAGTTCAGCAGGGCCCTGAGGCTGCTCCTGAACTCTGCATGAAGTCATGGAGGTTACTGTTTTAAGTAAAGAGCCAAGAGTTAAGGACTAAGAGAAGCCCCCTATTATTCTGAAAACTTGGATGTGTGCGCTGGATGAGACAGCGGTTGCAGTCCCCATTGATAGTTTTTTCCCCCTGTCATTCTAGGCTAAGGAGTTAGGACTTAACCAGTTCCAGTTCCAGGCTAATGGAAAATTGTCATTTTACTGGGGGTTATGTGGTGGCCAAAGTTGTTAATCATTGTTCCCCATGGGGTAGATACAGTGAGAGCTTCAGTAAAGCCTTTCCTCTAAAAGCCCACTATTTTAAGGTAACTTGGGATTACTGAACTATCTCCTTACCCCGATGAATCCTAACTTGAGTTGACTGAGGTGTTTTATCATTAAACATTAGTTTTACTGAAACTAATTTAAAAGGAAGCCTTAACTTTCATATCAAACAGCTATGGTAAACTGAGTAAGAACTCTGTACGAAGTCGCTATTAAAATGTTTTTATCTTGCTACCAGGATATGGATGTAAAATGCTAATAACTATTACACAACCTATAATAGTTACAGGTTACAATAGGGATAATAACACTTTAACCCACAAAGACTAGCTTAGTCCTACTACTTATCTATGAATAATGCATGTAGTCAATAACACTGGAAGGGATAGAGCATTATAAACTTATAATTCAGAGATGAGAAATGGTGCCAGTAATTTAAAAGTATTTCAGGTCTCATAATGCTAAAACAGGGTGTAGGTATGCCCTACAATTACAGAGAACTCAGTCGGGCTTGAGGAGAACAGCCTCACTTAATTGTAGTT
The DNA here is from genome assembly GCF_000001405.40 of Homo sapiens. Taxonomy (NCBI): domain Eukaryota; kingdom Metazoa; phylum Chordata; class Mammalia; order Primates; family Hominidae; genus Homo; species Homo sapiens. The sequence continues at coordinate 25,195,916 of NC_000012.12, read as the reverse complement.
TTCCTGTCGGTGTAAGGTGCCGGCGTTTCTTCATGTGGGAGGAGACTGAAATTCTAAAGGTTGTGTGGTTAGTAAAATTAGTCTGTGACCTCGGGAAACTAATGAGTCTTTGGGGCCTCAGCGATCTTCATGTTAAGGAATATTTTAGCCAGGAATTGCTTCATTTTCAATTCTTGTTTAGGGCGCTCTTAGGAAAAAGGACGCGTACGCTGCACAGAAAGTAAACAATAGAGCAGAAAGAAGAATCCGAAGGTCATTAATCTTAAAATAACCAACCCTCTGGAGCCAACTTATTTCTCTCTTTAAATTGCGGAATGAGCCCCATCCCCCTGCTGGATTAAACCGCAGAGGCCCAGGCCTCCCACCGGGTGTCCGCTGCATGAACCAGTCGCATGCCTGTTTCCTTCTCGAAACCCTCACAGAAAGACCCAACACACTCTAGGAAATAAACCGTCAACGTCAGGAGACGCTCAGAACCCTCTTCCCACACCCGGTGGTCCTCGCCCAGAGCATATTTCGCCTCCAGACCCCAGGATCCGGGAAATGGAACAAAACTCCCCGGCGGCGGCACTCACGCACTTTCCGGCACGCCGGAGCCGCAAAAGCCTCGACCGCTACGACTCCTCTGTCCGTCTACTGCGAAGCGGGGTGGCGTTGGGGGAGGTGGGCAACCTGTCAGTAAAGGGGGCGGGGCGCCGGCCGGAAGAGCCTCCGCGCGGCTGCGCTCTTTTCCTGGAGCTCAAGTGGGCGGGGCCTGTCGTCCGGGCAACCCGGGAGCGTTTGTCCACACAATTTCTGCTCCGACTCTGCGGACTACTGCAGTGGAGCTTGACTCTTAATGGTGAGCAAGGCAAATGAGGCAGACAGGTGGAGGGGCGACCACTGATTCTGCTTCACCAGTGTTAAATAATGTAATCAAGAGCCAGTCATATTTTACAGCGAAGCGGGTCGGTTTGGGAAATAACTCATACCTTGGGGTGGGTCGGCCCTCTTCTCAGCAATGGCTTTCCTTACCTGGACCAGGCGGACAGGTAGGAGTCCCAAACCAGTTTCTGCAAACGGGAGATGGTCAAAGCTGTCACACGGTATCCTGATCTCGAATGTTGCTAAGCTTGAAAATTGGTCCCAACCTAGTAACTTTCAGTAGTGATAGACGTTCCCACTAAATTTTCTTATTGCAACTTGGCGGAAATGTTTTAGTACTTCTCCAGCAGTTAATTAAAAGCTAATGCAATTTACTCTGCTTTGAAAAAATATTTTATGTCGTCTTTTGTGGGAATATGAATTGTTTTGTGATTCAAGGTTCTCATCCTGCATTAGTTAAATATGATAAGGCTTCTCATTTTGTTTTTCTGCACTCCTCAACTGCCATGTTTTCAGCAAGGAGACAGGCCAACATGTAGCTATGAGAGTATCTCTGATTTTCTTAAATGTGGTTTCCATCAAGACATTTTCTATAATTAAAACCAGAGGAAGTGGAGAATGTAATTACTTATTTAATTCATTAATTAAGGGAAAAATGTGGAGTGCATTCTTTGTACTTGGCACTGGGCTAGAAGCCAAGAATACCAAGAAGAACATGACGACAACTCTGCTTATAGGATACAGATTAAACAAATTAATTACAATACAGCTTTACAACTGTAACAATTGAAGCATCTAAAATGGGGTAACACACAGTTGGAAATGATGAAATTTCAGTGAGGGGAAACAAGGGAAGGAGAGTGGTGCTTTTCAACCTGTTTTAAAGTATAAATACGAGTTTTCCACATATGGTGGGAAGAAATAGGGAGTGGAGGCCTGGCGCGGTGGCTCACCCCTGTAATCCCAGCACTTTGGGAGGCCGAGGCGGGCAGATCACGATGTCAGGAGTTCGAGACCAGCCTGGTCAACATGGTGAAACCCAGTCTCTACTAAAAATACAAAAATTAGCCGGGCGTGTTGGCGCGCACCTGTAATTCCAGCTACTCAGGGGGCTGAAGCAAGAGAATCGCTTGAACCTGGGAGGCGGAGGTTGCAGTGAGCCGAGATTGTGCCACTGCACTCCAGCCTGGGTGACAGAGCGAGACTCCGTCTCAAAAAAAAAAGAGAAAAAAAGAAATAGGGAGTGGAGAGCATTCCTGGCGGAATGCAAATGGACCTTAAGTCAATTTATAATTGCTAATAAATTGGGGGAACAGTAAGCACTTACTTGTTACCTTCCAATTTGTTACCTGAGTTTCTTCTTCTTCTTAGATCCTTCTCCCAATGTTTCTCAAAGTGTGGCCCATGGAACATTTATTTCTAATGCACCCGGAGTACTTGTTAAAAATGCAGATTCCAGGAACCCACTCAACTCCAAATCTACTGTATTAGTTTCCTAAGTCTGCCAAGTAAGGAATTGCCACAAACTGAGTGGTTAAAGAAAAGAAATTTATTGTCTCGTAGTTCTGGAGACTAGAAGTCCAAGATCAAAGTGTCAGCAGGTCTGTGATACCTCTGAGGGCCTTAGGGAGAGATCTGTTCAGACCTTTCCTGGCTTCTAGTAGTTTCTTGGTTTGTGGCAACAAAACTTCATTCTTCACATGGCATTCTCCATCTGAGTATATTAAAATTATTATTATATAAGGACACAAATCATATTGGATTAGGGGCCCACCCTATTCAGTATGGCTTCATCTTAATTTAACTAATAAAATCAGCAGTGACCCTGTCTCCAATTAGATCAAATTCTGAAGTACTGGGGATCAGAATTTCAACGTATGAATTTTTTTTCTTTTTTTTTTTTCTTTTTGAGACTGTCTCGCTTTGTCACCTAGGCTGCAATGCAGTGTCACCATCATGGCTTATCGAAGTCTCAGCCTCCCTGGTTCAAGCAATCTTCCCAACTCAGCCTCCTGAATAGCTGGGAGTACAAGGCACGTGCCACCACACCCAGCTAATTTTTAAATTTTTTTAGACAGGGTCTTGCTTTGTTGCCCAGGCTGCCCTCAAACTCCTGGGCTCAAGTGATTCTCCCACTTTGACCTCCCAAAATGCTGGGATTACAGGAGTAAGCCAGTGCACCCAGCCAACATATGATTTTTTTTTTTTTTTTTTTTTTTGAGGCAGAGTTTCGCTCTGTTGCCCAGGCTGGAATGCAATGGCGCGATCTCGGCTTACTGAAACCTCTGCCTCCCGGGTTCAAGCGATTCTCCTTCAAGCGATTCTCCTGCCTCAGCCTCCCGAGTAGCTGGGATTACAGGTGCATGCCACCACGCCCAGCTAATTTTTGTATTTTTAGTAGAAACGAGGTGTCACCATGTTGGCCAGGCTGGTCTTGACCTCAGGTGATCCCCCTGCCTCGGCCTCCCAAAGTGCTGGGATTACAGCTGTGAGCCACCGCACCCGGACAACATGTAATTTTTTGAGCAATACAATTCAGCCCATAACATCTACTAAACCACAGTGTAGGAAGAGAAGTGAGCATACACACGTTTAGTCCATAAATATGCATTTCTAACAAGCTTCCCATATGATTCTTATGCCCTCTGAACTTTGAGAACTACTTCACTACATAGTGGCTATTATGACATATAGGAGAAATGAGGATATGTACTTACCCCAAACCTGATTTACATTAAAAGCACAAGTGAGAAGTGACAATTTGCCCCTCTTTAAAATATGGCTAATTGAGAACTGGAGCAATGCTATTTACATATTCAGCTGTTTAGTACTTATTTCACGATGGAAGTATGTTAACTATTAATTGATAGAAGCTATGATAAAAATAGAATCTATTTGTAAAAATTATATGGCAGCAAAGTCTCTACTTTTCTATCTCCAGTGCCTCAGATTGCCTTGTGTGTAAATCATTAATTAATATCTGCCGAGTGAATTAGTGTAATATATGCACTCTTCAAGAAGATGGAATCTACTGATATGTGTTAAACTTCAGTTTTACACAGTATAATCTTATGGGTTGAACTAATATTTCCCATGTATAACTCTTCAAATATGTAAAGTGTCTTATGTTCACATGATCTCCTATAAATTCCTTACCAGAAATCTGATAAACACATGAGCCTAATCAGGAAAGTATAAGTGATATTATTGTAACTGTGAGTCTTTTTTGAAATCCTGTGCTTTCCAAAATAATTTCCAGAAAAGAATAGATCTGCCTTAAAACACATTGCTGAATAGAATCTTCATTTTATCATAGCTTTACCTGCTTTATTTATTTATTTATTTGTTTATTTTTTGAGTCTTGCTCTGTCACCCAGACTGGAGTGCAGTGGTGCGATGTTGGCTTACTGCAGCTCCGCCTCCCAGGTTCAAGCGACTCTCCTGCCTCAGCCTCCCAAGTAGCTGGGACTACAGACACATGCCACCATGCCCGGCCAATTTTCTGTATTTTTAGTAGAGACGGGGTTTCACCGTGTTAGCCAGGATGGCCTCCATCTCCTGACCCCGTGATCCACCTTCCTCAGCCGCCCAAAGTCCTGGGATTACAGGTGTGAGCCACCACACCCAGCCGCCTGTTTTATTTATTTATTCATTTTTTGGAAATGCGGTCTCGCTTGGCTGCCCAGGCTGAGTGTCATGGCTCGCTGCAGCCTTGACCTCCCGGGCTCAAGTGATCTTCCCACCTCAGCCTCCCAAGTAGCTGGGACCACACGCATGTGCTTGGCTAATTTTTAAAATTTTTTGTAGAGACGGGGTCTTCCTGTGTTGCCCGGGCTGATCTTGAACTCTTGGGTTCAGGTGATCCTCCCGCCTTGGCCTCCGCGAATGCTATTACAGGAGTGAGCCACCGTGTGAGGCTACTTTGCGTGCTTTAAATAACTGATTCCCTTTCTATAAAAATCATCAATCTAACTTTACGGAAAGGTTATTTCTTTATGAGATCATTCCCACACTTGCAAATTTGACATTAGTGCCAATAATTGGTCAATGATTTATTGTCCTTTGAACCCTTTAAACTAGTGCCTTCTTGACTAGTACTCTGTTTAGTAACAGGGCATTTCATTAAACATGGATCATTGATTGTCCTAAGAAACAGTGTAAAATCTACATACAAAAAAATGGTTCAGTAGGTGAACTTAGTTTTTCTATACTTATTTGTAGTTTTGTCTGAACTCTTTTTAAAAAAGCATTTTATTTTGGGATAATTTTAGATTTGCAAGGAAAGTTACAAAGATGGTACAGAGAGTTCCCTTATGCCCTTTACCAAGCTTCTTCTAATTTTAACATCTTACATAATCATGATACTTTTGTATCAGAATTGTCTTTAAAATTGATCAATTCTTTTGTTTTCCAACTTTTAGGGTCCCAAAGCAAAAAAGGTATGTAGAATTTTTTTCAAAATAGATAGTTGTATAATCACTTACAGTGTATGAACAGAATATTTACAGAATTATAAAATATTTTTATAGTTTTAGTTTGTAGAGTTTACTAAGCTTACTTTTTAGACATTAATGCAGTTTAAATCATGGAATAATCCTTTACAACAGTAGGACGCATTTCAAATTTGACATAAGAGAGTTCTAATTTCACAAATACTCTTAAAAATAGCTTTTAATTTTTACTTATGTCTAGATTTGGGGCTTTTTGTTAATTCTGCTCTAGAAAATGTTGGATTAGGAACCCCTTTTTCTTCACTCTAGATACATATATAAAATTTTAATTATAAAATGTGCTATGGCTTTAAAGTGAAATCTGAGGTAATACAACTTTAAATGGGTTGCATGGTAACACATACTTGGTGGGTTTTTTTGTACTGTTTAGAAATTTGAGTTCAATAAACAATGTACCATTCTATATGCCTTTTTCCAGAATGCCTTTTTCTCTCTTTACTTTGTAGATTTATACTTTAAATTAGAGTTTATAATCCATTGGCTGGCAGTCCAAATTTACCCTACAGACATATTTTGTTTGACCTTAGAAGTGCTTTTTTTTTTTTTTTTTTTAAATCAGTTGCCAACCTATTTTTATGCAACAATCTGATTTCCATCTATTCTTAAGAAATTGGAAACCTGATAACATTGGGCCTAAATAGTCCTGTAAGGCAACAATTGGCTGGGCTGAATAACAGCTACCCCTTTTAGGAATGCATAAAATCTTTGATTTGCCATAGTCTTGACCATAACCAAACCTCTTAGTTTATTTACCTGCTTGGTCCCAACAGGGATTTGGGTCTGGAATGCCTGCTTTAAGGCATATCTCAAATGTCACTTCTCTGTAAATTTTCCCATTGTTCCCTTTTACAGATCAATTATACTCTGTATTTTCTTGGTTTTGTTTTGTTTTGTATTTTAGAGACAGGGTCTCACTCTGACACCCAGGCTGGAGTGCAGTGGCATGGTCTTGGCTTACTGCAACTTCCACCTTCCGGGTTCAAGCAATTCTCCCACCTCAGCCTCTTGATTAGCTGGGATTACAGGCACGCGCCACCATGCCTGTCTAATTTTTGTATTTTTTGGTAGAGACAGGGTTTCACTTTGTTGGCCAGGCTGGTCTCGAACTCTTGACCTCAAGTGATCTGCCGGCCTCAGCCTCCCAGAGTGCTAGGATTACAGGCATGAGTCACTGCGCCTGGCTTATACTCTGTGTTTTCATAGCACATGCATTCGTGCATACCTCAATTATAACCCTTTATCATTTTATTGTAATTATTTATAATGGTGAGCTTTTCATGGTCAGGAGCGTGTCATATTTTTACATCCATAATGTTTAGCACAGTGCCTGGCACATAGTAGAAATTCATTCAATATTTGTTGAATGAATATGCGAAACCCCATTTAATCTACCACCCTTAAAAACACTTGGGCTCTTTCCAGGAAATGTTTATATACAGTGTATTCAGTATTTATACAGTTAAACATTTCTTCAAGAAATACCATTGAGTGCCTTCTTTGTTTGCTTCTGTCAGTCACTTGGACCCATGACCAACCTGATATTCTTTTAGAAACTGTGGATATAACTGAACAAAATTTATGAAGGCTCTGGAAGCATTCAAGCATTCTGGAGGGCCTGTGTGTCTCTGTAATCATTCATTGATTTGTGTGGACATTCATTTTGTGCTTTAGACTATGAAATCTTAGAGGCATCATTTTAAATCCGAAAACTCATTGTTTTAAATTACCTTGGTACTTCATGATATACATGGGTGGGCTATTACGTTGATAGTATTGTTTCTCTGAAAGAATGGTGAGATTCTTCCTATGAAATTTGAAACCAAACCCAGAGAAGAAATCGCTTACTTTTTTTTTTTTTTTTTTTTTTTGAGACAGAGTCTTGCTCTGTTGCCAAGGCTGGAGTGCAGTGGCACAATCTTGGCTTACTGCAACCTTCGCCTCCCGGGTTCAAGTAAAGAAATCACTTACTTTTTAATTATTTCACTTTTAAATATTGCAGTTTGGAGATGAGGTGTTCTGTAAAGGGAATTTACAGTGTAGGTAGGAAAACATTGAAGGATATATTTTATACTTTCTGGTTTTTTAAAGTTTTCTTAAGGGAAAATTAATGAACACACATGGTACAAAATTAAAATAGCATTAAAAAATTGAAACTTTTCTTCAACCCAAGACATTTGATCTGCCTTCCTAGAACCACTGTACATCTTTTCATAAATTTTCTAAACATTAAAGGGCGCACATATGTACACACACAGAGACCCCTTTTCTCCCTGCCTATGGGAGCATTCTGCACCTTCTGTTTTTCACTTAACAATATTTTATTAATTATAGGATACTAATCTTTTTACATTTTAACATTACTGAAATTGAGATGTGTCTTATAATAGTATCTTACAATCATTGTAGTCCTGGATTGACATCCACTTCTTCAACAGAAGATGTTTGCTTCTATCTGTCAGTTGGGCTTATTACCAGTCTGGTACTACTTAAATTCTATGCTTGAGGGTTTTGGACCACACCAATGGTATGAGTCAGACTGCAAATCCACATGAACCGGCTTGTGGTTTAAATTCTCAGGAATTTTTTTTCTTCCTTCTACCAGTGTCAGAGTTGACATATGCAAGCCTTCTTTTTTTTTTGCTCTGCATTACTGTGTTGTGGGATTGTTTGTCTTTCCCTATATCCAGTTTTATACAGGTATCGCCTTTAACTGCCATCTTAGGCATTATTTCCTTTTTTGGGACATAATAAATACATCTTACATCTGATGACATCTTAGGTTCAATGGAGTAAGTATACCTTGGGGACCTTTTTGTTTTGGCGTATTGAAATTACCTCACTCTTTTTCATGGCTGCATCATATCTCATTGAAAGTATGCTACATGATTTTTATGTTGGCCCTATTTTTTGCTATCACAATCAAGGCAGGAATGAAGATCCTTATATATAAGTTCTTGCAAACATGGAAGAATATTTATTTCATTGATTTAGCAGTGTTCAAGGCATTAAGTGAACAGCAGCAAGACCAAGTTCCTGCCTTCATGAAGCTTACATTCAACTTGAGGGTGGGAAGTGAGACAGGAATATAAATAATATAATTTCAGGTAGCTTTTAATACATAGAAACTAAGAGGTCATGAAAAAATGTGGGGTAGGGCTGATGATGATGCTATTTCATATAATATGATTAAGGAAGTAAAATTTAAGAAGAGACCTGGATGAAGCAAGGGAGTAGGTTAGTAATTACCTGGGGGAATGAGTATATTAAGCAGGAGAAACAGACATAGTTTAGAATGACCTTGGTGAAATGCCAGTGTGGTTAGAACAGACAGTGAGGTAGAAAGTGAAAGATAAAAACACGGCATGGAGACCGTGGTTAATCAGGAGCCGGTTTGTAGTTCATGGCCAAGTAAGCCATGGTAAAGTATTTGGGTTTTATTGTGAGTGTGATGGGCAGCCTGGGAAAGTTGTAAACAGAAAAGTGGCATGATCTGATTTACATTTTTAAAAGATCACTTTGATTGCCATGTGGAAAATTCACTGTAGGGGGACACAAGGGTAAAAGTAGGGGTACCCTTTAGGAATCCATCACAGCAGTGTAGGTTAGAAGTCTTCAAACTGAGAAGTAAATCATACTCTGACAGGTGTACAAAGGTTTTCTAAGGATACAAGGACACAGTCTTATGGAAATCAATCTTCAGATGATTGACTTCCATATTTACCTTTTCCTGAGAAAATGTAGTCATACATTAAAAAAAAAACCCTGCCTTTTTACCATTGCATCCTCCTCTGTCACAATCACCCTTCTTACAAAGTAAAGCTTATCTGTTATCTACTCCCATTCTGTGATTCTTTGCCCTTGGGACTGGGATGTGAAACCTTTAGACAATTCGAAACATTGATGTTGGCAAAGCTAACATCAGACACTAAGGACTTCCTGTTTTTGTCTGCCTTACCTGTCTTTTTGGAAGTGGTGAAATGTGTCATTAGAAGTACTGAGATATTGTGAATTTATACACATGGTAGTGTGAAGTGGTGATCATTTTTGTTTAGTTACATTGCCCATGAGATTATTATCAAATTATGGTACCAAAGAGTGTATCAAGTTACATTGTGAGAGATTTTTTTGGTACTATCATTTGATAATAATGTTTTGGTACCAGACTACAAAGATAATGTAATTAATTTTTTAATGAAGAAAGATTAGTGTATTAGTAAAAATGTGAGTGTAATATTTTTACGCAGATTTCAAAGTTGCCTTTTGAAACTTCACGTAATTTAAATTAATATTGTTCATTGCAAAAGTTAGAAAATTGCGTAAGACTATAGAAAAGGTTATGATACCTGATGTACTGTTAAAAAACCCATCACTACATTTATATTAATATATTTTTATCAGAAACCACTGTACTTCACAGAATACATGAAATACAGAAAACAGTGATTAGACTATGAGAAGAATTGCCTTACAAATTGATGAATATATAGATGATTCCAGTTAGTCTCAGTTAATAATTTATGACTTTTCTTCCAATGAAGAAAATGGCATTATTAATACAAATTTGATGTTCAAATTACTGTTTAGGAATACAACTGTGAAGAGATTTTACAAAACTTTTAATACTTTATTTGAATTGATTGTATTTTATTTGATTGAAATCATGCTCAACTACCCCCAGGAATGGGACTGTAATGAATGGGCAAAAGGGGGGTGCTTATTGCTATAGTCTGTACTTTAAATTCTATTTTCATTTAGGAACACTGTCATCACAAACAGGCTTCAGTGGCCAAAGAGTGAGTCCTGGTTTTCATGGAACATTCAGTGCTGACACTAAAATATAAATGGTATTGAGTTCAGGACATTAAAATTGCATCTTTTAAAAACAATATATGAGGGAATTAAATCAATTTACATCTGGCTTATAATGAAAAATGAGATAGGTTGCCATGAACATGCATATCAACATATTTATTTGTACCAAAAAATGAAGTCAGACTGTCTGATAGAAAGTAAGTCTAATATGGCCATTTAGTTTAAGTTCGAAAACAGTTTTGCCAATTAGGTAAATGGTAGACATTTTTTATACTTCAAATGAGCTAAATCTGCAGCTTTAAGATTTTGGTGAAAGTGATATGATAAAAAAATTATCAGAAATAATATTTTGATCTTTCTGATTTCATTAATTTGAGGCTTAAGATTTTTGGGACTGCCATTTCTGCTAAAAACAATAAATAGTGCTCACTACAATGTATACAGATAGATCAAAGCTATCATCTTAAAAACATTTAAGAGGCAATAATACAGGAAGAAATTATCAGGAAAAAACCTGAGTGAAGACATAAACCAAAGAAGTAATGGAAGCACTACAACTGTTTTTGTTTTTTGTTTATTTTATTTTATTTTAGAGACAGGATCTTGCTGTGTCACCCAGGCTGGAGTACAGTGGTGTAATTACAGCTAACTGTAGCCTCAACCTCCCAGGCTCAAGTGATCCTCCCACCTCAGCCTCCTGAGACTACAACCATGTGCTACCATGCCTGGGAATTTCTTTTTCTTTCTTTTTTTTTTTTTTTTTATAGAGATGGGATCCCACTGTGTTGTCCAGGGTGGTCTCAAACTCCTGGGCTCAAGCAATTCTGCTTTGACCTCCCGAAGTGCTGGAATTGCAGGCATGAGTCACCATGCCCAGTCCAAAGCAATTTTTATCATGAGGGTATTTGCAGAGCTGGGCAGAACTTGAGCTTTGGTCTTCATAGCAAAAATGAAAGCCAGACAGTGGAATGATGTCTTCAATGTGCTGAAAGAAAATAGCTGCCAACTTAGAATTCTGTACCAGCTAAAATAAGTTTTCAAAAATAAAGGTGGAATAAAAACATTTTCTTACAAACCAAAACTGAGTTTGCCACCTGCAAAACAGATTATGTCTGTACAGTATAAAACAAAAACCATAATAAAAAACATGTGGGTTTAACAGTAATTAAACTAAGATACATGACAACAAACAACCCAGATGTTCATCAGTTGATTAATCAATAAACAAAATTTGGTATATCTATGCATTGGAATATTATTTGGGCATAAGAAGGAAGTACTGATGCATGATATAGCATGGATGAACCTCGAAAGCATGCTAAATGGAAGAAGCCAGTCACAAAAGACCACATTTTACATGATTACAGTTATATGAAGTGTCCAGAAGAGGCAAATCTACAGAGACAGAAAGTAGATTCATAGTTTCCATGAGCTAGGTATTTGGAAGAAGTGGAGAGTAACTACTAATGAGTATAAGATTTCTATTTCGGGGTGATGAAAAATGTTCTAAAATTGATTGTGGTGATGGTTACACAACTCTGTGAATATACTAAAAACCATTAAATTGTGCACTTTATATGGGTGAATTACATGGTATGTGAATTATATCTCAATAAAACTATTGTTAAAAACATGCATGATAATACTAATCCATAATTTGGTAGGGGAAGGACAGATTGAGTTAAGACATTCTAAAGTCCTTGGGAAAGAGGATACAGGTCTGGATATAGAAGGCATATTTGTTGACTTTCTGTAGTAGCCATTAAAATTACACAGTATATAACTTCTCAACTGGTAGAGAGAACATAGTGGAATAATAAAAAAAAATCAGTTGAAAAGTTACCAAGAAATAATACAGAATAACACTCAAAAGTAAGATAGTATATTTAAGCCCAAATATATCAGTAAATACATGGAATATAAATGGATCTATTACTCTTGTTAAAAGTGAAAGATTGTCAATAATAAAGAATAAAATCCAACAGTAATCTTCTTACAAACAGCCACCTTAAGAATAAAGATTCCAGCAATATGGGAGACTGAGGCAGAAGGATCGCTTGAGTCCATGGGTTTGAGACCAGCCTGGACAACATAGACCCCATCTCTACAAAAAGTAAAAAATTAAAAAAAAAAATTTAAATACAGAAAAGTTGGAAGTGAAATGATGGAAAAAGTCATACTATACAAATTACTAGAAAAACAAAAGCTTATATAGCTGTATTAATATTAGACACAATAGACTTTAAGACAAAAAGCACTTCTAGAAATAAAGAGGGACATTTTGTGGTGATCAGGATTTTTGTTTATTTGTTTTGTTTTGAGCATTGGTTTCAGCAGAAGCCCAAATCCCAGCATTACCCAATATACCCACGTACAGGTTTGTTACATGGGGATATTGGATGATGCTGGGATTTTGGCTTCTGGTGAAACCATTGCTCAAATAGTGAACTTAGTCCCAATACGTAGTTTTTCAACCCTTGTCCCCGCTCCCTCCCCTCTTTTAGAGTCCCCAGTGTCTATTGTTTCTACCCTTATGACCATGTGTACCCATTGTACTTATAAGTGAGAACATTTAGTATTTGATTTTCTGTTTCTGCTTTAATTCACTTAGGGTAATGGCCTCCAACTGTATCCATGTTGCTGCAAAGGACATAATTTCATTCTTTTTATGGCTGTGTAGTATGCTATGATGTATATGTACCTCATTTTCCTTCTTTCCTTCCTTTCTTTCTTTCTCTCCTTCTCTCCTTCCCTTCCTCCCTTCCTCCCTTCCTCCCTTCCTCCCTTCCTTTCATTCCTTTCTTTCCTTTCTTCTTTTCACTTCATTTCCTGGGCTGAAGTGCAGTGGCATGATCTTGGCTTACAGCGGGCTTGACTTCCTGAGCTCAAGCGATCCTCCCACCTCAGCCTCTCAGGTAGCTGGGACCACAGACGTGTGCCACCACATCTAGCTAATTAAAAAAATTTTTTTTAGAGATGAGATCATTCTATGTTGCCCAGGCTGGTCTTAAACTTTGGGGCTCAGGTGATCCTCTTACCAGGGCCTCCGAAAGCACTGAGATTACAGGCATGAGAGCCACCACATCTGGCTTGTGTGTGTGTGTGTGTGTGTGTGTGTGTGTGTAGACAGTCTCACTCTATCACTCTGGCTGCAGTGCTGTGGCACGATCACAGCTCACTGCAGCCTCGACCTCCCAGGCTCAAGCAATCCTCCCACCTCAGCCTGAGTAGCTGGGACTATAGGTGTGTGCTACCACACCCTACATTTTCTTTATCCAATCCACTGTTGATTAGGTTAATTAGGTTGATTCCATGATTTTGTTGTTGTGACTAGTACTACAATAAAATACTAGTACAGGTGTCTTTTTTTTTTTTTTTTTTTGAGATGAAGTTTCGCTCTTGTTGCCCAGGCTGGAGTGCAATGGTGCGATCTCGGCTCACTGCAACCTCCGCCCCCCAGGTTCAAGTGATTCTCCTGCCTCAGCCTCCCGAGTAGCTGGGATTACAGGCATGTACCACCATGCCCGGCTAATGTTGTATTTTTAGTAGAGATGGGGTTTCTCCGTGTTGGTCAGGCTGATCTCAACCTCCCAACCTCAGGTGATCTGCCCGCCTCGGCCTCCCAAAGTGCTGGAATTACAGGCGTGAGCCACCGCGCCCAGCCTACAGGTGTCTCTTTGAAAAAAAAAAAAAAAATTTCTTTTCTTTTCAGCAGATACCCAGTAGTGGGATTGCTGGGTTGAATGGTAGGTTTATTTTAAATTCTTTAATAAATCTTCATATTGTTTTCAATAGGGGTTGAACTAATTTACATTCATACCAACAGTTCCCTTTTTTCTGCATCCTCACCAACATGTCCCTTTTTTTAATTTTTTAATAGTAGACATTCTGACTAGTGTGAGATGATATCTCACTGTGGTTTTAATTGAAATTTATCTGATTAGTGATCTTGAGCATTTGTTCATGTGTGTTGCCACTTATATGTCCTCTTTTGAGAAGTATCTGTTCATGTCCTTTCCCCACTTTTTAATGGGGCTTTTTTTTTCTTATTAAGTTCCTTATCGATTCTGGGTATTTGTCCTTTGTCAGATGCATAGTTTGAAAATATTTTCTCCTGTTTTGTAGGTTGTCTGTTGACTGTGTTGTTTCTTTTGCTATGCAGAAGCTCTTTAGTTTAATTAAGTCCCATTCATCAATTTTTGTTTTTGTTGCAATTGCTTTTAAGGTCTTAGTTATAAATTATTTGCCTAGGCCAATGCCCAGAAGAGTTTTTCCTGGTTTTCTTTTAGGGTTTTTATAGTTTGAGGTCTTGGCTGGATGCAATAGTGCACACCTGTAATCCCAACACTTTGGGAGGCTGAAGCAGAAGGATTGCTTGAGGCCGGGAGTTCAAGACCAACCTGGGAAACATAGTGAGACCCCCCCACCTCTGCAAAAAATGAAAATAAAAAATTAGCCAGATGCAGTGGCATGCATCTGTAATTCTAGCTACTCCTGAGGCTGAGGTGGGAGAATTGCGTGAGCCCAGGAGTTTGAGATTACAGTAAGCTATGATTGCACCACTGCACTCCCATTCTTTCCTGAATGACAAAGCGAGACTCTGTCTCTTAAAAAAAATTATAGGCCGGGCACGATGGCTCATGCCTATAGTCCCAGCACTTTGGGAGGCCAAGGCAGGCGGATCATCTGAGGTCAGGAGTTCGAGATCAGCCTGCCCAACATGGCGAAACCCCGTGTCTACTAAAAATACAAAAAATTAGCCGATCGTGGTGGCAGGCGCCTGTAATCCCAGCTACTCAGGAGGCTGAAGCAGGAGAATCTCTTGAACCCGGGAGGCAGAGGTTGCAGTGAGCCGAGATTGCACCACACACTCCAGCCTGGGCGACAAGAGTGAAAAAAAAAATTATAGTTTGAGGTCTTATATTTAAGTCTTTAATCCATCTTGAGTTAATTTTTATATATGTTAAGAGTTAGGGGTCCAGTTTCATTCTTCTGCAAGTGGCTAGCCAGTTTTCCTAGCATCATTTATTGAACCCAGTGTCCTTTCCCCATTGTTTGTTTATTTTTGCTAACTTTGTTGAAGATCAGTTGGTTGTAGGTGTATGGCTTTATTTCTGGGTTCTCTATTGTGTTCCATTGATCTATTTTTATACCAATACCATGTTATTTTGGTTGCTACAGCCTGTAGTATAGTTTTGAAGTTTGGTAACGTGATGGCTCCAGCTTTCTTCTTTTTGCTTAGGATTGCCTTGGCTGTGTGGGCTCTTTTTTGGTTTCATATACATTTTAGAATTGTTTTTTCTAGTTCTGTGAAAAATAACGTTGGTAATTTGATAGGAATTGCATTGAATCTGTAGATTGCTTTGGGCAGTGTGATCATTTTAGTGATACTGATTCTTCTAATCCGTGAGCATGGATTATTTTTCCATTTGTTTGTGCCATCTGTGATTTCTTTCAGCAGTGTTTTGTAGTTCTCTTTGTAGAGATATTTCACCTCCTTGGTTAAATATATTTCTAGATATTTTATTTTTGTGTGCATGACTGTTGTAAATGGGATTGAGTTCTTGATTTGCTTCTCAGCTTAAACGTTGTTGGTGTGTAGAAATGCTACTTGTTTTTGCATGTTGTATCCTGAAACTTTACTGAAGTCGTTTATCAGGTCCAGGAGGTATTTGGAGGAATCTTTACCGTTTTCTAGGCATAGGATCATGTTGTCAGTGAACAAAGATAATTTGACTTTCTCTTTTCCTATTTGGATGCCTTTTATTGCTTTCTCTTGACTGATTGGTATGGCTAGGATTTCCAGTACTATTGAATAGGAATGATGAGAGTGGACACCCTTTTCATGTTCCAGTTCTTAGGGGGAATGCTTTCAGCTTTTGCCTATTCAGTATGATGTTGGCTGTGGGTTTGTCATACATAGATGGTTCTTACTAGTTTGAGATATGTTCATTTGATACCTAGTTTTTTGAGGGTTTTTTTTTTTAATCATGAAAGGATATTGGATTTTATCAAAAGGGTTTTCTGTGTCTATTGGGATGATCATATGGTTTTTGTTTTTAATTCTGCTTATGTGGTAAATCACATTTATTGATTTGTGTATGTTGAACCATCCTTGCATGATGATAAAGACTTGATTAGCCAAGGAAATCTAATTTTAAATTTGTGTATACCTACTTACAAAGCCTTGAAATATACAATGCACAAATTCAGGGAACTACAAGGAGAAATAGACACATCCACAAATAGACACATCCACAATCATAGTGGAAGATTTTCTCTTTCAATAATTAATAGAATAATGTTTAAAAAATCAGTAAGGATTTAGAAGATTGGAGCAACATGATAAACAAACCTAATGAATTAAACATATTTAGAACACCACACCAAACAAGTAGAGGATTCTAAGCACGCAAACATTTTCCCCCAAAATTGCTAGTATACTATGATACAAAACTATTCTCAAAGTTCAGTGCATGAAAACAATTCAGAGAATGTATCATAATGAATATTATATTGAAGGTAAAAATAATTCAGTAGCAAACAGGAAGGTACAATATGCTTGGAATTTTTAAAACATTCTAAAATGGGTCAAGAAGTAATATAATGGAAATTAGAAAATATTTTAAACTTATTGTTAAGGAAAATACTTAAAAATTTGTGGAATGTATGTAAAGCAATACTTAGAGGGAAATATGTAGACCTAAATATTTATATTAGAAGAAGAAAAAAGGCTAAAAATTAATGATCCTAGGTATCCTTCTCAAGAATTCAGAAAAAGAATAAAACCCAAAGGAGAAGGAAGGAAATAATAAGAACAAATATAGAAGGAAGGAGAAGAAAGGAAATAATAAGAACAAATATGGACATTAATAGAAAACACAGAATAGAGTGGGTCAGTAACCTCATATCCTTCAAGTCTTCACTTAAATGCCGCCTTCTCCATGAGGCCAATCCAAACCACTGTATTTAGAATTGTGATTTCGTCCCTTTCACAACTACACCAGCCATCTGGAGTCCCCCTACTTTCTTCCATATCACTTATCACTCCTTAAAATATTGTATAATTTATTTTAAATTTTAGTATATTGTTTTTGCCTTCCTGTTTACATTTGAATTGTAAGTGCAAGGATTTTTGTTTACTTTTATATCTCAAATAAGAGGCACATGTTAGCCTCTCAGTATTTATTAAATAAATGAACAAGTCACAGTAGATTTCTTTGAAAACTGATAAAATTGACAATTATCTGATATGTCAAGAAGAACAAAAGGCATAAATGATAAATATTAAGAATGAAAAGGGAGACATGACTTTAACAATAAATGACATTATTTGAGCAACTTTTTATGCCAATATATTAGAAAACTTAGATGAATTAGACAAATAGCCAGAAAAAAATTAAACTGTTTTCATGAAGAAGTAGAAAACCTGAATAGTCCTATAATCATTTAAGAAATTAAATCAGTGGTTATAAATATTCCCAGAAAGAAAATTCTAGGTCCATAAGTCTTTATATGCTAGTTTTTCATTCAGAGGTAAAGAAATAATTTCACACTTAATACAGATTCTTCTAGAGCATGACAAAAGGGGGAACACTCCTTAAGTCATTTTGAGTTAAATGGATAATCTGAAGATATTATGAGAAAGGAAAATGGAAGTGCATTCATGACACAAATACAAAAATCCTAAACAAAATGTTACCAGGCTCAATCTGGAAGATGATAATAAATCATGACACAATTCAGTTTATCCCAGGAAGGGAGAGTTGGTTTAATATGAGAAATTAAATAAATACAATTAGATTGAATTAGAAATGCATTTAATGCACTTTACCATTTGATAGGTTACAGCGCACTTTCTTAGTCTGATAAAGATGTCTGTATTTTTTAACACCTTTTAGATGAGCAAAAGTGCTGAAATTAGCAAATATTGACTTGGATAATAATTGTGGGAGTGTAAATTTGAAATAATGATTGTGGAGGTGTAAATTAGAATAACTACTTTGGACAGTTCATCTTTAGTAAAGTTGAAAATGTACGTACCCATCAGTTTTATTTCTAGGGACATACAACAGAAAACCCCTTGCAGACGGACACCAGGATAGATATATTCAAAGGTTTATAGCAGCATTAATGATAGTAAGAAACCAGAAACAATCCAATGTCTAGCAATAGAAAAAGGATAAATAAATCAATGGATTACTATTCAGCAGTGAAAATATACAGCCATAGCAATGTCCATCAACATGAATGAATTTTGCAAACCATAATGTATATCTAAAGAAGTAAATCACAAATGAGGGCAAATATTGTATTTTTCCACTTAGATATCTAGAGTAGTCAAACTCATATAGACAAAGTAGAATGGTGAGTGACAGGGCTAGGGGCAATGGGGAGCTATTGTTTAATGGTATACAGGGTTTCAGTTTGGGATGCTGAAAAAGTTCTGGAGGTGGATTGTGATGATTGTACATCAGTGTGCATGTGTTTAAAGCCACTGAATTGCACACTTGAAAATGGTTAAAATGACTGGGCAAGGTGGGTCACACCTGTAATCCCAGAACTTTGGGAGGCCAAGGCAGGTGAATCACTTGAGGTCAGGAGTTCAATACCAGCCTGGCCAACATGGAGAAACCCCACCTCTACTAAAAATACAAAAATTAGCCAGGCAGGGTGGTGGGCACCTGTAATCCCAGCTACTCAGGAGGTTGAGGCAGGAGAATTGCTTGAACCTGGGAGGTGGAGGTTGTAGTGAGCCGAGATCGCACCACTGCACTCCAACCTGGGTGACAGAGTGAGACTCCATCTCAAAAAAAAAAAAAAAAAAAGAAAATGGTTAAAATGGTAAATTTTATGTTATGTATACTTTGTCACAATTAAAAAAAGCAAATCACAATAATATACATAAAGTCATTAAATTTATGGAAAGTTCAAAAATCTATATTTTTCATATATATACGTTAGAAAACTATAAAGAAAAACAAGGAAATGATCACAAAAGTCAGAGATTATCTGTAGGGGTAATTTTTATTGTAAATCAGCATATAATTTTTGGCATAGGAGGTGAAGGAATTCAAAGAATTGCATGATGTTACTATAACCTATTCTGATTGATTTTTAAATATAAACCAGGTTTCTCTCTCACATATTTATAAAAATTAAAAAATAAAAATAGAATTAATCTGAATTTCTGTTTCATTCAGCACTAGCTAGCATTTATCCATGGATTATGAGCTAACCAGAAAAAAGAAAAAGCCCAACATTTCATCAAGAGATGTACATCCAGGAAAATTTTAGTTTTTATGTTTAACATTTAGTTATCAAAATTTATAATATGTTACTTTATTCAGTTGTGTACTGAAAATAAGATTAACTCAATCTAGAACAGAATTTTTAATACTTAGAGACAAAGGAAATAAATTTTTTAATTTAAATTTTTATTCATATTTTTATAACAAATATAAAAGGATCAACAAAAGTTTTTCAAGTATATTACATTAGGATAAGATTCTGTGAGGGAAGTGGCGTGGAAATATGAACTCAAATAGAAAACAGATTAACATTTTTATTTTAAAAAAGCTTGTTTATATTTTAAATTGGTCATTAAATCTCTGTGGTATGTAGATTCTATTGGATATATCCCTTTTTCTGAGATGGAGTCTCGCTCTGTCATCTAGGCTGGAGTGCAGTGGCATGATCTCGGCTCCCTGCAATCTCCACCTCCCAGGTTCAAGCAGTTCTCCTACCTCAGCCTCCCGAGTAGCTGGGATTATAGGTGCCTGCCACCATACCCGGCTAATTTTTTATATTTTTTAGTAGAGATGGGGTTTCACCATGTTGGCCAGGCTGGTCTCAAACTCCTGACCTCGTGATCTGCCCACCTCAGCCTCCCAAAGTGCTGGGATTACAGGTGTGAGCCACCACACCCAGCCTTCTATTGGATATATCTTAAGCAGTGATGGATATACTTCAAAGAGTACTGTGAAAGTTTTATTTTAAGGATCATATACTTGAAAGGACAATATTCACAGCTATTTAAACTCATGATAAAAAGTTTTCAGTGACACCTTAAAAATGTGTAGAGCCGGGCGCAGTGGCTCATGCCTGTAATCCCAGCACTTTGGGAAGCCAAGGTGGGTGGATCACTTGAGGTCAGGAGTTTGAGACCAGCCTGGCCAACATGGTAAAACCTCATCTCTACTAAAAATACAAAAAATTAGCCTGGAGTGGCGGCAGGCACCTGTAATCCTGCTGAGGCAGGAGAATCCCTTGAACCTGGGAGGCGGAGGTTTCACTGAGCCAAGATTGTGCCAGCCTGGCATGACAGAGCGAGAGTCCGTCTCAAAAAAAAGAAAAGTTTAAAAGCAAAACATATAGTTCATCCACTGCAATGGGAAGGAAGGCAGACAAAAATATAGATAGGCTCAAAGATTTGGTGTGTAAAGATTTTTCTCTTCTGAAAACTTCTATTTTTTCAGTGACATAAGAGGTAAAGTCAGCAGCTGAGAGTAGAGTGGAAGAGAGGATTTTGGAGGTTTGAAGTGAGAATGAAATAGTTGTGGGAATTCTGGACAGTGCTTAGAGTCTATTTTTTTAATTTATTTTTTAAATTTTATTTTTTCATAACTTATTGAGGTACAGGTGGTATTTGGTTACCTGAGTAAGTTCTTTAGTGGTGATTTGTGAGATTTTGGTTCACCCATCACCCGAGCAGTATACACTGCACCGTATTTGTAGTCTTCTATCCCTTGCCCTCCTTCCACTCTTCCCCACAAGTCCCCAAAGTTCATTGTGTCATTCTTATGCCTTTGTGTCCTCATAGCTTAGCTCCCACACATCAGTGAGAACATACAATATTTGGTTTTCCATTCCTGAGTTACATCACTTAGAATAATAGTCTCTAGTCTCATCCAGGTCACTGCAAATGCTGTTAATTCATTCCTTTTTATGGCCGTGTAGTATTCCATCATATATATATATGATATATATATTCCATATATATATGATATATATATTCCATATGTATGATATCTATATTCCATATATATATGATATATATATTCCATATATATGATATCTATATTCCATATATATGATATATATCCCATATATATGATATATATATCATATATATATCCCATATATATGATATATATCCCATATATATGATATATATATCATATATATATCCCATATATATGATATATATGATATATATATCCCATATATATGGGATATATGATATATATATCCCATATATATGATATATATGATATATATATCCCATATATATGATATATATGATATATATATCCCATATATCCCATATATATGATATATCCCATATATATGATATAACATATATATGGGATATATATATCATATATATATCATATATGATACAAATGCAAATGCAATAAAAACAAAGATAAATAGCTGGGACCTAATTAAAGAAATTTTGCATGGCAAAAGAAACAGTCAGCAGCGTAAACAGACAACCCACAACGTGAGAGAAAATCTTCACAATGTATACATCTGACAAAGGACTAATATCCAGAATCTGCAACAAACTCAAGCACATCAGTAAGAAAAAAACAAACCCATCAAAAAGTGGGCTAAGGACATGAATACACAATTCTCAAAAGAAGATATACAAATGGCCAATATATGATATATATATGATATATATATTCCATAAATATATGAGATATGTATTCCATGTATATGATATATGTATTCCATGTATATGATATATGTATTCCATATATATGATATATGTATTCCATATATATGATTATATATGATATATATATTCCATATATATGATGTGGTATATATATGAATGATGTGTATATATATATGATGTGGTATACATATGATGTATATATATATGATGTGGTATATATATGATGTATATATATGATGTGTGTGTATATATATGATGTGTGTATATATATGATTTGTGTGTGCATGTGTGTGTGTATATATATATATCACAGTTTATCTACTTGTTGATTGATGGGCATTTGGGTTGGTTCCACGATTTTGCAATTGTGAATTGTGCTGCTATAAACATGTGTGTGCAAGTGTCTTTTTTGAATAATACCTTCTTTTCCTCTGGTTAGATACCCAGTAGTGGGATTGCTGGATCAAATGATAGTTCTACTTTTATTTATTTAAGGAATCTCTACACTGTTTTCCATAGTGGCTGTACTAGTTTGCATTCCCACCTGCCTTCTGGAAGTTTTTCCTGTTCACCATATCCATGCCAACATTTAGTGTTTCTTTTTATTTTTTGATTATGGCCATTCTTGCAGGAGTAAAGTAGTATCACACTGTGGTTTTGATTTGCATTTCCCAGATCATTAGTGATACTGAGCATTTTTTCATATGTTTATTGGCCATTTGTATATCTTCTTTTGAGAATTGTGTATTCATGTCCTTAGCCCACTTTTTGATGGGTTTGTTTGTTTTTTTCTTACTGATGTGCTTGAGTTCGTTGCAGATTCTGGATATTAGTCCTTTGTCAGATGTATACATTGTGAAGATTTTCTCTCACGTTGTGGGTTGTCTGTTTACTCTGCTGACTGTTTCTTTTGCCATGCAAAAGGTCTTTAATTAGGTCCCAGCTATTTATCTTTGTTTTTATTGCATTTGCTTTTGTGTTCTTGGTCATGAAATCCTTGCCTAAGCCAATGTCTAGAACAGTTTTTCTAGTGTTATCATCTAGAATTTTTATAGTTTCAGGTCTTAGGTCTAAGCCCTTAATCCATCTTGTGTTGATTTTTGTATAAGGTGAGAGATGAGGATCCAGTTTCATTCTCCTACATGTAGCTAGCCAATTATCCCAGCACCATTTGTTGAAAAGGATGTCCTTTCCCCACTTTATGTTTTTGTTTGCTTTGTCGAAGATCAGTTAGTTGTAAGTATTTGGGTTTATTTCTGGGTTCTCTATTCTGTTCCATTGATCTATGAGCCTATTTTTATACCAGTACCACACTGTTTTGGTGACTATGGTCTTATAGTATAGTTTGAAATCAGCTAGTGTAATGCCTCCAGATTTGTTCTTTTTGCTTAGTCTTGCTTTGGCTATGTGGACTCTTTTTTGGTTCTGTATGAATTTTAGAATTGTTTTTTCTAATTCTGGGAAGAATGATGTTGGTATTCTGATGGGGATTGTATTGAATTTGTAGATTGCTTTTGGCAGTATGGTTATTTTCACAATATTGATTCTACCCATCCATGAACATGAGATGTGTTTCCATTTGTTTGTGTTGTCTGTGATTTCATTCAGCAGTGTTTTGTAGTTTTCCTTATAGAGGTCTGTCACCTCCTTGGTTAGGTATATTCCTAAGTATTTTATTTTATTTTTGCAGCTATTGTAAAAGGAGTTGAGCTCTTGATTTGATTCTCTGCTTGGTTGCTTTTGGTGTATAGAAGAACTACTGAGTTGTGTACATTAATCTTGTATCCTGAAACTGCTAAGTTCTTTTATCAATTCTAGGAGCTTTCTAGGGTTTTCAGGGTAAACTATCATATTGCCAGCAAACAGTGACAGTTCGAGTTCCTCTTTACCAATTTGGATGCCCTTTATTTCTTTCTCTTGTCTGATTGCTCTGCCTAGCACTTCCAGTACCATGTTGAAGAGGAGTGGTGAGAGTGGGCATCCTTGTCTTGTTCCAGTTCTCAGAGGGAATGCTTTCAACGTTTCTTTATTCAGTATTATGTTGGCTGTGGGTTTGTCATAGATGGCTGTTATTACATTAAGATATGTCCCTTTTATGCTGATTTTGCTGAGAGTTTTAATCATAAAGGGATGCTGGATTTTGTCAAATCTTTTTTCTGCATGTATTCAGATGATCATGTGATTTTTGTTTTTAATTCTGTTTATGTGTTGTATCACGTTTGCATATGTTAAACCATCCCTGCATCCCTGGTATGAAACCCAGCTGGTCATGGTGAATTATCTTTTTGATGTGTTGTTGAATTTGGTTAGCTAGTATTTTGTTAAGGATTTTAGCATCTATGTTCATCAAGGATATTGGTCTGTAGTTTTATTTTTTGGTTATGTCCTTTCCTGATTTTGGTATTAGGGTGATGCTGGCTTCATAGAATGAATTAGGGAGGGTTCCTTCTTTCTCTATCTTGTGGAATAGTGTCAATAGAATTGGTACCAATTCTTCTTTGAATGTCTTGTAGAATTCTGCTGTGAATCTGTGTGGTCCTGGACTTTTTTTTCTGGTAATTTTTAAATTACCATTTCAATCTCATTGCTTGTTATTGGTCTGTTTGGAGATCTAATTCTTGCTGATTTAAGGTAGGAGGGTTGTATTTTTCCAGGAGTTTATCCATCTCTTCTAGGTTTTCTAGTTTATGCGCATAAAGGTGTTCAT
This sequence comes from Homo sapiens, assembly GCF_000001405.40. Classification (NCBI taxonomy): domain Eukaryota; kingdom Metazoa; phylum Chordata; class Mammalia; order Primates; family Hominidae; genus Homo; species Homo sapiens. The sequence continues at coordinate 25,171,336 of NC_000012.12, read as the reverse complement.
AGTAGCCTTGAATGTCTTTTGTATTTCAGTGGCGTCAGTTGTAATATCTCCCATTTCATTTCTTAGTGAGATTATTTGGATTTTCTATCTTCTTTTCTTGGTTAATCTTATTAATGATCTATCAATTTTATTTATCTTTTCAAAGAACCAGCTTTTTGTTTCATTTATCTTTTGCATTTTTTTGATTCAATTTCATTTAATTCTGTTCTGATCTTGGTTATTTCCTTCCTTCTGCTGGGTTTGGGTTTGGTTTGCTCTTGTTTTTCTAGTTACTTGAGGTGTGACCTTAGATTGCCTGTTTGTGCTCTTTCAGATTTTTTGATGTAGGCATTTAGGGCTATGAACTTTCCCGTTAGCACCATCTTTGCTGTATCCCAGAGGTTTTGATAGGAAATTTCATTACTGTCATTCAGTTGGAAGAATTTTTCAATTTTCATCTTGATTTCGTTTTTGACCCAATGCTCATTCAGCAGGTTACTTAATTTCCATGTACTTGCATGGTTTTGAAGATTTCTTTTGGAGTTGATTTCCAGTTTTATTCCACTTTGGTGTGAGAGAGTGCTGGATAAAATTTCAATTTTCTTAAATGTATTGAGGCTCATTTTATGGCCTATCATATGATCTATCTTGGAGAAAGTTCCATGTGCTGTTGAATAGAATGTGTATTCTGCAGTTGTTGGATGGAATGTTCTGTATATACCTGTTAAGTCCATTTCTTCCAAGGTATAGTTTAAATCCATTGTTTCTTTGTTGACTTTCTGTCTTGGTGACCTGTCTAGTGCTGTCAATGGAGTATTGAAGTCCTCCATTATTGTTGTGTTACTGTCTGTCTTGTTTCTTAGATCTATTAGTAATTGTTTTTATAAATTTGGGAGCTCCAGTGTTAGGTGCATGTATGTTTAGGATTGTGATATTTTCCTGTTGGACGAGGCTTTTTTTTTTTTTTGAGACGGAGTCTCGCTCTGTTGCCCAAGCTGGAGTGCAGTGGCGCAATCTCGGCTCACTGCAACCTCTGCCTCCTGGGTTCAAGTGATTCTCCTGTCTCAGCCTCCCGAGAAGCTGGGATTACAGGCACCCACCACCACACCAGGGTAATTGTTGTATTTTTAGTAGAGACAGAGTTTCACCATGTTGGTCAGGCTGGTCTTGAACTCCTGACCTCAGGTGATTCACCCCCCTCAGCCTCCCAAAATGCTGGGATTACAGGTGTGAGCTACTGGGCCTGGCTGGGACAAGGCCTTTAACCATTATACACTATCCCTCTTTGTCTCTTTTAACCACTGTTGCTTTAAAGTTTATTTTGTCTGATGTGAGAATAGCTACCCCTGCTCGCTTTTGGTATCCATTTGCATGAAATGCTTTTCCACCCCTTTACTTTATGTGAGTCCTTATGTGTTAGATGAATCCCCTGAAGGCAGCAGATAGTTGATTGGGGAGTTCTTATCCATCTGTGGTTCTGTATCTTTTTTTTCTTTTTTTTTTTTTTTTTGAGACAGAGTCTTGCTCTGTCACCCAGGCTGGAGTACAGTGGTGTGATTTCAGCTCACTGCACCCTCCACCTCTAGGTTTCAAGTGATTCTCTTGCCTCACCCTCCCAAGTTGCTGGGATCACGGGTGCATGCCACCACATCCAGCTGATTTTTGTATTTTTAGTAGAGACAGAGTTTCACCATGTTGGCCAGGCTGGTCTTGAACTCCTGACCTCAGGTGATCCCCCTGCCTTGGCCTCCCAAAGTGCTGGGATTACAGGAATGAGCTATCGCTCCTGGCCTCTGTGTCTTTTAAGTGGAGCATTTAGGCCATTTATATTCAATGTTAGTTTCACTCTCGTCCGTGTGAAGAGACCACCAAACAGGCTTTGTGTGAGCAATAAAGCTTTTTAATCACCTGGATGCAGGTAGGCTGAGTCCGAAAAGAGAGTCAGCGAAGGGAGATGGGGTAGGGCCGTTTTATAAGATTTGGGTAGGTAAAGGAAAATTACAGTCAAAGGGGGGTTGTTCTCTAGTGGGCAGGAGTGGGGGTCACAAGGTGCTCAGTAGGGGAGCTTTTGAGCCAGGATGAGCCAGGAGAAGGAATTTCACAAGATAATGTCATCAGTTAAGGCAGGAACAGGCCATTTTCACTTCTTTTGTGGTGGAATGTCATCAGTTAAGGCAGGAACCAGCCATCTGGATGTGTACGTGCACCTCACAGGGGATATGATGGCTTAGCTTGGGCTCAGAGGCCTGACATTCCTGTCTTCTTATATTAATAAGAAAAATAAAATGAAATAGTGGTAAAGTTTTGGGACAGCGAAATTTTTGGGGGTGGTATGGAGAGATAATGGGCGATGTTTCTCAGGGCTGCTTCAAGCGGGATTAGGGGCAGCATGGGAACCTAGAGTGGGAGAGATTAAGCTGAAGGAAGATTTTATGGTAAGGGGTGATATTGTGGGGTTGTTAGAAGAAACATTTTGTCGTGTAGAATTATTGGTGATGGCCTGGATATGGTTTTGTATGAATTGAAAAACTAAACAGAATAAGAGAAGGAGAAAAACAGGTATTAAAGGACTAAGAATTGGGAGGACCTAGGACATCTAATTAGAGAGTGCCCCAGGGGGTGCAGCGTAATTACTTGCTTGGTTGGCAAGTTTTTGGGCTCTATCCTTGAGTTTTTTATGTTGTCATACACTAGGCCAGATTGATTTAGGTAAAAACAACACTCTTCATTTAAGAATATACGGAGTCCTCCTTTTTCAGCAGTGAGTAAGTCAAGGCCTCGGCGGTTTTGGAGGACAACTGCAGCTAAAGAGTCAACTTGGGCCTGGAGGACTGATAAAGTTTGTGGGATGTCTGTGATGCTAGCAGAGAAGTCATTAGAGAGGCTATGGAAGGTCGTGACAGAGGTTGAAATGCCTGCTATTCCAATACTGAGAGCAATAGTGGAGGCAGAAAGTCTTAAACTGACAAGCACGGGAATTAGTGGAATAACTCTTTTTTGTCGTGTCGGTGTCAGAGGGGAACAGGGAGCTCTTCGGTCCTATTTGCAAATTGAATTTTGGGAGTAAGGAAAACTAGTGTGCATGTACCTGCCCAATTAGCAGGTAGACACATGTAGGTAGAGGATCCACAGAGGAAGAAGAGACCTTGTGCGAGGCAAAACTGGAGATGCAAACTAAAAAGATGAGAAGGAGTGCTGAAAAAGGTGTCTTGTACCTAGACTCCTAGGGATCCAGCTAGGGCGGCAGCCGTCAGAGGTTGTAACGGGAACTGATGAGGTAACTGTGTAGAGGGGGAGGTTCGATTTTCATGGTGTGTGAGAAAACGTCGAGTGTCTACGACCAACCTTTCACTGTTATTTTCGGGGCTGGGTATAAGTAAACAAGAAGAGGGCTTTGGAGATGAAGAGTAAAGGAACATCGAGAAGGTGAAAGGTTACCCAGGGGAATTCCAATGGGTCTTTGACGAGAGATACATAAAGGAGCAGCCACAGGAATAGTAGTTTGTGTTGTGAGGGGTCCAAATATGTGGGGAGTAGAGTTGATATAAGGAGAAAGGTGTTTTAAGTAAGTGCGGAGGAGGGTGGCAGCTTGCTGATGTCAAATGTCTGGGGAGGTCTTGCTGGACCTGTCTAGAAAGTAAATGAGTTCTTCAGGAGGGTAAAGGTGAGGGCTGTTAAAGGAAGTTCGGAGGTATAGGGAGACAGGAGATGTTGCCTAGTCTGCATGTAAGGCGGGGACAGCTGTGTAGGCACTGGAAGAAAGGGAAATGCAAAGCCAGCGGTTGTTCGCTAAGGAGGGATTAGAAACGGCTAGGAGAGAATGAGTAAAGTTGATAGTATGGTGGAGATAGCTGGGGAGAGGTAGAGGGTGGCATAAGAATGGGAATGATAATAAGAGTGAGTATAAAACTAAACAATAGAACTTCATCAGGGTGGAAGTATTGGAGGGTCCCCTGCCAGCAGAGATCATCTATCCACTCTAAGAGGGAGTTAAGAGTTGCCAGTCCTGGGCGGGGGCAAATTCTCGAGCTTGATGTGTAGGGAAGGGAGGGGGACTGAATAATCCCTGAGGAGTAGTAGAATAGCAGATGGAACACTGAGAAGTTATTTCCTTGAGGATAGATTTCCACAATGGAAAGGAAATGAGAGGTTCTAAGAGGTGGGCTGGTGGCTTGTACTATAGCATAGCCTGCCTTTGGTGGTGTGTGGCGATTAGGCCTGGTGAAACTGCCATCAATAGACCAAATGTGTTCAGGGTGAGGAACAGGAAAGGAAATATGGGGAAATGGGGTGAATGTCAGGTGGATCAGAGAGATACAGTCATGGGGGTCAGGTGTGGTATCTGGAATACTGTGGGAGGCTGGATTGAAGTCTGGGCCAGGAACAATGGTAATTGTGGGAGACTCAACAAGAAGTGAGTACAGCTGAAGGAGCCAGGGAGCAGAAAGTATATGCATCAGGTGGGAGAAAGAAAATAGATTTTGGAAGTTATGAGAACTGTAGAGAGTGAATTGAGCATAGTTTGTGATTTTTAGGGCCTCTAAAAGTATTAAAGCAGCGGCAGCCGCTGCATGCAGACATGAGGGCTAGGCTAAAACAGTAAGGTCAAGTTGGACAGAAAGGCTACAGGGTGTGGTCCCGGCTCTTGTGTAAGAATTCTGACCACACTAACCATGCCTAGGAAGGAAAGGAGTTGTTGTTTTGTAGAAGGGATTGGGGTTTGGGAGATTAGCCGGACACGATCAGCAGGGAGAGCACGTGTCTTTATGAGAATTATGCCGAGATAGGTAACAGATGAGGAAGAAATTTGGGCTTGACTGAAGTAATGGGGGCTGTCTGTGAAGCTTTGCGGCAGTATAGCCCAGGTAATTTGCTGAACCTGATGGGTGTCAGGGTCAGTCCAAGTGAAAGCGAAGAGAGGCTGGGATGAAGGGTGCAAAGGAATAGTAAAGAAAGCATGTTTGAGATCCAGAACAGAATAATGGGTTGTGGAGGGAGGTATTGAGGATAGGAGAGTGTATGGGTTTGGCACCATGGGGTGGATAGGCAAAACAATTTGGTTGATAAGGCGCAGATCCTGAACTAACCTGTAAACCTTGTCTGGTTTTAGGACAGGTAAAATTGGGGAATTGTAAGGAGAGTTTATAGGCTTTAAAAGGCCATGCTGTAGCAGGCGAGTGATAACAGACTTTAATCCTTTTAAAGCATGCCATGGGATGGGATATTGGCATTGAGCGGGGTAAGAGTGATTAGGTTTTAATGGGATGGTAAGGGGTGCATGATCAGTTGCTAAGGAGGGAGTAGAGGTGTCCTATACTTGTGGGTTAAGATGGGGAGATACAAAGGGAGGATGTGAAGGAGGCTCTGAACTGGGGGAAAAGGCGGCATTGAGGTGTGGCTGTAGCCCAGGAATAGGCAGGGAAGCAGATAATTTAGTTTAAGTGTCTCGGCCTAATAAGTGAACTGGGCGGGTGGGGATAACTAAAAAGGAGTGCTTAAAAGAGTACTGTCTAAATTAGCACCAGAGTTGGGGAGTTTTAAGAGGTTTAGAAGCCTGGCCGTCAATACCTCCAACGGTTATGGGGGCAAGGGAAACAGGCCCTTGAAAAGAAGGTAATGTGGAATGGGTAGGCTCCGTATTGATTAAGAGGGGGACAGACTTACTCTCCACTGTGAGAGTTACCCAGAGCATCTGTGATGGTCCCGTAGGCTTCCGAGGCAATTGGGCAGTGTCAGTCTTCAGCCGCTAAGCTGAGAAGATCTGGGAAGGAGTCAGTCAGAGAGCCTTGGGCCAGAGTTCCAGGGGCTCTGAAAGTGGCTGCCAGGTCAGTTGAACAGTCCAATTTTCAGTGGGGTCCTGCACAGATGGGACACAGCTTAGGAGGAATCCTGGGCTGTAGGCATTCCTTGGCCCAGTGGCCAGATTTCTGGCACTTGTAGCAAGCTCCTGGGGGAGGAGGTTCTAGAGTAACCCCAGCAGCTGCAGTTCAGGCGTTTGGAGTTCTTGTGTGCTGGAGATATGGCTGGGGTTTGTCTCACAGTGGAGGCAAGGAATTGCAACTCAGAAATACATTGCTACTTGGCTGCCTCTACTTTATTATTGTACACCTTGAAGGCGAGGTTAATTAAGTCCTGTTGTGGGGTTTGAGGGCTGGAATTTAATTTTTGAAGTTTTATTTAATGTCCGGAGCGGATTGGGTAATAAAATGTATATTGAGTGTAAGACGGCCTTTTGACCTTTTAGGGTCTAGGGCTGTAAAGCATCCCAGGGTTGCTGCCAAATGAGCCATGAACTGGGCTGCGTTTTTTATTTGATGAAAAAAGCCTAAACACTATCTGATTTGGGATAAAGAAAAAGGAGCATTAACCTTGACTATGCCTTTAGCTCCAGCCACCTTTTTAAGAGGAAATTGCTGGGCAGGTGGGGGAGGGCTAGTCGCGGAACGAAACTAAGCCGGACCGGGTGTGAGGAGGGGAGGTGATAAAATGATTATAGGGTGGAGGAGTGGAGGCTGAGGAAGAATTGTGACCTAGCTCGGCCTGGTGAGGAGGGGAGAAGTCAGATGGGTCTGTAGAAAAGAAAGATTAGGAAGACTCAGCGACGCGTGGGGTTGGGACTGAGGGGACAGGCGGGAGGGAAAGAAGGAAGACTTGGGATGAGTTGCACTGGGAACAGAGACTAGGGAGGGACTGATGTGTAAAAGAATGCCTGGACGTCAGGCACCTCAGACCGTTTGCCTATTTTGTGACAAGAATTATTTAGGTCTTGTAGGATGGAAAAATTGAAACTGCCATTTTTTGGCTATTTGGAACTACTGTCAAGTTTGTATTGGGGTCAAGCAGGATTGCAGAAGAAAAGGCATTTAGGTTTTAGGTCAGGTGTGAGTTGAAGAGGTTTTAGGTTTTTAAGAACACAGGCTAAGGGAGAAGAAGGGAATGGAGGGCGGGAGCTTGCCCATAGTGAAGGAGGCAAGCCCAGAGAAAAGAGAGAGTAGAGACACAGAGAGAAGGGGTGGGGGGTTCTTGCGCCCCAGAAAAGTGGAGAAGGGGTAGAGACACGGAGAGAAGGGTTGGGGGATTCTTGCCCTCTAGAAAAGTGGTACTTGCTGCTAAGGGTGAAGGAGAAGGGGCTGGGGGTTTCTTGCCCCGCAGAAAAGTGGAGAAGGGGTAGACATGGAGAGAAGGGTCGGGGGATTCTTGCCTCCCAGAAAAGCGGAGAAGGGGTAGAGACACGGAGAGAAGGGGTTGGGGGTTTCTTGCCCTCCAGAAAAGCGGTACTTGCCGCTAAGGGTGAAGGACCAAGGCAGGCGTCCTTGCATGGTCAGACACCTCTGAAACATGGGTGAATAATCAGGCAGCCATCCCCACGTGATTAAACACCAAGGGAAGACTGTCTTCCCAAGTCAGTGACCAGCACCGGAGTTTTGGGTCAATGGATAAAACGCGTCTCCTTTGTCTCTACTAGAAAAGAAAAGGAACTGAAATTAAGAGAAGGGAGAGATTGAAGTGTGGCACCAAGATTGAAAGGAGAAAGAGGTTGAGGGATAGTGAGAGAGGTTGGAGAAGAGAGTAAAAAGAGGCCGCTTACCAGATTTAAAATTGGTGAGATGTTCCTTGGGCTGGTTGGTCTGAGGACCAGAGGTCGTAGGTGAATCTTTCTCATGGAACAAAAAGCAGGACAGGGGATTGATCTCCCAAGGGAGGTCCCCTGATCCAAGTCACGGCACCAGATTTCACTCTCGTCCATATGAAGAGACCACCAAACAGGCTTTGTGTGAGCAATAAAGCTCTTTAATCACCTGGGTGCAGGTGGGCTGAGTCCGAAAAGAGAGTCAGCGAAGGGAGATAGGGGTAGGGCCGTTTTATAAGATTTGCGTAGGTAAAGGAAAATCACCGTCAAAGAGGGGTTGTTCTCTGGCAGGCAGGAGTGGGGGGTCACAAGGTGCTCAGTAGGAGAGCTTTTAAGCCAGGATGAGCCAGGAGAAGGAATTTCACAAGATAATGTCATCAGTTAAGGCAGGAACAGGCCATTTTCACTTTTTTTGTGGCGGAATGTCATCAGTTAAGGCAGGAACCGGCCATCTAGATGTGTACGTGCAGGTCACAGGGGATATGATGGCTTAGCTTGGGCTCAGAGGCCTGACAGTTAGTATTGAAATGTGAGGTACCATTGCTTTCATCATGCTCTTTGTTGCCTGTATACTTTGGTTTTGTTTTTTGTTTTTGCTTTTAAACTTGCATTTTTGTTTTATAGGTCTTGTTTCTGAAAGGAGTGTCTCCCTTTCCCGCTTGCGCAATTGGGGCACTCACCGTATTTGGGGTGTCTCCCAGGTCGTACAGGAGCAGATCGCTCCCTTCACAGGGTCTGTGGGTCCTCTTGGGATTGCTGGTTTGTTCTTGTAGTCAATCTGGAGCTAAAATTCACAATCTGGAGTCTATTTTAAAATTATGTTGATAAATTTGAGCCCATGTGTGTTTTTCTCTGATAAGGTTCAGCTGCTCGTATTGCTAGCACAGAATAAATGGAAAGTTGAGTTTCACTGGAACTATGATTTAGCCAGCTGAGCTTTTTAGAGGAAGAGGAGGATAGAGGAAGTGGAGGTATATAAGTTAGTGATAAGGGCGATGAACTGTGAAATCTAACCTGGGAAAGGAAGAAATGAAGGTGGGAGGAGGTGGATGAACAGTGAAAAAGTGGTAGAGGCAATGGATTAGAGATTCCAGTGGAGCTAATGGAGTCTATGAGCATCTTAGAGAAGGTGAACCAAAAAGAGAAGATCCAAGAGTCTATACATCCCAAGAATTAACCACTCTTTCTATGAATTCTTCTTAAATGTAGATGGTGCTCTTCTTTTTAGCTTTCCCCTGTGAAAATGGAGGAGAGGTCGTTATCACAGAAATTGCTTTCGTATCTGCTTATGTAGCACTGACCTTTGCTAAACCTCAGTTCTACAATTCTAGTGCCTGCAAGAATTGCCTGAATGATCTACCAGCATTTTGTACTAATTATATGTAAATTATTTTTAACAATTCTTCATTCAAATTCACCTGTTCTGGACTGCCATTCTCCCTCTGTGAGACTCTCTCCTCTTTCCTCTCCTTGCCTCCAATTTTAATCATTACTAAGTAAGTTAGCTTATAAAATATTTATTGGATCTTCTCTACATTTCCAGGGCCCACTGACCTTGTTGGCCCATCCAGTGCCCATTCAGCTCCCTATCTTGCACCTTCATTTCCTTCTTTTTGGGATATCTTCCCTTGAATGTTAAAATCCTTTGGCCACAAATTTAGATGCCATCTATTCTATAAACACTCTGCCAGGACTTCAATTTATTGAATTGTGTTAATTGTTGCCAAAATGGTATCCTCTTTATGTTTTTTTCTCCGATACCAGGTTAATTTTCAAAATTATATTCTTTATAGCCACAGCCCTTCTCAAAAACTTTTAGGAGTTTTCCATTTCTCCTAGAATGATGTCCAAACTCTTTAGCATAGGCTCTAGCCTTCTTTCACATTCTCATTTTCTTCACCACCTCTTCTTGGAGTCTTTCCAGGGCCCACTGAACTTGTTGTCCATCCAATGCTCTTTCAATCCCCTATCTTGTACCTGCATTTCCCTCTTCTTGGAATATCTTCTCTGAATGGTAAAAATCATTTGAGCACAGATTTAAATACCACCTACTCTATAAATATTTTACTTGCTCCTCACTGTTGAAAGTAATCTCTCCTTCTTCCAAGCTTGCAAAATAACTCTCTGTATACCTGTTAGTCATAAGAATACTTTTCAATTTTATAAGTGTAGTTTTCAAACTGCTTTTACATATGTTTTACTTTATTCTCTACAACAAGATGAGGTTTTCTTTAGCACCATTTTAAAGATATGGAAACTGGGAATGAGAATTATTTAAATTGCATGTACTTGCCACTGTCACCCTTGCCTTTGAATAATTTATATTCTTATTTTTCTTGTTCCCAGACTTTGTCCTTCAGTGCACTGAGTCAAAGCTTTACACTAAGAGGCAGTCTTATTTGTTGAATGAATGCATGAAAGGCTGGTTTTATGAAAGCAAAAATGTTTTTCATAATTAGTATTTGAAAAGATGTGTTTTTCAAGTAACTTGCATGTTAATAGCCTTTTTTATGATGTGGCCTTTGTTAAGTCTGGCAGTAAGAAAAAGAAAGTCACCAAAGCTGAACGATTGAAGCTGCTACAAGAGGAGGAGGAGAGACGACTGAAAGAGGAAGGTACAAAATAAATAGTGATACTATTTACCTATACAGGTAATAGTCACGATAGGTTGGTCTTTTGTAGTAAAGTCAATATTTTTTCAAAGTTCTTTAATTTTAAAATTTAATCTGTTTTATAATAGGTATCTATCTTTTAGAAAGTATCCAGAAAGATGTTAGTACATGCCAGTCTCTTTCAGATATATATTGAATTAGGGTTGCCAGAGATAAAATACAAGAGCCCAGTTAAATTTAACTTTCAGATAATCACATGGATAATTTGGGATAATTTGTCCCATGCAATACTTGGGACATACTTAACTTAAAAAAAAAATTGTTTTAAATAAAGTTTTGGTGCCGCAAAAGAAATAGCACTCGAATATAAAATTTTCTTTTTATTTCTCAGCAAGGCAAGGTACTTCTATAGAAGGGTGCTCTCTCACCAATGGAGCAATGGTGGGTGCACACTTGGACAAGGGAGGGGAAGGGGTTCTTATCCCTGGCGCCTGTGGCCCCTGCTACTGTGTCATTCCCCTATTGGCTAGGGTTAGACCACACAGGATAAACTAATTCCGATTGGCTAATTTAAAGAGAATGACGGGGTGAGCGCTTTGGCCGGATTCAGGGCAGAGCAGGTAGCAGGTAATCGGAATGAGTTAGGGTGGAGCAGGTGATCAGAATGAGTTAGTGTGGAGTAGGTGATCAGAATGAGTCAGGGTGGAGTCAGTAATCGAAAAAGGTTGCTTTACGAAGAAGTTAAGTTTAAAAGTAGAAGGCAAAGAATTGAACATACTGACATATTAATTCTTTGAAGAGAAATTTAGAATTCATATTCAACAAATGTTTATTGTTCATCTAAAATTCAAATTCAACTGAGCATCCCATGTTTTAATCTGCTAATTCTGGTAACCCTATCTTGAAGTGTTTATATTTACTGATGAAATTAGGAGCATTGGAATTTTAAAAGACCATGTATATTTTTATTCTTTTATAAAAATAAAAGAATAAATAAAACAAAACAAAAAAAGAAATTAGGAGCATTGGTGCTGTTTGTTCAGTAAAAATTCTGAAACTCAAATTCATTAAATGTGGGAAATATAAACTAGCAAGAAATACATAGAGCAGCCTAAATTTTTACAGTTTTATAATATTTATTTGCCAAATTTAAAATACTAATTTTATTTGTTAAAAAACTGATTAAACATTGATAAAAGTGTTTATTAATTAAAGTACCAAAAAGTGATTTTTAAAATCTGAGTATTTAGATAGAGGTTTTTAAAAGACTGTTCTCAGGTTCCATATTGACTTTTTATGTATAATTTTATACATCCTTTTTTTTCGGTGACTCCTGATACAAATACAATATCAGGATCTATATCTTGGGGCATGTTTTATTTATATTGGATTAAACTTATACTCTTCAATATGTACTTCACATTTTGTTTTTAATAGTGAGAGCAGGAGAAGATTAAGGTAATTGCATCTGAGATGTAGATGTCACAAGATTATGGAAGTCTTCTGAAGGCTTGACTTCCTCTTCATTGCCATGATAGGTCTGCCATACCTTATTGGTTAAAATCACTATTGGATTGCTATAAACCTTTTGGAGAAGAAAAATATTATTGTGGCTTATTTTTTATTTTTTTATTTTTGACCACAAAGTTTGAATCATGTTACTTTCTTTCTTTTTTTTTTTCTTTTTTTTTGGGAAATGGGAATTTGTCTCAACCTTTATTTTGACACATTCAGCAGGAGATGATGGATGTTTTAAATTACTCTTGATAAGAAGCTATCAGTAGGAGTTATTTTGTTTCACAGACCCTGGCAGGTCAAAAACATACTCAAATCGAATAAATATTCTCAAATTAAGTAGGGGAATAATAAGGCCGAGTAGCTCCTGCTGCAGAGAGGAAGCACATCTAAAGCTACAGTGAGTGCTCAAGGGAGCCACTCCTACATCATTTCCACAAGAAGCAAAGAAGAGACAATGGCTGGGAGTCATGTGTCTTTATAGTAGCATGATTTATAATCCTTTGGGTATATACCCAGTAATGGGATCGCTGGGTCAAATGGTATTTCTAGTTCTAGATCCTTGAGGAATTGCCACACTGTCTTCCACATTGGTTGAACTGGTTTTCAGTCTCATCAACATTAGTGTTCCTATTTCTCCACATCCTCTCCAGCACCTGTTGTTTCCTGACTTTTTAATGATCGCCATTCTAACTGGTGTGAGATGGTATCTCATTGTGGTTTTGATTTGCATTTCTCTGATGACCAGTGGTGATGAACATTTTTTCATGTGTCTGTTGGCTGCATAAATGTCTTCTTTTGAGAAGTGTCTGTTCATATCCTTTGCCCACTTTTTGATGGGGTTGTTTGATTTTTTCTTGTAGTTACTGTCTTGAAGAAAGGAGAACTGACACTTTTCTCATATCTACCATGTAATAAAGACTGTGACTTCTATAAAAGATTCCACCACTACATCTTGAAAATATTAGGAGTAATTTTAAGGGCTTAAAAATACAGTGATCTATTCACTGAGAAAAAAATTATTTTTGGTTCTTTAGAGGAAGCCCGTTTGAAATATGAGAAAGAAGAAATGGAAAGGCTTGAAATACAGCGAATTGAGAAAGAAAAATGGCATCGACTTGAAGCAAAAGTAAATAAACATTAATAATGTTCTTAATGAATACTTAAACTATGGCTATCAGATTTATTGTCATTTAATGTCCTTCTCAGCCCATAGCTACCAGTAATATTTAGGCCTACATGAACTTAATCGTACCATAGAATAAGTGACATTGTTATCCAGATTTCACAGATGAGGAAATTGAGGCATAGAGAAATTAAGCATCTAATCAGTGGCATAGCAAAGACTTGGATCTTCTTTTTTTTTTTTCTTGAGATGGAGTCTCGCTCTGTTGCCCAGGCTGGAGTGCAGTGGTGTGATCTTGGCTCACTGCAAGCTCCGCCTCCTGGGTTCACGCCATTCTCCTGCCTCAGCCTTCCGAGTAGCTGGGACTACAGGTGCCTGCCACCACACCCGGCTAATTTTTTGTACTTTTAGTAGAGATAGGGTTTCACCTTGTTAGCCAGGATGGTCTCCATCTCCTGACCTTGTGATCCGCCCCCCTCAGCCTCCCAAAGGGCTGGGATTACAGGCGTGAGCCACCATGCCTGGCTGCCAAGACTTAGATCTAAGCAAGTCTTGCTGCAGAGCCTATGCTTGTAACCTTTAAGCATACATGAATCTGTTGTATAGACAAGATAACAGGAACAAAAAAAAAAAAAAATTCAAAATATTCAAATTCTACCTCTCCTTTTTTAGTTTCACTTCTCTGTTTCACTAGAATCTTTTAGATCAGTAATTCTGAAATATTCTGGTCTCAGGACAAAACTCCATTACTATTAAAAACTGAAGACCCTCCAAGGAGCTTATGTTTATGTGGATTACATCTATCAATATTTACCATATTAGAAATTAAAACTAAAAAATTTTAAACTGCTTACATTAACAGACATTACATGTTGATAAAAATAAATTTTATTAAACATAAGTAAATACATGGATATTTTTAAAGAAACAACTTTTTTTTAAAATTAAGGAAATGATGGCATTGTTTATATTTTAAAAATTTATTTGATATCTGACTTAACAGAAGACAGCTGGATTCTCATATCTATTTCAGTATTCCATCTGTTGCAATATGTTGTTTTGTATGAAGCATATAAGGAAAATCTGGCCTTATACAGATATGCAATTGAAAAAAAGTAATATTTTAATAGCCTTTCTGATAATTGTGGATATTCTTCTTTGATACTGTATCAAAACTTTTTTTTTTTTTTTTTTTTTGAGACGGAGTCTCTCTCTGTCGCCCAGGCTGGAGTGCAGTGGCACAATCTCTGCTCTCTGCAAGCTCCGCCTCCCGGGTTCACGCCATTCTCCTGCCTCAGCCTCCCGAGTAGCTGGGACTACAGGCACCCGCCACTGCGCCTGGCTAATGTTTTTTGTATTTTTAGTAGAGACGGGCTTTCACCGTGGTCTCAATCACCTGACCTCGTGATCCACCCGCCTCGGCCTCCCAAAGTGCTGGGATTACAGGTGTGAGCCACTGCGCCCGGCCAAGTTGTAGTTTCTTAATGTGGAATATGAAACCATATCAGTCAACTATTCATACTCTGTTATTTTAAAACATTGATCTATCTTACCCTCTGAACAGATCTTGTTTTCATACATGATTTGGCATTATCATGTGTTGCTTGCTTGAAAAGTTTTGGTTTACTGAATTATTTGCTTCCAAATGTTGATGTAATTGATTATTCATTATCAAAAATCACATACATTAGTATAATCACCAACCAAATCAGAAGATTTTTTCATTTTTTTTTTGAGACAGAGTCTTGTTCTGTCACCCAGGCTAGAGTGCAATGGCATAATCTCGGCTCACTGCAACCTCCACGTCCCAGGTTCAGGCGATTCTCCTGCCTTAGCCTCCCGAGTAGCAGAGATTACAGGCACCCGCCACCGCGCCCGGCTAATTTTCGTATTTTTAATAGAGATGGGGCCAGGCTGATCTCGAACTCTCCTGACCTTGTGATCCATGCACCTCTGTCTCCCAAAGTGCTGAGATTACAGATGTGAGCCACCACGCCAGGCCCAAATCAGAAGTTTTTAAAGATCGGAATACTTTCAAGCTTACAGTGATAGATACAAGTTTTCTAAAATTTGAATTTTTGCCTGACAGCTTGAATTTTGTCATTGGCAACAGATATTTTGAGTTGTATCCTTGAAGTGACACACTCCATTCATTCATTTTTGAGAGAATGTCTACCAAATTAGTCAAATAATTGCACAAGTGATATTTCTCAAGACAGTATTGTCATTCGATATGCAGCAGAAGAGCTTTATGCTGACTTCCCATTTTATCCAACAGGCTATTAAAAAGACATGTACTTAGGGTTCAGATTTAATACAATTAATAATTTTCACCTCTTCATCAGGGCATTCTTTTTTTTTTTTGTAACGTGATTTAGAGTCTTGCCCTGTCATCCAGGCTGGAGTGCGGTTGCGCGATCTTGGGTTAGTGGAACCTCTGCCTCCAGGGTCAAGCAGTTCTCCCCCTTCAGCCTCCTGAGTAGCTGGGATTACAGGCACACGCCACCATACCCGGCTAATTTTTGTATTTTTGGTCGAGATGGTGTTTCACCATGTTGGCTGGTCTCGAACTCCTGACCTCAAGTGATCCGCCTGCCTCAGCCTCCCAAAGTGCTGGGATTACAGGCGTGAGCCACTGCACCCATCCATCCGGGCATTCTTTTGTGAAGCTGGCTCCTTCCCTTCACCTCTCCCCCTAGAAGTAGTACAGTTTGGGGTCACTGTCTGATCTGTGCTAAGACATCAGCACTTTCACACCATCTTGCACAATCAGTGCAAATAGATACACGATGAAAAAGTCAAATAATGTTAGTATTATTATGGAAATAGATTTGACCTCACAGATCCCAGGTTTTAGGTACCCATCAAGAGTCTGTAGATCACACTTTGTAAGCCACTGTTTCAGATGAAACCTTTTGGAGATATCAGTTATATTCAAACTAATTTTAATATTCATTTTGAAACTGCAGTTATATATTTAGCCACGTCAGTTTTAGATGCTACTTGTGAAACATAAAGTTAAAATTAAAGAGCTGATCAATGTATCTGTCCTTGTGCAACAGGATCTAGAAAGGAGAAATGAAGAACTTGAAGAACTTTATTTATTAGAGAGGTGTTTTCCTGAAGCAGAGAAATTGAAACAGGAAACTAAATTGCTTTCTCAGGTAGGACTGATTTCTCTTTTTTAGCTAATACCTTTGTCACCACAAGAGGGAGGTGTAGTCCAATTTTGATGCCAAGAAAAGAAACTAAATTTTTCTGTTTTAAAAAACCCTCTCATCTGACAAATTGATTGCTTATGGCAAAGTAAACTAACATAACTTTGTAGAAAGCTATTTGTCAGTAATAATGTCCTTGAAATGTTTATATTCTTTGACTCTGACTCAATTGCTGGGAATGTATACTTAGGGAAATTATGCTAAATTAAAACGTAAAAGCTTTGTGCTTAAGGCAATCTAGTCTTGCTCAAAACTGCATAACTTTGGAAATAATATAGGTGAATATCAGGAGAAAAATGAAAAACTATTATAATATGGCTAAAGATTGTGGTATAATCAAGTGAAAAATTCTAAGTACAGTACAATATGATTACAAATGTGAAATTTGCATAAACTACAAAATGAATGGAAGGCCTTCTACTAAAATGCCAGTGGCAACTAGACATTAGTAATAACTTGGGAAGTAGAAATTAGCCTAAGTGTTGGCCTTTGCAAATAAGCAGCTCTATGATTAGAGAGGAAAACTAAGCAAAACAAAACTACTTATAAATAATGCTTTAAAAATAAAAATGTGAAAGTATTTTAGTGCTTCTATGTATCTGAATATTAAGGATTAGAAGTTACTTGGATAAAGAAGAACTTGGTTATTTTAGAGCTCTCTCAAGTTACTGGTTAAAGCCATCATGTTTTTATCTAAGTTGGTTAAACTAGGTTATAAAAATTCACCTTCAAAAAAGAAGTCATTTAATCTTTGGTTGAATCTTCATCAATGTGAACCTTTAAACATTTTTATTCCACAGTGGAAGCACTACATTCAATGTGATGGGAGTCCTGATCCTTCAGTAGCCCAAGAAATGAACACGTTTATTAGTTTGTGGAAAGAGAAAACAAATGAGACTTTTGAGGAAGTGATTGAGAAGAGTAAAGTAGTGCTAAATGTAGGTATTTATGCATTTTCCTATAAACTGGCTATTACAAATAGTCTGATATTAACTCAAAATAAAAATTAATATATCATTTGCCAAGTAATAACACTACTGCTTTTGAACCCTTAGCAAAAGAAGTAATTGGTAATCTTTTCATTTTCTTTTTTCTTTTTTACAAGTCCTAAGAATTCCTTGCCATATTAGCTAAGGTCAGCATATCATAAAACATTGATTATTTGTCTGTCTAATCAAGAAAAAAAAATCAAGTTGCATGCATTCATGTAGATAACTCGGGTGGGGGTAGTGGGTAATTTTATCCTCAGTTGGAATATCCACTGTTCAGTAATTTAGTACCCATGATTTTTCATGTTTACTAGGTGCCAGGTATACACTCTGTTAGACAGTGGGGGTACAAAGACAAATCAGAATATTCTAACTTTTGTTCCTGCAAATAGGATGGTTAGACTAGCCTGAGAAGCTGCCACTTTACAATGCACTTAAAAATACTGGGGGAAAAAAAACTAATTTATTAAAAAAAATTTAAATTCATTGCTTTAATCAAAAAAAGTAAGGTAAAACCTTAGAGGCCATAAAACAATCCAGAAAGTAAGAAGGTCTTGAAGCCATGGCTTCATAGCTAACTAGTTAGTGGCTTAGCTAGCTAACTGCTATGGCTTAGCATTGGTTCAAAGGGCCATCAGGAGGCAAAGCCTAGAGTACATACAAGGTGGTAAGTTGAACCAGAGACTCCTGTATGGCTGGGAGCCTCAAAAGACATTATGGATAACAGGAAAAATTTATTGTGCAAAAGGAGATAAGATGCGTTTGGCTTATCTTTAGCTTAGTGAATAAGAAACAAAAATGTCTCCACTAAGAATTTTTATTTATTTATTTATTTAATTAATTTTTTGAGACGGCATCTCGCTCTGTCACCCAGGCTGGAGTGCAGTGGCGTGATCTCGGCTTACCGCAACCTCTACCTCCCGGATTCAACCAATTCTCATGCCTCAGCCTCCCAATAGCTGGAATTACAGTCATGTGCCACCACACCTGGCTAATTTTTGTATTTTTAGTAGAAATGAGGTTTCACCATGTTGGCCAGGATGGTCTCAAACTGCTGACCTCAAATGATCCAGCAGCCTCAGCTTCCCAAAGTGCTAGGATTACCACTGCACCTAGCCAAGAATTTTTAATGAGGAGTGAATCAAAAGTTGGATTGGAAAATTTACCAGAAGACAGCACAGAGACAAAGAGATAGAAAATATGAAAGAGCAGTTGACAGGCATGTATTATAGAGTAACAAGGGCTAAAAAAGAAAAGAAGGGATACAGAAGAATGGAAGAGAGACAATATTCAAAGAGATAATGGCTGAAAATTTTCCAGAATTGATGAAAGATGTGAATCCTCACATTCAGGAAGCTCAAGAAATTCTAAGTAAAACGAAAAACTAGCGTTTATACTTTTAACACTTCTGACACCAAATGTATGTGGGGTTTTCTCACACCAACCAATTATCCAACTCTCCAGATTCCTACTGAAGTGTCCTTCGATCCAGTGCTGGTACTGAGTACTTAGAGCTAGTGCAGACCCCCGTCCCACAAAACTGCCCTTTCCTTCACTTCCAATCACAAGTCCCAGCTTGTCACCTGTACTTCTGATCAGCCTGTTATAAATCAGCCACAAGCCATTGGTCAGGTTATTTGCTGTAATGGCTCACAAAACTCAGAGAAACATTTACTCGCCTTTACTGGTTTATTATAAAGGATATTACAAAAGATACAAGTGAAAAACTAGATGAAGAAATACAAGGGGTGAGGTCCGTAGGGAGGAGTGTAGAGCTTCCGTGCCCTCTTGGGGCACACCACCCTTCCAGCACCTCAATGTGTTCACCAACCGGAAAGTTCTCTGAACCTCGTTGTTTGAGTTTTTTATGGAAACCTCATTTATGTAGGCATGCTTGATTAAATCATTTGCCGTTGGCATTTAAGTTCATCTTCATCCCCTCTCCCCATCCTGGAGGCTAGGGAGTGGGGCTGCAAGTTTCAGCCCTCTAATCACATGGTTGGTCCCTCTGGCAATCAGCCGCCATCCTCTGAGACTCATCATATTAGCATAAACTCAGGTGAGGTTGAAAAGGGCTTATTATAAATAACAAAAGCTGTTTCTGTCATTCCTATCCCTCAAGAAATTCTAAGAAGCTTGTGCCAGGAACAGGGGGCAGAGACCAAATATTTATTTCTTTTTATGTCACGTCAAGTTAGGATAAATACATTCACACTTAAACACACTTATATGATAATAGAAACTAGAAGGAATTCACTACTCTTATTCCTATTATTATCCTTTAATGCTTTTTTGGTCCACTTCCTCACAGTTTTATGCTTCCTGTCATTGCTGCTATAGTTTAACTTCTTCATGTTGTCATAAGAGGGTAGAACTGTAGACTCTTTTAAGCTCATACCATGCATTGCGAGATTTAATCTAAACAACAAGATTATAAGAGTCATTTAACAAATAAACATAGATTGTGATTTGCTTGCAGTCCACTGTGAGACCTTAGATGGACCTTACTCTGACTTTCCGTAGGCCCAAGGAGTCTCCCGTGCAGTCTGAGCTATTTAAATGCCTGTGGATTAATCATACAGTGTTCTTGCTACTACACATCCTGTCTACCAGAGAGGCTGCCATGGCATGACGTCAGCTTAGGAATCTGGTACTTTGCAGTTAGCAGGGAGGCAGTGGGAAGTAGTACTAGAGTTCACCAGTGATGAGCTGCAAGGGACATCTTCCTGTTACAAGAATGAGGAGTCAGAAGTAGAAGTAATAGCAAAAACGATGAGAAAAGGATAAGTTCAATAACACAGGAGACAGAAGAGGGGAGTAATCACAACAATAGGAAAGGAAGAAAGCAGAAAGCTGCAGAAAAGTGGAGTTGGATAGCAGTAACAGAAGGAAATGGCCCTGTAGTAAACACCAATTTCCAAATTTTCAAATTTATTTAATAAACTCTTATATAGTGCTTAATCTATGCCAAGCTTTGGAAATATTGGCTTTCTGAGTTCTCATAATAACACTAGGAGATAGGTACTAAAAACCCCATTTTTCCAATGAGGAAATTGAGGCAATAACTTGCCCAAGACCCCACTGCTAGTTGAGAGGTGGCCAGGATTGAAGCCCTGCATTCTTGTTTGAGTCCATACTACCCTACGCTACGATGCTGCCTGTCTTAATTCAGAAAATTTCTATGTATTATCTGTGTTAGTGTTCAAAATTTAATTCTGCCACTTACTAGTTGTTCCTTCATCACACTGTGCCTCAGTTTCATTATCTGTAAAATATGCACAGTAACAATATCTACCTCATAGAGTTATAATGAAGAATGAATGCATTAAAACATATACAGCATTTAGAACAGTTCCTGGTGCATTGTAAGCATTCAGTAAAAATATTAGTAGTTCTCTTCCATCTCCTTCTCCTGATTGTTGTTATATTTTGTTGTTTTTTCTATTATCTCTCAGTCTTAGGTAATGACAAGTTGCCACTCGTTTATTAACTTGCTAATGAAAGCTGTCACACATAGTTAACTGGTAGATCCGAGGGTTTAATTAGATTCAGAGCCACCATTTTCAGCAAGAAGGCATCATAGGTTATGTTGTGTTCTTCATACTGCATCCTATCAGAAGCCATATGATGTTCCATTATTAATTTTTTTTTTTTTTTTTTTTTTTTGAGACAGAGTCTCACTGTCTCCCAGGCTGGAGTGCAGTGGTGCAATCTCGGCTCACTGCAAGCTCCGCCTCCCGGGTTCACACCATCCTCCTGACTCAGCCTCCCGAGTTGCTGGGCCTACAGGCGCCCGCCACCACACCTGGCTAATTTTTTGTATTTTTAGTAGAGATGGGGTTTCACTGTGTTAGCCAGGATAGTCTTGATCTCCTGACCTCGTGATCTGCCCGCCTTGGCCTCCCAAAGTGCTGGGATTGCAGGCATGAGCCACTGCGCCCGGCCTCCATTATTAATTTAATGATGCGAATTTGATCACATGGTTAAGGTGTTTGCCATCAAATCTCCACATTGCAAAGTACATTTTCCCCAATCAGAGGTCAAATACTTTGGCACTGGGACAATTATGTGTTCCTCAACAGCTTTTCACCTAATCATTTAGGTAGCCATTGAGGATCTTTATCTGAAGCAGTTATTACACTGGGGATTGAAAAATGGTGATTTGCTAAGTGATCATTGCATCTACATTAGACAGATGGCACTCTTCTGTAAAGAACTGGTCTTTCTTCACCCCACCTTCCCCCTTCATTTCTGAACGTCTAACACTATAGACTCATGGATTTTTATTTATTCAGTGTGTTATAATTAATTTTAAGGGAGTTTGGGAGGAAATTTTTGTTTATGATCTTAAATTACAGAATAAATACAGGAAAGGTTTCTATATGTTTTGCTAAGGATGTGTTCCTCAATTCAAAAGGGATAAAACATTCCCTTTTTCACTTGTCCTTGACTATTTCTCTGAGAATTAATGCAAATATTCTTTTACTTTACAGTTAATTGAGAAATTGAAATTTATTTTACTGGAAACTCCACCATGTGATTTGCAAGATAAAAATATAATACAGTACCAAGAATCAATACTACAACTGCAGGAGCTCCTTCATCTTAAATTCGGTGTAGCCACAGAAATACTTCTCAAAGTAAGTGTGATATTTTGCTTATATATTAAGTTTTATAAGAGCTAACATTTTATGTTATAAAATAATCCAGTATTTTTTAAATTGAAAAATGAAGAGATTATGGAAAAGTTAGCAGAATAATTTAGAGTACATATATTTATCCAGATTTAATAACTGATAATATTTTATTTTTAAACATAATTTATTTTGTTTTGTTTTGTTTTTTAGAGATAGTAAAGATGGGATCTGCCTGTGTTACCCAGGCTGGTCTCAAACTTCTGGACACAAACAGTCTTTCTTCCTTGGCCTCCCAAAGTACTGGGATTACATGTGTGAGCCACTGCTCCCCGCCAAATATTTTATTTTTAAAGAAATAGAATACTATTTCTATTTGCTATTAAAAGTAATGGCAAAAACCGCAATTACTTTTGCACCAACCTTATTATTCTTAGGATAATAATATGTAAGGATAGGATAGGAGACCTCATCCTAATATATATATTAGCCAAGCATGGTTTGCCTGTTGTCCCAGCTACTTGGGAGCTTGAGGTGGGAGCATCGCTTGAGTCCAGGATGTCAGTGCTGCAGTGAACCACTGCACTTCAACCTGGGCAACAGAGGCAGACTCTGTCTCAAAAAAATAAAAGTAAGAATAGAAGAAGAAGGAGAAGAAGAAGAAACTATAATGTTATATCTGAAATGGAAATATCAGCATGAACCAGATTTCTTTTTATTCTATAAATAGGATGTGGGATTTCAGTTCTGGGGCAGGAAAAGTGAAAGATGAGGCTGGATTATCTTACTGTGCTAGAAGGCAAGCAAACACTCAGAGACTAATGACATTGTATGAAAGGGATGCCGTTAGCTAAGAGGCTAGCTTAGAAGTCCCACTGATCAAATTTGGAATAATTTGAATATCAGAATAATGATTATAATCAATTATAACAAATTGAATAAATAAAAATTTATGAGTTTATAGTGATACTTCAGAAACAAAGGGGGAAGGTGGAGTGAAGAAAGAACAGTTCTTTACAGTAGAATGCCATCTATCTAATGTGGATGCAGTGATCAGTTAGGAAATCACCATTTTTCAATCCCCAGTGTAATAACTGTTTCAAATAAGGATCCTCAGTGGCTACCTAAATGATTAGGTGAAAAGCTGTTGAGGAATACATAATTCTTCTAGTGCCAAAGTATTTGACCTCAGATTGGGGAAAATGTACTTTGCAGTGGGGAGATTTGGTGGTCAGCACCTTAAGCAAGCGATCAAGTTCATATCATTAATAGTGGAACATCATATGTCTTCGATAGAATGCAGTATGAAGAATACAGCATAACCTATGATGCCTCCTTGCTGAAGATGGTGGATCTGAATCCAGTTAAACCCCTAGACCTTCCAGTGTACAAAAATAAAGAGGATAGAGGAGCCAGTTAAACAATGCCATGAGGAAACAATAATAGAAATCCACAATATGGGACAGTTCTACAAGACAATTGTCCTGAACACTTCAAAAAGTTAGTTTCAGAAAATAAAAAGTGTGCAGGAATAATCACACTTAAAAAAATTAATAATAAATATAATCTTCAACATTTTAAAGTTTTTACATTCTAGCAACCACATATTTACTTATTCAAACCCTTTATGACAGCTGATTCCTTGAGCAATAGGCATCAAACTGTGTTAGTTTTTATTTTAAAATTCTTAACATACTTGAATTTTATGGTTAATATTGGATATTAAATATTAGACTAGTGAAAACATGACTTATCTGGATTTTATAAGCTAGATATTTTGCTTTCTAAACTTGGTGTGTTCGGAGATAGGTTAACTTTTGCAGTAGAATAGTCTACAGTATAATAAGATACAGATAAAGCAGCATGTGTATAGTTAAAATGAAAAGTCATGATTCTGATGTTATGACTGAGAAAGGTAACATATTAATCCACAGGTGCTACCCAGAAATGTAGAAGCAACTTTATTTTTCACTTTTCTGAGACCCAGTCTTGCTCTGTCACCCCGGCTAGAGTGCATGGTGCAATCATGGCTCACTGCAGCCTCAACCTCCCAGACTCAAGCAATACTTCCACCTAGGATCCTCCCAGCTGCCAGGTAGCTGGGACTACAGTTGCACACCACCACACCCAGCTAATTTTTTGTAGAGATGGGGGTGGTCTCATTATGTTGCCCAGGCTTTTCTTGAACTCCTGGACTCAAATGATCCTTACGACTTGGCCTACCAAAGTGCTCAGATTACAGGTATGAGCCACCTCACCCAACCTAAGAGCAACTTTAATTCTTAGACACCTTAGGAGAAACTGAATGGAAAAAGGAGATGCATATTTAAGTAAGTAAATATGTTTGCATTTTTAGAGAATTTTTTTAAACAATTCTTTGTCATGTTGATTGAACCTTATTTTTACCCAAGTTACTCTCTTAGGTGATTAATAAAGGGAATCCAACACATAAGTGATAAAGTAACTTATCTAATTTGTATAATTTATGAGGCCTGTGGCCCTTTATAATGTTTTCTTTTTCTCTTACAGCAAGCTAGTACTTTGGCAGATCTGGACAGTGGAAATATGGAAAAAGTCATTAAAGATGAAAATGTTACTCTGTATGTGTGGGCAAACCTCAAGAAGAATCCAAGGTACCCTTGTGGGCAATACTTTCCCTGTAGGTGGAAAGAAAGACATTGAGCCACATCATGATTGCCAGATAGATGCCTATTGCATAGCAGCATGGTGTGTTTGGAAAAGCCCATTTCAGGAAGTTAGCCCACTAAGGGTTGAATCAGAAACCCGCCATTTTCTTACACAAGTTACTTTGTTGAGCTTCAGTATATCATCAGTAAAATGATGATTGTGTCACTTAATAGGATTGGATTGAAGATTAAACATTAGTGCATGTGTTATAGCATAGTTATAGCATAGTGTTTATTACAAATATACACTCATTAAATACCAGGTCTTCCTCTTCTCTTTACCCACTTAACTCCTCTGCCCTCCAAAAAAGTAGAAGTGGTAGGTGCTTTCTTTTTCTTTTTTTTTTGAGACACAGTCTTGCTCTGTCGTCCAGGCTGGAGTGCAGTGGTGTGATCTCGGCTCACTACAGCCTTTGCCTCCTAGGTTCAAGCGATTCTTTGTGCCTCAGCCTCCTGAGTAGCTGGGATTACAGGTGCACGCCACCACACCTGGCTAATTTTTTTGTATTTTTAGTAGAGACGGGGTTTCACCATGTTGGTCAGGTTAGTTTCAAACTCCTGACCTCAAGTGATCAGCCTGCCTCGGCCTTCCAAAGTGCTGGGATTACAGGCGTGAGCCACTGCGCCCAGCTAATAGGTACTTTCTATATGGCAATCTGGATTTTTTTTTTTTAATGTATCTTTGTGACTTAAAAATAATAGGTTTTCTTTTCTTTTTTTTTTTGAGACAGAGTTTGGCTCTTGTTGCCCAGGCTGGAGTGCAAGGGCGCAATCTCGGCTCACTGCAACCTCTGCCTCCTGTGTTCAAGCGATTCTCCTGCCTCAGCCTCCTGAGTAGCTGGGATTACAGGCATGTGCCACCATGCTTGGCTAATTTTGTATTTTTAGTAGAGACGTGGTTTCTCCATGTTAGTCAGGCTGGTCTCAAACTCCCGACCTCAGGTGATCCGCACATCTCGGCCTCCCAAAGTGCTGGGATTACAGGCGTGAGCCACTGCGCCCGGCAAACATAATAGGTTTTCATATGTGTATTTCTTGGACATTTTAGTGCTATTTCCCCAATAGTTTTCAACAAAGAAACATCTTTCTGAGGAATGACAGTGACGATGGCAAATTCATGAGTGCTTGGTTGCTGCTTGATCTTTAAACATTTTAAGTTACTTGCATTAGTATAGCAGTGAGTTTTAGAGAAAAATTACCAGAATAAAAATTAGGAGGCCTAGGTTCTGGTCCTACCTCTGAAAAGACTAGCTATGTGACATTTAAAAAAAACTAGACTTTATTTTTGATAGTTAGTAAAAGGGAAGAAAAAAATATTTCCTAAGTTCCTTCCATTTGCTATGAAAAACAAAAAAACCAACTTTTTGGTTTACATCTAATCAGAGACAATATAGTAACCTTTCTCATTGTAAAATATGTCAAGTACAGAAAAGTTAAGGAAATAACTCTTTATAGTTTTAAAAGAATAAAAATAAAATGAATAGCTCTGTACTCACTACCCAGGTTTAAGAAGAGAATTAGGTGGTGTCTTTTACGAGATAAGGAATAGTGCAGGCAGAACAAGTTTCACTTTGATGGTGATTGGGGTGGGGGTTGTAAGGATGATGAGTTCTGTGCTCAACTGGCTGAGTTTGAAGTACTTACAAGATATCAAAGTGCAACTGGCTGAAGGCACTGAGAGAAATCTGAGGTGTAGTATATTTTGAGGAGTCATCAACATATAGACCAATGGTTCTTCACTTTTTGGGAGTCATAGATTCTTCCGAATGTCAAGTAATTACAGATGCTTGCACTTGTGGAAGGGCATTTTTAGACCGCTTAAAGTCCATTCAGAGATGCATCATACTCCTACCCAAACCTAGGAAAAATAAAGCTCATATTACAAACCTCTGATAGTATAGATAGTAATTCAGGCCACAGAAGTAAAAATATCCAGAGAGTGTATGTTGAGGGAGAGGAGAAAAAGGGCTTAGGATGGAGCACTGAGTAATATCAACATTGAAGGGATGGTTAGGAAGAAGGCCATATAGAGGAGACAGAAGGAACTTCCAGAGATGGAGAAGACTGTGGGGTTATGGATCCCAATAAACTGTTTTGAGAAGGATAGCATCAGCAACTGGGTCCAAATGCTGCAAAGAAAGCACATATGATCAGAGTCAAAATTGGAGCAAAATTAAAGTGAAGAGAAATACTGCTTAGGTATAAATTTGACACAGATCTAGAGTTTCCTAGGGTCTCATCTTTTTTTGTTGTAATTAATTATTAACAGGCACAGAAGTGTTAGATTCTCTGAAACACAAATTGGATTTGAGATTCCAAGGATATTAGCAACAAGTGACATTGCTGTACGACTCCTGCATACCCACTATGATCATGTTTCTGCACTGCACCCTGTTTCAACACCATCAAAAGAATACACTTCTGCAGTAACTGAGCTTGTCAAAGATGATGTTAAGAATGTAGAAAAAGCAATCAGCAAGGAGGTCGAAGAAGAGTCCAAACAACAAGAAAGAGGGTCTCACTTAATTCAGGAGGAAGAAATAAAAGTTGAGGAGGAACAAGGTGATATTGAAGTGAAAATGGTAGGACACATTTAAATATACACATTTTTTTATTCATGCAGCATGCGTTATTAGATTCCCTTAAAGTGTTCTCAAGATTTTTCCTAAACAACTGGAAATTGTCTGGGAGCCACTTTCTTGCCAGTGCCTCAATTTTTAATATGTATCTTTTTCTTGCCTTCCATTAATAGTCAATTAATAGTTGAGCCACTAGCTTCAACATCCTAAAGTTCAGCACAGGAATTGCTTATTTTTATATTAGGTGCACAACCGGGCAGCTTTGATGCCATTTAATTTTTGTATATTTATTATATATTTCAAATTCAAGGGAACTTGCCATTAAATGGAAACTTACAGTAAATAATCTTATATTACCCTGTTACTTCCTCAGTTTTTGGTTTTGTAAGAAATAATTTTATAAAGTAAAAATTAATTTTCTTAAAATATTACACTCTTCTCTGAAAATCTGACATCTTTAGAGATAGCTTTTGACCAATTTAATAATCATATTCCTTTAGTTAGCTTCTTCTCTTTTTTCTGTTGGCAAGATTGTCAAGCTACTTATTTATGTTAGAAAAAATGTCTCTTAAGAATTTAGTAATACTTTCTCAGAGCTAAGCAGATTCTTTGTTTAATAGCCTATTTGCATGTTATGAGGGACCAAAATATCTCAAGTTTTCTGACAAGTGCTTAAGACATGAAATGTATTGGTTTATTGATTTATTTTCTTTAAACACAGGAAAGGATTAAGGATTAGATTGAATACAAATTTAAAATCAGAATAGGAATTATTAGATACTCTAAGAACACGTGATTTATTAAGAATTCAATTTAAAATATTACACTGGTATCAAAAATTATAGGCCGGGCGTGGTGGCTCACGCCTGTAATCCCAGCACTTTGAGGTCAGGAGTTCGAGACCAGCCTGGCCAACATGGTGAAACCCTGTCTCTGCTAAAAATACAGAAAATTAGCCGGGCGTGGTGGTGTATACCTGTAATCCCAGCTACTTGGGAGGCTGAGACAAGATAATTGCTTCAACCCAGGAGGCGGATGTTGCAGTGAGCCGAGATCATGCCATTGCACTTCAGCCTGGGTGACAGAGTGAGACTTTGTCTCAAAAAAAAAAAAAAAAAAAATTATGAAGACTCTGTAGCAATGTAGAAAAATGGATATGACATAATGCTAAGTATAAAAAAATTGTATTTAGACTCTAATGACAAGCACGTGAAAATTTTAAAGGCATAAGGAAATGAGAACCCAGAAATCTGTGCATAGCTCATATTTTAGAGAGGAGGGAAATGATTTATTCTTCTTTAAAAATTTGTCATTTTTGTTTAAATGTTTTTTGGGCAATAAGATAGTTTTTAAAATAAAAATTTCATGTGAACTCTCAGATAGTTTAGAAGCTTTACTAGAGACAATAGTATTTCCAGTTCTCTTCCCTTTCCTGGAATATGGAAGGATTATACTCCTTTCCATGTTGCAGCTAGGCATGACCATGTGACTTAGCTAATAAGATGTGATTAGACATGACAAACTCATTTCCAAGGGGGAAAAAAATAGAATGGGTAAATAGGTCTTGGACTTAACATTGTTTCAATATGGAGTAAAATACAAAATTAAACCCCATTAACCTAAAATAAAGTTAGGGAGGATTTGTGATTTTATATTCCTGAAAACAAAGAACCTATCAGTATTTTACATAAGAATTTCACATTATTGATTTTAAAATTGTGAAATAATAATTTGGAACCATAAAATTTGAACTATTACTTGCATTTACATGGCTAAAGCATTTTTTTCTTATGCATCTATCTCAAAGTGGCCTCATGTAGTAATAATTAATTATAGTTCTGTTAATTTTGGCAGTAGTTTTGTTTTTTTTTTATTTCAAAAGGTTTTTGGGGAACAGGTGGCATTTGGTTACATGGATAAGTTCTTTAGTGGTGATTTCTAAGATTTTGGTGCACCCATTACCCGAGCAGTGGACACTACCCATTGTGTAGTCTTTTATCCCTCATCCCCCTCCCACCCTTCCCTTGAGTCCCCAAAGTCCATTGTATCATTCTTATGCATTTGCATCCTCATAGCTTAGCTCCCACTTATAAGTGAGAATATGTGATGTTTGGTTTTCTATTCCTGGGTTACTTCACTTACAATAATGGTCTCCAGTTCCATCCAGGTTGCTGCAAATGCCATTATTTCATTCTCTTTTATGGCTGAGTGGTATTCCATGGTACACATATACCTCATTTTCTTTATCCACTTGTTGATTGCTGGGCATTTGGGCTGGTTCCATGTTTTTGCAATTGCAAATTGTCCTGCTATAAACATGCATGTGCAAGTGTCCTTTTCATATGACTTATTTTCCTCTGGGCAGATACCCAGTACTGGGATTGCTGGATCAAATGGTAGATCTACCTTTAGTTTTTTCAGGAATGTGTTAGTTTACATTCCCACCATCAGTGTAAAAGTGTTCTCTTTTCACCCCATCCACTCAAACATCTATTATTTTTTGATTTTTAAATTATGGCCTTTTTTTTTTCTTTTTTTGAGACAGAGTCTCACTCTGTCACTCAGGCTGGAGAGCAGTGGCATGATCTCAGCTCACTGCAACCTCCACCTCCCAGGTTCAAGCAATTCTCTTGCCTGAGACTCCTGAGTAGCTGGGATTGCCGGCACGTGCCACCACGCCTGGCTAATTTTTTGTATTTTTAGTAGATACAGGGTTTCACCATGTTAGCCAGGATGGTCTCAATCTCCTGACCTCATGGTCCACCTGCCTTGGCCTCCCAAAGTGCTGGGATAACAGGCATGAGCCACTGCACCGTGCCAATTATGGCCATTTTTGCAGGAGTGAGGTAGTATCACATTGTGGTTTTGATTTGGATGTCCTTAATAATTAGTAATGTTGAGCATTTTTTCTTATGTTTCTTGGCGATTTGTATATCTTCTTTTGAGAATTGTCTATTCAGGTCCTTAGCCCACTTTTTGATGGGATTATTATTTTCTTGCTGATTTGTTTGAGTTCCTTATAGATTGTGGATATTCTGCATCTAATAATCTTTGTTAGGTGCATAGTTTGTGAAGATTTTCTCCCACTCTGTGGGTTGTCTGTTTACTCTGCTGATTATTTCTTTTGCTATGCAGAAGCTTTTTAGTTTAGGTATCATCTATTTATCATTGTTGTTGTTGCATTTGCTTTTGGGCTCTTTTTCATGAAGTCTTTGCCTAAGCCAATGTCTAGAAGGGTTGTTCCAATGTTATTTTCTATAATTTTTATGGTTTCAGGTCTTAGATTTAAGTCTTTGATTCATTTTGAGTTGATTTTTGTATAAGGTGAGAGATGAGGATTCAGTTTCATTCTTCTATACATGGCTTGCCCATTATTCCAGCACCATTTGTTGAATCGGGTGTCCTTTCCCCCACTTTATGTTTTTGTTTGCTTTGTCAAAGATCAGTTGACTGTAAGTATTTGCCTTTATTTCCAGGTTCTCTATTCTGTTCCATTGGTCTATATGCCTATTTTTATACCAGTACCATGCTGTTTTGGTGACTATAGCTTAATAGTATAGTTTGAAGTCAGGTAATGCAATGCCTCCAGATTTGTTCTTTTTGCTTAGCTTGGTTTGGCTATGTGGGCTCTTTTTTGGTTTCATATGAATTTTAGGATTTTTTTTTCTAGTTCCATGAAGAATGATGATGGTATTTTGATGGGAATTGCATTGAATTTGTAGATTGCTTTTGGCAGTATGGTCATTTTCACAATATGATTCTACCCATCCATGAGCATGGGATGTATTTCCATTTGTTTGTGACATCTGTGATTTCTTTCAGCAGTGTTTTGCAGTTTTCCTTGTAGAGGTCTTTCAGCTCCTTGGTTAGGTGTATTCCTAAGTATTTTATTTATTTATTTATTTATTTATTTTTGCAACTACTGTAAAAGGGGCTGAGTTCTTGATTTGATTCTCAGCTTGGTCACTGTTGGTATATAGCAGTGCTACTGATTTGTGTACATTGATTTTGTATGCTGAAACTTTACTGAATTCATTTATCATATCTAGGAGCTTTTAGGATGAGTCTTTAGGGTTTTCTAGGTGTACAGTCATATCATCAGCAAACAATGAGAGTTTGACTTCTTCTTTACTGATTTGGATGCCCTTCGTTTTTTTATCTTGTCTGATTGCTCTGGCTAGGACTTCCAGTACTATGTTGAATAGAAGTTGTGAAAGGGGGCATCCTTGTCTTGTTCCAGTTCTCAGGGGTAATGCTTTCAATGTTTCCCTATTCAGTATAATGTTGGCTGTGAGTTTGTCATAGATGGCTTTTATTAACTTAAGGCATTTCCCTTCTATGCCGATTTTGCTGAGAGTTGTAATCATAAAGAGATGCTGGATTTTGTCAGATGCTTTGTTTTTAATTCTATGTGGTATATCACATTTATTGACTTCCACATGTTAAACCATTCCTGCATCCATGGTATGAAACCCACTTGATCATGGTGAATTATCTTTTTTAAAAAATGTATTTATTATTATATACTTTAAGTTCTGGGATACCTGTGCAGAACGTGCAGGTTTGTTGCATAGGTATACATGTGCCATGGTGGTTTGCTGCACCCATCAACCTGTCATCTACATTAGGTATTTCTCCTAATGCTATCCTTCCCCTATCACCCCATCCCCCGACAGGCCCCAGTGTGTGATGTTCCCCTCCCTGTGTCCATGGCTTCTCATTGTTCAACTCACACTTATGAGTGAGAACATGCAGTGTTTGGTTTTCTGTTCTTGTGTTAGTTTGCTGAGAATGATGGTTTCCAGCTTCATCCATGTCCCCTGCAAAGGATAGGAACTCATCCTTTTTTATGGCTGCATGAATTATCTTTTTGATATGCTGTTGGATTCGGTTAGCTAATATTTTGTTGAGGATTTTTACATCTATGTTCATCAGGGATATTGGTCTGTAGTTTCCTTTCTTGTTATACCCTTTCCTGGTTTTGGTATTAGGGTGATACTGGCTCCGTGGAACGATTTAGGAAGGATTCCCTCTTTCTCTACCTTTTGGAATAGTGTCAATAGGATTGGTATCAATTTTTCTTTGAATGCCTGATAGAATTCAGCTGTGAATCCATCTGGTTCTGGACTTTTTTTTTATTGGTAATTTTTTTTTAATTACCATTTCAGTCTTGCTGCTTGCCATTGATCTGTTCAGAGCTTCTATTTATTTCTGTTTTAATCTGGGAGAGGTGTATATTTCCAGGAATCTATTCATCTCCTTTAAGTTTTCTGGTTTGTGTGCATAAAGGTGTTCATAGTAGCCTTGAATGATCTTTTGTATTTCTGTGCTATCAGTTGTAGTATCTCTCATTTTGTTTCTAATTGAGTTTATTTGAATCTTCTCTCTTCTTTTCTTGGTTAATCTCGCTAATGGTCTGTCAATTTTGTTTGTCTTTTCAAAAAACCAGATTTTTATTTCATTTATCTTTTGTATTTTTTTTTTTGTTTCAATTTCATTTAGTTCTGCTCTGATCTTAGCTATTTCTTTTCTTCTGCTTTGTTTGGGTTTGGTTTGTTCTTTTTTCTCTAGTTCCTTGAGGTGTGTCTTCAGATTTTCTATTTGTGCTCTTTCAGAGTTTTTGATTTAGGTATTTAATACCATGAATTTTCCTCTTAGCATCACTTTTGCTGTATCCCAGAGGTTTTGATAGGTTTTGTCACTATTATTGTTCAGTTCAAAGAATTTTTAAATTTCCATCTTGATTTTATTGTTGACCCAATGATTGTTTAGGAGCAGATTATTTAATTTTCATTTATTTGCATGGTTTTGAGGGTTCCTTTTAAAGTTGATTTCCAATTTTATTCCCTGTGGTCTGAGAGAATACTGAATATAATTTTGATTTTCTTAAATTTATTTATTCATTTGAGACCGAGTCTTACTCTGTTGCCAGGCTGGAGTGTAGTGGTGTGATCTCAGCTCACTGCAGCCTCTGCCTCCTGGGTTCCAGTGATTCTCCTGCTTCAGCCTCCTGGATAGCTGGAATTACGGGCAAATGCCACCATGCCCAGCTATTTTTTGTATTTTTAGTAGAGACAGAGTTTCACCATTTGGCCCGGCTGGTCTCCACCTCCTGATCTAAGGTGATCCACCCGTCTTGGCCTCCAAAACTGCTGGGATTACAGGTATGAGCCACTGTGCCTGGCCCAATTTTCTTAAATTTATTGAGACTTGTTTTGTGTCCTCTCATATGGTATATCTTGGATAATGTTCCTTGAGCTGATGAATAATAGAATGTATATTCTGCAGTGGTTGAGTAGAGTGTTGTGTAAATATCTGTTAAGTCCATTTGTTCTAGGGTATAGTTTTGTTTTGTTTTTTTTTTTCCATTTTCTGTCTTGATGACCTGTCTAGTGCTGTCAGTGTTGAAGTATTGGAGTCCCACACTATTATTGTGTTGCCATCTATCTCATTTCTTAGGTCTAGTAGTAATTGTTTTATAAATTTGGGAACTCCAGTGTTAAGTGCATATATATTTAGGAATGTAATATTTTCCTGTTGGACTAGACCTTTTATCATTATGTAGTGTCCCTCTTTGTCTTTTTAAACTACTGTTGTTTATAGTCTGTTTTATCTGATATAAGAATAGCTACTCCTGCTTGCTTTTGGTGTCCATTTGCATGGAATGTCTTTTTCCACCTCTTTACTTTAAGTTTATGTGACTCTATGTGTTAGATGAGTCTCTTGGAGACAACAGGTTCTTGGTTGGTGAATTCTTATCCATTCTGTGGTTCTGTATCTTTTAAGTGGAGCATTTAGGCCATTTACATCCAATGTTAGTATTGAGATGTGAGGTACTATTCTATTCATTGTGCTAGTTGTTGCCTAAATATATTATTTTTTTGTTTTGTTTTTATGTTGTGTTATTGTTTTATAGGCCCTGTGAGATTTATGATTTAGGGGGGTTCTGTTTTGGTATATTTTGAGGTTTTGTTTCAAGATTTATAACTCCTTTTAGCAATTCTTGTAGTGCTGACTTAGTGGTAAATTCTCTTAGCATTTGTTTGTCTGAAAAAGACTTTATCTTTCCTTCATTTATGAAGCTTAGTTTTGCTGGATACAAAATTCTTGGCTGATAATTATTTTGTTTAAGGAGGCTAAAGATAGGACCCCAATCCCTTCTAGCATGTAAGGTTTCTGCTGAGAAATCTGCTTTTAATCTTTTGCCTCACATTTCTTAAGACTTTTTCCTTTGTCTTGAATTTAGATAACCTGATGACTGTGTGCCTAGGTGATTATCTTTTTACGATAAATTTCCCAGGCATTATTTGAGCTTCTTGTGTTTGGATATCTAGATTTCTGGCAAAAACCAGGGAAGTTTTCCTTGATTATTCTTTCAAATATATTTTCTGAGCTTTTAGATTTCTCTTCTTCCTTGGGAACACCAGTTATTCTTTGATTTGGTTGTTTACATAATCCCAGACTTCTTGGAGGCTTTGTTCATTTTTTAAAATTCTTTTTTCTTTTTCTTTGTTGGGTTGGGTTAATTCAAAAGCCTTGTCTTCAAGCTTTGAAGTTCTTTCTTCTATTTGTTTAGGTCCATTGTTGAAAACTTCCCAGTGTATTTTGCATTTCTCTAAGTGTGTCTTTCTTTTCCAGAAGTTGTGATTGTTTTTTATTTATGCTATCTATTTCTCTGGAGATTTTTTTATCCATCGCCTGTATCATTTTTACAATTTCTTTAAGTTGGTTTTCACCTTTCTCTGATGACTCCTTGAGTAGCCTAATAATCGGCCTTCTGAATTCTTTTTGTGGCAATTCAGAGATTTTTTTCATGGTTTGGATCTACTGCTGATGAGCTAGTGTGATCTTTTGGGGGTGTTAAAGAACCTTGTCTTTTCATATTACCAGAATTGTTTTTCTGGTTCCTACTCACTTGGGTAAACTATATGAGAGGAAAGATCTGGGGCTCAAGGGCTGCTTTTCAGATTCATTTGTCCCACAGGGTGATCCCTTGATGGGCTCTCCCCCTTCCCCTACAGATGAGGCTTCCTGAGAGCCAGAATGCAGTTATTATTATTACTTTTCTGGGTCTATCCACCCAGTGGAGCTACTGCGCTCCAGGTTGGTACTGCGGAGTGTCTGCAAAGAGTCGTGTGATGTAATTCATCTTCAGGGCTCTCAACTGTGGATACCAGAACCTGCTCTAGTGGAGGTAGCAGGGGAATGAAGTGGACTCTGTGAGGGTTCTTGGTTGTAGTTTTGTTTAGGGCACTGGTTTTCTCAAATGCTGGCTGTTTGTTGGCCTTCAGCCAGGAGGTGGCGCTTTCAAGAGGGCATCAGCTGCGGTAGTGTGGGAGGATACAAGCTTGCCCTAAGGTAACCTGGATAAGTATTCAGGTTTCTCAGGTGATGGATGGGGCCATAGAGCTCCCAAGAGATTATGTCTTTTGCCTTTGGCTATCAGGGTAGGTAAAGAAAGACCATCAGGTGGAGGCAGGTATAGGCATGTCTGGGCTCTGACTCTCCTTGGGCGGGGGTTGCTGCGGCTGCTCTAGGGGATGGGGGTATGCTTCTCAGGCCAGTGGAATTATGCTCCCAGGGGGATTATGGCTGCCTCTGCTGTGTCATACAGGCCGCCAGAGAGGTGGGGGAAAGTCAGCAGTGATGGGCCTCACCCAGCTCCTACACATCCATCAAGGCCAGTCTCACTCCCACCATGCATCACCAACAGCACTGAGTTTATATCCAGGCAACCAGTGAGTAGGGCTGAGATCTTGCCCCAGGCTACCAGCCTCCCTGCTAAGAAAGTAAACAGGGCTTTTGCTGCCCTGCCCTCCCCGCTGCCCTCTGTGGCTTCTGTGCTTGTGTCTGTACTTCCCATTTCCCACCGCCCCCCATCCCCTGTTCCCGGATCCTGCCCAGGAAAATTTGTGTTTGGTGGAAATTATTGCAAAGTTCAGCTAGAAGTTTCCTTCTCCCTGTGGTCCTTCCCCAATTCCACTGGCAGCTCTCCCCAAGGACCCCTGTGAGATAAAAGTCAGAAATGGCTTCCCTGGAGACCAGGAGCGCCTACAGGGCTCTTCCCACTGCTTCTTCTACTTTTATATTTCATTCGGCTTTCTAAATCCATTTCAGTTCTAGGTAAGGTTAAATCCTTCTCCCATGATCTGGATTTTCAGGTTCTCCAGTGAGGATGTGTGTTTGGAGGCAGATTATCCCCCCTCACACTTTGGACACTCACAGTATTTTGGCTGTCTCATGGAGTTTGCAGTGGCAAGTGCTTCTTTCAGAGTCTGTGAATTATTTCCGTTTTCCTGGTGTGTTCCTGCAGTAGTTCTTGGAGCAAAAGTTCATGATGTGAGTCTCCATACACTCACTGTTCTGTCTGTCCAAGTGGGAGCTTCAAGTTAGTCCTGCCTCATATCTGCCATTTTTCCTAAATGGCAATACTTTTATACTAAATATATAAGCATATGAATCCACTACAATACTGACTGCATAGTGAATTTATATCTTCTTCTCAATATTTGTCATCAATTAGTGTAGACAGCTAGTGGGCCTGAAAGTACCGAGCTAAGCTTTTCTTAGTTTGAATGGCCCTTACCAATGAGTTTAACTACATCCAGTTTTTGTTATTATGTAATGTTACATTGAACCATTTTAGGTTATAATGATGAATAAAGATATGCAAATGATGATGTTGAAAGTGCCACAAAAGTACACCAAGGAGGCCAGGTGCAGTGGCTCATGACTATAATCCCAGCACTTTGGGAGGCTGAGGCAGGTGGGTCACCTGAGGTCAGGAGTTTGAGATCAGCCGGGCCAACATGGTGAAACCCTGTCTCTATTAAAAATACAAAAATTAGCTGGGCATGGTGGCATGTGCCTGTAATCCCAACTGCTCGGGAGGCTGAGGCACGAGAATCACTTGAACCTGGGAGGCAGAGGTTGCAATGAGCCGAGATTGTGCCGCTGCACTCTAGCCTGGGCGACAGAGTGAGACTCTGTCTCAAAAAAAAAAAAAAAAAAAAAAGTACGCCAAGGAAAACCATTATAATGAATGGCAAGATGCACATTTTATCAAATTTGAGGCTATGTTCAAATACATAGTCTAGGCTGGGTGCAGTGGCTCAAGGCCTAAACAAGAGGATCCCTTGGGCTCAGGAGTTCAAGACCAGCCTGAGCAACATATCAAGACCTCGTCTGTACTAAAAATCAAAAAAAGTAGCCGGATGTGGTGGCATGTGCCTATAGTTCAAGTTACTAGGAACCCTGAGGTGAGAGGATTGCCTGAGCCCAGGAGGTCGAGGCTGCAGTGAGCAGTGGTCATGCCACTGCACTCAAGCCTAGGCAAGAGAGCGGGACCCTGTCTTAAAAACAAAAATAAAAACAAAACAAATACATAGTCCAAGAAACCTCAAATAAAGATCAGCAGGCAATTAGTGATATGGCAGAAATAATTTTACTTTATAAAAGGCAATGAAAACTTGTCCAAAGTCTGTGAATGGTAAGAATTGTGTGAATGGTAGATACAGGAACCTGGCTGGAGGATTTATATCCATGGGATTTAGAAAGGGACAGGTGATTGCCTAGAAAGTGAGAGTAACATTAACTCAGCACCCTCATTTCCAGGAACATATCTCACCACCACCCAACAGACACATGTGTAGACGCTTATGCTTATGTATCTGTGCTCTATCCTTCTGCTGAAAACCCCACAACATTCTGAAAATGCTAATATGAATAATGCTGAAGTATGTATGATTTCCACAGAAGCCGAAGAACCCCATAGTATTGGTGAGGTGTGCCAGGGCAGGAGGGGGAAGCCATCTTCTGTGCTGAAGGGGGAAGGGTGGTGGGTGACTGCTTAGAGCGAAGAATCCCCCAACACAAAACTACTTGTCAGATGGGCCTATACTTGCCACAGATTCTGAACAGTGTAAACCGCCTTTCGTAGGTGTGAGTAGACTGCAGGGAGCAAAAATCACTAGATTTATAAAGACAATCAGCAGCTCAAAAGAGGAAGACAGAGATAATTTAATGGGATTTGTTAGGGGAAAAGAATGAGAGATGATGGATAGAAATAGGAGTGTAATATCTATATAAAAGAAACTCGAAGTCGAGAATGGACAGGATGAGTTTGATATAACAATTGGTGCTGGGGCAGTTGACTAAGATTTAAAAGAAATTTCGATTCTCACTTTACCCTAAAGACTAAAAAAAAAAAAAAATCACAGTTTTAAATATAAAAACAAACTGAACTATTCAAAAATTATAAAAATAATGAAAGTATTTGAACAGAATATAGGAAACTTATTTTATTATCTTTACTAAGAAGACCTTTCGTACTTACCAGTGCATCAAAACCAAAAGCATGAACGAAAAAGAGATTGGATTCAAATATTTGTGTAGCCCCATAAACCTCATTATAAAACAAAGCTGAAAGGCAAATAACAGACTAAGAAAAATATTTCAACGTACATGACAAGGGGTTATACCCCAATATAAAGAATTTGTACACATCAGTGAGAAGACAATTTCTTAATATAAAATTAAGCAAAGGACATGAGCAGGCAGCTGAGAAAAGAAATACAACTAGCCAAAAATGTACTGAACCAAATAAGTAATCAAATTAGAAAAAAGATGTCATTTGTTTTCCTATCAGATTGAGCAGGCAGGCGTCTTCACATACCGTTATTAGAAGTGTAAATCTGTACAGTCCTTATTTGGTACCATGTAAACATGCCTATGATTAGTGATTTAACTTATAGTAATTTATTATTAGAAAATAATAGAACAAAATAAATAAAAATGATTGTGCCAAGATTTTCATTGAAGTTTTTTATAGTAGCAAAAACAGTCCACAAATTAAAATAATTGTAAAGTATCCAAACAACACTAGTTTGTTTGGATATTTGGATATTTTATCATTTAAAATGACACAGATTTATATACTTTTCTATAGAAAGATCCCTAAGCTGTATTGTTAAATTTTTTTTAAAGTTAAAACTCTATTATCAATATGATTCTGTTTTTATGAATGCACAGAAAAAATCTAGAGGCCTCTTTACCAAAGAGTGGCTATCTTTTGGTGGTGGGGGAAAGAACGTGAGAAGGATGGGATGGTGGTATATTATCAGTGATTTTTTTACTGTCTATACTCTATTGTGTTATTTGAATTTTCAATAAGTAAGTACTGAACACGCAATACTTTCCTCATAGGAAATGAAACGATGTATTTCCCATTTTGGCTTTAAAGGGGGAACGTTCATGATAAGCCTCTGTGCTGAGGTGAAATTCCCTTCCTCCCATCACACGAATAATCCCTGTACCTAACTTCTACTTGTCTTCATTCAAGACTTACCTTAAATTTTACCTCCAGAGAATCCTCCGTCTCCTCAGATTAAATCAGATGTCCCTCCACTATGCTCTTGTCATTCTGTTTAATTATTATAATTGTTGCCTTAAACACTAAATTATGATCTTGAGGGCAAGAATTTCTTGAGAGACTTCATATTTAAGCAGAGAGCATAGAGCTCATGATAAGGGCTCAATGAATGTTTATTGAATGAAGGAAGGAAGAAGTGAATGAATGGATGTTTAAATGATGAAAAGCAGGCCCTGACTTGGGTCTGATTTGTTGTGAGCAGCCTACATAAATTGGGCAATCCAACCACTATGCTCCTCAAAGTTATCCTGTCTTTTGAGAGATACTTAAGATCCTCTTCATTACAGTTGGGTGTGCTGGAGATCACTTCTGCTACCTTTACGGATTCTGCAAGCTGGTTACTGGGGATTCTTGGGACTCTCTCCTCTGCAGTTCTGATCCTCCACCCCTTTAGTGATCCGGCATAGTATGTGGTAATAGGAAGACTCTTGCTGTCACTACTTCAGCCTTAGGAAAGGTGTGCTCCTCCCATTCCAGTTGGAACTCAGTGTGTGTGTGAAGCAATATTTACAGACAGTGTAAAGTTATGTTTGTATTCCTATATAATCACAGCTACAGGAGAACTAACATAACCCTAAATTTCATTCATAACACAATTTGTGTGTGTGACAAAATGTATTCTAAATGTTTTAAACTGCCATATAAATTCATGATACTCAACTTTTTTGTCTATGTGTATAAATTAGGGACTACATGTAAGATCAGTAGGCAAACTTAACTATGTTTTGGATTTAGAGAAAAAAGTTCTCTATTTTTCCAGCTTTTTTTTTTTGGTTGGGGGTAAACTGCTTACCTCACAATTTTAGGTTGGCATATTTTATTATAAATCTTACATCATTATATCTTTATAATGACTTTAGAGACTGATGCAAGGCAAGTATGATATAATAATGCAGGCAATTATGGCCCAGAACATATGAGTTATGTTTGATATGTTAGGTAATCACAAATAACAAGTATTTAGTATTTTGGTCATTTAAAAAATTAAATCTCTTACATTAGATGATGTACACATTTTCTTTTTCATGAGTACAGCAAGAAGTTTGCCACTAGAGGGCTCTTAATACCACATTTTAGTTCATTTAAATGTGTAATACTAATAATATTATAGGTATTGGGTAATACTGTCTTCCCAATTACTATATCATGCAAACTTTTTAGAAAAGCCTAATTTAAGTGTAGCACATTTGTGAGAAATTTTTTTTCTAATGAGAATTACCTTCAGAACTACATTAGTGATCTAAGGGGCATGCATTATAGTATGTGGGTCTTTGAACTTTTAAAAGTTAAAGTAGTCTCTGGCTTTAAGATAGTTTAAGCAAACATATACAGGATTTAACATAAATATTTTATTTTATTTTATTTTATTTTATTTTATTTTATTTTATTTTATTTTATTTTGAGAGGGAGTCTCGCTCTTTCGCCCAGGCCGGAGTGCAGTGGCGCTATCTCGGCTCACTGCAAGCTCTGCCTCCCAGGTTTATGCCATTCTTCTGCCTCAGCCTCCCAAGTAGCTGGGACTACAGGCACCCGCCCCCGCGCCCGGCTAATTTTTTGTATTTTTAGTACAGACGGGGTTTCACCGTGTTAGTCAGGATGGTCTCGATCTCCTGACCTTGTGCTCTGCCTGCCTTGGCCTCCCAAAGTGCTGGGATTACAGGCGTGAGCCACCGCGCCCGGCCCATATAAATATTTTATATATGTAATGTATATGTTATTGGCAAACATTTACCAAATACCTGCTATTGATAAGGGATTCAACACGCTCTTGTTTTTAATGAGCTAACAATCTTGTGGATTAGAAGAGTAACAGTTACCATATCTTCTAATATATGCAATGAGAGAGATTCTACATGGGGGTTAAGAGATCAAAATAGGCTGGGCGTGGTGTCTCATGCCTATAATCCCAGCACTTTGGGAGGCCGAGGCAGGGGGATCACCTGAGATCGGGAGTTTGAGACCAGCCTGACCAACATGGAGAAACCCCATCTCTACTAAAAATACAAAATTAGCCAGGTATGGTGGCAGGTACCTGTAATCCCAGCCACTCAAGAGGCTGAGGCAGGAGAATCACTTGAACCTGGGAGGCAGAGGTTGCGGTGAGCTGAGATCATGCCATTACACTCCAGCCTGGGCAGTAAGAGTGAAACTCCATGTCAAAAAAAAAAAATAAAAATAAAATAAAAATAAACCCAAAATAAAAACAAATGAACAGATTGGAAGTCTTCTCTCATGAGGTAACATGAGCTGAATCTTTTGGTGTAGCATGGAGAAGTTTAGATAGGAAGGAAAGGAAGTTATTCTGGTCAGAGGGAAAAGTATGGAGACATGAAATAGCCTTAGTAATTTGGGATGTTTTGTGATCATCGTGGATAAATTAAAAATCCATGGGAATAAGTTATATAAAAAACCTAGCATCAGAGCTCCTTAACATTCAACAACCTTTAATGTGCCACAAATGTATGTTTTCAGTGCATTTCCAGGTCATACCCTG
Source organism: Homo sapiens (assembly GCF_000001405.40). NCBI lineage: Eukaryota > Metazoa > Chordata > Mammalia > Primates > Hominidae > Homo > Homo sapiens. Next base: position 25,129,443 of record NC_000012.12, on the reverse strand, counting down.
GGAGTTGTTCTCATTTCCTTACTCACTTACTGAATATTTATCATACGCCTACCTCTATGTGGTAGGCACCATTCTGGCCCTCGGGAGGATGGCTAAAGAACAAATAAGGCTCCTTCTCTCATAATTTACATACAAGTTAGGAGAAATCAACAATAAATAAGAAAAAGTAGAAAATACCATATAGTAATCATTCATGCACCAAATTAAACAGGATTAAACTGGGAGTGACTTTACATTGGGTAGTTAGGGAGGGCCTGTTTGATGGGGTATTATTTAGCCGAGACCCAGATGACAAGAAGGAATCAGCTATTTAAAATGAAGGTAAAAATAGTCTTCAGGCACAATTATTGCAGAAGTCATAAAACAGAAGTGAGAAGGAAGGCCAGCGACTGATGTATGATGGGCAAGAAGCAAAGTGGTATGTAATAAAGTTGGAAAGGGAGGCAGAAGCCAGATAAAGTCAGGCTTTGCAGGCCAGAGTGAGAATTTAGGCTTTTATTGTAAATGTAGTGGGGAGCCATTAGAGGGTGGTAAGTAGGAGTGTGACATGATGTGATGTATGGCCCTGAAAGGTTATTCTGGCTACTGTATGGAGAACAAATTGTGAGGGGCCAGAATAAAAGCACAGTGTCTAGTTAAATAGTACTGGTAAGTAATAAGTCATGGTGGTTTGGACAGAGGTTGCAGTAAGAGTTATAGAAAGATGAATATGTTTGGGAGATGTTTTGGAGGTAAAATATATCTTACTGAGTTTTTATTTTGAGAAATGAGGCATATGGTGATACAGTTTACAGAGATGAACAAAAATAGAGTGAAACAGTTGAGAGTGGCTGTGAAACAAAGAGTTCTGTTTGGGTAAGTTTGGGGGATGCAAGTGGAAATGACAGGTAGGCAAATGTGAACCTGGAGTTCAGAGGAAAGTCAGACACAGCTGCTACGTACATGTTCACGTGCAGGTTATGTTCTGAACTTCTGGAATCAAGCGGTACAATGTGTGTGACCTACAGAGCATCACTAGCTTATATTTGGGGACCATTGGTCTATAGATAGTATTTAAAGCCACTGGAATGAATGAGACCAGTAGACCCAGGATAATTATTCTTAATTAATGCTGTATTTTCAAAATTCATTTTCAATTCCTTATCAAGAATCAGTTCCAACAATTTATTTTGAGTTATAGTAAAATTTAAATTATCTTTTGATGAAAAAGTATATTTCAGATCAATGAATTTCTTTTGCATAGATCTTCTGTTGATGGATAATAAAATTCAAGACATTCTGTCAAACTTGTAAAGTGTTCAGTGCTGACATTTTGCAGATATTATCAAGATCATTTACTTCATTAATAATTGTTGGCATCAGTTTCATATATTCTTTTCCAATACTTTCATGGTTTTTGTAGCTTTTGATTGGTTTAGTTTTGTTTTTACATTTAAATCTTATATCCATCTGGAATTTATTTTAGTGTAAAGTGAGAAGAATGAATCTAAATTTATTTTATTGCAAATCTTAGCCAGCTGTCTCAAAACACATACCATATAAACCTAGGCGTTTTCCATTGATCTGAAATGCCATATGCTAAATTTTCAAGTGGATCCTATTCTCTATTTCTGGAATCTATATTCTGTTTTTATTGATCCACCTATTAATGATAGGTTATGTTTTTATATCAAATTCAAATTGCACATATACTAAGGAATTTCTATGTTATACTATCTGTGCATTTATCAAGTTGCAATGAAAATTATTTGCTAGTGTCCCATGACATTCTTTCATGGTATAAGCCAGTTCTCGTATACATTGAGACAAGATATCATTGAAAAGTTATACTTTAGCTACCTTCTCTGATTCATATTCTGTCAACATTTCCAAGCAAACATCTTTTAGAAATTGTTATTTACTTTAAATCTATTGTGTCTATAAATTTAATACAATTGAAGTAAAAATTCCAGTTGTCAGTTTTTGAGACTTGACAAAATACTATTAAAGTTTACCTAGAAGAAAAAAATACTTGGAAAACACCCAATTTTGTAAAAGAATTATGATGAAAGAGGACCATCATTACCAGATATAAAACATGATGAAAATAGGAATAAAGAAGTATTTTTTTGGCTTCATTGCCAACAAACACAAGGAGTTTATTATTATTATTATATATAAAGCTTATACATTATACCTGTATTGTCAGCAAATGAGATTTGAAGTTTTTGTGCGGGAGCACGTTCTGATGACACTGTTGCAATTACAGGAACCCATTCTAGACTAGTTATCAAAATTAAGGAGCTTGTGCTAGAATGTAAGTTGACTCACTGCATCCTTCTAGAAGTCTAACTTCAAAAAAGAGTCAATTGAGCTAAAGAGTAGTACAATTTTTTTAAAAATTGACTTATGTAAAGGCAATGTGTTATATGCAAGAATATCCTCTTTATGATGTGGTACTATAGAAACTGATAAATTCCTGTTGTTGCATGCTGAGGTGAAGTACTCGTGTTTATCAAGGGAAAAGTTCTGTTGAGAAAGTCTGAATTCCTAGTGTTCCTGCAAGATAAGAAGCCAGTTTGGTCTAAACTCTTTGAAGAGTTCTCAACTTTTTAAAGATATGAATTAGACTGACTTACCTATTGGTCTGATATCTTTGGTATTTTTATTGATCATAATCCTCCCTGAAAGAAATAAATGCAACTTGGTTTTTAAAGGTAAATAATGCCAAAGGCCACCTGGCTATCCCACAGGCACCTCAAATTCAACATTCCACAATCAAATTCATTACTTTTCCCCCAAACCTGTCCTTCCTCTTCCTTTTCTTTTTTCTTTTTTTTGGTGCTAATTGTTATCACTCTCTACCTTAATTACCTAAATCCAACACCTGAACATCAGCCGTAGCCTCTCCCTTGCTTTACTTTTATATCCAGTCCCTCCTCAAGTTAGATTGCTTTTAATTCCTTATCATCTCTCCTATAAGCTCCTTCTAGTGGCCCTGGTTGCTTCTGCCTTGGGTAGGTCCTGATCTTGTCTACACTGGACTTCTAGCACTTCACTGAGCAGCCCATTCATCAGGTGGCTGCCAGAATACTCTTTCCAAATGCAAATTTCTTCACATTAGGTTCCTACTGAAGGCCTTTTATGAGCTCTCCTTTACCCATAGGAGACATTTTAAAGTCTTCAGAGTGGCATTCAGAGCTGTCCACAATCTGGCCCCTGCATCTCTCCAGCCTCAGATCTTTACACCCTCCTAGCATGCCTCACTCCAGCTATACCTGACCACTTGGAGTGCTTGGAATCCTGTTTTGCTTCATGCCTTTCACTTTCACTCACATTAGAATTCTCTCCCACCCTTTTTGGGGGAGGATCTATTAATAATTATCTTTCAATATTTAGTTCAACAAACCTGGAAGCATCACATTACCTGACTTCAAAGTATACTACAGGGCTACAATAACCAAAACAGCGTGGTACTGGTACAGAAACAGGCACATAGACCAATGGAACAGATAAGAGAGACCAGAAATAAGGCCACACATCTGCAAACATCTCATCTTCAACAAAGCTGACAAAAACAAACAATGGGGAAAAGACTCCCTATTCAATTAAAATGGTTCTGGGATAACTGGCTAGCCATATGCAGAAGATTGAAACTGTACCTCTTTCTTATACTGTTTACAAAAATCAACCCAATATGGATGAAAGACTTAAATGTAAAACCCAAAATTATAAAAACCCTGAAAGACAACCCAGGCAATACAATCCTGGACATAGGATGGGCAAAGATTTCATGAAAAAGGCACCAAACGCAATTGCAACAAAAGCAAAAATTGATTAAGTGGCATCTAATTAAACTTAAGAGTTTCTGCACAGCAAAAGAAACTATCAACAGAGTAAACAGCCTGCAGAATGGTGGAAAATATTTGCAAACTATGCATCTGGCAAAGGTCTAATATCCAGCATCTATAAGGAACTTAAATTTACAGGAGAGAAACAACCCTATTAAAAAGTGGGCAAAGGACATGAATAGACACTTTTCAAAAGAAGACATACGTGTGGCCTAGAAGCATATGAAAAGAAGCCCAATATCGCTGATCATTAGAGAAATGTAAATCAAAACCACAATGAGATATCATCTCACACCAGTCAGAATGGCTACTACTAAAAAGTCAAAAAATAAAAGTTGCTGGTGAGGTTGCGGGGAATAGGGAACACTTATACACTGTTGGTGGGAGTGTAAATTAGTTCAACCATTGTGGAAAGCAATATGGTGATTCCTCAAAGAGCTAAAAGCAGAATTACCATTTCACCCAGCAATCCCATTACTGGGTATATACTCAGAGGAATATAAATCATTCTACCATAAAGTCACATGAACGTGAATGTTCATTGTAGCACTCTTCACAATAGCAGAGACATGGAATCAACCTAAATGCCCATCAGTGACAGATTGGATAAAGAAAATGTACATACCCACCATGGAATACTATGCAGCCATAAGAAAGAATGAGATCGTGTCTTTTGCAGGAACGTGGGTGGAGCTGAAGGCTATTATCCTTAGCAAACTAATGCAGGAACATAAAACCAAATGCTACATATTCTCACTTGTAAGTGGGAGCTAAATGATGAGAACTGATGAACACAAAGAAGAGAATGGCAGACACTGGGGCCTACTTAGGAGTAGAGGGTGGGAGGAGAGCAAGGAGCAGAAAAATAACTATTGGGTACTAGGCTTCATACCTAGGTGATGAGATAATCTGTACAACAAACCCCTGTGACCTGAGTTTGCCTGTACAACAAGCCTTCACATGCACCCTCAAACCTAAAATAAAAGTTAAAAAAAAATTTAGTTCAAACTTACTACCTTTAGGTAAGAGAGGTGTTGCCTGTCTTCACCCACACATTTTCCCACAGAATTAACTCCTCTTCCTTGTACTCCTATTGTGGCTCCTTTACTTTATACTACAACACTTACAAAAATATACCCATTTGTTTACTTGCTTCCCTAATAGTCTGGAAGTTCCTTATGTCAGGGACCTTGTTTTTTATTGCCAGTGTCTAGCAATGCCACTACTATTTAGGAGCTCTGTAATTTTTTTTTTGAATGAATAAATAAGGGAGAAGGTTCAGAGGCATGATGGAAAGGGTTTGCAGAGAATGTAATAGTGTTAAAGCTGGTCAGGGGGAAGACACATAGGGCAATATGGTGATGAGAGATGGGAAAGGCTAGTCTACTAAGGGGGACTTGTCTGTGTATGATGGGTAAGAGTCATGGGAATAACTAGCTTTAAATTTCTGACTAGAACTCTGGTATAAGGTTATTCTATTGCTGCAGAAGTACAGGTGCTACCTGAAGTCAAGTGAAGTTTGCTGGATGTCATTCAATTTGCAAGTATTAGCACACACACACACACACACACACACACACAATTTTTATACTAGCAACACTGCATTTATCTAGTGCTTTACATTACCCAAAGTTCTTTTATTTCCATTATCTTATTTGACCCTTAAAACAGTTATCTCCCTCAGCTTCAGTTTCCTTATTTCTTCGGATTGTTTGCAAGATGTGTTATATGTCTGATACACAGTTAAATACCAAATGTGTTATTGTTACATCAGGAATTTGAGGCTCATAATAGTTAAATGACTTGCTCAAGGTCAGAAAGGTAAGTTAGTGGCAGATTTAGACATAAAGTCTAGATTATTTTTACTGCACTAGAGTACAATGGGATACTATCTTCTACATTACTTGAGCTGCAACATCTTTAATTTCCTTGAGAGACTTACCCAAAAGCAGGCTTTGGGATGACTCTACCAGAGCTGATTATCAAATTTAAGCAAAATCTACCTCCTGGATAAACCAAAATGCAAATATAAATAATATTTTTTATAGCTTGCATTGCTTCCTAATCTCCATCTTTTACACTTGAGGATTTTCAGCAGAGAATCTGAGCAGGGTAACCTCTTGCCCTTGTGAAGTTTTGTAGATATTTTAATTGCTTGTTAAAATATTGCTTTTGAGTCCAGTTTTATGGTAGAGCAAGTATCAGTTTGGGGTTTTCAGCCTAGAATTAAGGTAGCAGGCATCTGAAGTGAGGACTGGAACACAAAGACAATGACTGTACTATGTAGACACTGACAATCACACCCATATGTCTGTGGTTTTTTATAGAGTTCTGCTGAGGAAGAATCTGAAGCCATAAAATGTGAACGAGAGATGAAAGTATTAAGTGAAACTGTTTCAGCAGGTATTCTAAATTACATTTTAAGAATTTAACTTTATTGAGATTTTCTTCTTACAGAAGAAATACAGGATCATTGTTAAAAAAATTCAGACATTGCAAAAATATATTTAAAGTGAAAATTCTTCATAGTCCCTTTTCTGAGATACCAGTGTTAACAGATTTCTTTGCTCAATTTATCCCTGTCTCTCTTAATTTCTAATAAAACCATGGGATTATATTATACAAATGTTTTTGTTGAGAATTACTTTTTTCCCACCTAACAACGTGTTACATACATAGAACACAATATATATTTCATGTAAATGAATATTCAACATTATTCTAAGAATACATTGGTAACCTCACTTTTTGAAGTAGTTGTATAATTCCATCCAATAATGGAACACTTTTTAAATCCCTATTGATAGGCAGGTTGTTTCTAATTTTGTATTACTACAATATTGTAATGAACTTTCACAAGTACACATACACAACTGAAAATCTCGCAACACTTCTGGGTATTAACAAGTGTTTGCATTCAGTCTTGTCCTGGCAAATAGCAGTTGGATATAGTTTAGAAGTGTCAAGGCAATAGCGATGTCTAATTTGTCAATCTTTTAGTTTGAGATTTATATACATCTTTTCTGTTAACTTTATGCTTCTTTCCCCATAACTTCTAGGAATCTATTTTCTATATATTTCTTAGCATATTTTTTCATAACAGGCCTTAAACTTCACTTTTTCTTTCTTCTTCTTCTTCTCCTTCTTTTTTTTTTTTTTTTTTTTGAGATGAGATCTTGCTCTATTGCCCAGTAGTGGTGCAGATTATGGCTCACTGCAGCCTCAACTGCCCAGGCTCCAGTAATTCTCCTACCTCAGCCTGCTGAGTAGCTGGGACCACAGGCATGCACCACCAGGCTAGCTAATTTTTAAATTATTTATAGAGATGGGGTCTTGCTATGTTGCCCAGACTCGTTTTAAACTCCTAGGCTCAAGCGATTCTCCCACCTCAGCCTCGCAAAGTAGTGGGCATGAATCACTGCCCCCAGCCTGTTTTCATTTTAATAATAACACATGCTTATTGTATGGTTTCATAGATGAAATAAAAATTATGTCCTCCCCTATACCCCACCATTACTCATGCCTGTTTCCACTTCCAAGGTCAGCTCTATGAATCATTTTGAGTTAACTGCTTTTTGAAAAGTTTTAGTAGCTGGTTGAATAGAAACTTCCTTTACCAGTATGAGAATTTTTAAATTTCTTTCCTAAGAACATACTAAACTGTAATCTATTTGAAAACTGTTAATCTGATTAATTTTAGCACAGTTGTTGCTGGTAGAGAATTCTTCTGAAAAGCCAGATTTCTTTGAAGACAATGTGGTGGATTTATGCCAGTTCACAACTCTGGGTGGAGTATACCACTTGGATATTTTGGAGCTTCCTCCACAGTGTAAACCAGTGAAGGGATGGATGATTGTGGAAGTAGGTTGATTCTTGAATCAAAACTTATAAGTAAAATAATTGCTCACGCTTTTACTTTATTTCATATTATCTAACATCTAATAAGCTTTAACCTTATTAAACACAAAGGAAAAAATGTAATTTTAAACTGTCTTAAATGTATTGGTATTGAAAATTTGAATCAGATGCTAAAAGAATCTAAAATAATATGACGTTTGTACTAGAATTCAGATATGTTAACTTCATTGTAAATTTACATCATTATGTTTTGTTAGTGCCAATTTGGTCTTAATAATAATATTCTAGATCAGAGGTTGGCAAACTTTTTCTGTAACAGGCCAGATGGTAAATATTTTCACCTTCGCGGTCCCTACTAGCTCTGATGCAGCTACTCAACTCAGCCATTGCAGCACTAAAACTGCTGTGTATAAACGAATGGGCACAGCTATGTTCCAATAAAACTTTATTTACAAAAATTGGTGGTGAGTGGGATTTCCCAGGGACCGTAGTTTATGGACTCCAGTCTAAATCAGTGGTTGTTAATATGTGTTCCCTCGAGCAGAGGCATCAGCATCCTCTGGCATCATCTGGGAATTTGCTAGAAATGCAAATTAATGAGCCCCACCTCAAACTTACTGAATCCGAAACCCTGGAGGTAAGGCTCAACAATCTGTTTTGGAAAAATACACCCTAAAGTTTGGAAATCACTAGTCTGAATCCTTGACATACAAAATATGGTCCTAAATCAACAGCATTGAACCAGCAGCATTAGTGTCAGTTGGGAACATGCAAGAAATGCATAATTTTGGGCTGCACCTCAGAGCTACGGAATCTGCAGTGGAACAAGATCCCCAGGTAACTCCTATGCATATTGAAGTTTGAAAATCACCAGTCCACATGATGCCAATGCTGCTGATGCCCTGACCACACTTTGGTGATAATAGTTGTTAGATCATCTTTCAAGGAGTTTCTCACCCCTGTTTTATAAGTAGTAACACTTGCGCTATTATTGACTTGGTTTATTTATTTTTTTTATTTTTATTTTTTTTGAGACGGAGTCTCGCTCTTTCGCCCAGGCTGGAGTGCAGTGGCGCTGTCTTGGCTCACTGCAAGCTCCGCCTCCCGGGTTCACGCCATTCTCCTGCCTCAGCCTCCCGGTAGCTGGGACTACAGGCGCCCGCTACCACGCCCGGCTAATTTTTTTTTTGTATTTTTAGTAGAGACGGGGTTTCACCGTGTTAGCCAGGATGGTCTCGATTTCCTGACCTCGTGATCCGCCCGCCTCGGCCTCCCAAAGTGCTGGGATTACAGGCGTGAGCCACCGCGCCCGGCCGACTTGGTTTATTTTTAACTTAACCTCGTGGTGGCTTGCTTCCCATAGAATACTACCATATATACCCAGTTATGTTGTCATAGGCTGCCCCTTCCTTCCTCTCTCTCTCTCTCTCTCTCTCTCCCTCTTCCTGCCTCTCTCTCTCTTCTCACCCTCTCTCCCCTAACACACCTGTACACAGATTGCTGGGTACTTCTCACCCACAGTCCTATCCATTAAGGACCTTGGTGCATTCTTGTTTTTGAGAAGTATTTCCCAACCTTTTCTCCCCCGTTATTTTCCTAATCACCTGCCACTCCAACAAAATTTTAATATTCTCTTTATCCATAAGGTCCCAGCCTGAGCTGGGGTTTTCAAGAATCCATCTAAAGATCTGTTGTTATTGACTTTTGTCACAGTGTCCTGAGACCACTTCATGCTCTCCCCTTGAACCCAAAGAGTCCTCCTTCACAGCTGTTTTTCTCTCCTGCAACAAAGAGGCTTTCCTCATTTTCAAGGCTTTTTCAATAACTTTCCACCTCTTCTAGAATCTTGCCCTAATTTTTCCTCTATTTTCTAATATTTTTAAATCTTTCTTCCTTCCCTAGATCCTTGTCTGCTGCATTCAGATAATGCACAAATCTTCCTTATCCCAGAAAAATCTGCTGTCTGGTTAATTCACTTTCATTCATTCATTTCCTTTCTTCTCAATAGGTTGTCTATATGTTTCTTTTTCTCTTTACCTACACACCCTTAGCATGGTATTAGAGCATGTGATTTAGGGTCCCATACACCGGTTTTTGAGTTCTGGTGCCACTTTGAAGTCATTTTGTAATCTTTGTCAAATTACTTGATTTTTCTAAGTCTTAGTTATCATTTCTGTTAAATATAGGCCTTTAGGATTGCTTAGAGGAATAAAATGTTGAGGAAGCCCCACCACACAATCTGGCCCATAGGAAGTTCTGTACATTCATATTTAGTAACTTTTTTTCTCAATCATGTATCTTTTAAATTTTGTTGTGACATTTTGTTAATCTATATATAAATAGGATCAAACTGCAGTGCTTATTAAAAATAACTATATAACTTATTCAGTACTATTTACATTTTTCACTGCTACCAGTCAACTAACTTGATGTTGTTTTGGTCATTTTAAAAAGATACTCAAAGAAGGATTACAGAAATACACATATCCTCCGGAAACTACAGAAGAGTTTGAGACAGAAAATGCTTTCCCACCTATAGAGGTCACACTTGAGGTTCATGAGAATGTAATCTTTTTTGAGGATCCTGTGGTTGTAAGGTGGGATGCTGAAGGTACAGCTTTTATAATTATGTAATAAAAGGAGGGATAATCATAAAAACCCTTAAGTTGAAACAGAAAGTGTAGTGTATTAACTGAGCTTACTATCTTACATATTTCTATGCCAATTCAAGGGTCTTGTTTTGTTTGTTCTTAATGGAAATGAATAAGTGTTGGAGTTTAAAATTTGCTGAGTGTTGTAACTATTAACTCCTAAAGTATCTGTATCTGCCATTGTCTATGAACAATTACTTTATGGTTATATCATTATGTTTCTAAAAAACGAGTGAAACACTGGGCACGATGGCTCATGCCTGTAAATCCCAGCACTTTGGGAGGCTGAGGTGGGCAGATCACCTGAGCTCAGGAGTTTAAGACCAGCCTGGGCAACATGGTGAAACCCCACCTCTCTACTAAAACATTACAAAAATTAGCTGGGCGTGATGGTGTGCACCTGTAATCCCAGCTACTTGGGAGTCTGAGGCATGAGAATCGCCTGAACCCGGGAGGTGGAGGTTGCCATGAACTGAAATGGTGCCACTGCACTCCATCCTGGGCGACAGAGTGAGACTCTGTCTGTCTCAAAAAAACAAACAGGCCAGGCGTGGTGGCTCATGCCTGCAATCTCAGCACTTTGGGAGGCCGAGGCAGATGGATCACCTGAGGTCAGGAGTTTGACATTAGCCTGGCCAACATGGTGAAATCTCATCTCTACTAAAAATAGAAAATGAGCGGGGCGTGGTGGCACACACCTGTAATCCCAGCTACTCCGCAGGCTGAGGCAGGAGAATAGCTTGATCCCAGGAGGCAGAGGTTGCAGTGAGCCAAGATGGCGCCACTGTACTCCAGTCTGGGCCACAGAGCAAGACTGTGTCTCAAAACAAAACAAAACAAACAGGCAAAAATGAATGAAAATATTAAAATCAGGCCAGGCGCTGTGGCTCACGCCTGTAATCCCAGCACTTTGGAGTGCCAAGGCGGGCGTATCACCTGAGGTCAGGAGTTCGAGAGAGCCTGGCCAACATAGTGAAACCCCATCTCTACTAAAAATACAAAAACTAATGGGGCATGGTGGCACATGCCTGTAGTCCCAGCTACTTGGGAGGCTGAGGCAGGAGAATTGCTTGAACCTGGGAGGTGGAGGTTGCAGTGAGCCGAGATTGCGCCACTGCACTCCAGGCAGAGCGAGACTCCCTCCGTCTCAAAAAAAAAAAAAAAAAGAAAAAGAAAATATCAAAATAGTTTAGCAAATCAAAAACAGATAAAAAGTCTACTCTTCTGAAATAACCAAATAGTTTGGATTTGGATAATTAGTATTTGATTACTTTAATGTTAATCGTTTATAAATTGTACACAAGTATTGGGGATGAGGAATGGGCAAATGGGAAACCTGAGAAAGGGAAAACTAGCCACTTGTATACCTTTTTATACCTTTTTATTTTTGAGCCATGGGACATTATTGCTTATTCAAAACTTAAATATTAATAAAATTATAAGTATCTACAGTGATACAAGCTAATGATTTGTTAATCATTAACAAATACCTCTTTTGGAGTAGGCTTGCTGAATTTTGAAAAATCTTGGTCTGGTGAGTTAATGTATGCCATTTTAAGGATCCTAGATGAGAGGAGTACACCTTTGTTTTTAAGGTTGTTTTATATCCATCTGTTGGTGAAGGGATTTATATACTTGGTGATAGGCTGGGAACAAATATCACTAAGGCACAGAGCTTTTACATAATCTACTTATTTAGTTATGGAAAATTTAGGAACAGAGAATTTAGGAATTTATACCAAGAAGTTTAAATATTTTGTATTTTAAATTTTTTAATGAATGCCCTGGTGCTCTACATTTTTGTTTGTATAGACAGACCTACAAGATGTATTATTTATATTCTAGAAATAGTCTATGTATTAAAAACAGTAGGCCGGTCGCAGTGGCTCATGCCTGTAATCCCAGCACTTTGGGAGGCTGAGGTGGGTGGATTACTTGAGCTCAGGAGTTCAAGACCAGCCTGGGCAACATGGAGAAACACCATCTCCACAAAAAGTACAAAAATTAGCCAGGCGTGGTGGCATATGCCTGTAGTCCCAGCTACCCCAGAAGCTGAGGTGGGAGCATTGTTTGAGCCCAGCAGGTTGAGGCTGCAGTGAGCTGTGATCATGCCCCAGCACTCAGGGTGGGTGACAGAGTGAGACCCTGTCTCAAAAAATAAAAAATAAGTTAAAAAACCTAGTAAATTCTTACATATTAAACTATAAAATACATCAACATGAACAACTGTATCTCTTTTGATATTGTTTCAGAGGTGTCACTTTAATGGTAATATTCCTAAGTATTTATCACATTAAAAATTATTAACACAGCTGGGCATGGTAGCTCATGTTTGTAATCCTAGCGCTTTGGGAGGCTGAGGCAGGCGGAACACCTGAGGTCAGGAGTTCGAGACCAGCCTGGCCAACATGGCGAAACCCTGTCTCTACTTAAAAAAATTAGCCAGGCGTGGTGTCACGTGCCTGTAATGCTAGCTATTCAGGAGGCCGAGGCAGGAAAATTGCTTGAACCTGGGAGGCGGAGGGTGTAGCGAGCTGAGATCGCACCATTTTACTCCAGCCTGGGTGACAAGAGTGAAACTCTGAAAAAAAAAATTATTCACATGAAATTAGAATTAGACAAGGTAAATTATTCCACACAATTCAGGGGAATAATTTCACTCTACAACTTCAGTAATTAGAAAGCAGTAATTTACAATTCTAGTAATTTTTAAACCATGGGGAAACATTTTGCCCGGAACTACTAGAAATTTGGAGAATTTATTTATAGGTAATAACTTTTTACCTTATAAATTAAAATTATTTGTTAATGTAGCGACAAAAAGAGGAATTAAAAATAAGTTTGTGAATGTAATTTTATTTATTATATGAAATTTAAGAGTAAAAACTTGTCAACAGAACCCTCCAATCGAGAGCAGGAAAGAGAGCTAAGTAGAAATGGAGAGCACGTCTGGGAAGAAAATGGTTCATTTATTTGTCCTATAAAGATGACCCCTCCCCCCAACCAAAAAAAAAAAAAAAGAAAGAAATACAGAGATAAATGAGGCATAGTTTCTTCCTCTTGGAGTTTCAAAAGTTGTAGGAGGGGCAGATGGGTAAACACCACATTGTGATACAACATAGTAGGGTGCTAGCATAGATGTAAAGTGCTATAGAGCACGACACAGATGGCTCAATCTTTAGAGTATTGGAAGGCTTCTCACAGGTTGGAATGTTGAACAGGTCCCTCAAAGATGAAGAGAATGTTTGCATGCAAGTCTCTGTGTGGACATGTTTTCAGTTCAGTATGTACCTAAGAGTGGAATTGCTGGGTTGAGTGCTGAGTTTATATTTAACTTTCAAAGAAACTGCCAAATTGTTTTTCAAAGTAGCCGTACCATTTTACATGTCTGCCAGCACTATATGAGGTTTTCTGTTTGTTCATAACATTTGTTATTTATCTTTTTGATGATAGCCATTCTAGTGGGTGTGAAGTAGTATTCCATTGTAGTTTTAATTTATTTCCCTAATTACTAATAATGTTGATCATCTTTTTAAGTACTTATTAGCCTTTCATATCTCTTTGGTGAAATGTTTATTCAAATCATTTACCCACTTTTAAATTAGGTTGTGTTTTATTATTGAGTTGTAAGAGATACAAAAGACCACCTACAGGAAGTACATTAATCGTTGCCTGGGGCTGGAGGTGGGAATGGGAATTAACTGTAAATGGACATAAGGATCTTACTGAGGGGATAAAAATGTTCTAAAACTGGATTGTGGTGATGGTTGCACAACTGGGTAAATTAAAGATAATTGAATTGTATACAAAAAATACATGAATTTTGAAGTCATTTTAAAGCAAAGCTGAAGAGAGTTTCTCTGAAAGATTAGGGAACAGTATTGTAGGAGGAAAGAACTGTATGTGCTGAGGCCCAGAGGTATACATACAGTGTTGTTAGGGAAAGAAAAAAGTGGGGCTGAAAAGAGAAAAACTTTTTCCCTTGAGGAGTGGCAAGGGATGGAGCCAAGAAAGTGAGTCAAAGCTTCATTCTGAAGGTCTTACCATGCTGAGGAGGTGGGACTTGATCCTGTAGTCAGGGGAAATCTCTCAGCGAAGCTGGCCTTCTTTTGAGTTTCTATTCTAAATATGAAAGATCAATTTATACACAAAGCAATTTTTTTGGTGCTTTCATTTATCTTTTTTTAATAGGGAAAAAATGAAACTAGTGTCACTTTCTTCATCAATTATAAAGGTAAACATTGGAGAACTGATGGCATCAGCAATGTATCCTACAAACCAAAAGAAAGACTTGTAACATTCAGCCTGGACACCTTTGGCCCTGTTACCTTGATTCAAGATGCTCATATTAACATGCCGTACCAGTCATGGGAACTAAGACCACTTGATGTAAATAAAGTACTTTTAACTGTGACTACAGTATTTACTGAGATTCAAATACAAATTAAGGTGAGTTACTCTTGTAGCTGTTATGTACTATCGTATCAGAGGTAAACCATTTTGATGGAATACTAGTTTGTCAAAAGCAATCAGTGGCTGCTGATTTATATATTGAAATATAAGTGTCTTATAATGACCTTAAAAATGTACCTTGAGCTATATTTCTAAATGAAATATTAGTTGAATAATTAAATAGGCAATAACATGTAAATAGCAAGGCTCAAACTTAAATTTGTACCCTAAAGTTACTAGGGATAGATCAACTGATGAACCAACAACCCTCATTGCAGTATGAATTTCAGAGTTTTTGATCCACCCTAAAGGGGCTACGTGATGTTTATCATCCAGCCATTTGAAATCCTTTTTGAGGTTGGTTTCTCTCTGAATGATCCCCTATTGCTCATCAGTCAGAAATTACATAGCCTGGGCCGAGCGCAGTGGCTCACGCCTGGAATCCCAGCACTTTGGGAGGCCAAGGCGGGCAATCACCTGAGGTCAGCAGTTCGAGACCAGCCTGGCCAACATGGTGAAGCCCTACTAAAAATACAAAAATTAGCCAGGCGTGGTGGCACACACCTGTAATCCCAGCTACTCAGGA
The DNA here is from genome assembly GCF_000001405.40 of Homo sapiens. NCBI lineage: Eukaryota > Metazoa > Chordata > Mammalia > Primates > Hominidae > Homo > Homo sapiens. The sequence continues at coordinate 25,114,066 of NC_000012.12, read as the reverse complement.
GGCTGAGGCAAAAGAATCGCTTGAACCTGGGAAGGGGAGGTTGCCATGAGCCGAGATCGTACCACTGCACTCCAGCCTGGGCAACAGAGTGAAACTCTGTCTCAAAAAAAAAAAAAAAAAAAAAAAAACCCAGAAAGAAAGAAAGAAATTACATAGCCTGTAATGTTTGGAGACAAAAGTAGATTAGTGGTTGCCTGGGGCTGAGAGTGGGTGGGGATTAACTGTAAATGAGCATGAGGAATCTTATTGGGAGGGATGAAAATGATCTAAAATGGATTTATGGGGATAGTTGTACCAGTCTGTAAAGTTACTAAAAATCATTGAATTATACACTTGAAATAGGTGAATTTTATGATATGTAAAATATATCTTAAAAAGTTGTTTTTAAAAACAGAGATAGCCTGGAATTCATCATGAGTACAGAAAGCCTAGAATATTATTAAACTTTGCTTTTAAAACTAGATGAGGGCTGGGAGCGGTGGCTCACGCCTGTAATCCTAGCACTTTGGGAGGCTGAAGTGGGTGGATCGTGAGGTCAGGAGTTTGAGACCAGCCTGGCCAATATGGTGAAACCCCATCTCTACTAATAATACAAAAATTAGCCAGGCATGGTGGCACACGCCTGTAGTCTTAGCTACTCAGGAGGCCGAGGCGGAAGAATCGCTTGAACCCGGGAGGCGGAGGTTGCAGTGAGCCAAGATTGTGCCACTGCACTCCAGCCTGGGCGACAGAGCAAGACTCCATCTCAAAAACAACAACAACAACAACAACAACAACAACAACAACAGCAACAACAACAAACTAGGTGAGATGGGAGATGGAGTGCCGTAGAATTATTAGTGTGCAAGTGCCCTTAAAATGCTTCTGGTCTACCCTCCTGTTGTATATAGAGAGAAACTAAGGCCCATAGAGGTTAGGAGGTTATGTGACCTTTCTGAGATTGTGTAAGGGGATTGTATTGCTGGAGCCTCCTTTCAGGCTTCCCTGCACCATTCCAGCAGCCCTGACGACCCTTGTGCAGAGATTCTTCCTCTAGACTCATGGAAAAATACAAGCATCTTCACAAAGTTCACTTATTAATATGACGATTGAAACACCCAAGACTGTTCAGTGTGCGTTTTCAGGTTAGTAGATCTGTGCTGTCTAATGTGGTAGCTACCAGCCGTATATAGCTACTGCATGTGACTAGTCCAAATTAGCACATGCTCTAACTGTAAAATTAACACAAATTTTGAGTTCTTGGTATGAAGAAAAAAATGTAAACTCTCAATAATTTCTATACTGATTACATATTGAAATATTTTAGATATATTGGGTTAAATGAAATATATTATTAACATTAAAAAAAAAACAGATGTGTAGGCTAGGTGTGGTGGCTCACGCCTGTAATCCCAGCGCTTTAGGAGGCCGAGGTGGGCAGATCACAAGGTCAGGAGATCGAGACCATCCTGGCTAACACGGTGAAACCCTGTCTCTACTAAAAATACAAAAAATTAGCCGGGTGTGGTGGTGGGCGCCTGTAGTCCCAGCTACTAGGGAGGCTGAAGCAGGAGAATGGTGTGAACCTGGGAGGCAGAGCTTGCAGTGAGCCAAGATCACACCACTGCACTCCAGCCTGGGCGACAGAGGGAGACTCCGTCTCAAAAAAAAAAAAAAAAAAAAAAAAACCAGATGTGAATTCTATACACCTTCAAACTGTCACTTCGCGCAAGACTTTAAAACTGGATAATAATATTGCCTCATTATGTTAACTTTTACGGATGTGAAAAGAATGATCCCTAAAAGTATAATCATAATTGTTATCTAATAACTATTTTAATTCAGTGTGAACATATGCATATTCTTATATTACAATTTCTAAAATAGGAGGCTTGAGAGATGCTATAGTCCATTCTTTGAATGTTCTGATGAAGCCCAAAAAGAGTTAGTAAACTGCTTAACATAACATGGGGACTTTGTGTCAGAGCATTCAGATGAGGCTTAAGATATACTTGCCCTGCATTCTTTCTAATATAGAGTGATAGATGACTTTTAAAAATGTATAAAGCATCTAAAGGCTGCACCTGGAGTGATACTGAAGTAATGATTTAACTTACATAAAAGCTTCTTTTTTCTTATTTAAACTAGGAAAACCTCTGCATGTTATCTTCAATCAAACTAAAAGACAAGAAACACATCTCTATTTTGGAAGGAACCTGGATGACTCCTATTCCTTTCATTATTGCTTTGAAAGAAGCTGGACTGAATATCTTTCCTACTAGACACTCTCATTTTTATGTTATTATAAACAATAAGGCAAGAATGAATCTTTCCAAATTTAATGTGGCGTGCATTTAAAATGTTAGCAATTATTAAATGTTATATAATTTAATATTATATACACTGTATTTTATATATTCATTTATACAGTATTATAAAGAAATAAGTGAAAAGACCAGAAATCCAGGGTTCTCTTAATTTTCCCTAAGAAAGTAAGCCTGTAGTGCGATCTTCATATTGACAAATGGAGCATATCCACAGACGGTCAGTTTAGTGCAAAGGTAGTTTAAGCAATTCTCATTTTATATACTTTCTTTTTGCATTACTGGATATTATATGAGATTTCCTAAAAGAGTAAATAACTGCACTTTCCCAAACATGGTAAGTTAGGCAGAATTAAAAATACAAGGACCACCAATGTACAAAACCCACTTCCTTTAGTTTCTTGGCAAAGCCTCCATGTCTGTGTACTGTTTCATGTTCGTCATAAGGCTTTAGTTCAGTAAGATCCTTCCAGGTTAAACTGTGAGCTTCTTGAGGATGGGGGTCATTTCTTAATGAACATTGATTCTTCTAGCATCTAGCATAGTCCTAGAATATAGTAGATGCTTAGTAAACATTTGTGATATATGAAGACACAAAGTAACTTCTAATCATGAAAAGTGAATTTGTAGGCAGAAGAGTTCTGTACTCAAGAATATTTATGAATGTATCAGAAAATGACAATATAAGTAGATATTTATATAATATTTAGAAATAAGTGTATGTACATATATGCATAGGAAAAAAACCCTTGGTTTTAGTAACTCAAATTGCCTGTTACTCTACATTGTTGAATGTAGTGTTCTGCTCATGCTTTCAGAATATTCTACTCCAGGAAATATTTTTTTCTGAACACTGTGTGCTAGGCACTATTTTAGATGATTAGGATATAGCAATGAATGAAACAAAGGTCCTTACCTTTGTTTTCTTTCACAGTCGAAGGAAAACATTTAAAAAAATAAATGATTAGTATGTTAAAAAGGTGAAAAGTGCTATGGAAAAAAAGAAAAGGTAGATCCGGAATAGTGAGGCTGAGGCCATATGACACCCATATTAAATAGGGTGTCAGGGAGGGCAGCTTAATGAGAGATAACACTTGAGTGAAACTCAAAGGTGGGGACTTTAGCCATGTGCACATCTGGGGAAGCAGCTTCCTGGTAAACAACTGGAGCAAGAGCCCCGAGGGAGTGGCTTGGTGTGCTGGAGGATTGGAGGGACACCATGGAAACCATGGGGCCTGGAACTGAGAGAGCAAAGGGAGAAGAAAAAGAGGTCGGCAGGTAATGGGGTATATGTGGAGTCGGGAGTAGGGATGTCAGAGGGCCGTGCAAGTCGTTTGTTAACTATGGACTCTATTCTCAGAGAAAGGAAAGCCATTGCCCAGTGTTGAGAGAGGAGTCATGTACTCTGACTTACAATTTTAAGTGGATCCGTCTGTGTTGAAAATAGACTGAAGGAGGCCAAAGATGGAGGAAGACTTGTTGGGAGGCTCAAAGATCAATTCTATTTGTTTTTATATTGACAGGTTCCTTTGGTAGAAGTGAAAGCTTATCGACAGATGGCCCTACTAAGTTCTGCTTTTGCATTTGGTTGGAGCAAGTGGAACCTACTATGTAATTCTACAAAAGTCGTATTTAAGGTATGATATGTAGAAACCCATAAAACTACTTTGTCCTCCAAAAGAAGATAAAGTACTCAAAGACTAAATGAATGTAGACCATGGCTTCCCCTCTTAGAAAAGTTAAAAAAATTAACATTCAATACGGAATTTTAAAATTTCAAATTTTGGGCCAAGCACGGTGGCTCATTCCTGTAATCCCAGCACTATGGGAGGCTGAGGTGGGCAGATCACCTGAGGTCAGGAGTTCGAGACCAGCCTGACCAATATGGTGAAACCCCGTTTCTACCAAAAATACAAAATTAGCCAAGTGTGGTGGCGCATGCCTGTAATCCCAGCTACTCAGGAAGCTGAGGCAGGAGAATCGCTTGAACCTGAGAGGTGGAGGTTGTGGTGAGCCAAAATCATGCCATTGCACTCCAGCCTGGGCAACAAGAGCAAAATTCCATCTCAAAAAAAAAAATTCAAATTTTTTGTCAAAAATATAAATCTAAATTATATAAAGTTTATGCCTTTGTTGTCCAAGCTCTTGACTTCAAGCCAGGCCAGAGTCCTTGTATCTGTTTACAAATTGACTCAAGAACAAATGGAAGCCTTGCCGGGTGCAGTGGCTCCCACCTGTAATCCCAGCCACTTGGGAGGCTGAGGTGGAAGGATCGCTTGAGCCCAGGAATTTGAGGCTGAAGTGAGCTATGATCACACCACTGCACCCGAGCCTGAACAGCAGAGTGAGACCCCCATCTCTTAAAAAAAACAACAAATGGAGGCTTTTAACATTAATATATCTGTGACTTACAGCCCCTCTCCTCTGAGAGGGTTAGTCCTCCAACTTAACTTCCTGATACCTTCTTGTTATCAGGTGGTAGTAACCATATCAAATTCTAAAAGCTGATGAATATTTTGGCCTAAACAAGCCACTGTATTTATTGCTCTTGTTTATTGTGTGTTTCCCCCACTCAAATATAAGCCCCTTGAGGGCAGGGCTTTGTTGTTGCAGTTGTTATTTATATATGTTGTATGTCTATATTTCTTCTGTGTTTTCTTTCTCTGTTATATCCCCAGCACTTAGAACAGTACCTCACACATGATAGGCACTCAATAAATATTTGTTGCATGAATTAATACATGTGGATAAGCTCCATAATCACCAAAATATAAACAGTGTGATGGTTTTTCAAAACCCAGTAATGGAACACATAGACTGTTTCTTTTAACCTTTGCAATTTTGGGGGATAAATTGAGCCCTTCAAATAATAATCTGCTACCAAAATACTGAATAGAAGAGGAATTATTAACAACTTGCTTGAATTTTTTTTTTTTTTAGGTGAGGGAACACCTTACTGAAGCATGTACTGAGAATCCTAATTGGGCCCTTTTAATGTTTAGTGGTGACAGAGCACAAAGACTGAAGATCAAGGAAGAGAGTGAGGCATTTTCTGAAGCACTTAAAGAAGAAACTGAGTTTCATTCTACTTTATATCACATGGTGAAGGATTTTGCTTCTGAGGAAGCAATGGAGAAAGTCAGGAGTTCCAACTGTCAGTTTGTCAACTCTGTGTGCCACATGCTGCTCTCTACCAGATTGCTCAGCTACTCCTAACCTCCACTTACAAACTGTATTGTAAGTATGAAGAACCAAGCATGGTGAAAGACAGGTATTTCTGCAACACAATGTAATGAGTGAATGAATACATTTCAAATCAACTATTAAAAATTTTCTAATCTGCATTTTCTACTCAAGTTTTATTTTAAAAACAGTATTTTTTTTTCCTTTGAATACTTGGCCTGTTAAGAATTTCAGCTTTCACTCTATGAAGATTTAAATGATTCTTTATTTCAATAAACTTTAACAAACAATATATAATATTTCTTCCTTAAAAAGCTCATTCAAAGATCATAGGCAGACTTCTTCCCCATTGTATTTTAGTTGGGGAGATAAAGGCAAAAAGAGGAAATGTAAGCTATCTTACAGTCATTCTGAGAACCTCTGGTTTCATGCTATACTTTCCCAGCTAAAAGTTACTAATTTACGAAGTTCAGATACTGAAACTTAAAAATCAAGATCCATATATTAGGATGTCCTGCTGTCACACTGGTGGTGGCCCATTGTGTCGGAGTCTGGTAAATGGCCACAAGATATGTTCTAGAGACGTCCATGAGTCCTCTTGCTGTGTGGGAGCGGCATCCACAGACTTCTGGAATAATTGGCCTGTGAGGAAGCTCATCAAAGCTGCAAACAGTACAATGAATGCAATAGAGAGCCAGAGGGCCTTATTAGCCTTTCTGATGGAGGACTTGAGATTTGTTGCCCAGGAAGCTATTGTGTCATAACTATAAGGAAAACACAAATAGAATTTGGTAATCGGTAATTTGTCATTAGAAACATTCCTTTTGCTAACACCACCAGTCAGGTGATCTGCCCTTCATACCCCCAAAACTGCCTTTTAATCTACATATTATGATTTATCATTTTGGTTTTGGAAACAATCTGCCTCCCACCCTTTGTACCTATTAGGATTAAAGAAATGATGTGCTACGATGAGAATCTGAAAATTACGTGATGTAGGCAGTATCTTCTAATAAGTACATACAAGTATCTCATTCTTTCAGTAAGGTAAGGCAACATATTCCTACAGTGGAAACAAAAATGTTATTTGCTGGGTAGAGTGGATGTCTGTGTATGTACTTATGTGTGTGTACAGTAGTCCCCCTTTATTCTTGTGGGATATGCTCCAAGACCTCCAGTGGATGCCTGAAGCTGAAAATAGTACTAAACCCAGTATATACTGTTTTTTTCCTATGGATACATGCCTATAACAAAATTGAATTTATAAATTAGGCATAGTAAAAGATGAACAATAACTAACATAAAATAGAATATAACATATATTACAGTAAAAGTTATGTGAATGTAGTCTGTCTCTCAAAATAGATAACATAGGTTCAAGGATAACCTGACATACAAAGTTTGTTATTCATCTTAAATACAACAATTTGGCATGTCTTTTAGTAATTTGATTAGGATTAATACTGTCAGCCCTGCCTCACCCTTTCCCATTCCACTAAAATGGTAGAATTTATCAAGTAGATAACTTACACTGAAGAGACATCCCACTTTGATGGATTATTTTTCTTTTCAGAAAGACTTGGCTTCCTTGTCCTTTCTACTGTTTCTTCTCCAGATGGCTCTGAGTCATCTTTAGTTCTGTAAATAAATGTTGTTTTTAATATTTGAAACTAAGGATAATATGCTATAATTATTCATAAAATATTGCTGAATCTTACTGTAACTCAAGAGGCTCACAAATATTTGTTCTGTTTTAGGGAAAGTCGATAAATATCTAACTCTAAAAATCAAATCACCAGATTTATAATTTAAACCTTTTATAGAAATTTAATTAAAAATAAGTTCTTCTATTTAGAAAAATAATAAATGTGTAGAAAGTTAGTTAGAATATTAGCCAAGTATATACAATAGAATATTAGCCAAGTATATACAAAAAGGGAAAATTTAAAAAGAACTTTCAGAAGTTAGTCTCATCATTAACCAATGTTATTACTATGAATTCTTTCTCTGCATATATATATGCAGAGAAACTCTGCCTAGGCTGGAGAAGAAACTCTGTTGCCTAGGCTGGAGTGCAGTATATATAAATATATACTATATATACACATATTTATATATAATATATACACACATATCTACATATAATATATGCATATTAATATATGCTTATACAAAGTTTATAATATATACACACATATTCCATAATATATATATTTATATATATAAAAATATGTATGTATATGTTGTATATATGTTTTGTATATGGATGTGTACATATACCTGTGTGTGCGTGTGTGTATGTGTATATATAAAACAAATGTGGGCACCATATCTCTTCCTTTTAAATTTTATTTAACATTAGTAAAAATCTTTTCTCATTATTATTGATTTTATTCCTTTCTCTGTATGATTTCCAATCAGTGCTAACTTGGAGTAACATCAGAGTTTTTCTCTGAAAATCTTAATAATTTAAAACGTGTTTTTGAAAATATTCTCAGTATAAAACTGGTTAAAATAAATTAGTATTCAGTGAACTGGGAAATAGCAATTGATTGACTGCATTTTAAATCAAATCATATTATTTAAAGAGGTGTTCTTCCACCTAAGCAAAACATAATTGTTCCACTATATTTGCTGATGAGTTCCTAGTTGGATTTGAATTTTGAAATCTCAAGCTCATAATACCCTCAGAATTGCCAAAGGGAAATGTGTCTCAAAGACTTTTTTTTCATTCAAACATCTATGGGAAATAAATATGATAGACTTTAGTTTTTAAAGAAAACAAGACCCAAAAGCCAGAATAAATTGCATTGCATTTCTGTAAGATTCTCAAGGTTTCAGTCTTGTTTACAAAGACTTCTCAGTAGAAATCATACCATACTAACAAAAAGCAAAAACTAGATAATCTTTTGAAGGAGACTCTTGAACTGATTTTTTTTTCCAACCAGCTCAAATTCATTATGTTAACTCTAAATCTGAAAAGAGTTTGTAACACATGCAGTAGGCTCCCAGGACTTTAAAAAAAAGAAAAAAACCAAAACAGATTATTTGAGGATTGCACCATGTCATGCTCATCTTTATATTCCTTAGAATTGAGCAGAGTGTCCATCCCATGGTAGGCACTCACGAAAATGTATAAAATAAAATAAATAAACATAAAATCATCTCCTTAAGATCCTTCACTTTAACAGATATGAAAACTGAAGGCCGGGCGCAGTGGCTCAAGCCTGTAATCCCAGCACTTTGGGAGGCCGAGGCGGGCGGATCACGAGGTCAGGAGATCGAGACCATCCTGGCTAACACAGTGAAACCCCGTCTCTACTAAAAATATTAAAAATTAGCCGGGCGTGGTGGCGGGCGCCTGTAGTCCCAGCTACTTGGGAGGCTGAGCCAGGAGAATGGCGTGAACCCAGGAGGTGGAGGTTGCAGTGAGCTAAGATCGCGCCACTGCACTCCAGCCTGGGTGACAGAGCAAGACTCCGTCTCAAAAAAAAAAAAAAAAAAAAAAACTGAGACCAAGTAAGGTTAGGCACTTTTTCTAATGTCACCCAAGGACTCAGAGGTAGCATTTCTGCATATCCCTCCTTCTTGCCCTCTACCTTTCACTGTAGAAGTATATTTGTTTAGTTTACTAGATACAGAGATAGCAATTCAGAATTTCATGTTTCCTCTACTCTTCACTTACATAAATGGAAGATAGATAGATGTACATACATGTTACATATGTGCCTATATGTTATATAATACGTACGTTATATATCTCATGTTTTTAAAAATATATAAATAGATGGACATTTTACTTCTGTGGCTCTTTATTGACCTTTCCCCATTGTAGACAGACACCTGGACAGGAAAAAAATTATCTTCACAAATATGGCAAACTCCAGGGTCTTTTCTAACTTAAGACCTCAAACTTTGCCATTCTGAGAGCTATGAGAGTGAATGTATTAATATTCACAAATAACACTTATATTGTGCTTTACAGTTTATAAAAGTGTTTTACAATGAATTATCTTTTTAATTATACAGCATTATTTCATCTCCATGGAATAAAAGTGATTCCCATTGTTTATGCCCCAGTTCATGTCAGGTTAATAAACACACTGAGCTTCACCTACTTTAGTTCACATTTTTCTTCTTCAGCATCTGCCCAGGAATAGGTGCTAATAAATCGAGGTAATGAGGGACGGTGTTCACTCTGCTTTGACCCCAAAATACGCCTAAATAAAGATGATTATAGCCACTTGTCAAATCAAATACATCTGTAGCCATTATCAATTTATTTCCTACTGCTTAAGTAAATACAAAATTATATGTCCTAATTATTTTTTTCTTGGCACATTCACAGATCTCCTACTTTATGATAAAAAACTTCATAATTAGATACCAATTTATATAATTATTCTGTTTACACTTTGTACAAATCAAACATTACTATATCACTTAATTTGAGCACTCATTTAGGTTAGCCCAAGTATAAAATAGTAAGGTTCCCAAAGAGGAACCATAAAATTACACTTACCAACTGCTTGACCTTCTACTGAATCGATCATTATTTTCCATCCCAGCCACCTTTAGTAGAAGTTCAAATGTTAAAAGAAATGATAAAATATACGTTTATATTTTCTGTCATATGAAAATGAATTTACCTTTGACTAAGAACACTTAGGAATTGTCTTACCATTCCTGCATTTCCAATATTTCTGGGTAAAGAGGCAATAGTCACTCTTCGTAGAGAAGATGGCTACCAGAAGGAGGAAAATGTACATTTAGAAAACTCTCAATAATTTATCATTATATGCAACACCAATAAATATCCTTGTACATGCATATCCGTGTACTTGACCACAGCTGAGTTAAACAGACATATCTTAAAGGATCCTCTTGTGGCCAAATTGTCTTCCAGAAATATTTTACCAATTTATATTCCACCTAACTCAATGTTGGATTATTATAATTTATGCCAATCTAACAAATATACAATTTGTTTAGGTTTGTAATTATTTGTCTTCTAGAAACATTGAACATTTCTTTTTATGTTAAATAATCATGTATTTATCTTCTCTGAGAACCACCTGTTTACCACCTTTGTCTATATTAATTTTGTTTATATTGAATTTTGTCTAAATTGAATTTTCATATTTCTGGCAGAAATTTTTTGTTGTTAATCCAGCCAAATCTATTCTTCTCTTTTGCTACCATTGCTTCTGTGCTTAGAAAGATTTCTCCCAACTCAGGAGGAGATAAATATGCACCTACATGTATAGCTTTTTTGTTCATGGTTTCATTTTTTTCCATTTAACACATTTAAGGATTTTCATGATGTTTTAATGAATGAAAGTGTTTCTTGAGATTTGTACAGAAAAGCATTATATAGTATTATGTGGTTCTTAAGGTTTAAATAAGTACATCAGGATAAATTTTTAAAATATGTAATAAATAAACTAATTTAAGGGGGTTCCATGTGAATCGTTTTCTTAAACCATCATCCCTAATTTAATTTCATAGGTTAGTTGAGCATCAAGAATATGAAACTGCGGCCCAAGAAACTTGGTTTCTAATCATGCTTCTACCAATACATGATCATAACTGATCACTTAACTTCTGTGTTTCTCTTCCCTCATCTGAAAAAGAGGGATTTGTATGGAATGATTTTAAAGTCACTTATTCAAAAATTCTGTATATCTATGAAATCCTGATTTTTACACTGTGGCAAAACCTGCCAGTTGACCTTCAGTATCACATTCTTCCTTCTTAGTTAGTAATAAGCCTCCTGATTTTTAGCTAGGCATACAGCCTCCCAAATACACGCTGTATTTTCCAGTCTCATTCGTAACAAAGAATGGAAAGAGAAATGTTACTTTGGACTTCTAGGGGGTGTCTTTACAGGGAGAGGGAATACTTGTCATTGCTTCTTTTTTTTTCTTGGAATGAGATGATGTAATGATGAGGGCTTGGTGCCTGGATCTAAAGTAGCCATCTTAGACTCTGAGGCAGAAGCCAAGGGCTGAGGGTAGTGAGGCAGCACGAAAGGAGGAGGCTGATCCCTCAGGATCTTGTGAAGCTGCTGTGCCATTGTCGGGTTACCCACTTCCAACTTCAGTTTTACACAACAGAGAGAAACCATTGTTGTACTGACTTTCTTCATGCTGCCAGGCACACTTAATTGATACAAAAATATAGCAGAGAGTATAAAAGCATACTTAGATAAACAAATACATCTATATGAATTAAAATCACTATTTTGTTATTTACATATAAAGGCCTGAAACTTCAAATAACATTTTAAAACCGTCTTATAGTATTTGCTAGACATTTGTTAAGTGAATTAGTAATTACCTTGGAGTTTAGAGAAGCTGAACGTTTTTTAATTTGGCAGTCATCTGAAAGGAAAAACACATTGACACATTTTAGCTATTACACATGCCATTTATGTTAAAGCAACGTCTTAATTCTTTAAAGGTAAAGCAAAATTCAGAAGATATTAAGACTTTAGAGACTACCGAGCAATATAAATATCTGTTTATCATTCATTTCATTCTTCATAACAATTACCATCTTAACCAATGGAATACAGTCCTCTGTGTCACTGTGATGTCCATAATGCCTAGCTAGCACAGGGTAGGCACTACATGTGTGTCTGCTGGAGAAAGGAATCCAAAAGTACAGTTCAGAAGAGTATCAAATATGGTTACTGTTCTAGAACAGGGAACAGATTCTTGAAATAAGAATTCTGCTCAGAAAAGTTCATATTGTTTATTTTAAATAAAACTATTGTAAGATTTATAGAAACGATATGTTACTCCCCGTGGCCTCATATGTTTCTCTATTTTCCAGTTCATCAATCAGCTTACTGTGCCAGGGTCATTCCTTCCGTGAGGAATCAAAACCGTTGCTGATGGCAGCGCCCATTTAAATTATTTATCCTTACTTTTTACGTGTGGAGAAATTCTAATGTATCCTAAGTAGGGGAACACTAAGGTCAACTTCATGAGTTGGATTAAATATATTCTGTCATCTCAGTAATCTAAATTGAGTTAATAAATTTTTGGTGTCATTACTAAAGAATCCTTCATGTGTCCCAACCTGTTTTCTGACACCTCACTTTTAGCTATATAAATAACAGGAATGAATTATTTTTCTAATATAAAGTTAACCTAAGAGTTTTATTATACTGAAGTAATAATAAGACTTAGCAAAAAAGAGGAGAATGTAGAAAAACACAACTAATACTATTATCATAAACTTTTATTACCATCATCTTCAAGAGGATTGAAAGACCTTTCATTCTGCAGAAGAACCTGTTTCAGTTCTTCTAATTCAGCGTGCTCTTTGGCATACATCCTCTTCAAGTTTTCTACGTGCTGAATCATCACTTCAACTGCTTTACTAACCCGGCTTTCCTAGCAAGAGAAAAAACGAGCACATTTACATTGAAAATACTACTCTCAATTAAAAGATGGTGATTAAACACATTTACCTTCACTCCATTCCTAAATCCCACTAAAGTGGCAATAAATGTTTTTTTTTTAAAAAGACATGCATCTACAGGGGCAAACAGAAGAGAATATGACAACAAGACTTTGAAAGCTGGATAGAAGGACTAGTGGCAAATGACTAAGACCTGGAAAAGCTGAACCCTAAAAAAGGCAGTAAGAAAAGCCTAGAAGCAACCTACACTGCACCTCAGTAAGGTTGATGGTGGGTATGTGAACAGAAGAAATGGTTGAAAGTCTGTGTAAAAAAAAAAAAAAAGATTAGGTCCAGAGACTCCTTCCTTACTGTGGCCAGCACAGCAATTTTCCCTCCACTATTTTGGTGAAAGACTACATACAGTTGGATATCTAGAGAGAGTTAACTTGAGGTTCTGTGGATTGGGAAAGAACAGATAGTTGATGATGGATCTATCATGCTGAAAACAACAGATTTAAGCAACAACTTATATGCATATTGAATATTGAGATCCAGCCTTATTCCTCCTTCCAGCCTCCAAACACTGGCAGCCAGAGTTACACCCTCAAGGCAGGCAGTTGGAAGGTTTTTCTCTGGGGATTCTAATATTCTAAGATAAAAGTCCTATAACTAATGACATTAGGAGTACCCCAGTGAAACATCTGGAATGTTCATAGTCCTATGAATATTTGTGTACAAGTATCTGAGTGCCTGTTTTCAATTCTTCTGGGTATACATCTAGGAATGAAATTGCTGAGTCATATGGTAATTCTATGTTTAACTTTTAAGGATCCACCAAACTGTTTTCCACGGTGGCTGGACCATTTCACATCTCCCAGCAACGTACAGTGTTTGCAATCTCCCCACATCCTCACCAACACTATTCCTTCTTTGCTTCCTCCCTCCCTCCTTCCTTCCTTTCCAACTTCCTTACTTCCTTTCTTCTTTCACCATAGCCATCCTCGTGGGTGTGAAGTGGTATCTCATTGTGGTTTTGATTTGTATTTCCCTAATACATTTAAGGATGTTAAATATCTTTTTACCTGCTTATTGACCATTTGTGTATCTTCTTTGAAGAAATGTCTATTGAAGTCTTTTGCCCATTTTTTTTTTTTTTTTTTTTTTTTTCAGATGGAGTCTCACTCTTGTTGCCCAGGCTGGAGTGCAATGGCACGATCTCGGCTCATTGCAACCTCTGCCTCCCGGGTTCAAGTGAGTCTCCTGCCTCAGTCTCCCGAGTAGCTGGGATTATAGGCACGTGCCACCACACCTGGCTAATTTTTGTATTTTTAGTAGAGACGGGGTTTTACCACGTTGGCCAGGCTGGTCTCAAACTCCTGACCTCATGATCTGCCCATCTTGGCCTCCCAAGGTGCTAGGATTACAGGCGTGAGTCACCGCGCCCGGCCACACATCCTTTCAAACCACAGTAAGACATTGGGTTTTACCCCAAGTAAACTGAGGAGCTTTAGGACGCTGAACCAAAAAGTAACACAATCTAATTTTAAAAGGATTACTCTGGCTCCTTTATTAAGAACAGACTATGTTGGGAGGAGGGATTGGAATTGGATGGAAGCAGGGAGACCATATAGGAACCTATTGCATTAATCTGGACAAAACAGAATGGAGGCTTAGATCAAGATGGTAACAGTAGAAAGGGAAATAAATGGTTGAATTCTGAATATATTCTGACAATTCAGCCAATAGGATTTTCTGTAGGATTTAATGTGAAGTGAGAGAGAAAGGTGTTGAGAATTACCCCAGCTCCCTCTGCCCCTATTTTGGCCTGAGCAACTAAAAGGACAGAGCTGCCCTTGAGTGAAGTAAGGAGCTTATGCATGGGGTAGGTTTGGTGGGGGGACCATGAACAGTCAGTTTTGAATGGTAGGTTTGAGTTTATCAAACATCCAAGTGGAACTGTTGAGTCAGCAGTAGCATACTCTGCTCTGGAGCTCAGGGGAGTGGGTTAGGCTAAACATATGAATTTGAGAGTCCTCAGGTGACTGCAAGGGATCACAGGGGGATTGCGTGCACATGGAGATCAGATGTGCACGAGTGGAGTCCTGGGGCTCTTCAATATTCAGAGGTCCAGGAGAAGGGGTAGAACTGCAGGAAGCCTAGAAGGAGCAGCCCGTGATGTAGAGAAAAGCTAGAGGACATGGTGCCTGGAAGCTAAGTGAGGAAAGCATTTCCAGGAAGAGGAAGACATCAGCCATGCCAGATGAGGACTGAGAAACTGAATTTGGTAATGTGGAGGTCACTAGTGACCTTGGAAAAATCTGCTTTGTGGAAGCAAAAGGCTGATACAGAGTGGGTTGGAGAGAACGTGGGAGGAGGGAGACTGAACACAGTGAGTACCATTCTGTCGAGGTTTGCTGTAAATGGGAGCAGAGAAACAGGGTGGTGGCCAGAAAAGAAAGGATAAAAAGTTATTTTGTTTGTGTTTGTTTTGTGTTATTATTCCCATCTAGAAAACAACATATTATTTGTGTGCTGATAGAAATGGTTCAGTAGAGTGGAGAAAATGTAAATGGAGAAAAGTCAGGAGAATTTGGTCCCATGACTCTGAGTAAATTAGTCGGGAAGGCTCCCATCTACAGTGGGGAAGGCTGGCCTTGGATAGGGTTAGAGACAACGCATCTTTAGGAACAAGAGCAAGGGAGTGTGTAAGGATTCACACGCTGGGAGGCTTTGTGGCAGTTTCCTTTGATTGTCCCAGTTTCCTCAGTGAGGTTGGAAGCAGTCATTACCTGTGTTTGAGAGAGAATATGGGGAAAGACATGACAGTGGTTTGAGGAGAAAGGAAAGGGTGGGAAATTGATATTTAAAAGAGAAGGAGGGTGATTGAGGGGAAGCCCCAAGGACCCGCTTGAGGTTTGTGATAATGAATTCAAAGAGAAACAGGTCAGCATGGGAATGTGACATTTTCCAGCTATGCAGGCATGAGAGGTGGAGAAGCGGATTTACTTGTAGATTCGCCAAATGAGTAAGACAAAGCAAGAAAGGGGTAAGTGATGAGGGGACATGCAAGGTAGTGAAAACTATGTTTAACTGTGGAGTATAAGCTTGGCCAGGAAAGCAGGATGGCCAACAGTAGCTTGAGGGACAGTGAAAAGGTGTGATGGGCCAGAGATTGATAAAAGAACTAAATATTTGTCTTCGTAGTGGAAGAGCAACAGATAATACCTAAAACTGAAAATAAATCACTAAATGGCAGCATGAGCATGTTATTGAAAAATGTGAATGCAAATACAAAACAAATAAGACAAAAAGTTGAAAGTTGTTTCTCTGGATCACGGGAAATTAGTAAGGCTTATAGAGCTGATTGACCTTTTAAAAAACTATGTGCATATATAACTTTAGTAAAAATGAAACAAAGAATAACAGTATTCTCTAGTGAGGGGTTAAAAAGGAACTAAGGTGTGAAAGTATATAACAAATGATCAAACTAAAATTACTACCACAATTAAATTTCTCCTTAAGAAAATATATTTTAACAAGTCTGCTTAGGTATAGATTTAAAAAATTCATATCTCCCCAGGTTTGCCCACAAAGAAATTTTGGAATTCTACTTCTCTAAGGACAAATACACACAGATGCATATACAAGGATATTTACTGGAGCATTGTTTATAACAGAAAAATACCAAAAACATCCTGAAATGATTGAATACAAGGAATTGGTTAAATAATTTATATCTACTCAACCAGTAGAATACCATAAAATGGTGACATGTGAGTATATAATTATATCACACAGAAAGTTACCTATGTTGTATGATGAATAAAAAGCAGATTATAACACTATATAAGGGATTATAAACACTATATTATAACACTATACATCTTGAAGAATATATCACAAAAATTTTATGATTGTCACTGGATCGTATTATATTTTTTTAACATTTTTTATTTGTATATTCCATTTTTTCTGTATTAAACACATATGTATTAAACGCATATGTCTTATACAACAAAAGTATTTTTTAAAACTTATTCCTAGAAGTGAGAAATCCATAGTCTCAGGAAAAGTGAATCTTTTTTGTAATTTCATTCTAACTAGAGAAATGAAGACAGGTTACCTGATTGATGGCTCCCAACATCTCAGCCCTACTGGCCACTCGTGCTGCACACTGGCTAAGAAACTTTATACTCTTCTCCAGCTTCTTAATGATTTCCTGTGCCTGGTTGTCATCTTCACACAGAGGTGTTAAAGACTGTATAGAAAACAGCATATTAAAAGATATCTAACACAAGCATTCAGCGAGTGATTCTAACACTGACTAAGTTGCAAATGTGGATGACATTCTAATCTCAATTATTTCGGTGGAAGATGAAAAGAAGCAGCAAAGATCAATAATGAATGATACTGATATATTATTATCTTTTTTGGGTACTGGGTAGATATACGCAGGTGATCACAAATCTTTTATGTCTATTCTTGATCCCTTTTTTCTTTACTTCCCAAATTTGCCACATCTTTCTTCTACAGCTAATAGGATGGGCTGCAATTAATTGGTAATGGTAAAGAGATTATGCTTACAAAAGAGGTGAATGTATCATATAAGGAGCATAGGTTGGAATTTTAAGAAACGTAACCAAACATATTGGAATTAAAAATGTCTCTGACGGTATGACTGGGCTGGCTAGGTGAATATACATTCATTGCCTTATGAATTTTCCTCTCAATCCTGTGCCCTTTACACAATATGATGCCCTTCCTGATGAACATCCTTCTCACCAGAGTACAGACAGGATTAAGTGAATAACAGATTTGGAAGCAGACATGACACTGCTCATTACCTGTGTGATTGTGAGCAAATTTCTAAAACTTTCCCAAATCTAAAGCAACATGAATTATAAGAGATACAACGATTTTGTATATCATTAAGAAAGAAAAGGCTGTCAATAAAACCATTAGGCACCACCGACTGTAAATTGCATCATAATTTTAGAAATGTTCAAAAAAAATCAACCTTTCTGATTTGCTGTTCCTTATCTGTCCAGTGGGGACAATCACGTATCCTCTCCAGAAATACTGTCATATGATAGGTAAGAGATGCCAACTGCCTGTTGCACATTTGGTGCTCAATGAAGGATAACCACTTTTGAAACAGACAGATATGTGTAAGTTGTAGTTAGAGAGTTGCTAACCAACTAGGATGGCAATTGTCAGACATGCAGTTTCTTACAGTGGTTTAAACCACCACCTCCAGTTGGGAAGGAAAGAGCAGATGTTAATTGTTAGCAAAACAGAGTATGGTCAACCAGGATTAAGCCATGAAGAAACAGAGAATCTGAACAGACCTATAACTAGTAAGAAGATTGAATCAGTAATCAAAAATCACCCAATAAAGAAAAATCCATGACTGAATGGCTTCACTGGGGAATTCTACCATTTAAAGAATTAATGCCAATCTTCATAAAACTCTTCCCAAAAATTGAAGAGGAATACTTCCAAGCTCATTCTATGAAGTCCACATTACCTTAATGCCAAAGCCAGAAAAAGACATTAAAGAAAAAAAACTACAGACCAATATCTCTGATAAATATTAATGTAAACATTCTCAACAAAATACTACTAGACTGAATTCAACAGTACATAAAAAGGATTATACATCATGTACAAGTAGGATTTATTTCTATAATGTTAGGGTGGTTTAACATATGAAAACCAATCAATATAATATACCACATTAACAAAAAGGAGGACAAAAACCATATAGTCATTTCAACTGATGCAGAAGAAGCATGTGATAAGATTGAACACACTTTTATGATTAAAAAACACAAAAACTAGGAATACTAACAAAAAGATGCAAAAAACCACACATTATTTTTACTATGTCACTGAAGTGCTAATTTAAAAAAATAGAAATAGGAGAAAATTACCTTAACCTAATAAAAGTTATATATGAAAACCCTACTACGATTATACTCAGTGGTGAAAGACTGAAAGCTTATTCCTTTAAGGTCAGGAACAAGGCAAAGATGCCCACTCTCACCAATATTATTCAACATAATACTGGAAGTTCTAGCCAGAACAATTAGGCAAGGAAAATAATGAAAAGTTATCCAAATCAGAAAGGAAGAAGTCAAATCATTTCTGTTTGTAGATGATATGATCTCATACATAGTAAACACTAAAAATTCCACCAAAAAAACCTGTTAGAACTAATATACACATTCAACAAAATTGTAGGGTACAAAATTAACACAAAAAATTAGTTGTCTTTCTACACACTAACAATTTCCAAAAAAGAAATTAAGAAAACCATTCCCTTTACAATAGCATCAAAATGAATAAAATACTGAGGAATAAACCTAACAAAGGAGATAAAAGAGATGTACACCGAAAACCACAAAACATTTCTGAAAAAAATTAAAGAAGACAAGACACAAATAAATGGAAAGACACCCTGTGTTCATGGGTTGGTAGACCTGATTTTGTTAAGCTCTCTATAGTACCCAAAGTGATACACAGATTCAAGGGCATCTCTATCAAAATCCCAATGGCATTTTTTCTTTGCAGAAATAGAAAAATTTATCCCAAAATTCATATGGAATCTAAAGGGACCCTAATAGCCAAAACACTTTTGAAAAAGTAGGAGGACTCATACTTCCTAATTTTAAAACATATTACAATGCTACAATAATTAAAACAGTGTGGTACTGACATAAAAACAGACATATAGACCAATGGAATAGAATTAAAAGCCCAGAAATAAATGTATATGAAATGATCTTCAACCAGGGTGCCAAGAATCCACAATGAGGAAAGGATGGTCTCTTCAACAAAATATTGCTGAGAAAACTCGATATCCACATGCAAAAGAATGAAATTGGACCCTTACCTTACATCATATATGAAAATTAACTCAAAATGGATTAAATACCTAAAAGTAAGACCCCAAACTAGAAAACTCCTAGAAGAAAACATAAGGGAAAAGCTTCAGGACATGGGTTTTGGCAATGGTTTCTTGGATATAACACCGAGAGCACAGACAACAAAAGTGAAAATAGACAAATGGAACTACATCAGACTTAAAAGTCTTTATACATCAAAGGACCCAGTCAACAGAAAAGGCAACCTATAGAATGGGAGAAAATCTTTTCAAACCATACGACTGATAAGGGGTTAATATCCACACTATATAAAGAACTCCTGCAACTCAACAATTAAAAATCCAAATAACTCAATTAAAAAATGGAAAGAGAGTGGCCTGATGGCCCTGCCACATTGAGTGCAGCCTCCCGGGCATGCAGGTCCATGATATTCAAAGAACATTTTATGAAGAATACATCCTGTGAAAGATAAAGCTGGTCAAAAGTGCAAGCCTACCAATGTGTTTGATTTTCCTAATAATTCTGCCGTCTCAAGAATTGGCAGGCTTGGTGAAAATGAGAAAGATGAAGAACCTTATGAAACCTTTGATCCTCCTTTACACAGCTCATCTATGTATGCCAATGAAGAATTCTCCAAATATTGTGGATTATCTACCACTTCAACTCCTGCAGGAAAAGAAGCAAAAAGAAGCTCGAGCACTTCTGAAAATGAAGGAAGTGAAAACGAATCTGCAAAAATGAGTGCAAAAAGCCAGGAAGAAAACTCAAACTCAGCGATGAGTCTGAAAGCACTGAAGAAAGTGATGTGAGAAGAAAAGTTAAGTCAGTGGAGAAAATAAAGACCCAACAACACGAGGCTATTCCAACTACAGCATCTTCAGCCCTTTCAGAGAAACCAGCCGACTCAGTCACTTCCAAAACCATAGGACCCATTAATGCCCAGCCATCTGTTGAAAAAGACACACTGACAACAGAAAGTCAAGCAAAACCCAGAAAAAAGGGAATATATCTTATGGCAAAAGGAAGAAATCAAGAAGTGAAGCAATAGACTCAGATATTTCCAACATTGTGCATATTTGGTGTCTGGAAGGAAGGAAAACCAACGACATCATGGAATTGAATATTGTTTTGCCTGCATTTGAGAAAAACCTCGTCCAGTATAAACATTGAATAGAATCTAAAATTTGTAAGAAACACATCAATAAATTTTATTGTACTAGTAAAGAAGAACTCAACAAAATGCTTAAAAAGTCCAGATATTGAAAAATCTGAAAAAGAAGAATGCTAAGGTAATTTCAGATATCAAAAAGAAATGACAGCGTTTGACTGAAGTCCAGGATGAGCTGCTTTGGTTAGAGCCACCAACTGAAACAACTACAAACAAAATATTATGAACTTAAGGAGAGAACAGTCTTCCCTTAGGAATGCAGCTATTTCTTATCTAATTCAAAACAACTCCATCGGAAGTATTCAGATGTTCAGGAGAAAGAACCAAACGTAAAGGAAACATAAGATTCATCCAGCCTTCCAGGTGTTATTTAAAGTAGGAACACTTTTGGGAGCTGAAAATCTTCTGTAAAATATCAGCCATCAATGAGAGAAGCTCCTCCACCAGGAATGAGAGACTAGTCTACTAAAATATGCCTATAGAAAGATTACTCTTATGCTACTATGTTACCTTCTGAAACTGTCCTTTTTTTTTTTTTTTTTTTTTTTGAGATAGAGTCTTGCTCTGTCACCCAGGCTGGAGTGCAATGGCATGATTTCGCCTCACTGCTCCCTCCACCTCCTGAGTTCAAGCGATTCTCCTGCCTCAGCCTCCCAAGTAGCTGAGATTACAGGTGTGTCCCACTATGCCCAGTTAATTTTTTTTTTTTTTTGAGATGGAGTTTCACTCTTGTTGCCCAGGCTGGAGTGCAGTGGTGTGATCTTGGCTGACTGCAACCTCTGCCTCCCGGGTTCAAGCGATTCTCCTGCCTCAGCCTCCCAAGTAGCTGGGACTACAGGCGCCCACCACCACACCTGGCTAATTTTTGTATTTTTAGTAGAGATGGTGTTTCACCATGTTGGCCAGGCTGGTCTCAAACTCCTGACTTTAGGTGATCTGCCTGCCTCAGCCTCCCAAGTAGCTGGGACTACAGACGCCCGCTACCACACCTGGCTAATTTTTGTATTTGTAGTAGAGATGGTGTTTCGCCATGTTGGCCAGCTGGTCTCAAACTCCTGACCTCAGGTATCTGCCTGCCTCAGCCTTCCAAAGTGTTGGGATTACAGGAGTGAGCCACTGTGCCCAGCCCTGAAACTGTACTTTTATAAATAAAATTTTTTTCTGCAAAGAAAATAGAAAGGGACTTTAATAGACATTTTTCCAAAGATGATGTACAAATGGCCAGCAAGCACATGAAAAGATGCACAATATCATTATCCATTAGAGAAATACAAACCAAACCACAATAAGATACCACCTCACATCCATTAGGGTGGCTATCATAAAATCAAACAGAAAATAACAAGTGTTGGTGAAGATTTGGAGAAATTGGAACCTTTGTGCACCGTTGGTAACAATCTAAAATGATATAGCTGCTATGAAAAACAGTACAGTGGTTTCTAAAAAATTAAAAATATAATTACTATATGACCTAGCAAGCCCACTCCTGAGTCTAGATATAATCAAAAGAACTGTAAGCAAGGTCTCCAAGGGTCTCCAAGAGATATTTATACACCTACGTTTCTAACAGCACTATTCACAATAGCCAAGAAGTGGATGCAACCCAAATGCCCATCGATGTATGAATAGATAAGCAAAAATTGATAGCTACAAGAGAATTTTATTGAGCCTTAAAAAGAAGGCAATCCGCTCACATGCTATAATATGGATAAGCCTTGAAGACATTATGCTAAGTGAAATAAGCCAGTTACAAAAGACAAGTACTGTATGAATCCACTTATGCAAAGTCCCTAAAGTTGTCAAATTCATAGAGTCAGTAGGATAATGGTTACCAGGGGATGGGGTAAGGAGGAAAAGGGAAATTAACAGGTACAGAGTTTCAAGATCTGTTTTGCAACAATGTAAATAAACTTACATTGAACTGTGCACTTGAAGATGTTCAAGATGATAAATTTTATGTTACATATTTTATCACGGTAAAAAATAACGTGATTCTTTTCCATGGTTTCTCAATTTTAATGTCCTTCATCCAAAACTAAGCCTACTAATTTTCCAGCTCATCTCTAAATGTATGGTAACTTCACCATATGGAAGGATAATAGTAGTTGTTACACTCCTCTGCACCCCCATTCTTCTCTCAGTACCCTACAGCAGGCTTGCCCATCATCTGCAAGACTGAATCAGTTACCATTCTCTTTCCTCAGTTAATCATAAATGGAAATAGACTCGATTCTCTTCTTTGAAGCTTAAAATTGATATTTCCTATTGCTCAGTTTTCTGTATGATTCCTTTTCTGCCTGAAATTTGAAAATCCAGAGAAAAGGCAGATGACTCATGCAACCTACTTTAAAAAGACATTTTTCATTTTATAGCTGATACTCTCCTATTAGTGAAACTTTTATTTCAGCCTGATCCTGCATTCTTACTTTCTATGATTCACATTTGGGTCAGGCAGAGCTTGGCACCTGGTACTGGTTTGGGTCATACAAGTAATTTCATATGTAATTATGAAAGTGTTATTGAAAATATGACCAAATGTTTTCTGTGGGTGTTTTTTGTTTTGTTTTTGAGACAGGGTCTCACTCTGTCACCCAAGCTGGTATGCAATGGTGTGATTATAGCTCCCTGCAATCTCCAACTCCTGGGCTCAAATGATCCTCCTGCCTCAGCCTCCCAAGTAGCTGGGACTACAGGCACACATCATCACACCTGGCTGATTTTTTTTTTTTTTTTGGTAGAGATGGGGTCCCACTATGTTGCCCAGGATGATCTTGAACTCCGGGCCTCAAGTGATCCTCCTGCCTTGGTCTCCCATGATCCTCCTGCCTTGGCCTCCCAAAGTGCAGGGATTATAGGTGTGAGCCACTGTGCCTGGCTAGACCAAATGTTTATATCCCAAATGTTCTGATTCTCACCTCTAATAGTTTTAAACAGTTAGTGATTTCTTTC
Source organism: Homo sapiens (assembly GCF_000001405.40). Lineage (NCBI taxonomy): Eukaryota > Metazoa > Chordata > Mammalia > Primates > Hominidae > Homo > Homo sapiens. The sequence goes on along the minus strand of NC_000012.12, from coordinate 25,090,163 downwards.
TTCAAATTTTCTTCTGCCAAGTCACGGGACCTCTCTTCAAGCTTCACTCTCTTCTCCAAGGTAAACCAGTCACACTTAAATCCCAAAGATAATCTGAGAAATTCTGCCTGTTGTCAAAATAATGTGAGGGTGAGGAAGAGGAGAGAAAACCGGATGTGGTCAGATGTTTCAGTTTAATACTGTTTTATACTGAGGCATTTCTTTCTCCCCCCAGCAACATAATGCTGACATGCACAGGGTTCACCTGCACTGAGTCACAGCCAAGCCAAACAGACACCGAGCATATGAGAGCTTGTGCCAAAACATGAAGTGACTGTAGCAGGTGAGTCTGGAACACTTTTTTAAAAGGAAAAAAAATTTGCTTTAAACTCACCTCCACCTCCTTCTCATTAGCAGAAGTGCTGTAGGATAAGACAAAAAACATATTTAAACATAATCCAACAGAAAAATAAAACATGTTAACATGCTACATGAAGAAGCACTTACTTCTCACTTTGTCTAAGGTTAACCGATTTCACAGTGGTTACAGGAAGAGGGGAAACCACAGAGTCTATTAAAATATAATAAAATATTATTTGGTTAAAAAGGCTTGACCTGTAAAAGCACATTTGATCTAATGTTATATCTCCACTAAACAAAAGTATTTCATTTAAATATGTCTGAGATGATCGCCAGCTAATAATGTATGCACTTAAATTATAATGTTATGCTAAGCTATTGGGATCACAATGCCATTACAATCATTTGTTTATACCTCAGCATGTGAATAGTCTTTCATACTTAAAGATGTCTCAGAATCAAGCAACAGCCCAATTTGTTCTCTTTGCATTTGCATGTTTGCTATACTTGATCCCATGGCTAAAAGCCTAAACCTCCTACTGGTATCCTGGTTCTTCTTTGGATCAAGGCTTTATTAGCAGTAGCAGGAACAGTAGTAGTAATAATAATAGTAGTAATAATAATACTGGTAACAATAACAGTGACAATAAACATGGCATCAACCATGGCTTTATTATATTGCCAATCACAGAGCAAAGCATTTTACACATATGATTTTATGACAACTTTACCAAGGACTATGTATTAGTTATTAAGAGCATTGGATTTAAAGTCAAACAAACTTGGTTTAAGTCTGAGCTTTGTTTGAATCTTACAGTTATGTGAGCTTGAACAAGTCACAAAGTCATTAAGCCATCTAAGATAAGATTGATAAGATAAAGATATCTTATCATCTAAGATAAGATTGATTTTTTTATAATAGTAACTAACTTTTATGAGAACTTTGGTGCCACTTTTCTAAGTGCTTCATACATATTAATTTATTCAATCCTCACAGCAAACCTTCTGTTGTAGATACTTTTATTGTCCACATTTTATAGGCTAGGCAACTGAATCACAATTTACCACCTCACATAGTATTTGGAGGACTAAATAAAACTATGCACATGAAATTAGCCTAGTTCTCAGCATAGAATATATTCTCAATTAAGTGTACTTTTCTTCTTTTCATTTTCCTCTTGCAAATGAGAAAATTGAGACTTAAGGTTAAGTAACTTTCCAAGATCAATAGCTAGTCAGAGATTGATCCCATGTAGAGTCTCTATGACTCCAAAGCCTGAACTCTATCCACTATTCCATCCCAATGGAGGTAGGCTAAGGGGAAAAGCATATTAGCACTTATTCTGTAAATAGGGGCTTTACTTTTAGATGGGATACTAAAAAAGAACTAACAGTAGAGCATAGCATTTGCTACCAACATTCGCTTGGTTCTTAGTTCACAATAGAGCACCAGTTATTACAGGTTTTCTGGGATCGCACAGTCAACACAATGCAAATGTGGCTTTTTGAAAATGACACAAATGGAATCAATAATCGGTCCTATTGACTGACCTTATCCAGAGATGCAGAATTTGTAAGTGACATAGCTTTATTCAGACAGATTTCACCCACAAAAATATCAGCAGAGAACAAAAGTTCACATGGGGATTGAAAGAAACATTCCTTACCTCCTGAAGCATGTTCTTTTTTATGTTCTTCTATTGTTTCTGGTTCCTCTTTGGCTTCCTAAAATCATAAGATTTTACCACTGTACATAGAGTGGAAATACTTCATAACCAGTCATTTTCCTACTTCCTGTCCTCTCCTAAGCCTACTCTGACAAAAACACTCTATAACAGCAGTCCCCAACCTTTTTGGTACCAGGGACCAGTTTCCTGGAAGACAGTTTTTCCACGGGGGTGAGGTGAGGGGGAAACAGTTTCTGAAGGAACCTGTTCCACCTCAGATCATCAGGCGTTATTCTCCTAAGGAACATGCAATCTAGATGGCTCGCTTGCACAGTTCACAATAGGGTTCGTGGGAATCTAATGCCACCACTGATTTGACAGGAGGCAGAGGTCAGGTGGTCATGTTCCCTGGCCTGCCGCTCACCTCCTGCTGTGCGGCGCAATTCCTAACAGCCTCGAATGGGTTCTGATCCCTGGCTCAGCAGCGACTGGGGACCCCTGCTCTACAGTTTTTAATGCTGTTAAGAAGGAAATAAAATTGGCTGCAAGGGCGCTTCCAATCTAGTTGAAGCAAAAAGGGCGTAAATACATGAAAAGATGCAAACATGATGTGAATTACAACAATGCAAACTAGGATTAATTGCCAAATAAATGAGATAGATAAACAAGTGCTCTTAATAGGAAGGAAATGGCAGGGCGCTGTGGCTCACGCCTGTAATCTCAACACTTTGGGAGGCTGAGGTGGGTGGATCACCTGAGGTCAGGAGTTCAAGACCAGCCTGGCCAACATGGCAAAACCCCGTCTCTACTAAAAATACAAAAATTAGCCAGGGGTGGTGGTGCAGGCCTATAATCCAAGCTACTCTGAAGGCTGAGGCAGGAGAATCACTTGAACTGGGGAGGCAGAGGTTGCAGTGAACCGAGATCATGCCACTGCACTCCAAGCTAGGCAGCAGTGCAAGGCTCTGTCTCAACAAAAAAAAAAAAAAAAAAAAAAAAAAAAAGGAAGGAGAGTGGCACCATGACACCATGACTTGAGTAGCATGGAATTTCTGCAGACAAGAAACATGCTGAAGTTTGATGAAGAGGTAGGACTGGATAGATGAAAAGGTAAGGTGTGGGTGATATAGGGCTATCACATGGAGTTTTCTAGATAGGTTTTTGGAGAAATTGTGACAAAGATGGCTGCTAAGACAGTGTTATGTTAGGCTTTTACCGCATATAGATATGTTTTAAGGTCACATAAGGAGTTGTGTGTGGCTGCTGTTTCTAGCTCTTCCTCTCCCATTCGTGATCAATTAACTACTCTACCCCTTTACACAGCACTCCAAGAAAAGTGTTCTCACCAGCTATCAACTCCCTATTGCCAAATCCAGTGGATAATTTTCAGTCTTTATCTTACTTGACCTTACTATAGCATCTAAAATTATCTATACATCCTTTCCTCTTGAAGATTTTTTCCCCTTGATTTCCCTGTTCTGATGCCCCAGCCCCGCGTCACAGCCCGTTCTCAGTCTCCTCTGCCTTCTCTAGTAGATATTGTTAGCCAGGATTCCATTATCCTCAATGCTCCCTTCCTTCCTGCCACAGTCCTTGGGAAATCTCATCCACACACTTGGATTTTTGCTGATAATTCACAAATATATGTCAGCTTTCAAAAACCGCACAGGTGAGTTTATGAATATGGGTATGCAGCCGTATATAAAATCTCCTTACCGACTATCAATGTCTCAGATCAGCCTGAAATTTGACTTGTCTCAAACTGATCTTATTTTACCCCACAAATTCTACTCTCCTTCCTCCTTCCCTACTGTCATGTTATTCTATTCATTCGGTAGGTTAAGCCATAAGCCTGGGTATCTACCGTTTCCCATACCCGTGACATGTCATCATCCTCTGTGAATTCTACCCCTAAATATTTCTCAAATTTATCTCCTTTTCTCCACCTTCACTAAATTCATACTACCTTCATCTCATCTGAATTATTGCCATAGTATCCTAACCAGTCCCACAACTTCCAATGGCAAATTGATCCATTATTTTAAAAAGTGTCTTTATGTCTATATTTTTTTTGAGATGAGAAGGAATTTTATTCTCTCAGAAGATTCTACTATGAAAGAGTAAAGGACTTGAGTTTTCTTCTGTTCATTTTTTACTAGGAGCAACCATTTTCAGCATATGTGCTAGCCAACACTATATCCTACCTATACAGCTGGCCCTCTGTATTTGTGGGTTTGCATCTATGGATTTAACTAAAAAAAATGTAGTTAGGCCTACAATGGTTGTATCTGTACTGAACACACGCAGATTTCCTTTCTTGTCATTATAACTATTTACATAGCATTTATACTGTATTAGGTATCATAAGCAGTCTAGAGATGATTTAAAGTATATAAGAGGATGTGTTAGTGATATGGGAGGTGGGCAGGGAAGTGCTGGATAGAGAAAGGCGGGGTCCCCAGTGAGGGCTCCACCCTCAGGCCTGTGCCTGCAGACCTAAGTGAGAACAGGCACTCCTGTTTTTGTGTCTGAATGTTGTATTTTCCAAGACCACTCTGGCCTACCATGCCCCTCATCCTGTGCCAACATAAACCCGAGACCTTAGTGGGCACACAACACAAGCAGCTGAAGTGAGCACACAACACTGGCAGACCAGCAGACTGGCAGACTGACAATAGTGGAATGACATGGCAGAGAAAGAGAGAAGAGGGGGGATGTCTGGATGCCAAGGGGAGTTTAGCCTGGGGCAGTTGGAGAAGAGTATGGCCTCTGGGCAGCCTGACTCCAGGGGAATACCCCCTTCCCATTCCATACCACCTTCCCACTCCATCCCCCCTTCTGGCTCCGCATCCATCTTACTGAGAGCCACCTCCACCACTCAGTAAAACCTTGCACTCATCCTTCCAGCTCACGTGTGATCTGATTCTTTTGGGACACTGAGCGACAGCTCAGGATACAGAAAGCTGTCACACTGGCCCTCTGCCCTTGTGATAAGGCTGAGGGTCCATTGAGCTAATTAACACACAAGCTGTCTGCAGATGGCAAATCTGAAAGAGCTTTGTAACACACACTCACTTGGACTTTGGGAATCACAGACACTGACCCCTAGATGCTGCCAGGGGGCAGAGCCCAAAAGCGCTTGCCCTGGCCTCTGCAGCTGCTGGTCTGCATGTTCCCCCTAGGGGCTTGAACTATGGGGTGACTAAGCAGGTGAGACACACCACTGCTGCATGTCCTGCAAGGGGAATCAGGGAACTCTCCCGTTTCATTAGGTTATATGCAAATACTATGCAATTTTTATATAAGAGACTTGAGCATTCTCTGATTTTGGTATCTGTGGGGTTCTTGGAATCAATCGCCTCTGGATAACAAAGGAAACGAATGACATCATGTCATTGTTCCAAATCACAAATCCAATCATTTCACTATCTTTAGAATGAAATGCTGAAAAATTTTCATCTACTTTTTTGCCCCAAGTCTGTGCCATGGCCTCCTCTTAACTTGAGTTAGCTTGCATGGGTCTCTGTTTCTTGCAACCAAATGCTTAACTAGAACAATGCTTGTATATTGAGAAGAAAAAAACAATAATACACACACACACACACACACACACACACCCCTCCATGCATACAACATAGCAAGACATAAGCAAGACATAAGCAAGACCCTTGAAGAATCATGAAATTAGACCTGTAGTTACTCTTTAATGATTATTAATTCATAGAAGTGGAAATGAGTCTTCTCTCTCTCTCTCTTTTTTTTCTTTTTGAGACAGGGTCTTGCTCTGTTGCTCAGGTTGGAGTGCAGTGGCATGCTCATTGCTCACTGCAGCCTCAAACTCCTGGGCTCAAGTGATCTGTCTGCCTTGCCCTCCTATATAACTGAGACAACAGTCAAGCACCACCATACCCGGCAGATTTGTTTTTATATTTTGTAGAAACAGGGTCTCCCTATGTTATCCAGGCTGGCCTTAAACTCTTAGGCTCAAGCAATCCTTCCACCTCGATCTCTCAAAGTGCTGGGATTACAGGCATGAGCCACCACTCTGGGCCTAATGAATTTTCTCTTTAAGGAAGGAATTTAACTCTTTTCTCTAATCATTTCCAGCTCTCCTTATGTTTATAGAGCTTTACCATGCAACTGTAAAACTTTCAATGCCATTAACATGGTACTTCCTCCGTGACATGTTTTCTGGCCTGCCATCTCAAGCATTTTTTCTTTCAAAGCACTAAGCACACTCTAATTATTCAGTGATTATCTGTTTCTTCACCTGATTAGAACATATCGTTAGGATAGATACCACCGTTTTATTCAACTTCATTTATTAATGCATTCATTTATTTAAGCAGTCCTCTACTGAGAAATATTTAGCTTGTTTCCAATTGACTTTTGATGAATAAATGAGTGAGCAAATGAATGAATGAACAATAAATTAAGGTGGAGCTAGGAGATCCTAGTTCTGATCCTGTTGTGTGACTTTAGACAAGTCACAAAAACACTTTGGCCTCAACTACTTTGCCTATAAAATATTAATTAAATTATATGAACGTCATAATATTTTGAAAGGATAAATGAGATAATACTTTTAAGACTACTTTTTAGAGGGATAGTTCTACCATTGTAAGATACCACCACCTTTGTTGTGAACATACGTATTTCCTTACCAGATTTAATATGGTTTTATCCTTACTCGTAGAGTCTTGGAATGCAATATTATCATGAGCTGGACTTGTGCCTGTGAGAAACAGGAAACACACAAAGCAGTTAGGGGGGCAGGAGCAAGTAAAAGAGGAGGAAACAGTGAGAGTGGCAATATGGGCTGACCAGTAACTGACAAAGGTCTTAACATATGAGACAAATTATGAACTACAAAAAATGTATACGTGCCCATTGACTCAGAATTAGGATGGAGCAGCTAAGGCCGTAAAAGATTTCTTAAAAGAAGTGAACATCTGTACAAATGGCCTTCTAATAGGATTTTTTAAAAATCATTTTTTAGGCTGCTGCTGCTTTTTTTAATGGAACACATGACTGGTACAATAATAGAAAGTGGAGGGCGGAAGGATGAACAATTGGTAACTTAGTAGCTTTTTTAATAGCTTAACAAATTTTCTTTCAATATTGTATTTGCAAGGCTGATAACAAAAAATATGATATCCTTCTAAAACATGGTAGCTTTCTAAATTAAATGTCATGAAACCAAGAGGAAAAGATGCATTTTTAACTTGTGCCATTCCTTTTGGTAATTTCTGTTTATTTTTATGTACTTTATTTGTACTGAAATGTACCGGATAATTATTCTCCTGTTTACTCAGTCCATTGTCCTACATTTAGTTCAGTGCAGGCACAAAGGTCAGCAGATACAGGCAGGTTTTGTTTCTTCCTTTTTAAGAGAAAAATATTTAAAGCGTGTATTATATTTGTAAAATTTATATGGAAATAAGAACAAAATGGTAAGCAATTTCTTCACAGCTATACAATTTTTTCCTTATGAAAATTTTATTTTAGGTTTTTTGTTTTGTTTTGTTTTGTTTGTTTTTGTTTTTTGTTTTTTTTTTGAGACAGGGTCTCACTCTGCCACCCAGGCTGGAGGGCAGTGGCGCAGTCTCAGCTCACTGCAACCTCCGCCTCCCAGGCTCAAGTGATCCTACCCCCTCAGCCTCCCAAGTGTCTGGGACTGCAGGCATGCACCACCATGCCCAGCTAATTTTTGTATTTTTTTGCAGAGACGGGGTTTCACTATGTTGCCCAGGCTGGTCTTGAACTCTTGAGTTCAAGCAATCCTGCTGCCTCAGCCTCCCAAAGTGCTGGAATTATAGGCATGTGCACCGTGCCTAGCCCTTACTTTAGTTTTTAAAAAATTTTAGGACAAGTAGTAGATTCATATGGTTCATAAATCAAAAAGCGTAAAAATGTTTTACAGTGAAAATTTTTCCTCCCATCCATGACTTCCAGAAATCCAGTTTATCTCCCTAGACACAATGTTATTAAATTTTGTCTAGCTTTCCAGGGATATTTCATGCATACATAAAAACTTTTTCTTTGAGACCAGCCTAGGAAACATAGTGAGACCCCATCTTCACAATTTTTTTTTAATTAGTCAAATGTGGTGGCTTGCACCCGTAGTCCCAACTACTGAGGAACCTGGGACAGGAGGATCATGTGAGCCCAGGAGTTTGAGGCTGCAGTGAGCTATGATTGTAACACTGCACTCCAGCCTGGGCAACAGAGTAAGACCGTCCCCATGTGCACCAAAAACCAACTTTTTCTGTCCTTTTTTTCACAAAATTGTGTACACTATACTTAACATTCTGTACTTTTTTCCCCCAAGAAACAGTAGTCCTTTTATGTTATTGTAAGAAAAAAGTCTCCTTATTTATGTTTTATGCCTGCATATTAGTATTCTATTACATGGATATGCCAAAATCTAATATTTTGTTATTACAGACAATGCTGCAATATATAAGCATTTGCATATGTTATTTGGGATGTGTGTGCATATTATCTATAGGATAAATTCCTAGAAAATGAATAGTTGTATCAGAGGATATATACATTCAACATTTTGATAGATATTAGAACATTTCTCTCCACATTATAGTAGCCCTCCCTTATCCAAGGTTTCACTTTCCATGGTTTCAGTTACCTGCTGTCAACCATGGTCTGAAAATATTACATACAATTGTATATATTTGAGACGGAGTCTTGCTCTGTTGCCCAGGCTGGAGTGCAGTGGTGCAATCTCAGCTCACTGCAAGCTCCGCCTCCCGGGTTCACGCCATTCTCCTGCCTCAGCCTCCCGAGTAGCTGGGACTACAGGTGCCCGCCACCACGCCTGGCTAATTTTTTGTATTTTTAGTAGAGACGGGGTTCCACCGTGTTAGTCAGGATGGTCCCTCGATCTTCTGACCTCGTGATCTGCCTGCCTCAGCCTCCCAAAGTGCTGGGATTACAGGCGTGAGCCACCACGCCCAGCCACAATAATATATTTTGAGAGAGAGAGAGACCACATTCACATAAGTTTTATTACAATATGTTGTCAAAATTGTTCTATTTTATTACTAGTTATTGCTGTAAATATCTAATTAATAAATTAAACTTATCGTAGGTATGTCTATATAGCCAAAAACATAGTGTGTATAGGATTTGGCACTATCAGTTTTGGGAATCCACTGGCGGTCTTGGAATGTAGCCCCAGTGAATAAAAGGGGACTACTATATTTACAAAAAGTTAGATTCCCTACAGCACTTTTCTTTTGTTCTTACAACTTTACCAACAGAGTGTAATCAAATTTGTGCCTCTTTGTCTATATGATAGGTAACAAATGGAACCTTGGTGTATTTTTAATTAAAAGATTTACTTATTAGACATAAGGTGGAGTATAAAGACATTCTGTAATTAACCCATGAAATGGATTCCATTTCTGCAATTTTGTGGCTATTCTATTTTAGCACCTCTATCTCAAACTTAAACGTCGAGTTAAAACGATAGAATGTATTTTCCTTGGCCAGGCGCGGTGGCTCACACCTGTAATCCCAACATTTTGGGAGGCCAAGGAGGGTGGATCACGAGGTCAGGAGATCGAGACCATCCTGGCTAACACGGTGAAACTCCGTCTCTACTAAAAATACAAAAAAATTAGATGGGCGTGGTGGCGGGCACCTGTAGTCCCAGCTACTCGGGAGGCTGAGGCAGGAGAATGGTGTGAACCCGGGAGGCGGAGCTTGTAGTGAGCTGAGATCATGCCACTGCACTGCAGCCTGGGCGACACAACGAGACTCCGTCTCAAAAAAAAAAAAAAGATAAAAGAAAAAGAATGAATTTTCCTTGATTGATTTTTTTTTATGGGAATTAGAGCCTATTCCTCCCATGAATGTCAACTAAAGTGGTGTCTCACTGGGAATGGTCGAGAATAACTACATTGTTTTCAGAGTCAAGTAGCAGAAAAGGACCTAACAAACCAACTGGTTAGTTCTGTTGCCTCTGGGTGGACCATTGCTAATTGCTCCATCGTTCTAACCTGATAAATTCGAACTAGGATTCCAAGAATTTCCTAAGCAGATGATGTCACTTCTGTGCTACAGTTGAAACCCAGTAAATTCCAGTCAATCTTTGCCATAGGAAATATTTGTCCCATTACAATATATCATAATTTTTGTTCTGGCTACAAAATCGAAAAAAATTGATACCATCCTTATGTGTGAAAGGCCATGGTTAGTTACCACTTGGATTTCTTTTCTGCAGACTATATCTTCAAAATTGTTTTATAAGAATTATTTTACAAAAAAAATTAAATAACATTATTGAGCTAGTGTGGATAGTTACTTCACTAGCTTATAGACTTGCTTCGTGTTTTAGAATTAAAATCATGCTTACACCTGTCAACATTTTACCTTGGGCCTCTATCGTGGGAGAAGCTGATCTTGTATCCTCCTCTTTCTTACAGAGCGAGTTTCTGTCAAGGTCACAAGAAGCCATATTCAGAATTTCTAATCCAGGATCTGTCAACAGGAGAAACAAATGGTGCGAATACTATGCACATAATATTATATATAGTGTATTTAACTATACTATGCAAAAGGAGTATTTGCCTATGTTCTTCTCATTTGCTCACACCCCAGCAGGTCACAGAACATCAGGCTGAAAGCTGTAATACTAACAGTCTATTTTAATATTATTTCCAAATCCACTTACCACTTGAAGTTATAGTACCGTCTGTCGATGAAGTGTGTCTGGGTAATGGTAGTGAGGAATATTCCCTGCCAAAAAGATAGCAAACATGTTTTGGAATGTCAGGTCCAAATAATTCTCTTAAAACCAACTAAATATGCATACAAATTCACACACACAACACAAACAAGCAAACCTGGACTGCAGCAGGCTCTCAGGACACACGCGTTCAACACCATTCTCCTTAAGGAAAAAGAAAGGAGACATAAGTTCAACAATTTGACATTTTCCATTCCAAAGAGGTTGTTTTAAGCAAACATTTTCATACAATTCTAAATGAACCCATATTTACTCAGCTCTTTTGGAAAGGATATGGGAATGGGATGGTATAGGGCAGATGGATATACACACTTCCTCAAAGCTGCACTTACCCAAAAATCCAATATTAAGTATATTTACAAGTCTGATATTTAAAAAAATCTGATAAAAATTTTGGGCAAAACAAATTCTAAACTCAAATGGCAGATAGGGTTTATTTCATACGCTTAAGTCAAGTTTTCTTTAAACAGAAAATTCTACAAGGGCATGAAACAACATTTCTATGTGTGGGAATAGCACTCAACCTAAAATTTCTGACCTGGTAATTTTAAAATTGCTCTTAGTTTTCTAGCTAGAAAAATCATGCATTTCAAACTTAATCCATATCTGAGAGATCTGAAGGATTACATCTAAGTTAGCACCTATTACTTGATTCTCAAAAAGAGCTTAACAAAATTATAGTCCCAGCCTGCCAGGGCAAGTGTTTGAAAGTTTCTATGAACCTCTTAATTTCTACAAGGAATTCCTATTTTGGGGGTAACTTTAGGGCATTAAAGTTGTACAACTTTCTTTTTCAAAAAATACAGTGAGAACATAGTTTCATTTCTAATAACAAGCTTTTCTAGTATATTATTTTAATTATTTGATTTAGTTTAGAAAAATAAATTAAAATTCAATAAAACTGAAATCATTCAGACATATGGAAAACCTACACAAAGTAAAAAGAAGGCATTTAGTTATTCCATAATCAGAACTTACTAACTGTCACAACCAACAATAGGTTCCCATGGGGGAATATTGTATATCAAACACAGTATTTAGAATCAGTCCCAGAAAGTATCTCCCATAGTCACAGACAAGTAAAGTACAGGTTTACTAAGGGTTTGCTGAATTTGTATTTATCCAGTACAATGATAGTAGCTTATATATGTTTAGTACATTAAAATTTACAAGAGCCCTTTAATATATCATCTCATTTAATTCTCCCAACAACCTTAGCAGATTTTAGCAAGAAAAGATTTACTTATTACAGGTAATGAAATGAAGGCCAGTTAATAAGGTAATTTCCCAAGACCAGTCAGAATGGTGGAGTCAGCTTTCAAACACATATCGAACTAAATACAGTGTCTTCTCCACTGTAAACAAAACCAACTTGGGCATACCCTAACCTAGGCTATTGGAGAGGAAAAGACTTCCCAATTATTGTCTTAGACTGGTTGATGATTTTTAATGTAGACTTGTAAGATGTTCACCTCAAATGTTTAGAAAAATCTACAATCGAACTTGCAAAGCGAGGATTTATACCTACTTCTGCATCAATGATGTTGGTCAACTTTTTCTCTTTTTTACTTCATTTTGTTTCTGCCTTAAGTGACTTTGGGTCAGTTCATACATGACTGAAACCCCTCATGACACCAGTTTAATTTAATTCAACAAACTTTCATCCAAAGCCCACTTTGTGCTAGGAACAGGGACAAGGGCTAAAGATTATATATAAACACACAGTTCTTATCCTGAAGAAGCCCGTAGGCCAAGCATGGAGAGAAATATATAATACAAATCCTACTCTACAATTTATAAGCAGCATGCCACAGAGGAAAGTAATATGCACAGGGCAGAATTAACAGCGTGGGGATATCTGAATTCAATTTTAAAGAGAAACTGTACCTTAAATTGTAGTTACGTGATAATGGCCCTATTTTAAAATATTTAAATAAATTATATTAGTAATTTTTATGTTTATTTAACTATACTATTATGTGTATATATATTTCATATATATATCATATATATATTTCATATATATCATATATATCATATATATATTTCATATATATATCATATATATATCATATATATCATATATATTTCATATATATATCATATATATTTCATATATATTTCATATATATATCATATATATATTTCATATATATATCATATATATTTCATATATATCATATATATATTTCATATATATATCATATATATATGAAATGAACAAGGCACGGTGGCACACGCCTGCAATCTCAACACTTTGGAAGGCTGCAGTGGAAGGACTGTTTGTGGCCAGGAGTTTGAGACCAACATGAGCAACATGACAATACCCCATCTCTACTAAAAAATGAGCAGGGCACAGTGGTGTACACCTGCGATTGCAGCTACTTGGGAGGGTGAGATGGGAGGATTGCTTGAGCCCAGGTGGTTAAGGTTGCAGTGAGCTGTGATCATACCACTGCACCCCAGCCTGGGTGACAGGGCAAGACCCTGCTTTAAAAAAAATGAAAAGAAAGAAAGAAAACAAAAGAAAGGAAGCTATAAAAAAAGGAGAAAATTAAATATCCTTCAGTTTTATTGAGTGTAACCCTTCATAAAAATCAATAAGAATTGATTTCTTAATAATAATAAAGTATAATATCCTAACACATATAAACACATTGTTACTATCTGTAGCATGAAATAACATTTATTATTGCACTATAACTAAAAAACACTACACACTTGTCAGAAAAGCCTTCATTTTGTACCTGTCAAGATCATGGGTATTCATATTTAAGAAATATGAAAGAGAATGCAGTTCTTATTTTCTATTCCATTATGCCAGTTTCCAGTTTGGGGAAAAGAGAGTACATCATTTCTGCAAACCTTTTCAAAAAAAGGTCTAATTAGTATTTAAAGCCAAAGTAATAAATACAGTAAAAATACAGTTTGCCTCCATTATGTTACATATCAGTCTCATTTGCCCTAATGCTCTGTGTAAGGCCTTCTTTTGCCCTATACGTTAGATATGAAACATTGTAGTTAGAAGTCTTTCAATAAATACAAAATATTTATTGATTAAACAAATAATTATGTGATTTTGGAGAAATTGCCTATGTTTAGTAGCCATTTAATACTACCTTGTTGTGGAACAGTAGCAAGGTAAGCAACTGGATGTTATTCTCAAAGCACTCATCTTTGTAAAAGTCAGTAATCAGAAAACAACCCAATATACAACATATCCCAATCCTAAGTTTTCACAAGTTTGGTCTAATGACAATTTTTTTTTCTTCTTGTGAGACTAACTAGAGTAAAGAAGATTTTTTTTTTGATCTGGTTTCAAATTTAGGACAACAGTTCATGAAAGCTGGAGATGAAACCCTCAAGGGGTTGGGGCAAAAACTTTCCACATTTGGGCTCTTTTCTTCTAGCTTCTAAAGCCACCTCTATTTAAACCAGCAAACCAGGCCCACAGCAGAACATAACCAGCACGCACCAACTGTGACACCTGGACAGATCATGAGAAAGATAATCTACTAGATATAATTTAAAATCAAGGAAAATAAAGAATAAGAAAAAGAAAGTTCAGATGAGAGATTCACTTACATGTAGAAGATTGGCTCAAGTCAATGAATCTAACACATGCCGATAGCACAGAGCAGGGAGAATGCTCTTTCTGTCCAAGCCATTCAAATATTAACCTGCATAACATTTACATGAAAAATCCATGGTCCAGCCCATTTGCTTTTGACAGCAAGAGTCTAATGTAGGGTGGGGTAGCAAAAGTACTCATGGAAAAAATGAAACAGATTCTCCCATGGGCTGGGTCAGCAAACACAGGAGACACACATACACACACACACACACACACACACACACACACACACGCATACACACACACAGCAATATTATTTCAATATTTAGATTGAACAACATGAACAATAAAAAATAACTTTTAAGATTAATTGGCCTAATATCCCAGGATTATTTTATTTTTGCTCTTTTATATGAAATACTAAACTACAGATTTTGTGATCAGAAACCTTCTACTAATAAATATTTATGGTTCCAATGTAATGTTTACTATTTGACCCATTTTAGATAACTGATACTTAAATAAACGTGATTTTCTGAGAACAAAAAAATAACTTAACAAAGAGTCTATTAGACTTACTTCTGACTTGACTCAGCGTCTGTTTAAATGTTCCAAAAAGAGGAACAATGCTAAGTTGAATTTTAAAAGATTAGAACTACTGGAACCTAAACAAAGCTAAATTTGCTTATAGGTTTGCATTTATTTTTTCTCTTTCTAACTAAAGGTATACCACACCCTCAGATCTACAGGTTACACCCACCACTTTCAGGTTCATTTATAATATAGTTATCAGTCAACTTCTACATGTTCCAATTTTGCAACTGGCAATGTTATTTATTCTCCAAGGTTATTAATGCTGCACCCACATACAACTTGGAAGAACAGGACAGACAATAGCCAGAAAATCTTCTGAGATATTTTTAAATTGATCCTGTTCTTGGCCTTAATAAATCACCGCCTCCCAGTGATAGTACATCTTAGACAAAAGCATGTAATAACATGAAGGATAACGCAAAGAGAGACAAGACACTTAATATTTGGTATATGTAATTTTTTTAACAGCCAAAAGAAAAACAGAGAAATTCATCTCCAAATCATTGGCTTGTTTCAAGATATACTCTGGCCTTCATGCTGCTGATAATTCTGATTCTGGGAAATATGACCAGCTAATTTTCTTTTTGAGGTTTTACTATGATTCAGGTATTTTGCGTATGTTACAGAGTATCTTGGTGGGGTCAGAGTTGAGACTGAAGTAAGATAGAAGGAAGAATCAACTTTGTTGTCATAGGACAGTGTGGACAACAAACCAAAAGAACTGCAGAGACATGAGTCGTGAAACCAACTTCTTGGCCCCACAATTTCTCGAGAGGTTAAAAGTCTGCATGGAAGCCACTAGTCGGTGAGGCCTGAAGAACATGGGGATATATTTGGTATTCACCTCTGGAACTCACTGGAAATGTTGGGAAATGACTCCATGAAAGGAAAGGCCTTCTTAGTCATCAGCAAGTGGGGAAACAAGGCATTGAGAGGCAGTGTCTTGCCTCTACATATGACCTAGTTGGTTTGTTTCCATGGACAGGTTAGGCCAGAACTCAGTGATACAGATATGTGGAAATATATGTATATATGTAAAGTATTTGTGTGTGTTTATTTGAATCCTCAAAAGAACTATGAAAATCAATGTCTATTTCACAGGGGACACAGCAAATTCAGACAGGTTAGGTCATGTGTCCAAGTTCACACAGCTAATAAGTAATAAAGCCAGTCTTCAATCTAGATGTGCTTCATTCTACAGCCTATGCTATGTGGCTAAAGATTCTAGAGCATTACTAGGAAAAATTTCAGATAAATACAAAAGTAGACAAAACAAAGAATCTAATGAATCCTGGTATATCCGTCATGCAGATTCAACAATTACCAACCTATGGCCAATCTTGTTTCAAACTCTCACCCTCTAAACCTTGTTTTGAAGCAAATGGCAGACATCATAACATTTTTATCCGTAAATATTTCAGAATGAATCTCCAAAAGATAAGGACTGGAAATAATTTGTTTCCTTCTTTCCTAACTACACCAGAATATCCCAAATAAACTAATTTATTGGGTGAATAAAGAAGTTCTTTCTTCCTCAAGAATGTCCCAAACAGGGCTCCAAATTATTTTACTTTGAGATGTTCTTTTTGAGACATTAACCTTGTTAGCGTTCTTTGCTCTCCCAAAGACCTGCTTATGAATAATGATGTTCACTTTTATATTGCACTGTGCCTTCTGGGAAAGATATTAGAAGACAGCTTCCTCTGTGAATATGGGGAAGGAACAGAAAGTAAATCTCAAGTTCTTAGGAGCACCAGCCCAAGAAATGAGTCAGAAAGCAGTAAGCTAATTGAGTGCTCACTCTCAGTGTTTTAAACAGACGTTGTAGTGAGTACAACCTAAATAAATAGGCATTCAACAAATATTATTGGGCAGCTACTGTATATAATCCTATGCAGGGTGCTACATGCGCATTGGTTAATGGCCAAATAAAGGTACTGTCCAGCAATTTTATCACCTAATACACAAATAAATATAAGAAAATAAATAACTACAATGCAAACCAGCATACAGATGACAAGAAATGTGGGGCACAGAGAATTACAAGGGTCTTAAAGAAGGAAGTGAGCTTAGTTTTTTTCTGAGTTGGATCATTGAGAAATGAGGAAACAGGCCTGAAAACACGACTTTCCCAGACTCACACAGAGGCCAACCCACAGAAAAACCTCATCTCCCCACTCTTAATCCATTATGATTTCCACCTCAAGAAGGACTGGAGATGCTTGAATGTCAACATTTTATGCTACCACAAAAAAAGTTTTTATTGGTTTTTGAAATGGGGCTTGACAGTCTAATAGAATTTTGATAAATGGAAAAGCATACATTGTTCTGGGCAAAGAAAACAGCACAAACACGTTTGCGTGATATATTCTGACAATATAGGCTACCTGGTTTGGCTGACGTACAGGCACAACCATACACAACAATGGGGAAATAAAGGTAAAAAGGTAGACTGCAACCAGTTTAGAGAGGGACTCCAATACCAGGTCAAGTTGTTTGTTATAAGGCTGTAGAGATTGACAGAATCCATCATTTAGAGACAAGGAGTTAAGAAAACACCCATCGTCTGGGGTGTCCACTGGGATGATAAACATATATTATGTTTTTAAAATAATTTATATCTTATATTTTACTCTAATTCCCTGTAATTATTACCAATGACAATGCTTAGAAAAGCGTTTTCTAAGGAGAGCTTTCTATTTTCTTAAGAGATAATGTGAGTATAAAATGATGGTAGGTGGGGAGTTGCTCAAGGGACAAGGGTCAGAGGCAGAGAGTACAGTTACCAGGCTGTTGAGATTCTCCAGTGGAGCAGAAACCTGGAATGGGAAGGTTGAGAATTGGTGGGATCAGTCAGAAGGTGCAGCCAACAGACTAATTCCTGGGCTGTTGCAAACTACAGAAGACACAAGAAAATCTTCAGGGAACTTACAGGAGCATGTGACTGGAGGCTCGATTGTGATGTCTGTTAGCACCTATTTCTTTTTTTTCTTTTTCTTTCTTTTTTTTTCTTTTGAGATGGAGTTTCGCTCTTGTCGCCCAAGCTGGAGAACAATGGCACGATCTCGGCTCACTCAACCTCCTCCTTCCGGATTCAAGTGATTCTCCTGCCTCAGCCTCCCAAGGAGCTGGTTTTACAGGCGCCTGCCACCATGCCTGGCTAATTTTTGTATTTTTTAGTAGAAATTGGGTTTCACTACATTGGCCAGGCTGGTCTCAAACTCCTGACCTCAGGTGATCCACCTGCCTCGGTCTCCCAAAGTGCTGGGATTACAGGCGTGTGCCACTGCGCCCAGCCCAGCTCCTATTTCTTAATGGGTGTGAAGCACAGACAAAACCACGCAGTCACATATCCTAATAAGAGTCAATATGGAGGTCCTTTTAGATATAAAAGGCAGTACATTTCTTAGCCAAAAAAAAAAAAAAATACTTTCAAGGTAATGCTAAGTAATTATGATTAAAATGTCTAAATTCAGTGTACTAAGAGTAGCCATGACAAAGGCCTGTATCCTTTGAAGCTGGACAAATCTGAATTTTAATCCCAGGTTTGTTATTTATTAATTGAGTGATCATGGGCAAGTTATTTAACTCCCTCAACTTCAGTTGCCTCCTTTGTAAAAAGCAGAGAAGTGTGGAGCAGATTAATCACATGGCATGTGGGAATGCTTTTGTACAAAGTTCCTGGCACACAACTGATATTTGTTTCTTCCTTCTTCTTGGTAAACTCGGTGCCAGATAAAAGGGAAATTACTAATAACCAAACATCCTGTAAGCTTCCAAGTTCAACTTCCTTTACTAAAACTTTATAAGAATTGCTAGGTAAGAGCAAGATATATTTTTAAAAATTTTCAATTTATTTTTATTTTTATTTTTTGAGATGGAGTCTTTTCCTGTTACCCAGGCTGGAGTGCAGTGGCGCAATCTCGGCTCACTGCAACCTCTGCCTCCTGGGCTCAAGCAATTCTCCTGCCTCAGCCTTCCAAGTAGCTGGGAGTATAGGTGCCCGCCACCTAATTTTTGTATTTTTAGTAAAGATGGGGTTTCACCATATTGGCCAGGTTGTTCTTGAGCTCCTGACCTCAAGTGATCCGCCCACCTTGGCCTCTAGGTAAGAGCAAAATAGATTCATTTCCTTTTTCTTAGCTGCTCAGACAGGTATTTATGAACAAAAACAATGCCATATACCCACTCAACAGGAAGAATAACAACAACTTGTACAATTCAATAGTGAAAAGAAATATAATCCCATCTTTAAAATGAGCAAAGGATCTGAGTAGACTTGTCTCCAAAGAAGTTATACAAATGGCCAACAAACACATGAAAAGATGTTCATTATTAATCATGAGAGAAATGCAAATCAAAAATACAGTGAGGTATCACTTTGCACCCACAAAGATGGCTTTAATAAAAAATAGGCAAATATTTAATGAGGATACAGAGAAACCGGAATCTTCATACATTGCTGTTGGAAATGTAAAAGGATATAGCCACCCTCGAAGTCTGTTTTGCAGTTCCTCAAAAACATTAAACATAGAGTTACCATATGATGCAGTAACTCTGCCACAGGAATACACCCAAAAGAATTAAAAACATGTTTACACAAAAACCAATACACTGATGCTCATAATAGCATCACTTGCAATAGCCAAAAAGTAAAAACAACTCAAATGCCCATCAGCTGATGAATGGAAAAACAAAATGTGGTGTGTATCTATACAGTGGAATATTATTGAGCCATAAAAATGAATGAAGTACTGATATCATGCTATGACATGGATGAATCTTGAGAACCTTATGCTGAGAACCTTGAGAACCTTAACTGAAAGAAGCTGGGCACAGAAGGCCATATATTGTATGAATCCATTTATATGAGATGTCCAGAATAGGCAAATCTATAGGACAGAAAGTAGATTAGTGGTTGCCTCCAGCTGGGGGTTGGGGACAGGAGGAAATAGGGAGAGACTACCAATGGGTACGCAGTTTATTTCTGGGGTGATCAAAGTATTCTAAGACCGATTGTGGTGATGGTTGTACAACTCTGTGAATATACTGAAAGTCATTTAAGTGAATAATTTAAATTAATGAATTGTCTGGTGGGTGAATTATATCTCAATTAAAATGTAAAAGAAAGAAGAATGATGGACTGCCAGATCCTGAAACAGAACTGCCTGCTCTGTTTGATTGAGAAGATCACGAGGCTCAGGGTGCAGACTGTGGAAGGCATTCCAACCACATCTCAATGATAGAGACAGTGACCTAAGTGACCTTCTCAGGTCATTTAGCATTATTCTCTTCTTGGGTAGAAAAGTGGCATTAGCACCTAACTTTGCCAATTAATACCTTACTACTCTCCATGGGCATGGCCGTGCTTTGTGGTCTTTGACAAAGGGTACCAGCCCCTCAAAGATTATCCAGCCTCGACCTCAATTCTTGGAGAATCAATGGGATCTGAGGCTTCTTACAGTCATTCGTGAATTTAAGTCCCAAACCAGCCTGCCTCTCAAACAAAAAGTTTAGCTCACTTCATTGAAATCTCTTTTTGGTTCTATAACCCACAGTGCATACTAAACACAGGGTAGAAAGCCCTCATATTAAATAATTTTAATTTCTTGACTTCAAAGGTTGCTATTTCTCATGCATCTGAGTTTTGGAATAGCAGACTCAGACTTGCTACAAGAATATCCATAATACTTAAAAAATAAAAAAGACAGGGAAAAAGAATACCCATAGAAGAAGAACAGGATATGGTAATACTGAAAATGAAACCAAAATCCAGTCCAACACTCACTTCCATACTTGGGTCATCATTCATCCTGATGCAGCCTGAGAGATTCGTTCCTGGGCTGGGGCCACTTGTGGGGCCTGGGCACCTGGCAGTAGGAAGTAGAGTTATTTACTACAGGTGAAAAAACTGCAAATCTTAGCAGATACTAAACTATAACATGGTTCTCACTCCCCTACGCCCAGTCCTAATTTTATCAAATTTCTAATTAAGTTCATGGTTTAAGTAACACATAATGAAAGAGAGTTCCCACCTCCATCAGAGAGAGGTTACAAACAACAGAGAATCCAGTCAAAAATGAAAATGAAGCATTTGCAATTCAAAGCCATCCTTCCTCACCCTCAATATAGAAGGGAAATTTTATTGAGGTAGATTAGGCCCTCACAAAATGCACTGACATTTTTTAATGTTTCCTAAGGAAGATGAGTCTGTATACTTAAAAAGGCAGGTGCAAATGAGCACCGAAGGAGGATGAGGGCAGGGACAGGTATAGGTTCCCAAAGGCTTGTTAACCTTGAGTGTGAAAGAAACAGAAATAGGATCAAAACCTGTCTAAGTTAACTTAGGAGGATGTCGTTGATATTGTGATCAATGCCCCCAGTTCCTGAGACAGACCTCCTAAAATCCTTGTAGACAGAGGTGCTAGGGGAATCTTTACTCTAATATTTGGTCTCTGATCCTGGTTCCTGATACGGAGTGTCTAAGACCTTGTAATTTCCCGAGTGATAGGAGTGTTTGACGCGAAGCTCCTGAATCTCTTGAAATTTCCTGAGTATTACGAGCATCTTCTGTTCTAACGCGGTATCTCTTGGTGGGCTTCTGGATAGCCTCAGGATGAGGGGCTGGTTGCCAGGGGAACCAATCTGTGGTTTGAGCGTTGGAACTTTCAACTCCACCCTGCCAAGCTCCTGGGAGGGGAGGGGGCTGAGGTGATCACCAATGGCCAATGATTTAATCAATCGTGCCTAGTAAAGCCTCCATAAAAACCTGAAAGGACAGCACTTGGAAAGCTTCTGATTTGGTGAACTAAAACATAGCCATGTGCTGGGAAGATGGCACACCCCAACTCCACAAAGACAGACCCTCCTGTGCTCGAGACATTTCCAAACCTTTCCGATGTATCTCTTCATCTGGCTGTTCATTTGTATCCTTTAAAATAGACTTTGTCACCTGGCACAGTGGCTCACACCTGTAATCCCAGCATGTTGGGCGGCTGAGATGGGAGGATCACTTGAGTCCAGGAGTTCAAGACCAGCCTGGGCAACATGGAGAAACCTTGTCTCTGTGAAAAATACAAGGTCAAGTGCTGTGGCTCACACCTGTAATCCCAGCACTTTGGGAGGCTGAGGTGGGTGGATCACCTGAGGTCAGGAGTTCAAGACCAGCCTGGCAAACATGGCGAAACCTTGTCTCTACTAAAAATTCAAAAATCAGCTGGGCATGGTGGCAAGGGCCTGTAATCCCAGCTACTTGGGAGACTGAGGCAGGAGGATTGCTTGAACCCGGGAGGCAGAGGTTGCAGTGAGCCGAGATCATGCCACTGCACTCCAGCCTGGGCAACAGAGTGAGACTCTGTCTCAAAAAACAAACAAAAAAACAAAAATTAGCGGGGTGTGGTGGCAGGCACCTGTGGTCTCAGCTACTCAGAAGGCTGAGGTGAGACAATCACCTGAGCCCAGGAAGTCAAGGTTTCAGTGAGCCCAAATTACTATTGTACTCTAGCCTGGGTGACAGAGTGAGATCCTGCCTCCAAAAAAATAAATTTAAATAAATAAATAAATGAATAAAATAAACTTTGTAGTAAGTGGATAAATGTAAGGAAAGTGTTTCCCCGAGTTCTGTGAGCTACTCTAGCAAATTATTTGAACCCAAGAAGGGGATCTTGGCAACCCCCAATTTATAGAGAGTTGGTCAGAAGCACAGGTCACAGTCTGGAACCTGCAAGGGGCATCTCAAGCAGGGACCAGCCTTGTGGAACTGAGCCCTTAACCTGTGGAATCGGATGCTATTTCCAGGTAGATAACGTTGGAATTGAACTGAATTACTGGACGCCCATTTCATGTCGGCTGGAGAAGTGATTGGTGTGTGGAAAATTGCTTGGAGTGTGGGGAAAAAAACCCCCACACATCTGGTATCAGAAGTGTGGTATTGAGACTACAGTAGGAAAAAACACTCCATTGGTGAGTGTGTTTTTCCTTTAGATTAGAAGATTAGTCTGTGTACTTAAAGAGGAAGAGGGTAGGGTGCAGGGACAAGGACAGGTTCCCAAAGATGTGTTAACTTTGAATGTGAAAGAAAGAGAATTATGATCAAAATCTACCTATGTTAACTTAGCAGTCTACGGTATAGTCCTAAAAAGTGGAAACATTTTAGGTAGTCTAATTTGTCTTTTAAGCTTTAGAGTGGTATTATGAAATTCAAGAAAAGCAAGAAAACTACACTTCAAGAAAACTACAGCAATAACTTTATCTCAAAATTGTAAATTTTCGGCTGGGCGTGGTGGCTCACACCTGTAATCCCAGCACTTTGGGAGGCCGAGGAGGGCAGATCACTTGAGGCCAAGAGTTCGAGACCAGCCTGGCCAACGTGGCAAAACCCCATCTCTACTAAAAATACAAAAACTAGCTGGGCATGGTGGCATGCGTCTGTAGTCCCAGCTACTTGGAAGGCTGAGGCATGAGAATTGCTTGACCTCGGGAGGCAGCCGAGATCACATCACTGCACTCCAGTGTGGGCAAGAGAGCGAGATTCCATCTCAAAAAAAAAAAAAAAGAAAGAAAGAAATTGTAAATTTTCAGGAAGTTAGAGAAGTTCGACAATAAAGATGTGATCTCACGTTATGAAAATCTGACCAATTAAAATGTTAGGCAATGGGAATGGGCCACCCATGAGGAGTAGAGTAAGTAAATTTTGCTCTTAACCTACTTGTGTTGTCTTTTTACATCCAAAGCACCATCCTTTACTTCTCCATATGTGGGCCTTTCACACAGAGTGTGGATTTGGTTGGCTACACCTGAGAAAGGTGTTGATTCCAGGGTTGGAACTGCTGTAAAACTATCCAGAGATAAGGCATCTGCAGTAGAACAGAAAAAAATAAAAATAGAGACCAATTTCTGGTTCAAACTATATTGAAGCATAAAGTCTTTCCTTCTTGAGAGACTGAAAAAGTGAAAGTTAACCCGCTTCTATTCACATTTTAACATAAACTCCCTTGATGCCTAATCACAGAGGGTAAAAACGTCAAATGCTTAATTTTAACAAAGCATTTGGGAATGATAGTAATATTAATATATATAAAATAATTTTAGTTCTAATAATAATATTTACAAAATAATAATTTCAAAAAAGTTTTTTTAAGTGTGGGAGAGGTCAGAAAACCCCTGCCCACTAAGCAACTAGAGAGGTTAACAATCTACAGCCAGCGGGTGAAAATCCAGCCAGCTGCCTGTTTTTGTAAAGTTTCACTGTAGCCAGATGTGGTGGCTCACGCCTGTAATCCCAGCACTTTAGGAGTCCGAGGCAGGTTGATTGCTTGAGCTCAGGAGTTTGAGACCAGCCTGGGCAACATGGCAAACCCCCATCTCTACAAAAATGACAAAAATTAACTGGGTGTGATGGCATGTGCCTGTAGTCCCAGCTACTTGGGGGGCTAAGGCAGGAGAATCATTTGAGCCCAAGAGGTTGAGGCTGCAGTGAGCCGTGTTCGTGCCACTAAATGACAAAGTGAGACCCTGTCTCAAAAAATAAATAAAGTTTTACTGGAACACGGCTGCACCCATTTGTTCACACATTGTCCATGGCTGTTTGTGTGATGCAACAGTAAAGTTGAGTAGTTACAGCAGAAACTAAAATATTTACTATCGGGTCTTTTACAGAACAATTTTGCAGCCTCCAGAAGAGAAAAGCATTAGACATGGTAATTAGAACCCATCAAAGAATGGTAGGGGAAATAGGTTGAGATCACAAATCATTTATTAGGGAAAACCATCTTGTTATGTGTGTTTCTGAGTATAGGAAGCAGCAGAGTTTAATAGAAAAAACATAGGGTTTAGGGTCAATCAGAAATTTTTGGTTCAGATCCTGGCTCTGCCACATACCAGTTGTGTGATCTTGAATAAATAACTAAGCCACTCTGAGCCTCAGTTTGCTTATGTATAAAGTGACAGATGACCTTGGGCAAATTATTAACTCAATGTTCCTCTGTTTCCTTATCTTTTGAATGGTAATTATATTAACATCTACCTCACAGGGATGTGTTGAGGATTAAATGAGTTAATAGATATGTTAAGAGCATAGAACTGTGTCTGGCACATAGCAAGCATTCTTTCTCTCTCTCTTTTTTTTTTTTGAGACTGAGTCTCACTGCGACACCCAGGCTGGAATGTGATGGTACAATCTCGGCTCACTGCAACCTCCAATTCCTGGGTTCAAGTGACTCTCCTGCCTCAGCCTCCTGAGTAGCTGGGACTACAGGTGTGCACCACCATGCCCAGCTAATTTTTGTATTTTTAGTAGAGACGAGGTTTCACCATATTGGCCAGGCTGGTCTCCAACTCCTGACCTCAAGCAATCCGCCCACCTCGGCCTCCCAAAGTGCAGGAATTACAGGCTTGAGCCACTGCACCTGGCCAGCAAGCACTGTTTAAGTACTCCCACTGTTGGTGGTGGTTATTGTTACTGAGTTATTGCAAGTAATCTCTAAAAAGCACTAATTTATACTGCCTGACACAAAATAGACACTCCATTAGTATTAGTAGTTTTTCCTTCTCAAATTTAAATGATCCACAAATCACTCTACTTTTTCTCTTTATTCCTTCTTAAATTTACTTTGATAATCATTTCTTTTTGTCATTTCAGAACTAGACGTTAATTTTAGCTTTTAACTGCATCCATGTTATCCTGAGAGGTGTCACTACTTTGACCACTTCTTGGAATAAAGCTCTTTCTCTTGGCATTGAGTATAAATTTGACCCACAACCCAATTTTCCTTCTCCAAATGTCTCTTCTACTGTATCTCAACCCAAAACCTTTCATTTTCAAAATGACTTGCCTACCTTTGGCTCTTTTTCAAACACTTAAGGCTTTTGATTCTTACTTCTCTTCTTATTTTTTTTGTTTTGTTTGCTCATGTTACTCTCACCCATTAGAATACTTTTTTGATGTTTTTTGCTTTTCCAAAGCCAACTAATCTTTCAAGGCCAGTTCAACTCTAACCTCTTCCATGGAATCATCTTTGACTTCTCTGAGTCCAGGTCTTGTCTCCTTGCTAGTCTGTGAGCTACTTTAGGACTTATTCTTTTTTGTTTGTTTGTTTTAGAGATGTTGCCCGGGCTGGTCTCGAATTCCTGGGCTCAAGCAACCCACCTGCTGTGGCCTCCCAAGGTGCTGGGATTATAGGCATGAGCCCCCGTGCCTGGCCAGGACTTATTCTTTATCATGCATAATATGTTGCCTTGCACAGAGCAGGTACTCAAATATATATTGATTGACTGAATTCAGGGGTAAATATACACGTATTCAACAATTCTTCCTATACAAATGTAATAATAACTAGTTATTTTCCCTTTCAAATAGAACTCTACCCCTACTTGTGTCTGAGCAGGTATAGAAGGGGGGCTTACCCAGCAGAGGTGTGTACCAGCACGTATGTTTCAAGGTCAGGGGTGTCTGATGTATTCTTGCTTCTTGACCACCATATAGTTTGTGGCAACACTGCTTCTGAACAGAAAACCAAGTAGTATTAGCCATCTAAAGGAATGTAACATATATTTCATAATCTACTACCTCCATTTCAAAGGTGGAAAGAATATCACTAGTCTCAAGTGACCCTGTGAGAGAGATCAAGAAGAAAATAAATTCTGTCAAGTAAAAAAGCTTTCAAGTGTTTGATCAAAAGGTATACATATGAGTAACTTATGATTCTTATTTAAAAGTCACAATTTAGTAATCTAGGAGAATGCTAACATCATCAACTCCAAATAATTGACACTTTGATGTAAACAAAGGCTTTGAGGAAAGAGGTATAGGTGAGGAATAAACTTAGTTACATAATTCTTCGTGATACTGCAATTAAAAAAAGTAAAACAGGCCGGGTGCGGTGGTTCATGCCTGTAATCCCAGCACTTTGGGAGGCCAAGGTAGGTGGATCACTTCAGGTCACCAGCCTGGCCAACATGGGGAAACCCCATCTCTACTAAAAATACAAAAATTAGCCGGGCGTGGTGGTGTATGACTGTAATCCCAGCTACTCCGGAGGCTGAGGCAGGAGAATCTCTTGAACCCAGGAGGCGGAGGTTGCAGTGAGCTGAGATTGCACCACTGCACTCCAGCCTGGGCGACAAAGGACCAACTAGGTTTGTGTGTGTGTATGTGTACATTTACAAAAACACGTATCTGTTGCCTCACTTGATAATCTCTTGATAAAAGCAATATATGCAGTTCTAAGACTACTGATACATACTGGATTTAGCTTTCTATTACAGGATAGTTGTTGATTCACAATTACTACCTAAATAATTTCAAAAAGCTCGCAATTACCAATTTTTCTTGAAGAGGTTGTTGAATTGCATCTGCGCAGGACAGGGAATCATAGTGAGGAAATTCCTCATCTAAAAAGCTCTGTCAAGAGAAAATGGTAGAGTGTATTCAAAGACAGAATGATGAAAGAGTCAAAGATCCCAAACACATTAGACTTAATAGAAGATATGACACTACCCAAAGTGGGTGAAATTGACAAGTTCTTTTTGTATTCTACTCCAAGGGAACACATTTGTAATTTTAAACCTCCCATTGTATTTGCCCCATTACTTGATCTAGGAATGAAATCTGAAGATCGGGAACAAGAAACTGAATGGCTTTGTCACTGAAATCTGTAGGCAGAGGCTAAAGAAGCTTGTTAGAGATGCAACTCAGAGTAGTGAAAATGGTGTCTGTGAAAATTTGATAGCTATAAAATTATTGCCTTAATCCAAGAGGTAGATTCACATCTATCATAGTTATATTATAATAGAAAATGTTGTTGGTGTTCTTGAGATGATTAAAGCATCTTTAGATATGGAGGTTTTTCCAGCTCAACTTATTGCAGAGGGCTTTTCAGGCACTCTGCCTAGCTTAATCTTCCACATGGTTTTTTTTTTCCTGCTTTAACAGATGTGTCTGCATGATGCCCTAGAAACAGATACATGCAAATATCACCCTTCTTTCTTTCCTCCTCCATCATCTTCCTCCAGTGCCAACCTTGCTGCCTTGCTGTTCCCTTATGTTCTTCATTTCTGAACAAAAAGGAGATTCACCAAGTATCACAAGGGAAGGAAATACACTTTACCAGGGATATCTTGAGATGACCCATACAGAAAGAAATAGAAAGTTTAATTCAAATATGAGAAAGAAAAAAGAGACAGTAACCATCAAAGCCTATTCAAGAATACTCAAAATTTCAGCATATTATAAATTGAATGATATGCCCTTACTATCAGAAAGGAGGTCCCCAAGACTGAAAAACTGGCTGTTCGCTAATAGATATAGTGGTGGGGCAAAGAAAATTCTGAAATGCTTCCTCTCTAGAAGATATTATCAGTAGCCACTCACTAATGTAAGATCTCCTTTCTTATTTTGCTAAATACTTTAAGTGCAGAAGAGAACAAAGTCCACCAAAACATTTTCTTCTAAACTGGTTATTTAATTTAATGATTAAAGTCATTGTCTGTTATAAATTAGCTTCAAAACCTTACATGAATTGAACAACTTCCTCCACAGTAA
Source organism: Homo sapiens (assembly GCF_000001405.40). Taxonomy (NCBI): domain Eukaryota; kingdom Metazoa; phylum Chordata; class Mammalia; order Primates; family Hominidae; genus Homo; species Homo sapiens. The sequence continues at coordinate 25,061,679 of NC_000012.12, read as the reverse complement.
CTGAACACATATCAGAGATATTTTACCTGAAACAGCAAGCCATGGTGTTCCCCTTCAATGAACTCCTTTTGAAGTGACTCAATTGTTGCTACAAAGAGAATTTATAACCAGCTCAATATGACCATTTTAATTTAATTAATTAATGAATTTATTTCAAGACAGGATTTGGTTCTATTGCCCAGATTGGAGTGCAGTGGCATGATCTCACCTCACTGCAAACTCTGCCTCCTGGGCTGAAGCCATCCTCCTGTTTCAACCTCCCAAGTAGCTGGAATTACAGGCACATGCCACCCACACTCAGCTAGTTTTGGTATTTTTTGTAGAGATGGGTTTCACCATGTTGTCTAGACTGGTCTCAAACTCCTGAGTTCAGGTGATCCACCCACCCCGGCCTCCCACAGTGCTGGGATTACAGGCATGAGCCACTATGCCCAGTATGAGCATATTTAACCTTGTCTCCTTTAATTCATTTCATTGCTTCAAAAACTTTTAATGGCTTTAAATTTGGGGCCTCAAGAAAAGGAAAGGGAAAATAATGATTTCTGAGAATGGCACTCTCAACTTATGACTCGGGAAAAATGGAAAACCAGGCTAGAACAGATAAGCCATTATCTCCCTTGGGTATTTAAATTTTACTTTGATAGATACATGTGAATTGTCTTCTAGAAGTGAGTCACAGAATTGTCTAATCTTAAGCTAAGAATACATCTTAGGCCTGGTGCAGTGGCTCACACCTCTAATTTCAGCTCTTTGAGAGACCAAGGTGGGTGGATCATTTTAGGCCAGTACTTTGGGACTAGCCTGGCCAACAGGACAAAACCCCATCTCTACTAAAAAAAAAAAATACAAAAATTAGCTGGGTGTGGTGGCGCATGCCTGTAATCCTAGCTACTTGGGAGGCTGAGGCAGGAGAATCACTTGAACCTGGGAGGTGAAGGTTGCAGTGAGCCAAGATCATGCCACTGCACTCCAGGGCGAGACTCCCTCTCAAAAAAAAAAAAAAAAAAAAAAGAAAATACATTTTAGAGGTCATTCAGTCTGACCTCCTACTGATAAAGAAATCCTATCTCCAATAAGCCTCTGCTTGAGCCCTCAAATTACAGCCCTAGGATCCCAGAATCCTACAAGTAGATCTCAGATCATGAGAACACTGATGTGCAGACGATTGAAAAGGTAACTGGTAAATCATGGAGCTGAGATTAGACTCATGGAACAGAGCTTAACTCAGGGTATCATTCTGTGAAACTAAAAATATTTGTTTTTCTGCTTAAGTAAAATCTCTAAAGGTCTTATGCCTGGAATAATGGAAATGGGGGAAAAGTACCTAATATTTAACTAGCTCTTTGATGTACATAATAACATATTATTTATTTGACAAATCCTACTCTCTGAAACATAGCCAAAACCAGAAAATAAACCCAAATCTTTTGAACAACTAGAATAGATACTGATATTTATGCCCTTTATTCACGTGGCAAACCTCACACTTCAACTCAAGCAGTGGGCTCTGGGTATATACATAATTTTCACCAGTTTGACTGCCTTCTCAGCCCAAAGAAGATTAAAAGCAAAACTTAAACAAGGATATAAGGAGCTCTGCTAGATGGAAGCATATTAATAGCTACCACTTTTTTTTAAAATCACTAACAGCCAGGAAAATTATTAACAGCAGATACTCTGGCATCCAAAATACATAGAAATCTGGTGCTTCTTATTTTATAAACCAACAGTTTTATATCTTAATAGCCTGGAGAAATTCTGAGTCATGAGCATAATGCTAATGAAAAGAAGTACATAATCTAATTTTTAATTTTTTTCAGGAAAAAGGCTCTAAAAGCTTCAATTATGTAGAAAATTACCTATGTAAATTTTTTATTTTATAGGACTTTTTTTTGGTAAAAATAACTTACTTCTCAATCAAGCTTGACATAGTGTTACTAGGCCCACTAGGAGCAAAACAGATGTTTGTTTTTCAAACATCTCCCTCACATAGGAAGAAAAGCATATTTTTAAAAGAGTATTTCTAGGCTGGGTGCGGTGGCTCATGCCTGTAATCCCAGCATTTTGGGAGACCGAGGCAGATGGGTCACCTGAGGTCGGGAGTTCGAGACCAGCCTGAACAACATGGTGAAACCTTGTCTCTACTAAAAATACAAAAAAATTAGCCAGGCATGGTAGCACACACCTGTAGTCCCACCTACTCAGGAGGCTGAGGCAGGAGAATTGCTTGAACCCGGGAGGCGGAGGTTGCAGTGAGCCGAGATCAAGCCATTGCACTCCAGCTCTGGGTGACAGAGCAAGACTCTGTCTCAGGGGAAAAAAAAATAAGTATTTCTAACCTACAAAAGTAATTTAAAATTTATTTCTTATTAATACTTAGGACCCTGGTAAAGATGAAATTTTTAAAAAATTCTGTCTTAACTGTATTAAGAAGGAAGGCCCTGTGCTCCTTCTGATCTACATCTAAACAATAGCAACCAAAGCAATAAGAAGTGGCCATCGTGTGTTTCTGAAGGTCGTGTATCTCCAAAATACAAATTCAGAATACTATCTTACAATTGCCAATGAAGCCGTGTTTCAGAAGCGATGATGAGCTAGTATAAGATTGTCTAAATTGCCCATCTGCTTGCTCACCAGGCAATCTTGGGTTTTAGAAACAGTCTATCTTGAAGCATTCAAATTGAAAGCCTTATTTCAACAGATGTTTTGTGCAATGCATAGCAACTATTTCCATATTTTCCACATGGCAAAACAAGTTGGCTTATGACCACAATTTGCATTCACCTTTGCATTCTGCTTTACATGTTTGGAGTTGGACCTGTAATGCCTCTAGAACAAATATATGCTTCATATAGAAGGAAGTAAAACAATGGCTACTGTATCCCCTGCTGTTGCCATCTGCCATGTAGGATGGGACCAGGTGTCTTGGATACATTGCCTCTGAAGAAAGTTGAGATAAAGCAACTTTCTAAATGACTAAGCAATGAGGTCTCAGGCAAAGGCCCCACAATTAATTGCCTGTTGAAAATGAAAATTATAACATTATTAGAGCCGTTATCATGTTAGCTATCAATGATGGATGACATTTATAGAGTACGGGGCTTGTATAATACTATCTATACTGGAAAAAACCTCATGTTCTGTAAAATTGTATATTAAAAATATCAGGGTTCATTAAAGAACCCCAGACTAAGATCAACTATTCATAGCACATATCTGTCAAAGGACTTATATCCAAGAATAAAAGGACAGAAAACTTAATTTTAAAATGGGTGAAAGACTTAGACACTTCACAAAGAAGATATACAATGGCCAATCAGCACAAGAAAAAGGTCCCAACATCATTACATCTGAAAAATATATATTAAAATCACAATGAAATACCCATTTAGTAGAGTGGCTAAAATGACAAAGATTAACACTACCAAATACTGAAGATGTGGAACACTAAAACCACCCACACTGCTGGTGGGAGCGTGAAATGCTATAAAAACTACCGAAAACCATTTGACAGTTTCTTAAAAAGTGACAGTCACAGCTATGCTATGTCCTAACAGTTCTACTCCTAGATATTTATTCTAGGTGAAATAAAAACATATGTGCACACAAAGACTTGTACACAGACGTTCATAGCAGCTTTGTCCGTCGTAACCCCAAACTGCATATACTGCAGATATCCAATAACAGCAGGAAAAACAATCAAATTTTGGAATATTCATACAAGGAAATACAACTCAATAATAAAAAACTACTACTAAGAAACACAACATAATCCCATCATGCTGACAGAAAAAAGACAAACACACAAAAAAGTACATACTGTGTAACTGAGTTCTAGAACAGGCTAAGCTAACCTATCAGACCAGTGGTTGTTCCTTAGGGTGCTAGAGGTGGAGGCGGGGCATTGACTGGGAAGTTGCACAAGGGAAGTTTCTGGGGTGATAGAAATTCCGTGTTTTGATGTGTATTTATCTACCTGGTTGAATAGTATACTCGAGATCTGAACATTTTATGACATGTTAAATACATTAATAAAAAAGAAGTTAAAAGTATAAGAACAAAATAATGCAGGGATTATGAGAGAAATAGGGTTAAGAAGAAACCACTAAAAAAATACATGCAGCTGGGCAGAGTGGCTCATGCCTGTAATCCCAAAACTTTGGGAGGCTGAGGCAGGAGGATTGCTTGAGCCCAGGAGTTTGAGACCAGCCTAGGCAACACTGCAAGATCCTACCTCTACAAAAAATTTAAAAATTAGCCAGGCATAGTGGTGCTCGCCTATAGTCCTAGCTACTCAGGAGGCTGAGGCAGGAGGATCACTTGAGCCCAGGAGGTTGAGGCTACAGTGAGCCATGATCCCACCACCATAGTCCAGCCTGGGTGACAGAATGAGATCCTGTCTCAAAAAAAAAAAAAAAAAAAAAAAATCTGTCTACCTGTCTACCTACCTACCTACCTATCTGTATGTATGTGCAACACTGTAACCAGAGTACTAACAAACACACTTATTATTAGTACTAAGAAGATCACATGCATCACTCAGACATGCAACTTTAAATGCCTCACAGGATATTAGAAATACACAAAAACAAGAGAGTGGAAATGCTGGTGATGCTTTCACTAGAACAGTGGTGGTGGGGTGAAAGGCAAATGTAGATAGAGGCAGCGAGGCTAACAAGGTGAACACAGGAGGGAGTATGATTGGACACAGACCAGGGCTCTACAAGGCTGGGGTAGAGCCCTATAAAGTCCAGAGCCCTGTAGAACCCAGAGTGACTCTGGGGAGGGAGGCCCAGGTGCAGACACTTATTTTAATTTTCTCAAAATAAAGCTGAAAGGGTTCCTGTTGCCTGTTCAGCAGCCAAGCTAAGGACTTTTTCCTTTCCTGAGGAAGGTGAGAGTTCTATTCCTACCAATCCAGATCCAAGTGCCAAGAAAATCGTGAATGAAACAACATAATTTCTATACTATATAACCACAGCATTTCCCCATTTACAAATCACAAATGAGATGATTCATGTTATAGAAACGTATTCTAGCAGAACACAAATATCAACTGTGGCCAAGCATTAGCTACTATTTTGCATTTATTATGTTATTTATGTAATTCACAACAACTGCATTTAACCAAAGAGGATACTGAAGCTCAGAGAGGCAATGTGATTTGCTCAACTTTACCCAGCCACTCTTCTGTGGACTTTGAGTGAGAACACAGGTTTGTTAATTTCAAATCCCATGTTCTTAATCATTATACTATACTTCCCAGATTACTTCTCCATATCTGCATTTTTCATTTGGGAAAACTTGGGTCCCTATCCTATCAGAGTTGTTGAGCAAGCTGTATTTGGCTTTGGTTTTCTCCTTGGCCGTCACCCCAAAACCTTCTATCTTTAAGTATCTCAATCACCTGGATCCCTTCACCCGCCTTCTTTGGCTCATTTCCCTCCTGTTTACTGACTGCTTAGGACACGGCTTTCATCTTGAATCCATGCTCCAAGCCCTAAGGGTTTTACCTCTGCCATACCTCCCGCCCTCCATGCTAAGAATAGCAAGCTAAAAGAGTGTTTGCAGTGATATTATCTAGGTGAAAGTCTCCTCTAAACTAGGAAGTTCATGTGCAGATACTACGTTCAAATAAGAAATTATGCTATATCAGAGTTTCCCAGGATCTCTTTTCAAGGAAAAATTTGTGATTCTTAAAGGTAATTCTCTCATTGTCTATGAGAAGACTGACTCCATGAAGATTTCACGTCAGATGGGAACAAGAGATGGTGAATAGTAAGGGGGTGATAGTTTTGGATTGTATCAATTAGTCCATGATTTCTGTACATAAGATTCACCCTAATATGTTATATACACATCCTATAAGCTTTTAAAAATTTCCTTTTTAGATGAGTTCATGTCCTTTGTAGCGACATGGATGAAGCTGGAAACCATCATTCTGAGCAAACTATCGCAAGGACAGAAAACCAAACTCTGCATATTCTCACTCACAGGTGGGAATTGAACAATGAGAACACTTGGACACAGGACGGGGAACATCACACACTGGGGCCTGTCATGGGGTGGGGATAGGAGAGGTGTAGCATTAGGAGAAATACCTAATGTAAATGACGAGTTAATGGGTGCAGCACACCAACATGGTACATGTATACATATATAACAAACCTGCACGTTGTACACATGTACCCTAGAACATAAGTATAATAAAAAAAATTTCCTTTTTAAAGCAAACACTAATTATAATCCAGTCATGTGTCTATTAACAAGATACTTGGATATAAACAAAGTTTAGATGCAGAAGAAATAAAATATATAAGTAACCATTCAAGCAATTGAACAGTTTTCATGGCACATTTCTTGAAGAATATCATGCACATGAATTGCCTCATAAATCAGCCCAGTCCTGAAGGCAATTGAAAACTTGAACAATATCATTTATTCAAGATAAAGTTCAGGATTTCTGATCAAACATCACATATAAATTTCCAGTTGTAGTGTGAACATTATGCACATTGATCTGAACATTTGGACAAACCAGCTGCATCCCCACACAATGTGCTGATGCAACTTAGATGGATCAGAAAACAATTGTCTGAAATACTTTGTGAATTTATTAAACTAGCCAGAGAGTTTCAGAAAAGCTAAATAGATATAAATATGTTTTGTTTTCTGACTCAGAATCAGATGTCTGACTCAGAAATCAAACAGCATGGGGTGGCAGTGGTCATGGCGGGATGTGCGTGGACGTGTTTGTGTGATAACTGCAGTCATTGACATTTGTTTGCAGTCTATCTGGAACATCTGCTATATAGAACATTTTGAAAATACGTGCTATCTAAATTTCCCTCTTCTCTCAAAGATTGAATTTAAAGGGCATTGTTAGAAAGATCGTAAGTACATGGTCATATAAGCAAAATCCTGATTTGTATGGGTTTTTTGGGCAGCAAAAGATACAAGTAACAAGTAAGGGATTTCATAAATCTGGACAGGTTATGCATAACTCAAGACAGAAAGGAAGTGTCCACTCTACGTTATCCAGGCAGAAAAAAATACACGTATCAACCCAGGGCAGCTTTCATATTCTGCTTTTAAGTGTATTTGAATCTATTGGGCCGTGAAGATAAACTGGGAAGACAACAATAGCAAGTTCATAATATCAAGAACGTGCACTTTGGGGTAAGTTATTAAAGTTGACTCTTCTAAGAAAATACTGCAAGAAAATCACAGTGAGGAAGGGGAACAAATTCTTAGTAGTTTATAAAACTCAGGTATAATATTGATTTAATCAAAAGGCAAAACTGGAGCAAAAGAATAGTCCTGGGCACAGTGTCTAAAGCAGACACACCTTAAACCAACTTTGGAATGCCTTATGATTCATGTCTCAACATGAACAGTTCTAATCACAAGGGAACCTTCTCCAATGCCCTCTGAGCAGTAGTAAAATAACACACAGACTGTGTAATTTAAAGACTGCCTTACTAGCTTAACAGAGTGAATCAGAATATTGAAAACTGGCAAATTCAATAAAGGTTTAAAAATTATGACAATAATATGTTGAATAACCACTGCTATTTTAATGTTTTATTTATTTATTTGTTTGTAATTTTTGTAGAGACAGGGTTTCACCATGTTGTCCAGGCTGGTCTCAAACTCCTGGGCTCAAGCAATCTGCCCACCTCGGCCTCCCAAAATGCTGGGATTACAGGGGTGAGCCACTGTGTCCGGCAAACCATTGCTATTTTAAAACTAGACTATTTCTTAAACTCCTAAATAGCTTTCTCAGATAATAGTAGAAAGGGTACAATAAATCCAAAACAAACACAAGTCTGAAATTTTTCATCTCTAGCCTACCTTAAGCTTATATATTAAATATATAATTATTTATAATTATATAACAATTAACAAATAAACAATGTTTATTTCTCAAACCAAGTAACTTTCTATAAAAAGAATATTTATACTGCTAGAACAAGAAACTGGCTGAACAAAAGCAATTGTCTGATAAATGGCTAAATAAGTAAGGTTTATTTTTACCATATTAGGTTTCTAGAATGAAACAATTTTATAGCTAATCTGACATCTGTAATGTGACAACTGTCTTCTCACATAAATCTCTGGTAACTGTTTATATACTTTTGGGTAATACAGAAAAATGACAAATATTCCAATTTTTAAAATGCAAAATATGTATGTAGATGTATGTAGAGAATGCATTAAAACTTTAAAAGAATTTTCACACATTTGATATTTTGATATACACTGAATTCATAATTATTTTGCCCAACCCCCTAAAATTTCCAAAGAAAATAGACGAGCAAGGCCTTTTCTACCATATGAGAGGAAAAAAACTAGCTAATAAAATCAGAGTATAATATATAACAACTTGCAAGTTCAAATATACCATGCATACTAGATTTTTCTCCTTGTTTACTTTTAGAAATTTTGAGAAGTTTTAATTAATTTTAAAAGAAAAAAACAGCCACAGACAAAACCAGCTTATAATAAAAAGGCAAAAAGGGAAGTTAATGGTTAAACCCATGCATGCACCTAGCCACTCAGCAAACCTCTCTGAAAGCCCCACAATATTGCCTTCTCAAACCATTTCATTGTCATAAACTCAGGAATAATATCCTAGCTGTAATCTAGAAAAATGTCTGTAGTCCTATGCCCCGCCTGAGGGTGGACAAAAACTGGGTCATAAATGAATATTTGCTACTCACTCTTCAGTTTCCTTGTCTTCTGCTGAAGTGCCTGGCAAGTGTTCGATAATTCAGTATTTATAGTTTGAAGGTTCCGTTGTTCCGAAATTGCTTCCTCTAATTTATGCAGTAAAGACGTAGCTTTTTCACTGGCAGTGTGGGCTTCTCGATCTCGATCCTTACCCTGGACATGGATAGTTAGTGCTGGATTGTAGCAGTGTGGCCAGGAAAGAAAGCAATGGAGTGCTCACTCTTATGATGCAGGCAAAACTGAAAATGTGTTTTTCTTCTCAGGGAAGTGATAAGCCTCTCCTGAACTTCTGCAATTCTGTGTTTGCATGGGCTTGGTATGCCTGAGCTATTTCTACAGCGGTTAAAGTCCTGATATGTCAAGTTGCCTCTTTCTGCAGAGTCGCCTCTTTCATCAGCAGGCTGTTGATACCGCCTCTCTTACAACTCCCCCTTTACTTCCTCTGCTCACTGTTAGTCGCTAGGGACTGAACTTGCAGTTCCTCTTTGCTTTTTTTTTTTGTTTGTTGTTGTTGTTCCTCCTCCATTTTTATTTCATGGTTTGCAGGGCATCTGAGGAGATGTCCCCTGAATCTAATGTAGCCATGAGCCACCCTACCTGCTCCTCCACATCCTCCAGCCGTTGGCTGGTTTCTTGGAGCCTCTTCCTAAGGATGCCTTCCTGGTTGACAGCATCTTCCTGTAGTTGTTTAATGGCTTCTAGTTGTTTCTGACTGGAGTTAAAAAAAAAAAAAAAAAAAAAAGTCCAAACCGCAAGCTGTCAGTGACATTTCAACTAAGAGTCACCCTGTGAAATTATGACAAACTCAAACTTAACACCACTTCCTTAGAGATCAGAGGAAAAAGTGAAAGTATTTACATATAAATGCTTCACAAATATAAAATCTTAAGCAAAGCTTATTGGTCGCTTAGCCTGACACCCTCACTTTACAGATAAGGACTTCTAGTTTCATCTTTTACACTGGTGTGTTCAGTTCCCACCAGCTGCATTCATAGCACTTAGCATCAGTTGCCAGTTGCCAGTTACTCAGAAGATGGCTCTACAATGAGGTCAGGGTGACAGGTGCAACATTTACACATCACAGCTAGCTTTTACAGAAAAAGAAAGGAATGGGGTAAAGGTAGGGGGAGGGAAAAGAAAAGGAAAGAGAGCTTTGTTTCATGACCTTAGCCTTTCTCCTTAAGGGTTGTCAATCATAGTATAAACACGTGCCACGAGCACAGGAAGGACCGCCCCCAGGCACAGATGAAAGCTGGCGGTTGATATTTCTACTTTAGTCCTCTTTTTGCTGAAGCTTTTCTCCCCATCACCCTTCCCCACCACAGATCTCATGGTGCCATTACGTTACACCTCATTTGGATCCAATTCTAATCTCTAAAACATGTAAAAATGCACTTACTCTCTGTTAGCAGATGAGATTATTTAATGTGTGTTACATGCCAGTACCTCAATGATTATCTGGAAACAATCTGACTTGAATATGGACCTTAACTCAAAGTGGTGATAAATGTCGGGAGTTGCAAAACAGCAAGGAAGACATTGTCAGCCGTAGGCCTTGTGCATGCCTCTCAAACGTTAACATTTAGTCAGAATGCCACTGCACACTGGCACAAATCCAGCCCTGGTTACACGAAGGACCACATGAGAGGCAAGAATGGTCTCACAGAATGCTTACCATACTGGTAAACAAGCAAACAAAATCCTAAGCAAAAATAAAAACTGCCTACATCACCACACTTTCCACTGAGCGTCCTTCAATAGCTTATCGTTGTCTCTCTCACTCTCTTTTTCTCTCTTTTTCTTTAACTGTGGCAGGAACATTTAACAGGAGATTTACCCACTTAACAAATTTTTAAGTGTACAATACAGTATTATTAACTACAGGCATAATGTTGTACAGCAGATCTCTAGAACATCTTCATCTTGCATAACTGAAACTTTATACCTATTGAGTAGCAACTCCTCATTTCCCCTCCCCTAGCTCCTGGCAACCACTATTCTCTCTCTTTCTATTAGTTTAACTATTTTAGATACCTCAGAGAAGTGGGATCGTGCAGTATTTGTTGTTCTGTGACTCACTTATTTTACTTGGGATAGTGTCCTCCAGGTTTATCTATGTTGTCATATGTGGCAGAATTTCCTTCTTTTTAAAGGTTGGATAATATTCCCTTGTATTTATATACCAAATTTTCTTTATCCAATCATCCGTGGACATTCAGGTTGTTTCCAAATCTTGGCTATTGAGAATAATGCCGCAGTGAATATGGGAATGCAAATAGCTCTTCCAGGTGCTGATTTTAATTATTTTGGATAAATACCCAGAAGTGGGGTTCCTAGATCAGATGGTAGTTTAATTTTTAATATTTTGAGAAAACTCTGTAACTGTTTTTTTTTGTTTGTTTGTTTGTTTGTTTTTTTTGAGACGGAGTCTCGCTCTGTCTCCAGGCTGGAGTGCACTGGCGCGATCTCAGCTCACTGCAACCTTTGGCTCCCGGGTTGAAGCGATTCCCCTGCCTCAGCCTCCCGGGTAGCTGGGACTACAGGCACGCACCACCATGCCCGGCTAATTTTTTGTATTTTAGTAGAGACGGGGTTTCACCATGTTGGCCAGGATGGTCTCGATTTCCTGACCTCGAGATCCGCCTGTCTCGGCCTCCGAAAGTGCTGGGATTACAGGCATGAGCCACCGCACCCGGCCCTCCATAACATTTTCTATAGTGCCTGCACCACTTTCCATTCCCCCAACTGTGCACTAGGACTCCAATATCTCTACATCCTCACCAACACTTTTTTTTATTTGTTTTTTGTTTTTGTTTTTTTGAGACGGAGTCTCACTCTGTCACCCAGGCTGGATGGAGTGCAGTGGCGCAATCTCGGCTCACTGCAAGCTCCACCTCCCAAGCTAACGCCATTCTCCTGCCTCGGCCTCCCGAGTAGCTTTTTTTTTTTTTTTTTTTTTTTTTTGAGACACAGTTTCGCTGTGTTGCCCAGGTTGGAGTGCAGTGGCACAATCTTGGCTCACTGCAAGCTCCGCCTCCCGGGTTCCCACCATTCTCCTGCCTCAGCCTCCCGGGTAGCTAGGACTACAGGCGCCTGCCACTATGCCTGGCTAATTTTTTTGTATTTTTAGTAGAGACAGGGTTTCACCTTGTTAGCCAGGATGGTCTCGATCTCCTGACCTCGTGATCCGCCTCAGCCTCCCAAAGTGCTGGGATTACAGGCGTGAGCCACCGCATCCGGCCGTCTTTTAAAATAATAGCCATCCTAACAGGTATGATACAATATCTAATTATAGTCTTAACTTGCATTTTCCTAATGATTAGTTATGTTGAGTATGTTTGTACACCTGTTTGACCATTTATCGTCTTCTTTTGAGAAATGCCTATTCAAGTCTTTTGTCTATTTTTAAATCTAGTTATTTGTGTTTTTTTATTGTTGTTCTGGAGTTGTAGGGGTTTCTTATATTTTCTAAATATTAACCCCATAAGTGAAGGACCTCTTCAAGGAGAACTACAAACCACTGCTTAAGGAAATCAGAGAGGACACAAACAAATGGAAAAACATTCCATGCTCATGGATAGGAAGAATCAATATCATGAAAATAGCCATACTGCCCAAAGTAATTTATAGATTCAATGCTATTCCCATTAAACTGCCATTGGCATTCTTCACAGAATTAGAATAAACTATTTAAAAATTCATATGGAATCAAAAAAGAACCCAAATAGCCAAGACAATCCTAAGAAAAGAGAACAAAACTGGAGGCATCACGCTACCCGACTTTAAACTATACTACAAGGCTACAGTAGCCAAATAGCATGGTACTGGTACAAAAACAGATACATAGACCAATGGAACAGAATAGAGAACTCAGAAATAGGACTGTACACCAGCAACCATCTGATCTTTGACAAACCTGACAAAAACAAGCAATGGGAATAAATGGTGCTGGGAGAACTGGCTAGCTACATGCAGAAAATTGAAACTGGTCCCCTTCCTCAATCCTTATACAAAAATTAACTCAATATAGATTAAAGACTAAGTGTAAAACCCAAAACTATAAAAACCCTGGAAGAAAATCCAGGCAGTAAAATTGAGGACATAGGCACAGGCAAAGATTTCACAACAAAAGCACCAGAAGCAATTGCAACAAAAGCAAAAATTGACAAGTAGGATCTAATTAAACTAAAGAGTTTCTGCACAGCAAAATAAACTATCATCAGAGTCAACAGACAACCTAGAGAATGGGAGAACATTTTTGCAATCTATCCATTGGACAAAGGTTTAATATCCAGAGTCTGCAAGGAACTTTAACAAATTTACAAGAAAAAAAATATTACAAAGTGGTCAAGCCAGGCTCAGTGGCTCACACCTGTAATCCCAGCACTTTGGGAGGCTGAGGCGGGTGGATTGCTTGAGGTCAGGAGTTTGAGACCAGCCTGGCCAACGTGGTGAAAGCCCATCTCTACTAAAAATACAAAAATTAGCTGGGTGTGGTGGTGTGTGCCTGTAGTCCCAGCTACTCGGGAGGCTGAGGCAGAGGAATCGCTTGAACCTGGGAGGTGGAGGTTGCAGTGAGCCGAGATCGAGACCCCGCCATTGCACTCCAGCCTGAGCAACAGAGAGAGACTGTCTCAAAAAAATAAAAAAATAAAAAGTGGGCAAAGGACAGGAACAGACACTTCTCAAAATAAGACATTCACATGGCCAACAAACATGAAAAAAAGCTCAACATCACTGATCATTAGAGAAATGCAAAATCACAATAAGATACCACCTCATGCCAGCCAGAATGGCAATTATTAAAAATCCCAGAAACAACAGATGCTGGTGAGGTTGCAGAGAAAAAGGTATGCTTTTATACTGTTGGTGGGGTATAAATTAGTTCCTCCATTGTGGAAGGCAGTGTGGTAATTCCTCAAAGATCTAAATAGAGGTAGAAATACCATTTGACCCAGCAATCCCATTACTGAGTATATACCCAAGGAATATAAATCATTCTATTATAAAGATACATGCAAGCGTATGTTCATTGCAGCACTATTCATAATAGCAAAGACATGGAGTCAACCAAAATGCCCATCAGTGATAGACTGGATAACGAAAATGTGATACATGTACACCATGGAATACTACGCAGTCATAAAAAGGAACAAGGTCACGTCCTTTGCAGGGACATGGATGGAGCTGGAAGCTGTTATCCTCAGCAAACTAACACAGGAACAGAAAACCAAACGTCACATGTTCTCACTTATGAGTGGTAGCTGAATGATGAGAACACATGGACACATTGCGGGGAACACCACACACTGGAAGCCTGTCAAGCAGGTGAGGAGGGAGAGCATCAGGAAGAATAGCAAATGGATGCTGGGCTTAATACCCAGGTGATGGGTTGATCTGTGCAGCAAACCACTATGGCACACATTTACCTATGCAATAAACCTGCACATCCTGCACATGTACCCTGGAACTTAAAAGTTAAAGGAAAAAACAAAAACAAAAAAACAACAAAAAATTAACCCCTTATCAGTTTTTTAGTTTACAAATATTTTCTCCCATTCCATAGGTTGTCTTTTCATTGCATTGTATTCTTTGCTGTGCAGAAGCTTTTCAGACTGATGCAGTCCAACATGCCTATTTTGCTTTTGTTGCCTGTGCTTTTGGTGTCATATCCAAGAAATCTTGCCAAGACCAATGTTATGAAGCTTTCCCCCATGTTTTCTTCTAGGTGTTTTCAGTTTTAGGTCTTAAATTTACATCTTTAATCCATTTTTAATTGATTTTTGTTTATGGTATAAGAGTCCAATTTCATTCTTTTGTCTGTGGATGTCCAGTTATCCCTGCACCATTTGTTGAAGAGATTATCCTTTCCCTATTACATATTCTTAGTATCTATGTTGAAGATCAATTGACCATCTATGCATTGGTTTATTTCTAGGCTCTCTCTTCTGTTTCATTGGTCTATATATCTGTCTTTATGCTAATACCATACTGGTTTAATTACTGTAGCTTTGTAATATATTTTGAAATCAGGAACGGTAATGTCTCCATCTTTGTTCTTTCTTCTCAAGATTGTTTTCAGCTATTCAGGGTCCCTCATGGTTCCATAAGTTTTAGGATTTTCTTTCTATTCCTGTAAAAAAATGCGATTGGAATTTTTGTTAGGGATTGCATTGAATCTATAGATTGCTTTGGGTAGTATGGACATTTAAACAACATGATCTCTTCCAATCTATGAACGTAGGATGCCTTTTCATTTATTTGTGTCTTCTTTAATTTCTCTCATCAATATTTTGTAGTTTTTATTATATGTTTTTTACCTCTTTAAATTTATTTCAAAGTATTCTTTTTGATGCTATTGTAAATGAGATTGTTAATTTCTTTTTCAGATGGTTCAATGTTGCTCATATATAAACGAAATTTATTATGGTATGTTGATTTTGTGTCATGCAACTTTACTAAATTTTATTCTAACAGGTTTTTTTGTGAAATCATTAGAGTTTTCTATAAATAAGATCATGTTATCTGCAGAGATCATTTTACTTCTTCCTTTTATATTTATATGCCTTTTATTTTTTTTTCTTGCCTAAATGCTCTGGCTAGTACTACACTGAACAGAAGTGGTGAGAGTGAGCATCCTTGCTTTGTTGCTGATCTTAGAGGAAAAACTTTGTGTTTTACCATTGAGTGATGTTCACTGAGTTTTTCATACATTACTTTTATTATGTTGAGATAATTTTCTTCTATTCCTAGTTTCTTAAGAGTTTTTACACAAAATACTGTTAAATTTTATCAAATGTTTTTTCTGCACCTATAGAGATGATCACAAAATATTTATGCTCCATTCTGTTAATGTGGTATATCAAGATAATCAATTTGCATATATTGAACCATCCTTGCATCCCAGAAATAAATCCCACTTGGTCATAGTGTATAAGCCTTTCAATGTGCTTTTGTATTTGACTGGCTTATATTTTCTTGAGGATTTTGCATCATCAGGGGTACTGGCCTAGCTTTGGTATCAGGATAATGCTGGCCTCATGAAATGAATTTGTAAGTGTACCTTCCTTTTCCTTTCCTTTTTTTTTTTTTTTTTTTATCTTTTATTTGGTAAAGAATTTCAGAAGGATTAGCGTTAATCTTCTTTAAATGTTTGGTAGAATTCACCAGTGAAGCCATCTCATACTGGGCTTTTCTTTTTTGGGAGGTGTTTAATTACTGAGACAATCTCCTTACTGGTTGTAGATCTTTTCAGATTTTCAATTTCTTCATGATTCATAAAGAAATATGATGGGGTGTATGTTTCTGGGAATTTTTCCATTTCTTCTAGGTTATCTAATTTGTTGGCATAAAATTGTTTATACTAGTCTTTTATAATCCTTTGTATTTCTGCAGTTCTAGTTGTAATATCTCCTTCATTTCTGATTTTGAGTCTTCTTCTCAGTCTAGCTAAAGGTTTGTTTGTCTTGTTTATCTTTTCAAAAATCCATCTCTTAGTTTTGCTGCTTTTTAATTGCTTTTCTATTTTAAACAACTTTTTGCTCTAATTTTTATTATTTCCTTTCTCTTGGGAAGGAACTTTGGGCTTAAGTTGTTCTTTTTCTAGTTCATTGAAGTGTAAAAAGTTAGGTTTATCTGAAATTTATTTTCTTTTTTAGTATAAGTGTTTATCACTATAAAATGCCCTCTTAGGAGTACTGCTTTTTCTACATCCCAAAGATTTTGGTATGTGCTTTTGTTTTCATTTGTCTCAAGTCTAATTTTCTTTATTTCTTCATTGACCTATTTGTTGTTCAGGAGTCTGTTGTTTAATTCTCACATATTTGTGAATATTTCCGTTTTCCTTCTGCTATACATTTCTAGTTTTATTCCATTATGGTAGGAAAAAGATAATTAGTATGATTTCAATAATCTTAAATTTGTTACTCTTTGTTTTGTGACCTAATGTGTGGTCTATCCTGAAGAATGTTCTATGTGCATTTAAGAAAGATGTATATTCTACTGCAGTTGGGCAGAATGTTCTGTGTTAGGTCCATTTACTCTCTAGTGCCATTCAAGCCTGCTGTTTCCTTATTGATTTTCTGTCTAAATGTTCTATCCATTATTGAACATGAAATACTACAGTCTTTTATTATTTTATTGCTGTCTATGTCTTCTATTTCCCCCTTCAGTTCTGTCAGTGTTTGCTTTATATATTTAGGTTCTCTAATGTTGGGTGTGTAGATATCGTATTTTCTTGGTGAGTTGATCCTTTTATTATATAATGTCCTTCTTTGTCTCTTATGACAGTTTTTGACTTAAAGTCTATTTTGTCTGATATAGTTACCCATACTCTCTTTTGGCTACCATTTGCTTGGAATATCTTTTTTCATCTCTTCACCTTCAGTTTATGTATGTACTTAAATCTAAAGTGAGACTCTTGAGACAGCATATAGTTGAATCTGGGCTTTTTAAAATTTAATATGTTCAGCCCTCTATGTCTTTTGATTGGTAAGTTTAATCCATTTATATTTGAAGTAATTATTGATAGGGAAGGACTTACTACTGCCATTTTATTATTTTTCTGTCTGTCTTGTAGTTATTTTTTCCCTCTTTTCCTCTCTGCTTGCCTTCCTTTGAGTTTTGTTGACTTCTCTGTATTAATATTCTTTGATTCCTTTCTTTGTGTGTGTGTCTGCTCTATAGGTATGTTCTTTGGCATTACCATGGAGCGTACATAAAACATCTTATAATAGTCTATTTTAAGCTAACAACCTAAATTCCATCACATATAAAAACTCTATTCTATTACTCTCTCCTTCAAACACTTTATTATTGATATCATAATTTACATATTTTTAGTTATGTATCATAAACATTTTTATAGTTATTTTTACTTATAATACTTTTAACTTTTATATAAGAATTAAAAGTGATTTAACCACAACCATTACAGTGTTACAGTGTTCTGTGTTTGTATTTTCTTTTTGTTAAAATTCTTACTTTGCACAGGCATTTTCTTCTGACCACGAGCATTTTTATGGGATTCTCTGTCAGGTAAGTTCTTTACCTGTTTCATTAGGGTCCGTTTCTGGAGCTTTATTTTGTTCCTTTGTTTGCAACATATTTTCCTACTTCTTTATTGTCCTTGACTCTTTTTAACTATGCATTAGAAAAAATAGCCAACTCTCCCAGTCTTCACATACTGGTCTCATACCGGAGAAATCCCTTAATCAATCCAGGAAGAGATTCTGGAGGCCAGGGGTGGTCTCAAACACTCACACTAATCCAAACCACCATTTTTGTTTCTAGCAGCCCCCAGGCATCTAGAGCATGATGCATCTCATAGTACTCCGAGACAGGTAAGACAGAAGCCAATTCTTTGGGCAGCATCCAGAAAAATTGAAACATTGGATACATAATCCAGCTCTTCCATCCTTTCATCCCTGGAAAGAAGCTGAGACCTAGGGCTTTTCACTGAGCTGGGAGTAGGGGCTCCAGCAAGCGCATGCATGCTAGTTCAAACTACCTTCTTCGTTTTCAGTGGTATCCAGGCATCTAGAGTATGCCAGGTCCCATTAGCACTATAAGACAAGTGAAACAGAAGCCAGTATCTTAGGCAGCCCCCAGGAAAGCTGAAATGTTGGACATGTGGTTTGATTCTCCTCCCCACCCCACCATGCTAGGGAGAAGCTGAGAGCTGGAGGTTTCTTTCCATTGGCGTGGCGCTAAGCTAGGGATAAGGATTATGGTGAGGATTCCTCAGATTTTCCTACCAGCCTTGATGAAGCTGGATTCACTCTCACTCAGGATTCAGGAGCCTCTCAACTAGTTTCTGGGTTCTTCACAATAGGAATTTGTTCATGTATTGTTGTTGAATTCATGTGCTCCTGGAGAGAAGGAGGGTCCAGAGCTTCCTATTCCACCATCTTGCAGGAATCATTCCTCTTCTTTTTTTTTTTTTTAATTTCAAAGACATCACTTTTATCTACTTTTCTCTCTTACAGGAATAGTCTATATTTTCAAGAGTGTCCATTATCTTCCAAGAGAAAGCAAAAGGACTTTAAGGACCATCATAAATCCTTATTTATTAATACTCACACTTTCAATTACTTATATGTATTTTCACCAATATAACAACGTGTTTTATGAACTTTATGAATCATAAGTCTTAGAAATAGCTTTTTAAAAATACTAGATGGGGGCCAGGCGCGGTGGTTCATGCCTATAATCCCAGCACTTTGGGAGGCCGAGGCAGGTGGATCACGAGGTCAAGAGATCGAGACCATCCTGGCCAACATGGTGAAACCCCATCTCCACTACAAGTACAAAAAATTAGCTGGGCATGGTGGCACGTGCCTGTAGTCCCAGCTACTCAGGAGGCTGAAGCAGGAGAATCACTTGAACCTGGGAGGCAGAGGCTGCAGTGAGCCAAGATAGCACCACTGCACTCCACCCTGGCGACAGAGCGAGACTCTGTCTCATAAAAAAAAAATTAGATGGTACCATCTGTTAAAGATATTCAACAGATGATAAACCTTTGAAGATTTTTCTCCCACAGAAATTTTATCATCATGTAAAGAGGTATATATTAGCTTGTGTTTGTGTTTAAATCCAACAATTCTCCCTGCCAACATGTTCGAATGATAAATCTTGATTTCTATTCCAGTCTGCATCTTTCTCAGACTTTGCTGTCTAAATAGCACACCATTTACCTGGTTTTCAGATCAAAAGCCTCTAAGTCAAGGATGACTCCTCTCTTTCTCCACACATATAACTTGCCAGCATGTTTGATCAGATCCACCCTCAAAAATACACTTCAAATTTAATAATTTCTTATCACTTCCATGACTATTACCCTGACCCACACTACATCCCTCACCTGGACTGCAGCAATAGTTCCTAAGTCTATAACTTTTTAATCATGAAATATTTTATATTTCAACTCAGTATACAAACAAACACACATACACATACACACACACACACACACACACACACACACACACACAGCTGAAACAAAAATTCAATTCAGCACTGCTTATTCTTACTATATGTAATGCACTCTATTATTTTATGTCTTTTTTTTAAATGGGTCACAAACCAGTAAGTTGATATCAGAATATCTAAATGGTTATCTGTTGTTGAAAACCTCTTCTCTGGCTTGGTGCTGTGGCTCATACCTGTAATCCCAGCACTTTGGGAGGCCTAGGTGGGCAGATCACTTGAGACCAGGAGTTTGAGACCAGCCTGGCCAACACAGCAAAACCCCATCTCTACTGAAAAAAAAAAAAACAAAAAAAAACAAAACTTAGCGGAGCATAGCGGCATACAGCTACTTGGGAGTCTGAGGCAAGAGAATCACTTGAACTCGGGAGGTGGAGGTTGAACCCGGGAGGTGGAGGTTCCAGTGAGCTGAAATCGTGCCACTGCTCTCCAGTCTGGGTGATGAAGTGAGACTCTGTCTTGAAAAAAAAGAAAACAAAAGAAAAGAAAACTCTCCTTACTCATCTCACTGCTTTCACTTTTGCCCTCTATAAATAATTCTTCATCCAGCAGATCTTTCAAAACACAAATCACAAAGAAAGAAGAAAAAGATAAAAACAAACAAAAACAAAACACAAATCACATTTTTTCTCTGCTCCTAACCCTCTGATGGCTTCTCACCATACTCAATGAAATCCCAACTCCTAAACATGGACTGCAAAGGCTGTGTGTGGCCTGGCCCCTGTCTATCCTTCTGGCCCCACATCCTACCACTGCTTACCCCCCACCCTGCCCCAGCCATGGCGGCTTCTTGCTGCTGCTCAAAAACAACAAGCTCACTACAACCTCAGGCTCCTGGCACCGGCTCCTTGCTCTGCCTGGAACACACCCGGATCATCACATAGCTCACTCCCTCGCCCCACTCAGCTCTCTACTCAATTCATCACTCCTCAGGCAGGACTTTCCTGGCTATTCTCTCTAAAATGCTCCCAGTCATTCTCTGTCTTCTTATCCTGATTTAATTTTCTTTATAACACTCTCTGACATTATATGTTTATTTGTTTGTTATTTGCATCCTTTACTAGATGTTAGTTTCATAGAGGCAGAGATTTCTGTCTTATTTCCTATAATTGCTTATCATCTGGGGTTGGGGAAGGGGTGGAAGCCAGGCAAAGAGCGGACATCCTGACGGATGTCGTACGAATCAAGACTTGTTTCCTCACCAAGGCTTCTGAGAGAACTTTCCTGTCCATGCCTCTCTTTGGCCCACTCAATTATTTCCATTCTTCAGCATTAGAGCCTATTTGTCCCACAGCAGAATGGGAACCTTCTCTTCCTCAGTAAATAGCCCCTAAAAATTTACCTTTAATAAACATTTCCTACCTCATCTAAACAGAATTCTCTCTCATCCTCACAAAATACTCCATTTATTTTCTTTTTCTTTTCTTTTCTCTCTCTCTCTCTCTTTTTTTTTAAGAGGCAGTGTCTTGCTCTGTCTCACAGGCTGCTAGAGTGCACTGGCACAATTATAGCTCACTGTAGCCTCAAACTCCTGGGCTCAATCCTTCCACCTCAACCTCCCAAGTAGCTGAGACTACAGGCATGCATCACCATGCCCAGCTCATTTAAAATTTTTTTTAGAGACAGGGTCTCGCTATGTTGCCCAGGCAGGTCTGAACTCCCAGGCTCAAACTATCCTCCTGTCTTGGCTTCCCAAAGTGCTGGGATTACAGGCATGAGCCGGGGCACCCAGCTATTTACTTATTCATAGCTAAAATCCACAGTCAAATTATTTTGTGTGTAGCCTTTATGTGGCTTTGTCAGTTTTAAATTGTGTCCAAAAGCCAGAGGTTATAACCATCTTATGCTGATAAGGAGTATTTTGCCCAATGCCAGGTTCCCAGAATATTTTTAAAGAATCTTGTATCAGATTTAACAAGTCGATGGTGGGAGATCAACCATCGAAAGGACACAGGTTCTGAAGTCAGACAGAACTAGGTCTGAATCCCAGCTGTCACTTAATCCCAGCTGGGTAACCTTGGGCAAATTATGCAACCTCTCTGGATATAAATATATGTCAGATTCTTAGCACTACATCTGACACAGTAGCCTCTAGACAAATGACACCTACTGTTATTTAACCGGGCTGCTTGTATGTCTAAGTAGGACAATACAGAAGATTCACTCATTTCGAGATGACATTAGTGCAGACCTCTCTCCAAATAGTTCTTTGTTGCTAAATAGAAGAATGTTGCCGGGTGTGGTGGCTCACGCCTGTAATCCCAGCACTTTGGGAGGCCGAGGGGGGCGGATCACGAGGTCAGGAGATCGAGACCATCCTGGTTAACATGGTGAAACCCCGTCTCTACTAAAAATACAAAAAATTAGCTGGGCGTGGTGGCGGGCGCCTGTAGTCCCAGCTACTCGGGAGGCTGAGGCAGGAGAATGGCCTGAACCCGGGAGGCAGAGCTTGCAGTGAGCAGAGATCACGCCACTGCACTCCAGCCTGGGTGACAGAGCGAGACTTCGTCTCAAAAAAAAGAAGAATGTTGACGCTGCCTTTTGTGGAGACGGTATCTGTGTAAGGAAGCTGCGTGTCCACTTAGCCCCCATCTTTTACCACTATGGGGAAGTGTGGGTTCTCTGCTTCTTAGGGAAAGCAGAAGATCATTTTCTTGAGAGTTCCTCTGGTATTCTCTCTCTGGTATCTAGTTTCCTTATATTTGGGGGGAATAAAATAGTTTCTTCTGGCTATTTGCTTCAAGCTTACCTCAGTCTCTAATTACATTTTAAAATTTTGTTCAAGTGAAATATATACCTGTGTTCATTTGCTCATTTGCTCAAAAAGCATTTCTTAAGTAAGTGCTAAGTATGGTCCTAGCAGCTATATAAATGGTAGTTAACAAAAGATATAATCACTGTGCTTATGGTTTCCAGGGTGTAAAAATTTCAAGAATTTCCCCATTATCATAAGAATTGAGGGTAGAGAAAGGATAAGAGGGTAAGTTATTTTATATTTGTTACCATCTATTCCCTATGACTCCATTTAACTGACATTTAGTTGCCCAGTGCCCAACATGATACACTGAGGTCAAACATAAAACCCAGTGGGGAGGAGCCAACAGACCTGGCTTCAAGTTCTAGAGCTTCCATTAGTAACTCTCAGGTCTTAGTCAATTCACTTTATCTCTTCATGCCTTAGTCCTCTGAAAAATTATGAGGTTACTAGAGGCTCTCTAAGGCTTCTTCTGGTAAAAGATTATATTTTGTAATTCCAAATTCCTTCTCTAGGGAAAAAATAACTCAGTATACTGGTTTCCACAGATTTTTTTTTTTTTTTTGAAATGGAGTCTCACTCTGTCACCCAGGCTGGAGTGCAGTAGTGCAATCTCAGCTCACTGAATCTCTGCCTCCCGGGTTCAAGCAATTCTCCTGCATCAGCCTCCCAAGTAGCTGGGATTACAGGCATTACCACCACACCCAGCTAATTTTTGTATTTTTAGTAGAGACAGGGTTTCACCATGTTGGCCAGGTTGGTCTCAAACTCCTGACCTCAGGTGATTCGCCCACCTTAGCCTCCCAAAGTGCTGGGATTACAGGCGTGAGCCACCGCGCTTGGCTGGTTTCCACAGATTTTATAGTTCGTCATTTGCAATTTTGAACATGTAAGTCAATTTCATACTATTTTACAATTCAGAATTATCAAACAGAATATCTTCTCTGAAAAAAGTATCATCTGAAATCAATGTATACAACTTGCAGAAAGTAAACTGAATGCAGTGGCATGATCATAAACATGTCATGTATATAAAGCATGGATTTCTTATATATAAATGATCATCACCTGGCAAGAAATTCTTTTCTGAAATAAAAATATTCCTGCCTGAATCTCTTCAAAATCTCTATTAATTTGGCAAATTCTTTATCAAGAGACTCTTTGTGGTTTCCCAAGATGTTCAGCATTAATATGCAAAGATCTAGCTTCTCTTCCATGATATTGTTGAATTCCTACAAGAAAAGTCACAAAACAAACCCCAGTACTCCAATGTTAAACACGGACAAATGACAGAGGCAATCTAAAAAGCTGTGGACATTCCATCTCAATGGCATACTGGATGCCAAAACTGTATGTCAATGAGTACCAATTCTCAATTGTATGTTAATTAATACCAATTTCCAATTGCCCAGAGATTGACTATCCTATTGGTTATGTCAATGTAACAAGTATGTATAAAGTGCCTATTATGTCCCTAAAACTGAGCTTTGCTTTCTTTTTCTTAAGTTTCCCCTGACAACTTCAGTAGTCATCACAATTGCTTTAGAACAGGATGGGACAAGATAATGCAATAATATCAGTATTTACAGATTATCATATTCACATGTAATCTTAAAAAAATTAGATTGACTGTAATCCCAGCACTTTGGGGGGCTGAGGTGGGTGGATCACCTGAAGTCAGGAGTTTGAGATCAGCCTGGCCAAAATGGTGAAACCCTGTCTCTACTAAAAATACAAAAATTAGCCGGGCGTGGTAGTGCATGCATGTAATCCCAGCTACTTGGGAGTCTGAGGCAGGAGAATCACTTGGACCCAGGAGGCAGAGTTTGCAGTGAGCTAAGATCACGCCACTGCCCTCCAGCTTGGGCAACAGTGAGATTCCTTTTTAAAAAACAAAAACAAAAAAAAATTAGATTGGCAAAGGAGTTGAAATCATATTCCAGAGTTTACTTTTTTCTTTAGCTTAACTTAAGGGGCTGATGGATGCTAGAAAGTGGCTGGCAGTCAAGAAGTAGAGGTAAATAGGTGAGGGACAGATGAAAGAGATACCTTCTCATATGCTTCCTTTCTAATAAAGCTGGGAATAGCTACCTAAGAAGTTCCTGTTTTTCCAATGTTCTGCAAGTTCCTGAGATAGTAAAACCGTCAAAGTCTCAGGAATAAGATTCTGTTACACAGTAATCATTCTTTCAAAGTTAGGCAATTTTAATAGGCTAAGGAAAAATCTTAATTTAGACTAGCCAATTCTTACAAGGAGATAAATGCATTTTTTTCATTAAATCATCTTATTTATTATTTTCTCTCCATCACATCTCACATATCTGCACACTCACTCTCTCTCACATACTTTCCTCACCCTCACACTCATATACACCCCTGGACACACAGTCTATACTCATGATCAGACTAAGATAGCAGAAGACTACAATAAAGTCTTAGAAATGGTACTGTATATACTATTACCTGGCTTAACAAAGTAGAAGAAAAACCAGGAAAATCATAAAATATAAAACACTTACAGTAAGCTGCTCCTCCCACTTTTCTTTCACAGTAATTTCTGGATTAGTTACCCACCGTCGAGAGTTTTCAATGAGGGTTGCAATTTTAGAAATTTCTTCGTGCTGAAAAAAGAGTTCCACATCTTCAACTAGGAAGACATATGCTATTATATAATCAGAATCCATTGAGACCAAAATTCTACTATATAGGTAACTCAGGAAAATACCAGAATACGTTCCTTTGCATCTAATGCCCCCAGTGACTTTCTTTTATTCCAGGATGTTGCCATGTGTATATGCTATATCATCAGGTGCTCTATACATGTTGAATATATACAGAGAGAATCATTTTCCAGAACAAACCCCATCTTTTTAAATAGAAGAAAACAACCATTTTCACTTATTTTTACCGTTCTAAAATGTACCAAAATGTACAAAATGTAAAATGTACCAAAATGTACCAAACTAAATGCTACCTACTATATGCTAGGCACTATGAAAGGGACTGGCAATACCAGTATGAAAATATTGTTCTCTGATTTCTCCAATCATCCAGAGTTTCCAGTGAAAAGTCAAAATGGAGAAAGGAATACCAGCCATTAACCAGAAGAAAATTTAAAGAAGGAAACTGTTCAATAGATACCATGTCTTCAGCCCTTTGATACTAAAGATTAGCTCACAGGAAAAAATAACCTCAAGCAATCCGTATCTAATGGTCAATCTGTTAGCCCTGATTGACCCAGAACTAAAAGGCCAGCTTCAGAAAGGTTTGAGAAAAACCTTCGCTTTTCAGAGTGTATTAATTTGGGTCTCAGCAGCACACAGATACATTTGGACTCAGCAAACAGGTTGCAGGTCAGTTATCTGCAGATATTGCCAGCCAAAACGGAACACCATGATAAAGGTATGTTATACGATACCAGCTTCTGAAGCGTGGCTGTGAATTCCACTGCCTTCTGTGCGGGCTCTCTTAGTAATAGCAGCATTTCCTGATCCATCATGGCGTCCAGAGATGACAAGTTGATTACATTGTGCTGCCTTTCTGTTTCAGTGTTCTGAAACAAGGATCGAAATGCCCACAATTGACATCTGAATAAAGAACATTCATTACTTTCACTTAACAAAAATGATGCTCATGAGTTAATGTCATTGTCCTTGTCATTTGGTTCTCAATAGTCTTGTGAAATTCTCCTACATCCTAAAAAAGCTGTTGATATTTTCTCTCTGGGATGGCTCCAATTGAACATTTATTCTGTCTTAAGGAAAACTCATTATCAATAGATGACATTTACATGCTGATGATATAAACGGTTATGGCTCTAATTTTAACATAAAAATAGGTAAAGAAATACCCAGGGGGAAAAAATTGATGGAGAAGGGCTGCTCCATCAATCCCACTGAAAACAGGTTGGCTTCTTTTGTCTCCCTTCCATTCATAAAAGACCATATGATGTTTCACAAAGTACATTCCCTATACTTCTCTCAAAATCTCTGCCTCCTGTCATATTTTAAATATATGACCCAAGTCTTCTTTTTGCTGCCTGTTGAAAAGGTTACAGGACTCTTACTTTGAGATTCTAGTTAGAAGACAAACTTCCCAACTCATCAGTGGGTAAACCTCAGAGCCAGAACTTTGCCGGCTGATAACCTTCCTGTTTAGAACTATAGAACTTTCTGGGCTGGCATCTTGACATCATTATTATCTCAGAGGACTGAGGATAAAAACACACTGCTGTGGCAGATTTGCCACAGTTTCATTCAGTCTGGCAGTTTGGCTTGGTTTCAAAAACACAGTGAAATGATGAGTATTTGAAACAGAATGTCAGGAAAGCACAGCCCTCAGCAGAATGTCCAGGGCTGCCGGAGATGGCTTCAGATGAAGGCAGCATATGTTGTCCCTGCATCCTTGGCAGAAGCAATTCAAATAGCGTTTGCCCAAAGGCATTCTTTCTCTCCTTTCAAGGTGGCATCACAGCTGTCAACAGGAGAACATTCTGACATATCTATCGTCCACAGATAGGAAGAGACCATCAAATGGTGAAAAGAAAGCATTTTTCTAAATAAAGCATTTCTGAGCATAACAAGCACAAAACTGGAGAATACAAAGGAATGAAAATATAGCATAAGGGAGTCAGAACATCTTTATCCCCGAGAAGGTTTTTAAAATATTTCTTCCCATGTTATAAAGTACTGGGTCTACCAAACAAATGGAAATTGTTTAAACTAATAAATTCATTTTGCCACTTTAAAATTAACCAAAACACATGTAAGAAAATGCTAGTTTCTGTTCAGAATGTAATAATCAATGTCATTAATTTGGGCTGATACAATTATAATCTAAAGCAAATAAATTTGGTATTGTTTCTGGGCATCTTTATTTTTTGATAAATATATTTACTTTCAGGGTTTGGAAAATTCTAAAAAATAACTCATGGATATCTACTGCTACCTTTGGGATCCCAGGCTGGGGAATCAGGGCAGGTAGTCTGTCCTGTCAAGAAAACAAAGATTTCTAAAGTCCCAAAGTCCCTGAATGCACACTTCCACAAACCTTCAACCTTGCTGTAGCTTTCGGCCGTAACTTGAAAATGGTCCTTTCTCCCCAAGCTAAGAAACTTTAGACTTGGACTCTAAGAACTATCAGCACATTCTCTCAGTGTCACTGGTAGTTTTTGGCAAGCTGTGAACCTTCATTAAATCATAAGCTATCACATGGGGTAGTTATCTTTCAAAGCTTTCCATCTTCTTATAATGACCTACCTCTGCAGACTGAGCAAGAGTGAGTTCGTAATGTAAAGACTTTTCTCCTTCAGAGATGATACTGTTACACTCTCCATTAACATTCAACTGGATCCCATTTCTTGAGAAAAACAAAAACAATAGTCTAGTTAGGTGTGCCTCCAACATTACGTTTGAAGTCAACAGAATATAGGGTCCATTTATCACGAAACAATCAGTGCCATGTGCCAAGGATTGTATAATGTGCTTGGGAATAGGGAGAGTGATCAGAAATTGTCTCTGTCCTCCAGGAGCTGCACAGACTGGTGAGTCTAGGAGGTCATACACCAGGCCACAGTTTTTAAAAGAATTGGTACCAACAGTTAAAAATCAGAAAATGTCACTTAAAAATCTGGATTTCTGGCTTTTCTTCCAAAATCAGAAGATGTGGCCAGATTAGGTCCATACCGTTTTGATGTCACAATTAGTTGGAGCTAAACAGAGTAACCCCTTTGCCTTTATATCGGTAATGCACTTATCTCCTTTTCCATTTGCATAATGTAGATGCGTGCATATTCCATTAGCTTTACTCATTTTTGTTATCTGAGTGGCTCCTGTGGATCCTGGACTAGCATATTACTCACATTCAGAAACAAATAATTATCATACAGGATGATGTGTGTTAGGAAAGAGGTGAGAACAAGGTGCCATGCTTACATTCAAAACAATTACTTAGGCCAGGCTGGGTGGCTCACACCTGTAATCCCAGCACTTTGAGAGGCCGAGGCAGGCAGATCATGAAGTCAGGAGTTCGAGACCAGCCTGGCCAACATGGTGAAACCCCATCTCTACTAAAAATACAAAAATTAGCCAGGCATGGTGGCATATGCCTGTAGTCCCAGCTTACTGGGGGACTGAGACAGAAGAATTGCTTGAACTCAGGAGGTGGAGGTTGCAGCGGGCCGAGATCACGCCACTGCACTCCAGCCTGGGTGACAGAGCAAGACTCCACCTCCAAAAAAAAAAAAAAAGAAAGAAAGAGTTACTTAGTTCCAGGGTAAGGGAAAAGCAAGCAAGGGAAAGTCAACACAATGGACTGAATGTTTGTTTGCCCCCCATTATTTCATATATTGAATTCCTAACCCCAATGCGATGGTATTTGGAAATGGAACACTTGGAAGGTAATTAAGTTATGAGGTTGGAGCCCTCATGAATGGGATTAGTGTCCTTATAAGAAGAAGCCAAAGAGTTAGCTAACTGCTTTTCCTCCATGCTTGTACAAGGATAAGTCGGCAATCTGCAACTTAGTACAGGGCCCTCACTAGAACTCAACCCTGCTGGCATCCTGATCTTGGAGTTCCAGCCTCCAAAACTGTAAGAAATAAATGAGTATTATTGAAGCCACACAGTCTATGGTATTTTGTCATAGCATCCTGAGCTGTCTAAGACAATCAGGGGTCATAGAAAACTCACAAAGAAGTTCTCATGGAGAAAAATAGAGAAAATATCACATACAAACGTATAGAAGAAAAGAATGTGGCACATACAAAGCTCAATTGGGCCAATAATGTAGGGTAGAGGAACAAGAGAGGAGGCTGGCAAGGGTTGCCCTCTACTTACGTGATGAGTGCCTGTTGCAAGTGCTGTAACTCATGAGCCAGTTTACTTTTTTCCCCTCGTAAATTCTGGAATCGCACACAACATTAGGCTGTACATGTTACTCTAGTGGGGAATTTACATTTAACAAGCCCACCTTGCAAGGTGTGAGATTAATAATAACAGGTATACCTCTATAATGCTTCCATATTCTATGATGGTTGATTTAAGTTCTTCTATATATAAGCCTTTCTGAAAAGTAGAAGAGAGAAATAATAGCAAAAAAGTAATGGGTCCACCAAATCATATATATTAGACTATTAATGTGAGCCACAGAAAAATTGTAAATGCCCAATCGTCATGCGATTCTACCAGTCTCACTATTTGAAAACTGAACCAGTCGGTGTTTTGCGATTAAAAACACACAAGGACGGCTGGGCGTGGTGGCTCACGACTGTAATCCCAACACTTTGGGAGGCCGAGGAGGGCGGATCACCTGAGGTCGGGAGGTCCAGACCAGCCTGACCAACATGGGGAAACCCTGTCTCTACTAAAAACGCAAAATTAGCCGGGTGTGGTGGCGCATGCCTGTAATCCCAGCTACTCAGGAGGCTGAGGCAGGAGAATCACTTGAATCCAGGAGGTGGAGGTTGTGGTGAGCCAAGATCACGCCATTGCACTCCCGCCTGGGCAACAAGAGTGAAACAAAACAAAAAAACAAAACAAAAACAAACACACACACACACACGGACAAAAAGGGAGCAATATGTAACTGGTGTCAATATAATCTGTGTTTGTCTGACCCAGTGGAATCAAACTCTAAAAGGTGATTCTTAAGCCCAAAACAAAATTATATTTATCATCATGATGTGTTAAAGAAAAAAATCAGTCTTGCAAGTGACCAATGAAATAAAGGCATCTGATTTTTTTCAGTACTAATGATACCTCCTTAAAATCATTGTTTTCTTCTACAAGACCAAAAGGTACAGGTAGTGAGTACCTGATCTCTAATTTTATCCTGTGGCTAGCGTGGTGGCTGGCACATGGGAGATGATCAATCAATACCTGATGAACCCTGAGCAGGAGTGCAGAACGGTGAGAAGACCAGAGTTAGGGAGGAACTGAGTAGCCACTACTATCGCAATATCATTACATAGAGAACACCCGCAATGAAGACATCAAGTTAGGACAATACGCAGTATCCCAGTCAAAGTCCACAGCTATGCATGTTTCTTTTGAAACTTCAAAATGTGCATGGAAAAGAGGAGTGGCAAATATCATTCTTTCTTCACTTCTCTGTTTTGGACTGTGGAAGATTATTGACTGAGGCTGTGTTCCTTCCTGTGTCTCTTAAAGTTACCGTAACCAGCACCTTTGTAGCCGGTATCCTTGGCTACAATCACAGGATACAAGAATAGAATGATATCTATCTATGTATCTATCTAATCAATCAATCAAATTGGGTTTCAAATAATTTGGGTATATATTCTTCTTCCACCCTAAAATGAATGGCTGCAGACTCATTTATGTTGTTAGAAATTAAAACGACATCACCAGTATCTAGCCAGTGACTGGTAGATTGGCACACTAATATTTGTCACGTGTGGATGAACACCACCAGAATTTAGAGAAGATATGTTCAAACTTATTTTTATAAAGTGCTATAAAGGAAAGTCTCATGACATCATATTAGAATCAGATTTTTTAGGCTGGGTGCGGTGGCTCACGCCTGTAATCCCAGCACTTCAGGAGGCTGAGGCAGGTGGATCACCTGAGGTTAGGAGTTCAAGACCAGTCTGGCCAACATGAGGAAACCCCGTCTCTACTAAAAATACAAAAATTAGCTGGCTTGGTGGCAAAACACCTGTAATCCCAGCTACTCAGGAGGCTGAGGCAGGAGAATTGCTTGAATCTGGGAGGTGGAGGTTGCAGTGAGCTGAGATCATGCCATTGCACTCCAGCCTGGGCAACAGAGCAAGACTCCGTCAAAAAAAAAAGAATCAGATTTGGAGAGAGCTAGCCAATTCCATGGGACTTTGTGGTAAGGAACAATACCAACCTTCTGCAAACTTGTATCTTTATTAAGCAAAGTGTTCTCATATGTGTGTAACTGCATCTGAAAAGAGACGAATTTAGGGAAGGCCGTTGGGACATTGCTTTGGTAAAAGGACAGTGCCATAAAATCATTCCAGTAAGATGTTTCTGAAGCACCTTTAACATGCATGTACTTTTCACTTTACAAAGTACTTTCCCTTCCAACTCTAGAGGCAGGCATCATTGCTCTCATGTTACCAGTGAGGAAACCAAACTCCACACTACCCAGAGACTCACCCACCCAATGTCGCACACTGTCAATGGCAGAGCTGAGCCTGGAATGCAAGTCTACAGCTCCAGCCAAGTGCCCTTCCCACCATTCCACACTTAACATAATAAGGGAATGTTCAGAATCTTCACTTTTTTGGTGAAAATAAAAAGTCTAGATACAATATGAACATAGAGATTCCATGAGGACACATAGAAGACTCTTCCCCTTTTAAAAACATAGTTTAGCCTGGCATGGCGGCACATGCCTGTAGTCTCAGGCACTCGGGAGGCTGAGGCTGGAGGATGGTTTGAGCCCCAGAGTTCGAAGGTGCAGTGAGCTACGATCACACCATTGCACTTCAGCCCAGGTGACAGCGCAAGACTCTCATCTCTAAAACTAAAATTTAAATAAAAAAAAAAAACATATTGTAACAATGCTTAAGATTTCTTTTAGCTAAGTGAACATAAAGGATATATCAATTTATTCAAATCAAAAGCAAGCTTGTTGGCATATGCTGCTGCATATTATAGAATGAATAAATATGTATATTGACTGAATTGAGAACCTGGAAAAATAATCATCATGGTCAGAAGCAGAATCATCACCATAATCTTATACACTGGATATAATCACATCATCATCTGAATTTATAGCAAGCTTGTGGGATAGGTACAAACATCACATCCATTTAGTAGATGTGAAAATTTAGACTTAGAGCTTGCCTGAGGTTATAAAATTTTTCAGTAGAAAAGACAGGATCTGAACCCGTGTCTTCTGGCTCTTTCCACTGGTTTATCACAGTTGTGTTTTGCAAAGACAGCCACTCCTAGTGTAGAATTAATTTTAATGTCTAAGAAGGCTGGGCATGGTGGCTTACAGCTGTAATCCCATGCTTTAGGAGGCCAAAGTAGGAGGATCACTTGAGGGAAGGAGTTCAAGATCAGCTTGGGCAACATAGCAAGACTTCATCTATACAAAAAATTTAAAAATAAATTAACTGGGCATGGTGGTGTGCCTCTGTACTCCCAGCTACTTGGAGTTTGAGATGGGTACATGTGCACAACGTGCAGGTTTGTGATGGGAAGATCACTTGAACCCAGGAGTTCAAGGCTGCAGTGAACTATGATAATGCCACTGCACTACTGCGCAGGTAACAGAGTGAGATCCCATCTTTAAATTCACAAATTAACTGATTATTTGTTAGTTAATTTTTAAAAAATTGATGTTTAAATTATAACTGTTGTTTTACATATATATGTAAACACACACATGAAATGTTAGTTTCTGCTAGGAAACTGGAAAACTCTACATCAGAATGTAGAAATTTAAGTATATCATCATTTCAGACACATACAACAACAAAATATTTCTCAAATAAGCCATTAGAGATGACAATAAGCATGACACAAATTCATGAATTTACTAGTCGTTGTCATCTGTTTCCTGATGAGAATGTGTGACAGATAACAAAAATATGTATGAAATATAGACTTTTTAGACACTATCTAGACAAAAAATATTTTTGTAAGGTATAATTTCTTAATATAATTAGGGATAAATTTTTCCCATCTCTCCTCATTTTTAGCATTAAGAAGGTACATTATCTCAGGTTGAGGTTGGTAAACTACAAAAAAATAAAAATAAAATTTAAAGAAGGTACAATATCTGAAATATTTCCTGATTTAGAAATAAATAAAATCAGACACAATTAAATTAAAAATTGCCATATAATATAAAAAGATAACAAATCTGGGCAAGAATGTAGAGAAATTTGAGCCCTCATGCACTGCTGGTGGAATGTAAAATGGTGCAGCCACTTTGAACACAGCCTGGCAGTTCCTTAAAAGGTTAAACGTAGAAACAAGGCCAGGCGTGGTGGTTCACCCCTGTAATCCCAACACTTTGGGAGGCTGAGGCGGGCAGATCACTTGAGGTCAGGAGTTTGAGAACAGCCTGGCCAACATGGTGAAATCCCATCTTTACCACAAATACAAAAATTAGCTAAGCATGGTGGCGCACGCCTGTAATCCCAGCTACTCAGGAGGCTGAGGCAGGAGGATCCCTTGAACCTGGAGGCAGAGGTTGCAGTGAGCCAAAATCATACCACTGCACTCCAGCCTGGGCAACAAGAGCAAAACTCTGTTTCAATAAATAAATAAATAAACAAACAAACATAGAAACATCAAGTGACCCAGTAATTTCACTCCTAGGTATATACCCAAGAGAAATCAAGACATATGTACACATAGAAATTTGTATACAAATGTTCATAGCAGACGATTCATAATAGCCAGAAAGTGAAAACAGCCTGAACACCCATCACCTGATGAGTGAACAAACAAAATTTGATATATCCATATAGAATATTATCCAGCCATAAAAAGAGGTGTAGTACAGCCGGGTGCAGTGGCTCATGCCCGTGATCCCAGCACTTTGGGAGGCCGAGGTGGGCAGATCACAAGGTCAGGAGATTGAGACCATCCTGGCTAACATGGTGAAACCCGGTCTCTACTAAAAATACAAAAAATTAGCTGGGTGTGGTGGCGGGTGCCTGTAGGCCCAGCTACTCGGGAGGCTGAGGCAGGAGAATGGCGTGAACACGGAAGGCAGAGCTTGCAGTGAGCCAAGATTGCACCACTGCACTCCAGCCTGGGCAAAAGAGCGAGATTCTGTCTCAAAAAAAAAAAAAAGAAAAAAAAAGAGGTAGTAATACATGCTATATCATGGATGAACCTTAAAAACATTATGCTAAGTGAAATCAGCCACACACAAAAGGCAACATATTATATGATTTAATTTATATGAAATGTCCAGAATAGACAAATCTATAGAGACAGACAATAGATTAGTGGCTGCTTAGGGTTGGGGAGAGGACGGTGGGTGGGGGATGGTAAAAGGGATTTCTTTCAGGGTGATGAGAATGTTTTAAACTTGATTTTGGAGATGGTTGTACAACTCTGTGAACGTACTAAAACACACTGACTTGTATACTTTAAGTTGATGAAATTTAAGGCATGTGAATTACATATCAGTAAAGCAGTTGCCAAAAAAAAAAAAGAAGGAAAAGGAAACTAGCTTTTATATAACTCAAATATTTTGTAGACTAAAAGTTTCAGAATTTATAACCAAAGTTTAGTTTGTCAATGAGGCATAGACATTTTCATAAAATAATACTGGTTTGACAGAAAAAAAATATTTTACCAGTATTTGGGAAGTGCTTACTTGGTGCTCTGTCTCAGTTTTAGACAAGTCTTCAATCTTCTTTTCCAGTCTGTCTATATCCATGATGTTCTTGAAATTCTAATGTAAAAGATAGTATTCTTGGATTTAGCACCAAGAAAAATAAAAGATGAGGACAAACAAAGTCTCTTTTAGGAGGTGGTATTTCATCACTCTCAGTATTGCCTTTTTATCTTCCATTCAACCTCAGCCACTACTCCCATAGTCATAAATTCAAACTTGTTATTACCAGTCACTGCAGCCCCTCCATTACCTTAACTGCAAGCATCCCACCGTTCAACAACCACCTCTTGGCTTTCCAGATTACTTCCTCTATACCCACAAACCTTCAATCCCCCCTGGAACCCGCAATCCATTGATCCGACCACCTTTTCATTATCCTTCAACCTTCCCATGAACTCAGACCCCTCTTTATTTAGCTTCAGTTCTTCCCTGGGCAATCATTATAATCATTCCCTTCCAAATGCCTCCATTCCCTGCCTAACTCCTGCTTCTTAGCATTTACCTAGATTAGCTTACCACCCACTCCACACCAGCACCCTTTCAGATGAACATGCTTAAAGAAAGCATGAACAGATAGGTCACAGGTTTAATTCATGGCCTTTAACCTCAGTGTTTACTGGTGATCATATCATATCATCCTGGTATATTTATACTGCCTTTTACCTAAATCAGGGGGTGGCAAACTATGCCCAGCCCCCTCACTCCACCCCTAAAGACCAAATCTAGCTGACCACCTGTTTTTGTAAATAAGGTTTTATTAGAGCACAGCTGTGCCCATTCAGGTACATACTGTCTATGACTGCTTTCACAATACAAAGGCAGAGGTAAGTAGTTGACACAAAGGTCATTTTTGTGGCTAGCAAAGCCTAAAAATATTTACAATCAGGCCCTTTACAAAAAATTTTCGAACCCCTAGCTCATTTCATTCCTTCTCTTTCCTCAAATTTCCAATAACCCCTCCAACATCCTCACTCTCAGCTGATGACTTTGCTTTGTATTTCACTGAGACACTAGAAACAACCAGAAGAAAATTTCCTTCTTACCTGAAAACATAACAAATATCTTTGGATATATTACAAAGCATTTCCTGATCCAAACACTTCTGTCCACCTCCACTGCAACTACTCAGTCCAAGCCCCCATCAGCTTTTGACTGGATCATTGCAAAGACCTCTTAATTGGTCTTCCTGCTTTTTCTCTTGCCCCGCTACAATGGATTCTAAACCCAGCAGCCAGAGTTGTCTTGTTAAAACGGAATTAGATCATATTACTCCTTTGCTCAAAACACTTCAATGGCTCCCATCTCACTCAAGTGTTTTTTTTGTTTTGTTTTGTTTTGTTTTAAAAAAAGACAGAGTCCTTAGGATGCGTGTGTAAGCCCCTTGTGTCTGGACCCTCCAGCTCTTGGCCTGCATCTCTTGCTACTTGTTCACTTTGCTCCAGACACTCTGGCCTTGCTGTCCCTCCAAAATAGCAGGCAGGCTGCAGCCTCACGATTTTCAGCTATTTCTTCTGCCTGGAAGGCTCTTTCACAGATAAACCTCCTTTCCCAGTTTTGAATCAAAGGATTAGCTTCATAAGGCTGCTTTTCCTAACCACCCTAGTTTAAATTGCACTCCTCTCTGCCTCAGTTCTGTTTTCTGCTTTTCTTTTCTCTATAGCTCTTTTTACCGTCTAACATACTAGTTCCACATGAGCTATTTTGCTAAGCTCATATAGTCAGCACTTAGAATAGCTCTAAGATCTTCCAATGAATACGTGTTGAATGAACAAAATGAATGAATGAATAAAAGTGAATCACTACCCAAACCATTGTGATGTTACTCTTCACAATGCATCAGATTTTTACCTCCCAAAGGAATCTTAGCTAGTGACAACACTTATATTCGTTTTCTAATGTAAGTCAATAATTGCAATGCTATTTCATGATGAAGGGCTTTCAATCTTCCTTCTATCTCAATTCTGAACTGGTTTGGTACAATTCTTTGATACGTGTCACTCATCTAAATAAGAGGAGAAAAATATCTTACATTAGTAGTTTAATTGTAAATCACTAGTTTCACAAAAGCCTGGCCTTGTGGCTATACCAGCTCTGAATCTAATATAGGCTTTCTTTCCAAACTTTAATTGTTCCTTTCCAATCCACTATGAAATTTTAAAATACCCACTTGGCCCACATTTTGAATAACTCTCCAGATTGTGCTGCATAGCTTCATAAATACTTCTGATAGCCTCACATAAAAGCAAAATTTAAAAACTGGCATACTACTTGATATTCAAATGGTGTCTATTATAAAAGGAATTTTCCCAGCAAAATAGTAACTTGCTAGTAGCTTGTTCCCTGTTCTTCCAATGCTTCAATTTTGTTGCTTTAAAAAAATTATATTCTTTTTCTTTGAGATTATACTAATATTTCCTAACATTTATAAGCTACATTGTGGTTTACCAAATGGCTTCACGTGAATTATCTTAGTTAATCTCGAAAATAACTCCATGGCATAGGTACTATTAGCCCAGAAAAGATAAATGGTTTTTCCAAGGTCCTTTTTTCAGTGAATTTAAGATCTGAATCGTAGACTCAAGACTCTTGCCACTTTGTTCAATGGAATTAAATGGAAAATGATTAGATAACATCCATACTTTCCTTCTTGATTTGGATATTTTTTAGATGGGTTCATTGTATTTCATCTTAAATTTGAATTTCTTAAATCCCATTTCTTCCAAGGATAATTGCAAAAGTAACAGTTTCTCTGTTCAGACATGAAAATCCCATCCATTCCTCCTCACTTGTAATTTGACAAGTCAACCTGCTCTCTGGCCTATAGGAGGCTATATTTACATGATTTTTATTTAACCCACAGCCATAAACCACGATGATATGATTTGCATGTTTGTCTATGCCAGTGTTTAACGATTCTGACATACCTCTTCCTGTAGAATCCGAATCTTAAGAATCAGAGCCCGGTTTTCTGTCTCCTAATTCATTGTGAGAAAAATAATTAAAATATATTTAAGATGTTTATGAAAATACCACATATTTACCTCCAAGGCTGACATTCTCTACCAACTTTGAATGTAGCATTCACCTATCACAAATGAGCCTACTCTGAAAATATTTTCAATGTGGGGTTAAGCCTTGGCCTACAGGTACTTGGGGATCTAAGTGAAGTCATTCTCCTCCTGGACTCAATGTAACTATGGTTGTTAGGGAGGAAAAGACAAAAGAAACAAAAAAGTAACAACCTGGCTTCTTTCCCTGCTACTTCATTTATGACAGGTAGTTGTAAACTCAGCTATTTAAATAGCACCTTGAAATCACAGAGCTCTAGAGTTCTATTTGAAGCTGTGGATATTCTCAGATGCAACATCATCACAACATATGAGCATCAAAAACTGTTTTACAATTAACAGCCTCAAATTCAGAACCATCAGAAAAAAAAAATCAATATATTTCAGGACAGGCTATTTGCCAAAATGTTAACAGTAAATTTCAAGGGTAGGTTAAGAATTTTGCAAAACTTTTTATTTGTTAATATGCATTTCTTTATTTTTATAAAGTAAATAGGTATTACCTTTATAATATAAAAATGAAAGAAAAAATATCTCAAGCTAGGATTTCATTGACACAATAATAAACACCTGCTCCCCATCCATGTACTTAAAATCTGAATACCTGAGTTCAATTCTGGCCCTACTTTTTCTTTTTTTTTTTTTTTTTTTGAGACGAAGTCTCGCTCTTGTTGCCCAGGCTGGGGTACAATAGTGCGATCTCGGTTCACTGCAACCTCCACCTCCCGGGTTCAAGTGATTCTCCTGCCTCAGCCTCCCGAGTAGCCAGACTTACAGGCACTTGCCACCACACCTGGCTACTTTTTGTATTTTTAGTAGAGACAGGGTTTCACCATGTTGGCCAGGCTGGCCTCGAACTCCTGACCCCAGGTGATCTGCCCACCTCAGCCTCCCAAAGTACTGGGATTACAGGCGTGAGCCACCACGCCCGGTGGCCCTACCATTTTTTAAAAAATTGACAGATAAATAACATCATGTGCTTTTACCATGTATAACATGATGTTCTAAAGTACATATATACCATAGAATGGTTAATTTAGCTCTATCATTTATTAGACAATTGACTTTGAACAATTAAAAACTTCCTCTGGACTTTATTGCTCTATTACATTTTTTAGTACACAAAAATATAGCAACTTCTGTTTCTACCTTACAGATTTTCTGTTATTACCTATGAGATGAAGTATCAACTAAATCTTTTAAAATTATAAAACACTACAAAATGCAAATGATTAGGATTCCGTATCTAGGACTCTGAACTTTATTTTTATTTATTTATTTATTTTTTGAGACCAAGTCTCAGACACCCAGGCTGGAATGCAGTGGTGCAATCTTGGCTCACTGCAGCCTCCACCTCCTAGGTTCAAGCAATCCTCCCACCTCAGCCTCCCAAGTAGCTGGGATTACAAGTGTGTGTCACCACGCCTGGCTAATTTCTATATTTTTAGTTGAGATGGGGTTTCACCATGTTGGCCAAGCTTGTCTTGAACTCCTGACCTCAAGTGACCCACCCGCCTCAGCCTCCCAAAGTGCAGGCCAAAATTCTGCACTTTAATCAATAGCAATTTAACATTACCAATTCCTAACAGGAAAGAAAGGACATTGAATGCTTTACATGCGCTAGCTCATTTATCCCTCCCAGCCCTAGGGTAAGTAGTATTGTTATCTCCATTTTATCTAGGAGGACCCACGGGCTTAGAGTGACTATGTGGCAGGGCTAAAGTCACACAGCCCTTGGAGCCGGAGCTTGAAGGAAGGCAGTCTGACTCCCAAGCGTGGGCTCTTGACCAGTTCTCTCCATTGCCTTCAGTTAGAAGCTCCTTAGTGGTCCCAGATTGAGTCTTTCCTATAATGCATCCATATAGACTTGCAGGGTCACAAAAGACCTGGCATTCAATGATCTAGTCCCCATATTTTACTACTGAGGCAAGAGCTAAGCTAAACAAAGTTATTTTGTTTGTG
Organism: Homo sapiens; assembly: GCF_000001405.40. Classification (NCBI taxonomy): domain Eukaryota; kingdom Metazoa; phylum Chordata; class Mammalia; order Primates; family Hominidae; genus Homo; species Homo sapiens. The sequence continues at coordinate 25,021,815 of NC_000012.12, read as the reverse complement.
GGAGGTCATAAGGGACTGCCACAGGGCTGGAACCAAGTCTCTCCAAGATTTAGAGACTCTAAAAACAGTTTTGCAACTGATACCTGAAACAAATTAGTCGGAATGACTTTCAGCCACTCCTTACCATAGTTAATGATACTAGAGTACTGCTGGCATCTATCAGGATTTTGAAGACTATTACTAATTCTTTATACAACAGTTGAACCTTCTCAATAAAAATGATCACTTCTCTGGCATCTGACTTAAAGTTTAGTCTAAATGACTCTTTTGCTCTGAAATTATAAGCCTGTGCTTATTTAGCATAAGGAATGATTTATGGAGCTTCTCAGTAACCTGCAAGTACTGAGATAACTGTTTTTTTTTAAATCTGAGAAAAAAGGTGAAAGTTTCACAGATTTTTTTTAATTCAAGTGGTTTTTAGTATCAGATATTTTTGAATTCTCCTATCGACTTTAGGAGGCATTCCAGATATTTTCTGGGTTTTCAGAAACTATTGTGAATGTGACTGAGAAATATGTAAAAAATTTAAATCTTGATTGAAAAGGAGGCCAAGCACAGTGGCTCATGCCTATAATCCCAACACTTTGGGAAGCTGAAGTGAGAGGATCGCTTGAGCCTGGGAGGTCGAGGCTGGAGTGAGCCACGATCCTGCCACTGCACTCCAGCCTGGGCAACAAAGCAAGATCCTGTCTCAAAAAAAAAGAAAAAAAGAAAAAAAAAAAAAGAAAAGAAAGAAAGAAAAGGAAAACACAGATTTAAAAAAATCCTACCTGCCTTTACTTTTCTAAAGTGTTACCAATTCATTCATCAGGATATTGACTTCTGATGTTCCACCGGATAAGTCCTCTTGTATATTTCAGTTATGTAAATTATACGCCAAATTCAAAGTACTATAATAGATGACTTACTAATTGTTTGCTCTGGGCTACAATCATGCTCTTCTGCTCTTCTGAAGCATTCATACTAAGTTTCAGTTCCTCCAGTTCTTCTTTTAACAGATTTGTTCTCATAATAGCCTGGTGGGCACTGTGGGGGTGGGGGGAGAAGGCCATGAGCAAAACCTCAAATATAACCGTCAAAGACACTAAGAACAGCCAAGGACTATTTTGGACCCAAGTTGAAAACCACTAAAGGCTTAAACCAGATGCCCGCATAGTAAAAATATACCCATGATCTTTCAGTCCTTGGAAAAGGAAGGAATTTGGAGAAAATGGGGAGTGGGGAATGGAGACTATGGGGAAAACAGACAAATGTATTCCTGAAGCTAAAGATTTAGAGGATCCCTTTGAAAATCATCACTGGCTGAATTACCTGGTTCTTTCCCCCTACTAAGAAGATGTAATGTTAGTTAATGCAGTTCCACAAATATTAATTGAATAATACCATGTTCTAGGTGCTCTACAATGCAGGCTACAATGGTGAACAAAAGGGACATGGTCCTTGGCCTTATAGAGCTTACATACTATGGAGGGAGATGACAACTAAACAAATAAATAATTACCAAGTCTCTATATGACATATTCTATAAAGAAGTTTATCATACTGTTGATTATAACAAAGCATTGGAAAAAAAACCTAAACATCCACCAACAGGAAACTGATTAAATGAATTATGGTAATCCATATCATGAAGTTACCTACCTGTAGCTCCCGTTAGATTATAGACTGTTCCCTTAGGAACAAAGCCTTCAAAGGAGATACAATTTTTTTCCTAAGAAATTACATTGATCATTTAACAAATACTAATTGAGTGCTGAACCTGTCCCAGGCACTGTGCTAGGCATTGAAGAAGGGAAGAATGACTGAATCCGGAGAATTCTACTCATCTGGAGTTTATAGCCTAGTGGGGTAAACAGACAATCATACTGACAATACAGTATGATAAGAATCAAAAGAAATAAGGGTTTCTGGCTTTTAGGTAACTAGAAGGAAAGTAGTGCTGTTCTACAGTAGGTATTCTACTAAGCACTAGGCTAAACAGGATGAATATGACATAGTTCCTCCCATCAAGGAGGTCACAGTGATATAAACAGGAGGCAGGGAAACACTAGGTAGAAAAGGGCAGGGTTCCTGGCAAGGGTTCCACCCTCAAACCTGGACCCATGGCCTTAAATGAGAACTTCGCATCCCTGATTTCCCACCTGAATGCTGCCTTTTGACCCACCATGCCCCCTATCCTGTACCCACAAAAACTCCAAGCTCCACTGGCAGAGGAGCAGAGCAGTGTGGAAGAGAAGGAGAGAAGAGAAGAAGCTCTGAACATCAAGAGGAGAAGAGGCAGCTGGACATCAGAGACTAAGGTCAGAGAGAAGTTTGGCCAGGGACTGTCAGAGAGGAGTTTGGCTGGGACAGCTAAACTCCAGGGGAAGATTATCTTTCCACACCATCCCCTTTCCAGCTCCCCATCCTGCTGAGAGCCACTTCCACCACTCGATACAATCTCCACATTCACCATCCTTCAAGTTTGTGTGACCTGATTCTTCCTGGATGTTGGACAAGAACCTGGGTACCAAGAGGGTAGGGTGTAAAAGGCTGTCACCCTGATCCTCCACTGAGCTAGTTTAACTCTTAGCTGTCCATAGATGGCAAATGCTAAAAGAGTATTGCTTGTAACACATGCCCTCTGGGGCTCCAGAGGTTGTGGGCAACCCCTAGATGCTGCCACAGGCTGGTATGGGGTTTGTTCCTCCTGGCACCTAAAGGCACTCACCCCAGCTCCTACACCTGCTCACCTGCATGCTCCCCCTCCTGCAAGGGGTTTGAGCATGGCAGCTGAGCCAACAAGCCATCCCGGTTGCAAGTCCCACGAGGCAGTCAAGGGAACCCTCCCACCTCAATGGTTAATACAGAAAACAAATTACACTATGATGGGACAATTGGACAATATCAAAACTAGGTTGCGGGAACCCAAAGGAAACAGACAGTCTTCAGAAAGGATTAGGGGAAGGAGAAAAGAGAAAGACACGTGGCTTAATTTTGTAGACAGTGGCATTCTGATTGCCCATCTGGATTCTCCAGCCTTTCTGTCCATTATGTGAGTTACTTAATTCCTTTCTGATATATTTCTTGACTGCTTATTAAACCAGAGTTAGATTCCAGTGCTTGCAACCAAAAATCCTGACCAACATATTCATCCAAAGCAGTTTTGTTAAAGAAACTTTGAATTTTTATATTTCAGTTAAATAATAAATAAGCCAATTGTGAAATGAAGAGGACTTGAGGTAAGCAATTTTTTTAAAGATTAGTTTGGAGACTGGACTGGACAAGGTCAAAGATTTTGAGGATGAGAATGCTTTAGTGAAACATATGACTGGGCACAGTGGCTCCCCCTCCTGTAATCCCAGCACTTTGGGAGGATGAGGTGAGCAGATTGCTTGAGACCAGGCATTGTAGACCAACCTGGGCAACATGGCAAGACCTTGTCTCTACAAAAACACAAAAATTAGTCAGGCATGGTGGCATGCACCAGTAGTCCCAGCTACTTGAGGGGTGGGGGGTGAGGCCAGAAGATCACTTGAGCCTAGGAGACGGAGGTTGCATGCAGTGAGCTGAGATCGTGCCGCTGCACTACAGCCTGGGTGTCAAAGTGACACCCTGTCTCCAAAAAAAAAAAAAAAAAAAAGAAGAAAGAAAGAAACATTTCCACTCAAAAACTCCTGCACAAATGTTCATGGCAGCATTATTCCTAATAGCCAAAGAGTGGAAACACTCCAAATGTCCATCATCTGAAGAATGGATAAACAAAATCTGATATATCTATGCAACTGAATATTATTCAGCCAAAAAGAAATGAGGTAGAAATACACGCTACAACATGGATGAACCTTAAAAACATTATGCTAAGTGAAATAAGCTACACACCAAAGTTCACATATTGTATGATTCCATTTATATGTAATGCCCAGAATAGGCTAATCTACAGAGACAGAAAGTAGAATAGAGGTTTCCAGGGTCTAAGAAGAGAGGAAATGGAGCATGCCTGCTGGTAAGTATGGAGTTTCTTTTTGGAGTGGTGAAAATATCCTGGAATTGGATAATGGTGATAATTGCACAACCTTGAGAATATACTCAAGTTTTTTTTTTGTTGGTTTTTTTTTTGAGACAGAGTCTTGCTCTATCACCTAAGCTGGAATGCAGTGGCACGATCTTGGCTTACTGCAACTTCTGCCTCCCAGATTCAAGCGATTTTCTTGCCTCAGCCTGCAGAATAGCTGGAATTACAGGCTCGTGCCACCATGCCCAGCTAATGTTTGTATTTTCAGTAGGGATGGAGTTTCACCATGTTGGCCAGGCTGGTCTCAAACTTTTGATCTCAAGTGATTCACTTGCCTTGGTCTCCCAAAGTGCTGGGATTACAGGCATGAGTCACCATGCCCAGCCAGAGAATATACTCTAAAAACACTGAATTGTATACTTTAAGAGAATGAATTTTATGCTGTGTGACTCTCAATATTTAAAAGGTTTTTTAAAAAAAGAAAAAAGAAATGAAAGTTCCCCGCACACTGGACCCCACTGTGGCTCACCTTTTTACCTGAAGGCGCAATTCGGTACAGTCCTCTGATAACTGGCTGTTAGTTTCTTCCAGGGTTTCTAAAGCCAACTTAAACTTATTATTTTCTTCCTCAAGTTTTCTTTTGTTGAAATGAAGGTCTGCTACGTAGGCAATCAAATCAGACACCTCTCTGCAAGTAAAAGAATAGATGAGAATAACCTTCACATCACTAATTCCTTCTAATAAAATAAGGTATACGGTTAAACAAACCAAACTTTGATATTCTGGTGAGTTTTTTTTTTTTTAACTTTACCCTCATCTGTCATCATAAACATAATTAATGTATATAATAAATAGCTATTCAGATTTTATTACAATAGCATCAAAGATGTTTCCCAAAATTTCCAAGTAGCCATCATTTGCCAGATGTAAAATCAACTTCTACAGTTTTTGTTGATTCTTTTCCCCTTCACTCTCAACATTTGTCTTCTAAACGAAGAGTTCCTATTTCTGCCTGGAATATGAGAGATCCTGAAATAAATGGACACAATATTCTTTTTTTTTTTTTCATTTTTTGAGACAGAGTCTTGCTCTGTCGCCCAAGATGGAGTGCAGTGGCACGATCCTCCGCCTCCCAAATTCAAGCAATTCTCCTGCCTCAGCCTCCAGAGTAGCTGGGACTACAGGCATGCACCACCATGCCCAGCTAATTTTTGTACTTTTAGTAGAGATGGGGTTTCACCATGTTGGCCAGGCTGGTCTTGAACTCCTGATCTCAAGTGATCTGCCCGCTTCAGCCTCCCAAAGTGCTGGGATTACAGGCATGAGCCTCTGTGCCCAGCCTATATTCTTTCAGCGAAGGGATCTCGGCAGGTTTACCTAGGAAACAGTTCCTAGAGTCTTATCATTGTAGTCTGAAGCTCACAATTCAGTACTCATCTTTCCTAATGTTTTGTATAACTTGTCAATGTTTATGAGCATCATTTGCCATGATATCAGTTCACAAATCCTTTAAGATTCTGGACTGTGTGTTTCATGGAGCCCCAGGTCTCTTTTTCTTTTTTGCTATCTTATCCCGGGGCTCAGGTTGAGAACATAGTTCCCACTCCACTTTTCTTTTTTTTTTTTGAGATGGAGTCTCGCTCTGTCGCCCAGGCTAGAGCACAATGGCACGATATCAGCTCACTGCAATCTCCACCTTCCGGGTTCAAGCCATTCTCGTGTCTCAGCCTCCCAAGTAGCTGGGATTATGGGCACGTGCCACCATGCCCGGCTAATTTTTGTATTTTTGGTAGAGACAGCATTTCACCATGTGGGCCAGGCTGGTCTCAAACTTCTGACTTCAAGTGATCCATCCGCCTCGGCCTCCCCAAGTGCTGGGATTACAGGCGTGAGGCACCGCGCCCAGCCCACACCACTTTTCTTTACGGATAAACCTGAAGTGGCAAAGATAAAATAAAGCAGAGGCAGAATCACTCTCCTTAATACCCAAAACTTACACATGTCGTGGAAAACAGCTTTTCTCATTCATGCCTAAAAGATTCTACTAAAGAAGTGCTTTAAAATAATTTCCAAAAGAGTGTAAGGTCAATATCATAACCCTACTTCAGGTGGAACTTTTCCCTACAGAAAGCACAGGAAATTAATGAGGGAGAAGGGTTTCATGAGAGAGCAAGTGATTTTGGATTACTAGTCATACGAGAATTTGTGTTCCTAGTGAAACTGTTTCTAATGCAGGCATTATTAGAATCAGTGAAGAATTTAAAATCAGTTATGCTAGCTCTACTGCAAAAAAAGAGCAAAGTGACTTCATTGTAACTGAAATACGTAGATTTATGAAATAAACAAGAAAAATGAAGTTGAAACACTTGCGAAAGCAGAGTAAGAAGGCTTACAAGACTCCTTTAGATGTTTCTCCTCCCAAAGCCTCGAAGCTCCCCAATGTAGAATCTGTTATATCTGTGCTCATCTTCACTGAAACACATACAAGAGTTTTATGAAAAAAAATCATTTTCTACAAACCGTAAGAAAACAGAACAATCCTGAAGAAACACATACATACTTGTTCCATCTGATTTTATGCCATCCTGTTCACAAACAGAATCATCGATGATGCTGCTTAATCTATGATTCACTCCTTCCCTGTAGCCAAAAAAAAAAAAAAAAAACAAAACCAGTGAGCTAGGATTCTTTGCCTGACCAAGTTTTGTCTTTTTTTTTTTTTTTTTTTTTTTTCAGATTTATGCTCTGTACTTTCCTTTTTAGGTAATTCCTTCTGAGTTAAAAAAATATATATTCATTCAACAACTATTTGGAGCTCAATACTATGCTAGGTACTTAGAGTGATAGAAAATAGTCTGTGTTCCTAGTGAAACTGTTTCTAATGTAGGTGGTACATTAGGCATTACCTCCACCATCCATACACTTTTACCTAATATGAAAAAGAAAACTCACAGGCAGCGTATGATTAGGAGATGTGGGGTCTCGGTGGATTAGGAAATAGACATAGGTTGGACTGGTAAGTGGAGACTTGTGGAGGTTGCAAGATCATGGGGCTTAAGAGATTGAGAAGGAAATACACGAACAATGAATACTTTGGGATACATTGACAGGGATACATTTTCCCTTTCTCATGGAGAATCAAATAGAACCTCGACTAATTTTACTTTGGGCATTTTACTTCTGGAATCTGGGAAACCCTCTGTACAGGCTGTGTAGCACACACACTCTAGCTTGAACTGCAAAATAAACATATTAACATTTCAACCATTTCCTTTCAGAGTCCTATATTATAATTTAAGTTTTGTTACTTAACCTAAGCACCAAATCCTCAAGCTTCTCTCTGGAATAGCCACAAAATTCAACAAATATATGTTTACATCTCATTGTTTGTCATTGTGAGATGTCTGTCACAAGTTGGGGGAATGAAAGAACTCACACAGAGTTCTGACTATTCTCGTGTTCACACCTATCCCCATTTCTGAGTTTCTGCTCTTATCTTCTGTATTTCTAGCGCCCATGATTTTTCCTTTACACTTGTTATAAAAATGTTTTTTCTTTTGTCTTCATGCTGTTTTATAATTATTAATATTTTTATTATACAAACATATATTTTGGAAATATTAAATTCTTAAGAAAACAAAAAATTAGGCCGGGCCTGGTGGCTCACGCCTGTAATCCCAGCACTTTGGGAGGCAGAGGAGGGCAGATCACGAGGTCAGGAGATCGAGACCATCCTGGCTAACACGGTGAAACCCCGTCTCTACTAAAAAATATAAAAAATTAGCTGGGCATGGTGGCAGGAGCCTGTAGTCCCAGCTACTCGGGAGGCTGAGGCAGGAGAATGGCATGAACCCTGGAGGCGGAGCTTGCAGTGAGCCGAGATTGCGCCACTGCACTCCAGCCTGGGCAACAGAGCGAGACTCTGTCTCAAAAAAAAAAAAAAAAAAAAAAAAAAGAAAAAGAAAACAAAAAATTAAAACCATTATGCAAAAATAATCGTTTTGGCATAAATTCTTTCTAATATTTTCCTATGCATATTTTTATTTCTTCCAAAAATGGGATTATACTACATGAATAGATCTATGACCTATTTATTTGAAGTAATTACATATTAATTTCTCTTATCAAATATTATTACTTTAAATGACTAGTATTTTAGTGTATGGAAGCACTATAATTTGTCCAATTGTCTCTTTTTAAATATCTAGATTGCTTGTATTTATCACTGTCATAAACTACCTTCTACCTTCTATATTAGCATTTACAATTAATTATCTTTCTTATCTTTCTTAAAGTTACATTACTTCTCAAAGAGCCTGCCTTTTGTCTTTTGTTTTTGTTTTGGAGACAGGGCCTTGCTCTCTTGCCCAGGCTGAAGTGTAGTGGCTCTGTCACAGCTTACTGCAGCCTCAAACTCCTGGGCTCAAGCAATCCTCCTGCTTCAGCCTCACAAGTAGCCTGGACTACAGGCGCATGCCACCACTCCTGGCTAATTTTAAAATTTTTTTGTAGAGACAGAATCTTGCTAAGTTGCCCAGACTGGTCTCAAACTCCTGGCCTCAGGTGATGCTCCCGCCTTGGCCTTCCAAAGTGCTGGGATTACAGGCACGAGCCACCACCCCCGGCCAAGACTGCATATTTTTAAGGGCCTGATACACATTCCTAAATTGCTCTTAAAAAAGCTATGCTAACTTGCACTACTACCAATAATATATGGGAGGGCTTATTTCTCCACCCTTTTCACAGTCCACCACATGGGCTAGAGTCATTTTTTAAAAATCTTTGTTAAACTCATGGGTAGAAATGTTATATCTGTATTTGCAGTTTTTGATTACACTAACATTACTTATTTCTATATATTTATCTTGACTTCATGAATAACCTGTGTATGGCATGCAACATTTCAGTCATATTTTCTTAAGTTATCTATACATCCTAATCCTACCAGAAATCTGGTAAGTTTTTCCGTTCCTTGGGCTTGACATTTTCTCTCTTTTTGAGACGGAGTCTCTGTTGCCTAGGCTAGAGTGCTATGGCACGATCTCGGCTCACTTCAACCTCCACCTCCCAGGTTCAAGCAATTCTCCCGCCTCAGCTTCCCACGTGATTGGGATCACAGGCGTGAACCACCACGCCCAGCTAATTTTTGTATTTTTAGTAGAGACAGGGTTTCACCACGTTGGCCTGGCTGGTCTCCAACTGCCAACCTCAGCTGTTCCACCTGCCTCAGCCTCCCAAAATGCTGGGATTACAGGTGTGAGCCATCGCGCCCTGTCAACATTTTCTTTAAGCAAATCCTAGCATGCATCAGCAGATAGCTGAAGATTGGTGGCTGAATAGGAGGCATAGGAATTAGGTTTCTTGGCTAGGTGCAGTGGGTGGCTCACACCTGTAATCCCAGCACTTTGGGAGGCCGAGGTGGGCAGATCAGCTGAGATCAGGAGTTCGAGACCAGCCTGGACAACATGGTGAAACCCCTTCTCTACTAAAAATACAAGCATTAGCCGGGCATGGTGGCACACACCTGTGATTCCAGCTACTCTGGAGGGTGTGGCGGGAGAATTGCTTGAACCCGGGAGGCAGCGGTTGCAGTGAGCAGAGATTGCATCACTGTATTCCAGCCTGGGCAACAGAGTGAAACTCCGTCTCAGAAAAAAAAAAAAAAAAAAAAAAAAAAGGGAATTCGCTTTCTGTGGAAGAAGACACACATCTCCAGCATCTGCCAAGGGCACCTGAGATCATGGGGTGCCCTTCTCCTCCTTTACCTTTTTCTTTTTCCTATTCTACTATTCTTTCTTGTTCCCCTTAGCCTCCCTATATTCTAGGATTCCAAATTACATTCACTGACTAGCCCCACTGCCCTTAAAAGGGAGTCTATTATTGAATTTAAATACATTTGGAGATTTGATAGTATCAATAATTCACCTGACTCGTATGTCAGCTCAATTCTCTGTGAGAGTATCACATGTGCTCCCCACTAATCACAAGAAATGAATGACAGCAGTGGTTCCCAAAGCATGTCCAGCCCACTCCCAGCATCAATATCATCGGAAACTTGTTAGAATGTAAATTATCAGGCTTCACCCCAGATCTGCTGAATCATGATGGTGGGACCCCAGCAATCAGGTTTAACATCATTCAGGTGATTCTAATGCATGCTAAAGCACTGGACAATAGTATTTCCATCAACACAGGAAACAGTGATTAGCATAATTATAATCAGTTGTTAAAATAGAACCTTAAACTGCATCCCACTAGGACTCTGATTACCATGTGTTTCCACAGTAAGCCATCCAGTCTTTCATCATGGCCTGGAAAGTTTCCAGGTCCACATGTGGGTCTCTCTTCTCAGGATCAAGCATGTTCCACAACTGCTCAAGGCCACTGTCTTCAGAATTTTGGCTAGTTGTTTGTCTCAGGAAATTGATTATTTTGGCCACTCCGACTGAGCCTTTGGAAAAAGAAGAGCAGATCAGTTCTGAAAGACAGAAAAGTTATATTTTTCACAAGTGAAGCACCTATCTCTTTAATGTTTCCTGATCCTAGAAACATGATATATAACCCTGGCAGTCCTGCGGAGCTGGCATGGTATATTGTAAAGAACACTGGCCTTGGGCTAAAGTCTAATGGACCTAGTGTCAAATCTTGGCTCTGAAGATTACCAGCTGTGTAGCTTTGGGAATATTAACCTCTCTGAACCTGTTTCTTTATCTGAGATGGGGACGATGATACCTATCACACAGAGTTGCGAGGTTTAAATATTGATGATATATGTAATCAATAATTTCTCATGGGAGGTGACCAAAATGACATTACATTTTTTCCTTTCAGTTCCTTGAAAAGCCTTCAATGAAGGAAGTTTTTTTCTCTACTTTAGTTAAAATTTCAATCTCAAGTGAAAATTTCTACTTTTTAGGGGGTGGAGGAGGCATTTTTAGACAGTCATCCCTACTATCACATTCAGAAAAGAAAATCATCCAAACTATGTTAGTCATTGACACACCAATCTTTTTTAAACATAAGACTTTTCTTTTACTCCCATCAAAGGCCTGCCTTGGGCTGGCTACTTGCAAAGGAGAGGGAAAAATTAAGTAGAAGTTTGAGAGGGCAGATGCCACAGAGAAGGTTCTTCCCTTAAGGAAATAAGGATAGACCATGACATCAGAAAAAAAAAAGTCTCTTAATTAGAAGGAGGAGATACTCATAAAGGAGGCTGAATAACTTCAAAGTTTTTAATAACTTTAACATTATTTAAACTTAACATGTCATTTAGATGTGACACTATTAGAAAGAGAAATAAAATGACTAATACAGTTATTTAGAGAGAGAACTGTTTTTTTTTTTTGTTTGTTTTTTGACACAGGGTCTTGCTATGTTGCTCAGCTGGAATGCTCCTGGTTCACTGCAACCTCAATCTCTTGGGCTTAAGCAATCCTCCCACCTCAGCCTCCCTAGTAGCTGGGACTACAGGCATGTGCCACCACACCCAGCTAATTTTTGTATTTTTTGTACAGATGGGATTCCACCATGTTGCCCAGGCTGGTCTTGAACTTCTGGACTTAAGGGATCCACCTGCCTGGGCCTCCCAAAGTGCTGAGATTACAGGTGTGAGTCACTGTACCCAGCAGAGAATTGCATTATTTTATTTGTAGAAGAACTGGAAAGCAAGCTGGAAAGCCAGCAATAATCATTTATCATATTTTCCTCCACTGAAACTCTAAGCCCTCTGTCATATCAAAACTAGAAAGGCCTCCTGTAATGGTTAATTTCATGTATCAATGGGTACCTACATATTTGGTTATACATTATTTTGGGTCTCTCTCTGAGGGTATTTTTGGATGATATTAACATTTAAATCTATAGACCAAGTAAAGCAGATTGTCCATCTAGTGCAGGTGGGCCTCATCCAACCAGTTGAAGGCCTGAATAGAACAAACAAGCTGACCTTCTCCCAGGTAACAGAGAATCTCTCCTGCCTGCCTTCCTTCCAACTGGGACATTGATTTTTTTTTTTTTCCTGCTTCTAGACTTGAATTGAAATGTTGGCTCTTCCTTGCTTCAAGCCTGCTGGCTTTTGGATGGGAACTGCACCAGCAGCTCTCCTGGTTCTTAGGCCTGTGGACTTGGAATGGGACCAAACTGTTGGATCTACTGAATCCCTGGCTTGCTGACATCCTGCAGATCTTGGGACTTGCCCGCCTCCATGATCGCATGACCCAATTCCTTATAATAAGTCTCTTTAGCTAGCTAGATTAAATTGACAGATACAAATATAAATATCTCTTCCCACCAGAGAGCCCTGGCTAATACACATCCCATTTCCCATCAGTGAAGCTTTCTTATTTTCTTCAGAGAATTACTTTCTTAAATCCTGTCCAAGCAGAGAAGCTCTCTGGGAACAAATAAGCCCCACTCATCCTAAGGAAATAAATAAGGGTACATGCAAATATTTTGCTACAAGTGTTCAATACAGTGATTTTATATGTAAAATATTTATTATAGTTTTGGGATTTTTTGAGACAGAGTCTCACTCTGTTGCCCAGGCTAGAATGCATTGGCATGATCATAGCTCATTGCAGCCTCAGCCTCCTTGGCTCAAGGCATCCTCCCACCTCAGCCTCCTGAGTAGCTGGGATTACAGGCGTGTGCCACCATGCCTAGCTAATTTTTAAAATATTTTTTGTAGAGACAGGGTCTTGCTAGGTTGTCCAGGCTGGTCTTGAACTCCTGGCCTCAAGTGATCTTCCCACCTTGGTTTCCAAAATTGCTGGGATTACAGGCATGAGCTACCATGTCTGGCATATTATAATTTTTAAAGCAGAAAAAATTAATATCCAATTGACATGGATTGGTTAAACATGTTACATCAAAAATGGTATAGCATATGAAGAAAATTTTTTGATGCAGACAGGTACTCAAATTATTAAATGAGAAAAAGCAGATTATAAAACAAGTTTGAAAACATTCTCACACATACTAGAGAATACATTAGTATATCACTTTTTTAAAAAAAAGGATGACCAAGAAAACACCTTACACTATCTTTAGCAATTATGTTGCTCAGCTAATTTTTCTTTTATTTTGAGATGGAGTTTCGCTTTGTCTCCCAGGCTGGAGTGCAGTGGCACCATCTCAGCTTACTGCAGCCTCCAACTCCTGAGTTCAAACGCTTCTTGTGCCTCAGCCTCCCTAGTAGCTGGGATTACAAGTGTGTGCCACCACGCCTGGGTAATTTTTATATTTTTAGTAGAGGTGGGGTTTCACCATGTTGGCTAGGCTGGTCTCAAATTCCTGGCTTCAAGTGATCTGCCCACCTCAGCCTCCCAAAGTGCTGGGATTACAGGCTTGAAGCACTGCACTCCGCCTAAATTTTTCTATTTTTAGTGGAGACATGGTTTCACTATGTTTCCCAGGGTAGTCTCAAACTCCTGGGCTCAAGCAGAGCCTCCACCTTGGCCTCCTAAAGTGCTGGGATTACAGGTATGAGCCACCCCACCCAGCCCCAATTTAGTATTTTCAAAACTGGTAGGTAAAGAGAATCAATCAAGCTTTTATCCTGCCTCTCTCCTTCAGGACACCAGTATAGCAAAATAGTTCATAACGCGGAATAGAGTTTCTCATTATAGATGTATTTCAGGTGATACATTAGGAAGGAATGATAGAATATTACCATTTGCAACATCTAATGAAAATATAGGTCTAGGCCTTCATCATCAATAGTTGCCTTCTGTTGAAAACACATAACACCATCTATGTATTTAGGTTGATGCAAAAGTAGTTGTGGTTTTTGCCATTACTCTCAATGGTTAAAAACTGCAGTCACATTTGTACCAACCTATTAGAATTCTTGCCCCCATAAAATAAAAAAAAATAAAATAAAAACCCTCAAACTTTTATCTGATCATATTTCTAAACATAGGAGACAGAGAAACAGCTTGTGTTCCTACAGATACACAATCACCAAATTTCAGATTGTGGTAAACTGTGAAATAAAAGAATGGGCTGGGTGCAGTGGCTCACACCTGTAATCCCAACACTTTGGGAAGCCGAGGTGAGTGGATCACCTGAGGTCAGGAGTTCGAGACTAGCCTGGCCAACATGGTGAAACCCCATTTCTACTAAAAATACAAAAATTAGCTGGGTGTAGTGGTGGGCGCCTGTAATCCCAGCTACTTGAGAGGCTGAGGCAGGAGAATCACTTGAACCCGGGTGGCAGAGGTTGCAGTGAGCCAAGATCACACCACTGCACTCCGGCCTAGGTGACAAGAGTGAGACTCTGTCTCAATCAATCAATGGATGGGTTTCTTTAACAGACAACAAAATGCAAAAAACAGATGGAAAGCGAAACACAGAGATAAGACAGACAACAAACTGCAATGAATAAACATTTCTTGGATATTGGCTTGAACAGTAAAACTGTTTAAGAAAAAAAGGATATGTATCTATCACACAAATGAGAAATTTTGACTACTAACAAGACATTTGATAATATTAGAAAAGTATATTACTTTTAAAATCATGATAATGGCATTGTAGTTGTGTTTTAAATTAGTCAATTATCTTTTAGAAATATGTACTGAAATATTTGTGGATGAAATACTATGATCTCTGCGATTTGCCTCAAAATAATCCAGAGTAGAGGAGAGGAAAATGAGCAGGGTTAGAAATGAGACATAATTGGTTATGACAAATACATAAGGATTCATCATAGAATTCTACCTCTGTATATGTTTGAAATGTTCTATAACAAACAATTATGAATTCAAATAAAACAAAACCATATTGACAGGAATTGTGGAAAGATATACAACAAGTCACTAACAATGGTTACTCAGGGAAACAGGATTACCAATTTTTTTTCCTTCTTTTCGCTTGTCAGTATATTATTAATTTTATTACAAATGAGCATGAATCATTTATATACTTAAAATTACTTGTGGAATTTTTTTTTCTCTCAACTTTTAGGTTCAGGGGGTGTATGTGCAGGTTTGCTACATGAGTAAATTGCGTGTTGCTGAGGTTTAGTGTACAAATGATCCCATCACCCACGTACTGAGCATAATATGTGACTGGTAGTTTTTCAGCCCATGCCTCCCTGCTCAAGTAGTCCCCATACCTATTGTTCCCATCTTTGTTTCCATGTATATACAATGTCTAACTCCCACTTAAAATTGAGAACATGCAGTGTTTGGTTTTCTGTTCCTGCATTAGTTCGCTTAGGATAATAGCCTCCAGCTGCATCCATGTTGCAGCAAAGGACATGATCTTGTTTGTTTTTTTGGCTGCATAGTATTCCATGGTGTGTAGGTACCACATTTTATTTATCCAGTCTTCTGTTCATGGTCATTTGGGTTGATTCCATGTCTTTTCTACTGTGAACAGTGCTGTGATGAACATATAAGTGCATATGTCTTTCAGGTAGAATGATTTACATTCCTTTGGGTACATACCCAGTGGACAGATTGCTGGCTCAAATGGTAGCTCTAAATTCTTTGAGGAATCTCCACACTGCTGTCCACAGTGGCTGAACTAATTTATATTCCCACCAGCAATGTGTAAGTGTTCTCTTTTCTCGATAACCTCACCGACATCTGTTGGTTTTTGACTTTTTAATAGTACCCATTCTGACTGGTGTGAGATGGTATCTCATTGCAGTTTTGATTTGCATTTCTCTAATAATTAGTAATGATGAGTATTTTTTCATATATTTGTTGGCTGCATGTATGTCTTCTTTTGAGAAGTGTCTGTTCATGTCCTTTGCCCACTTTTTAATGAGGTTATTTTTTGTTTGTTGAATTGTTTAAGTTTCTTACAGAGTCTGGATGTTAGACTTTTGTCACATGCATGGTTGTGAATATCTTCTACCTCTCTGTAGATTGTTTATTTACTCTATTGACAGTTTCTTTTGCTGTGCAGAGGTTAATTAGGTCCCGCTTGTCAATTTTTGTTTTGTTGCAATTGCTTTTGGGAACTTATTAATAAATTATTTGCCAAGGCCAATGTCCAGAATGGTATTTCCTAGGGTTTTTGTAGTTTTAGGTCTGGAAATTTTTTAAAAAACACATCTCAAAAATAAAAATTAAAGAAAAACAGAAGTGAAAGCCCAAAATTAACTAAAATTTTGTATAGTGGTTTTACATATTTGAAAAGCATATTTCCTGTGGGGCGCCACCTACGACATGTAAGTAGTTTCAATAAATAAAGATGGTAAGTCAGCTGATAAGCTCAAAAAGAATCATTCAAGTCACTGTTAAAATATGCTGATGCAAAACAGGTACAGGGAAATTATAACGAAATAACCAAGCCCTACAGAGCAAACCTTATTCCCAAATTAGGTGGCATCCATCACATATGTAGACGCAGACAATGAGACCCACACACAAATCATTTCCCTTTCTCTCACAATAGAAAGTTCAGATGACTTGGACAGTCCTACCAAATGTTTAAACAGATAATTTTTAGCTTACCTTTCCGTTTGATGTCACATGCATTAAAAATACTTGTGAGTGCCTCTTCTTTACAGGCCCTGTTGATGCTGTATATTACATCTTCTTTACCATCATCAGCTTCTTGTTTCCATCCTATTAGAAGAAAAAGTTTGTAAATCCTGATGCTTTCTGTGCTATAATGATTAATTTTCCTTTTTTTTTTTTGGTTTAACAAAGAAAACCTATCATAATAAACAGCCTTCCCCTTAGATATAGGGAAATATTCCCCTATATCTAAGTATTCCCATCATGACGTTCTGTTTTGTTCTGGAAACAAACATAGTTAAAACAGAAAGGGAAAGATGGATGATTCCATCCAAACTTTAATAATGTAGATTTTTTTTTAGTTCAGGTATTCTAAAAGTAGATATGTTTATTGCTCTATTGGAAGGACAAACATTAAAAGATGAATATTTACCATCTTCATTCAGAGATAATTTTTTTACCACTGAATCCTGAGGATCAAAACACTTCAAGCTTTGAACAAAGGTGGAATCAAAGTCAAGTGTTAAGGTACTAAAATTATTTTCACTACAATAGTTATTCAAATCCTTGTTAGAGAAAAACTCTGCTTTTCTGATCTGTGACATCAAAGATGTATAATTCTTGTTGCTCTGTGACTTCGGCTTTGAGACGTTTTCAGAACTTGTGAGAATAACAGAGTATGTTGCAGTCTCAGGGGAGCTGAGGTGAGAGGTGGATGGGGTTCTTGGAGATATTATTTGAGGCGATGAAATGAAGGCATCGACTTCCTCAGAACTTGACCAATGAGAGCCGGGCGTAGGAACACAAGCAGCAGTCATTTTCCTCAGTACCTCTTCAAAATATTTCTTGGTGTTCGTCTGTGGGCTATCAAAACTGCTAGATTGGTATTTGATAATCTGCTGAATTGGATTTGAAATTGCTTCTCTCTTGTGGATGGCTCTGATCTTTCTACAGATGCTTTCCACTGGGTTATGCCGCTTCTCAGTTACCTTCCTTGGAGAGGCCATTGTTGACTTTCCTCCTAGTATACAGATGAAGTGGCTAAAGTATAGGCAAAAGTAGATACATGTTTAAAAGTCAGTATTTTCCTAACAATAATTTAGCAATAGGCAATTTATTCCCAAATCAACTTTGGCGGGATCATGACAAGATGCTCAGTTTCTCTAAGCAAATTTTCCATGCATTTAACTTTGGCCCTCAAATTTCAGGAAAATAACAGCTAACATGTATAAAGTATTTATCAAGTGCCAGGCATGGTACTAAGCTCTTCACACCCATCAACTCATTTCATCCTTAAAACAACTCTTTGAGATAAACGTTACTGCTTTCTCCATTCTCTGACAGAAAGAGAATAAGCAACACACCCCAATAAATGCCACAGCTCAGATTCTAACGCAGGCAGTCCAGCTCCAGAGGCTAGATAACCACATTGCTTTTTATTTATAATAGGGCAGGTGACAATGATGCTAACATCTCTCATTTGAATACCTACCATTGGTATTGTACTGGTTGCCCTCTATTCAGAACTTAACTAAATATGCCCCATATTAGGTGTTTTATGTGTATTATGTCTAAATTTCACATAAACCCTATCAGCTGTGTGGAAATATCCTCCTTTTATAGATAAGGAAACTAAGAATCAAAGAGGCCAAGTAATTTGCTAATGGTCCCATCTCTAAGATTTGAGTCAAAGAATGTCTGACTCCAGCATAGTTTTATTGCGTAGCAAGATATATGACCTTTAAAAAAAAAGGCATAATCTCACTTCTTATAGTAATTCAGAAATTTGGAAATACATTCAAAATTTTACCTAAACTAGTAAGATTTAAAATAATCTAGGCTGGGTGTGGTGGTGCGTGCCTGTAGTTCCAGCTACTCAGGAGGTGGGGGTGGGAGGGTCACTTGAGTATGGGAGGGCTTCAGTGAGCCATGAAGGTGTCACCACAGGTACTCCAGCCTGGGCAACAGAGGGATGGATGGACAGATTAGATTAGATTAGATTAGACAGATATTTTTTAAATACTCTAGGCAAAAGGTTAAAATAGTTTCAATAGTTACAACAAATAGTTGAATAGTTATGGAATTACTGATTTCAAAAACTATGATTTTTTAGGACATTAACAGAAATTTCCATGAATCTTTTTTTTAATCCCCTAATAGAGAATGAACAATAATACAGAAATTTTAAATGTACTATAATTGGAAGGGGTATCTAGAATTACTGGGAAGAAGAAAATACTCAAAATCCTCTGAATCTTACTTGATCTTCAATATGAGGACCACCAGTTCTAGCCAGTGCAGTTTCCACCAACAGAATCCTTTACCACTTAAGGTAATGACCATCTCTCAACCTTTACATTGTTTCCTGACAATACCCTTCTTTCCCTCTATTCAAGAATGATCTCTTGGCTGGGCATGGTGGCTCACGCCTGTAATCCCAACACTTTGGGAGGCTAAGGTGAGTGAATCACCTGAGGTCAGGAGTTCCAGACCAGCTTGGCCAACATGGTGAAACCCTATCTCTACTAAAAATACAAAAATTAGCTGGGCATGGTGGCAGGCGACTGTAATCCCAGCTACTTGGGAGGCTGAGGCAGGAGAATCGCTTCAACATTGGAGGCAGAGGTTGCAGTGAGCTGAGATCATGCTACGGCACTCTAGCCGGGGGGACAGAGCAAGACTCTGTCCAAAAAAAAAAAGAAAAGAAGAAGAAGAAGAAGAATGATCTCTCAACGTGAAGTCTAAAATACACTCCTCTCTTGAAATTCTAGAATCAGTTTTTAATCATGGGACTCCATTCTTTCTGATCTCTCCTAGGATTTATAATTGTAACACACATTTTGTCATTTAATTCAATGTTGTCTTCTATTCTTGGATTGTTTCCAATGTGTGTGCATGCCTTCTCCTCAAAAATACTTTTTAATTCTTGTACTCA
Source organism: Homo sapiens (assembly GCF_000001405.40). Taxonomy (NCBI): domain Eukaryota; kingdom Metazoa; phylum Chordata; class Mammalia; order Primates; family Hominidae; genus Homo; species Homo sapiens. The sequence goes on along the minus strand of NC_000012.12, from coordinate 25,002,413 downwards.
AAACTATGATGTGATTTTTTCTAGATACTCAATACATTATTGTTGGCACAACTGATAATCTACAATTATATATAAAGTATATAATTAGTGGGCTTATGGACTTATCCCCCAGCTGCTGTGATTGTTGGCTCCCAACTACTTTTCAGGATCACCTTTTCTGGAGAAATTCCCACCTTGAATAAATAAGAGCTGCTCAGTTGCTCCAGGGGGAAGGTAGAAGTGCAGTAGCAGTAATGACAGAAGAGGCTTCACCCTTGAACACAAAGCATTCCAAATCTACAGTTGACTGACTTGGCAGGAACACATCTGACTTCCCTATGTCGAGCAAAGAGCCTTATAAAACAGTAGTTAAGGCCGGGCACGATGGCCTGTAATCCCAGCACTTTGGGGGCTGAGGCGGGTGGATCACGAGGTCAGGAGTTCGAGACCAGCCTGACCAACATGATGAAACCCCGTCTCTACTAAAAATACAAAAATTAGCAGGGCATGGTTGGTACATGCCTGTAATCCCAGCTACTCAGGAGGCTGAGGCAGGAGAATTGCTTGAACCCAGGAGGCAGAGGTTGCAGTGAGCTGAGATCGTGCCACTGTACTCCAGCCTGGGTGACAGAGCGAGACTCTGTCTCAAAAAAAAAAAAAAAAACCAAAAGAGTAGTTAAGTATCTGTCATTGTTCTCAATGTGAGTTGACCGTTTCTCCCTTATAGAACCAGAGAATTTAGGCACAGGTTGGACATGAGGCTAAAAGAGACCCCAGAACTGGAAACTCATGCTCCCAAATCCTGTCCCCTCCTGTCACTGAATGATGATGTGGTAGGCTGTTCAAGCCATAACAAACAGTCTCACTTTGTAGGCATTTGTAACTGACCTAGATTAATGTTCCTAGCACATAAGGCACATGTTTCTACTTGCATTTCCAAGGCATTTTTTTTCCTTTAACCATCTGTTTTCATTTGTTTATTTATTTTCGAGACAGGGTCTTGGTCTGTTACCCAGGCTGGAGTGCAGTGGTGCACTCATGGCTCATTGCAACCTCCAACTCCCCAGGCTCAAGCAATCCTCCTACCTAAGCCTCTCAAGTAGCTGGGACCACAGGCGTGCACCATCACACTTAGCATTTTTTTTTAATTTTTTTTGTACTTTTAGTAGAGACAGGGTTTCACCATGTTTCCCAGGCTTTCTTCTACTGTCTTCTAAACTTTCCTGACTTACCTAAGTGAGCCCTGCTTTGTGGTTGATAAGCTAAACCTTATAAAGAGTGCACTGAAAACAATGGCTCTTCATGAGCTACCAAAGCTGCATAAGATTAACTTGTTTTGCTTTTTCTAATATAGAGCAGAACATGGGTGGGAGTTTAATAAATAAGATGGGGTGATAAAGATTTCAAAATTTGTGTCATCTTCTCCATATGCAGCTTGGAAATATCTCCTGTCTCTTCTGTCTAAACCTCTTAACGTCTTTTTTAATTTTCGATCCTGGTAGAAAGGATTAGCTGCAATCTGCCAGAATACTTAAAAATACAAGCCCAACTTGCTTTGTACAGTAACTGCCTTTGAAAAGGCATTAAGTGAAAATTAAGAACTGAAAGTGAATTGTACTAGGAGAATCAGTTGCTTGGAGTCTATCTCTTTTAAAAGGAATTTCCCTCTTAGCGATCTTAGTTGATTATTTACTACATAAAGATGGTACACTTGTAGATAACCCAATGGCAAGAACTGCTTCTTTTGCTTTCAAGTTCTATGAACCTCAGTTGCATTTTCCATGGTTTTTAAAATTATTTTTAATTTTGTAGAGACTGGGTCTCTGTTACCCAGGCTGTAGAGCCGTGGCTATTCACAGGTGTGATCATAGCACATTGCGGCCTCAAACTCCTAGGTTCAAGTGATCCTCCTGCCTCAGCCTCCCAAGTAGCTGGGATTACCACACCTGGCTCAGTTTGTATACTTTTAATTAAAATACATTTTTTTTTGATATGGTGCCCCCTCTGTCACCCAGGCTGGAGTGCAGTGGCACAATCTCGGCTCACTGGAACCTCCACCTCCCAGGCTCAGGTGATCCTCCCACCTCAGCTTCCTCAATAGCTAGGATCACAGGCACATGCCACTATGCCCAGCTAATCTTTTGTATTTTTGGTAGAGATGGGGTTTCCCCATGTTGCCCAGGCTGGTCACAAACTCCTGAGCTAAAGTAATCCACCCAACACAGCCTCCCAAAGTGCTGGAATTACTGGTGTGAGCCAATGTATCTAATATATTAAAGTAGTTTTAATATCCATCCCTTTAGACAGCCAACCAATATTTATTGAATTTCTGCTAAGTGCTAAGCCCTGTGCAAATACTGGGGATACAATGATGAAGAAAACAATATCCTGAAACTCGTAGTCTGTGGAAGATACAGCTATGAACAAGTAAGCCACTAGAGCTATTAGGTTAAATTTAGGAAGCCCAATAAAATTTTAATCTCAGATAAACAATGACTAATTTTTTAGTGTAAGTATGCCCCCAAATGTTGCACAGGACATAGTTATACTGGAAAATTATTTGTTGTTTATTTGAAATTCAAATTTCACTGGCTGTCTTGTATTTTTTTTTTTTTTAGCTAAATCTGACAACCTGAAAAATGTCAAATAAATAATTACATAGTCAGGAGCCATGAGAACCTATAATAGGAAATTATCCCAGCTTGGGAGTGAGGCTAGGAAAAATTTAGGAGCATCTATTATGTGGCTATTATATGCACTGCACAGAATGTTATACATATTGTTTGCTATTTCTAGGGTTATAAACAGAAAATTAAGAAGTGGAACTATAAATCTGTTAGAGGAATTTCCACTTGGATTCATGTGAGCTAAATGTAATGTAAAATGATGTTAGAGATTATCGATACTGCTTATGTTGCTAATCTTTTTTATTCCTCCTATTGATTGAACTATGCTTCATTGCTCTGGCTTATAGATTCTGAGTCCCATTATTATTATTGCCTCAATTATCTTGTTCCATACAGTCAAAGCTCTTGAATCAACACTTTTCAACCATCTGCCCGATCCAAAACTATAAAGCAACAAGTAAAATCCTCTAACACATGGCAACATCTGTAAAACAAGTCCGATTTGATTCTTACCTAAAGTTATTCGTTATATATTTGATTTTCACCACCAGTGTAACTGCAGACTTCAACATCAACCTCTAAGACATCCATACTCTTTGGGACTTATAGAAATCTACATTTGTTCTGACTTCAATGAGTTAATCTACTACGTATGTACAATGTAGACAATATTTCTTATTCTTTAGGAATGTATATGTAAACAACATGACATAATTTGTGTTTATCAACATCTATATTATTCAATCACTAAGAAAGTTGCATTTTATTGCAAAGAATGGCATATGATGTATACAGAGGTACAAAAGCAGCATCCTGGAAAAAGCTGGCAGATTTCAGGGTGATTCAAAAGGCTCTGTAGAAATCTTTCTGAATCAAATTCTAACTCCAAACAGATTAACAATGTAATTATCTTTCCTGTTTTTTTCCTTTAAAATGTTTTCCTCCCTTTACTAAAGTTATTTATTGAGCATTGAACTTCCAAACCTTAGATCAGGCAGGCTGATTTTTAAAATCATTCAAAACTTGATTAGGAAAGCCAGTCAATCATTCATGATTCATCTATGTGAGATCCTATTGGTAATTAATGCAAAATCCTTAATATACGTAAAAAAAAAAATTTAAGTATGTGTGTAGATAGACAAGAGATTCCTTTTGCCAAAACAACCCTTCACTAATGATTAGATGCCACTAAACTCTTCATCAAAACCTAAGAAGAAACATCTGTTCACTGAGACATTCCCAGGAAACCCATCTTTAGTGAGCTCAGTGGGAGGGCAGAGCATGGTTTTCTGCTTAACCAGTGAATTTTATATCTGCCAAATTAAACTGTTTTCATTCTCTTTGTGACTACTATTTTATGTGATAAAATAATAACACTTCTTCCTGCCGTTTCTAGGATAGATGATAGCAGCTGTTAATCACATGATTTGCAAACCACAAGTACCAGATTTAGTAAATGCTCAGCAAGTCTGTCATCCGCAACCTTTCTGATTATTAATAAATGCAAGCTGGTATAGGCTAGAAACTTTCCTCCCACAATTCAGTTAACCTTGTTATATTAAGCTTCTTGGCTGGGTCACACCAAGCTTACTATAAACATCTCTTATTGGAACAATTCCTAAAATAGCAGAGTGACACATGCTTCTGAAAACTGTTCTTCTGTCTCACTTCTTGTTATATGAAGTCTGGTTTTCTTCTCAGAGAACAAGAGAAGACCTACAATAAATCTCTAGCTTCAAGAATTCAGGTGCCTCCAAGGTTCTTACAGTCTATAAAACTACATCACTGCGTTTCACTAACACACATTCCAAACGACCAAGCCTGAAAATGGCAGGATTAATTTAAATTTCCAAAAGCTCCATTGAAAACAATTTGAGATTTGCCTGTGGTGACAGCAACATATCTGGGGAATCTCACTTTATCACTCTCAGCTACCCATCTTTTTTCCCTATTTGTAGAGTGTTTTTCTTTTCAGATTTGTTTCAAGTTTTCAATGAACTCTGTTGAACCTCTAATATAGACTTATTGGAGGTTTGTCCCTTTTGCCACAAGCATTTTGAGGTTGAGACACAACAGAACAGCCTACATCTGATATTGCTTTTCCCTGGTTAGGGCGGTACTTTCTCGGCCTTCGATGACTAAAGGCCAGCATCAGCCAAAATTTAATTATTTCGTTGGGGAAAACTCACCACCTTATTTTCGCTTGACTTCGCCAGTGCTCCAAGAACCATCTGAGAACTGGGAAGAAAGAGTGGAGACCTACAGGTCAGATGACATGGGTGGAGCCCATTTCTACAGAGTGGCTTGGGCTGAGGTAAAAGAAGCTAGAGAAGAGAGCCGCTGATGCACTGCACCTGCCTAGGCTGGAGTTAAGGTACTAATCACAGCAGCAGTGCTGGGAAAGATGCCTAGGAAGGATGAGGATGACAGGCACTATTTTGGTGTGCTCCCCACCACAGCAATAACAGAAAGATAGTCCAGGTGCAGTGTCTTTCACCTGTAATCCCAGCACTTTGGGAGGCTGAGGTGGGAGGATCGCTTGAGCCCAGGAGTTCAAGACCAGCCTGGGCAACATGGTGAGACCCCCCCCCACCCCCGGTCCCCGCCCGGCTCTACAAAAAACAACACACTAAAGCTCATCCTGATTATACTTTCTAATCAGATGAAGGAAAATTATTTTTAAGTTAAATCTCATACTTTTTCTTTTGTTTTTTGGAAATGGAGTGTTGCTTTGTTGCCCAAGCTTGAGTGCAGTGGCACGATCTCAGCTCACTTCAATCTCTGCCTACTGGGCTCAAGCCACTCCCCCACCTCAGCCTGCCAAGTAACTGAAATGACAGGGGCATGCCACCACAGCCAGCTAATTTTTGTATCTTTTGTAGAGATGGGGTTTTGTTGTGTTGCCCAGGCTGGTCTCAAACTCCTGAGCTCAAGCGATCTACCTGCCTCAGTCTCCCAAGGTGCTGGGATTACAGGTGTGAGCCATTGCGCTCAGCCTGGTCATTATCATTTCTATCACCAGGTGAGAGCAAAGGGGAGTCAAATACTGGGGAATAAGAACTGGGGCTCTGAGTTTAAATAACCTGAGTTCAAACCCCAGTTCTGCTGCTTACTAGCTTTGTGATCTTGGACAAATTATTTAACCATATGTGCTTCAGTTTCTTCATCTGTAAAATTGCATCAATATCATGCAATGACCTCCGGGTGTGCTGCAGGGATTAAATGAGGTTAATACGCAGATGGCCCTCAGAACCATGTAGCACATTCTGAGCTCTCAGTAATGTTGTTATGATGCACTTTCTGAAACTCCTTTAACTTATCCAATACTAGAGGTCCTCTTAAAGCACCAAATAGCACCTAGAAAGAAATGACCAAGTAACCCGCTCCTCTCATTAGATTTGCTGTTTAATTTCCCATGAAATAACCTATTATAACATCCATGCTTGCGATCTGCTTATCAATCCACAGATACCGAAACTGGCAACACCCAGAGACATTTCCCTCCTAGTCATAAAGGAAGCCAGCAGCAGAGCCAGAAATAATATTCAAATTCTGGATCCACTAGACCATATTGCCCGTCTGACAAATTATACGCTTACATCCTGCTTCAGGTGAGTCTAGTATACCTGATGTTTCTCAGAGCAGTGAAAGGAATAACCTGAACAATAAATTCCAACGAACCTGTAATGAATTGCATTAACATGTTATTTCATTATTTATGTAATATTACCTCCTGACAGTTCTAATAAGGTACCCACAATGCCGGGTTCTCTACCCACTGGGAGCAAACAAGGGAACGTGCAGACGCTGGACAGCATACGATGGATGCCTGCAACTCCTGTACCTGCCCCCGAATGCCACCAGAAATATGCCATCTCTACTGAAACAGCTTTTCCAACCCTGAGCACGTTTATGAACACGGAAAAGAGTGTAAAGGGGTCAAATGCAGACTTTACAAAAAGAAACCCAAGATGGAGATTCCTGTTCGGGATATACTGCAGGTGGGGTTCATAACAACATAGTCCTTTACTTGCCAAGTAATCTGAAAGCAACTAATTAGAGAACCTGTAAGGGATGCCAATCCCAGTTTTCAAAATGGCATTTCAAGGAAATTAAATCTTATCATGTAAATAGGTCAAGAAATCCGTTTAAATAACGTATCTGCTTCTCTCTAGGTAATCTACAATGTTGTTAGACTATCAAGCCAGTAGTTTTAAATATGTGTTGGAGCTCCAGGATTAATCCCTGGTTGATCTGAGGGAGTCACTTTGTCTAACCAAATACAAATGAGGTGGGAGGTGTATGGTTGAGAGGCACTATTAGAAGAAAGGGGCCAGGTGCAGTGGCTCATGCCTGTAATCCCAGGACTTTGAGAGGCCCAGGCAGGTGGATTGTTTGATCCCATGAGTTTGAGACCAACCTGGGCAACATAGAGAAACCCTATCTCTACCAAAAATACAAAATTAGCCAGGCAGGGTGGCGCATGCCTATAAACTCAGCTACTCAGGAGGCTGAGGCAGGAGAATCACTTGAATCCAGAAGGTGGAGGTTGCAGTGAGCCAAGCCATTGCACACCAGTCTGGGCAAAGAGTGAAACTCTGTCTCAAATAAAATAAAATAAAATAAAATAAAATAGTAAATCTGCTGACCTTCCCTCCACTATTGTCCTGTGACCCTGCCAAATCCCCCTCTGCGAGAAACACCCAAGAATGATCAATAAAAAATAAAAATAAAAAATAAATAAATAAATAAAATAAAATAGTAAAAAATAAATTAGCCAGGCATGGTGGCACGCACCTGTAGTCCCGCTGCTTGGGAGGCTGAAGTGGGAGGATCAAGCTTGAGTCTGGGAAGTCGAGGCTGCAGTTAGCCAGTAGAGATTGCACCACTGCACTCCAGCCTGGGTGACAGAGCAACACCCTGTCTCAAAAACAACAATAATAAAAACAAACAAAGGAAAGAAAAGAAGAAAACCAGATAATGGACTCCTTCTCCAGTACATGCATGGCCAAACATAACTTTTATTTTTCAAAACCCACTCTATGTAAAATGCACTATTTATTTCTCATAATATACTCTTTAATGTGCTTATATTCTAGGTATCATTGCCTTTAAGTTGCTTTTTTAAATGAAGTATCATTATTATTATTATTTGAGACAGATTCTGGCTCTGTTGCTCAAGCTGGAGTGCAGTGGTGTGATCTTGGCTCACTGCAACCTCTGCCTCCCTGGTTCAGGCAATTCTCATGCCTCAGCCTCCCAAGTAAGTGGGACTACAGGCGTGCGCCAACATGCCCAGCTAATTTTTGTATTTTTAGTAGAGACAGAATTTCACTATGTTGTCCAGGCTGGTCTCTAACTCCTCAAGTGATCTGCCTGCCTCGGCCTCCCAAAGTGCCTGTGCCCAGCCTTTTAATTGGACTTTAATGTGCAAATGCAGTCTCTTCAGAAAGCCTTTTTTTCTTCTTTTTTTAAATCAGCCTACATCATGCTATGACAATTTTCATATAAAGATGCTGTCTCGGAAAGAAAAGGATTGGGAGTTTGAATGATCTATGGCTTCCATTCCAAAAAGGATTACTACAGAAGTAATTACTTTGAAAGAAAAGTGATAATATGTTTTTGGAGAAAGGTGGAAATGAAGCAAGGCCCTGAATATATTACCAAGATGCATATTACACTGAATGAAATCATCCGTTGCCCTTCCGGATCTATCCCGTGGATGCAGAGCAAGAGCAACCCATCTTTGTTCAGCATCCCAGGAGACAGGCCTCTATTGACAGCATCAGTCTGGCTCCTTTGCCCTCTGATTTCCCATTGAATGTGGCCAGTGGGAGGGCCCAGCAGATGGAGGGCCAGGAGGAGGAAGAGTCTGCAGCATTTGTTCTCCTGGCTCCCACCCTGCCAGGTCTCTGTCTGACAGTGGCTCACGCTTTTCCACAGCCCCTGTCAGGTGGCCTCTCCCAAAGTGACAGTGTTCACTTGGTTCTGTAAGTGTTTTCTCCATTGCCTCTTGCCAGGGAGGGTAATGGCTTCCTAGAGCCAGATGCCAGCACCTGAGGTTGCCCACCACCCCATGCTGTTTCCCTTAACCCTGCCTACACTTTCAAGAATTGAAACTCTTTGCAGCCTCCTTTTTTTTTTTTTTAAAAAAAGGTACTATCGATTTCCTAAAGGACCGTGAGTGATATACACTCAGAGATTCTTTTGTCATGTTACTTTCCGTAGCTCAATATGGCTGTTATCCACATTATACAAAGAACATAATACCTACCTTAAATTTTTAATATTTTGTCTTTATTCTTCAACTCTGTGTAGCATTTCCTTCTGGTTAAGAACATGCAGATAATCCAAATAAACAGATTTGACTAAAAGAAAAAAAAACTCTACTAACTTTCATATAAATTTTTTTTTTGAGAGAGAGAGAAAGGAAGTCTCACTCTGTCACCCAGGCTATAGGGCAGTGGTGCAATCACAGCTCACTGCAGCCTTGACCTCCTGGGTTCAAGCCCGATCCTCCCACCTCAGCCTCCCGAGTAGCTGGAACTACAGCCATGCTACACCTAGCTAATTTTTGTATTTTTAGTAGAGACAGGGTTTCACCCTGTTGCCCAGGCTGGTCTCAAACTCCTAAGCTCAAGAGTCTACCTGCCTTGGCCTCCCAAAATGTTGAGATTACAGTTGTGAGCCACTAAACCTGGCTAGTTTTAAAAGTTTGCTAGCTGATGCCAAATTGGTTTCCATAGAGGTTGTACCAATTTACAGTCTCACCAACAATCTGTGAGCCTGCTTGTTTCCCCACACCCTCACGAACACAATATGTTGGTCTTTGCCAATCTGATAGGTGAAATATAGCATCTCATTATTTTAATATGCATTTCTCAAGAGGCATGGTGACTCACACCTGTAATCCCAGCATTTAGGGAGGCAGAGGCAGGAGGATAGCTTGAGTTCAAGACCTGCCTGGGTGATATAGTGAGACCCCCCCCCCATTCTCCACAAAAAGGAAAAAAAAAAAGACCAAAAAACAGTGTAATTTGTGATTTCTTTCCTTATGAATATGGTTTCATGTGTTTAAAGCCATTTGTATTTCCATTTCTATGTTTTATTTGTATGCTTTGGTCATTTTTGAATGGGGCTTGATTTTATCAATACACAAAAGCTCTTTACATATTACAAGATTTAGTTCTTTGTAGGATGTGTTACAAATACATTTTCACCAGGTGTTATTTGTGTTTTTTGTTTATGGTGTTTTTGCCACACAGATTTTTAAAAATGTGCAGTCAAATTTCAATCTTCTTTCTTATACCTTCTGAGTTCGTGTTAGCCTTAGAAAGCTTTCGTGACTCAAAAATCATAAAGACATTCTCCTCTGTTTTTCTCTAGTGTCTTTGATTTAATATATTTGGAATTTATCTTTGTATAGAGAGATGAAACTATACCTTCATTATTTTTCAGATGGCTACCCAATTTTCCCTAAGAAATTACCCTACAAATATACTTGCACATATTTACAAAGATAAATGTAAAAATACACTAATTTACTAATGTTTGGAAAGGCAAAATATTTAAAATAACCTTACCATCTATCAACAGAGGACTGGTTACATAAATTTCTGTTTATTTACACACTGGAATAAAATATAGCTGTTTAAAAGAAAGATGTTCTATAAGTACTGATATGGAATCCCAAAATTATGGGCTTGTTTATAAATCAACCCTAAGCTGAAGAATAGCACTTATAGCATTTCTGATTTAAAATACAAAACAAAACAAAAAACACATACAATACAAACACAAAACATAACAGACATACACATAAATACAGAAGAAACTGGAGACAATGATAACCTTGGAAGAGAAAATTGAGGAACTAGAGGACTGGGATAGAAGAAAGAGTTAATTATTTCTGTACATTTTTGTACCATATTCATGTACAGTATCATCTATTTAAATTCACAAATAAAGGCAAGAAAAATATAGATTTTTAAAACTGAAGGTATTATGTTTATGTTTGGGTGGCTGATTCATTATCACATAATACAGATTTGTAAGATAATGTCATTTACAGTATTGAAGCCTGCCTGTTAGTTCAGCGAAACACGCTTTATACGTGTGAAAATATGGATAAGTAGCACCCTCTGCTGGTAAGTAGTTGGAAGTCATTAATAAACCTACCTATGATTTATCTTATTCTCAATGTTGTGATTACTGGTTCGTGAGCTCAAATTGTGTATCATAAGAAAGATTTTTTTTTTTTTAAAAGAAGTCCGGGCACAGTGGCTCATGGCTGTAATCCCAGCACTTTTGGAAAGCTGAGGCAGGTGGATCGCTTGAGCTCAGGAGTTCGAGACCAGTCTGTGCAACATGGCGAAACCCCCACCTCTACTTAGAAATATAAAAATTAGCCAGGCATGGTGGGTGCATGCCTGTAGTCTCAGCTACTCAGGAGGCTGAGGTGGGAGGATTGCTTGAGCCAGAGGAGGTCAAGGCTGCAGTCAGCTGTGATTGTGTCACTGCACTTGAGCCTGGGTAACAGAGCGAGACCCTGTCTCAAAAAAAAAAAAAAAAAAAAAAAAGAATGATAATATTTGGTAGCATAATATTTAAAATATCACTGTGGGGACTTTTTTAAGTTACAAAAATCACACATTTTGGTAGCAGTCCTCAATTCTAGTGCCTTAACTCTTGTCTGGGTGCAGAACTCTATTTTGATGATGTAGGAACATTGAGGATAAAATAACTTTTTAACAATAGTTGCAACTGACAATTGTCACCAATGTGTATAAAAGTAAGCATTATTGTATATGTTTGCCTTGTCTGTCTGCCTATTTTCATCATGCCCATCACCATTATAATTCATTCATTCAACAAATACTGAGTACTTGGTAGGATCAGGCATGTTGTAGTGCTAAGGATAAACAGTGAACAAAACAGACAAACTTCCTGCTCTCATACAGCTTACTTTTCACAGGGGGAGACAGAAAATTAACATAATAGGCCAAAAAATATAGCATGTTATGGGCTGATAAATGCCAAAGGAAAATATAAAAATACAAAGAATGAGTTTGGTGGGAGGTTTGCAGTTGTAGACAGGGTAGCCCAGGAAGGGCTCTCCAGGAGGCATATTTGAGTAAAGACCTGAGGAAGTGAAGGAACTGGGGAGAGGACACTTGAGGAAATGTATTCAGGCAGAAGGAAGGGCAGATGCAAAGGACCTGAGGTGCAAGTGTGCCTGACATGGCCAAGAAACAGCAAGGAGGTCAGCGGGGCTGGAGTGACCTGAATACAGGGGAGAGTGGCAGGAAATGAGGGCGGAGCACTAATGCCAGGGGAAAATTATACAGGATCTTAGGGTTATAGGACATTGGCCTTTGCTCTAAGGGAGATGGGACGCCTCTGGAGAATTTTAAACGGAGCAGAATTGTGCTCTGAATAAATGAATAAATTGAAGAGAGTCTGAAGAGAGTTAACGGCAGAAATAGTGAGACAAGTTAGACGTTTACAGCAATAATCCAGGGCCAGGCACAGTGGTTCATGCCTGTAATCCCAACACTTTGGAGGCCAAGGTAGGAGGATCATTTGAGCCCAGGAGTTTGAGACCAGCCTGGGCAACACAGTGAGACCCCATCTCTACAAAAAATAAAAGTTAAAAAATCAGCTGGGCATGGTGGCATGCACCTGTAGTCCCAGCTACTCAGGAGGCTAAAGAGGGAGGATCGCCTGAGTCTGGGAGGTCGAGGCTGCAATGAGCCATGATTGTGTCACTGCATTCCAACCTGGTTGACAGAGCAAGACCCTATCTCAAACAAGCAAACAAACAAACCCAAAAAACTCCACAATATTTCTAGAGGAGAAATGATGACAGTAAATTGTAGATAGATAGATAGAGAGAGAGAGAGATAGAGAGAGAGAGAGGGAGATAGACTGTTAGATGAGACAGAATATGTTAGCAGACCAAATGTGGGTATGAGAATAAGAGAGTAATAAAGAATGACTTCAAGATTTTGACCTCAGCAACGGGAAAAATGTAGCTGCCATTGATTGAGATGGTTTCGAGAACAGGAGGAATACCAGGAGCTGTTTTAGAATGTGAAGTCTGAGATGCTATTAAGGCCAGGCATGGTGGCTCAAGCCTATAATCCTAGTACCTTGGGAGGTCAAAGTGGGAGGATCACTTGACCTCAGGTTCAAGACCAGACACAGTGAGACTTTGCCTCTATTAACTTAAAAAAAAAAGAGGCTATTAAATATTCAGGTGAATGAAAAGCCCCTTAGGGTTGCTTTTCACCCAGTTCACTCAGAGTAATTTGTTTTTCTTTGTTTGTTTTAATTGAGAAGTCAAAATTGCATGCATTTATGGTGTACACCATGCGGTTTTGATATATGTACATATTGTGAAATGACTATATCAAGCATTTAACATATGCTTTATTCCACATGCTTATCATTTGTGTGTGTGTGACTAGAACACCTAAACTCTACTGTCTTAAGCAATTTTCAAGCATACAATATATTGTTGTTAACTATAGTCACCATGATATACAATAGATCTTTCGAACTTATTTCTTCTGAAATCTTATGCCCTTTGACCAATATCTCCCCAATCCTCCCACCAAACCCAGAATAGTTCTTTATTGTCCTATTTTATGTATTAATCTTGTACATAAAATGCATTTGTAGGCCAGGCACGGTGACTCACACCTGTAATCTCAGTACTTCGGGAGGCTGAAGTGGGAGGATTGCTTGAGCTCAGGAGTTTGAGACCAGCCTGGACAATATAGCGAGACCTCATCTCTAAAAAATAATAAAATAAAATAAAATAAAAATAAAATGCGTTTGTATAAAGTACAAAGTCAAAAAAATGAAGTGGAAATGTCAAATAGGAATTTGGATATACGTCTGGATTCAAGGGAGAGGTTTTGGGTCGAAGATAAAAATCTGGGAGTCCTGAGCCTACAGGTGGCACTTCGAGCTGCGAGAGCTCTTGAGATCACCCAGGGTGTGAAGGCAGACAGAGAAGGGAAGTCCAGGGCTGAGCCCTACTGCACATCAGCACTCACCAGTCTGAATGATGACATGAGGAGGAACTAGCAAGAGACTGAAAAGGAACAGCAGAAAGGTAGGTGGAAAATCAGGTGAGTGCAGTGTCCTGGAAGCCAAGTGGACAAAGCATTTTACGGAGAAGAAAGTAATGGGCTGCTGATAGGACAAGTAAAATGAGGACTATGAAACGATCTTGGATTAGTAGTGAAGGAGGAGGTAATTGGTGATCTTGATGAAAGCAATTTCATTATAACTTGTTCAAAAGTGAATGGGGGAGAGAAATGAGAAACTGCCAAGATGGATACTGCTTTTTAAGAGTTTGCTGTGGGCCAGGCGCGGTGGCTCACGCCTGTAATCCCAGCACTTTGGGAGGCTGAGGTGGGCGAATCACCTGAAGTCAGGAGTTCAAGACCAGCCTGGACAACATGGTGAAACCCCGTCTCTACTACAAATACAAAATTAGCTGGGCGTGGTGGCTCATGACTGCAATTCCAGCTACTTGGGAGGCTGAGGCAGGAGCATCGCTTGAACCCGGGAGGCAGAGGTTGCAGTGAGTGAAAATTTTGCCATTACACTCCAGCCTGGGCAACAAGGGAGAAACTCTGTCTCAAAAAAAAAAAAAAAAAAAAAAATTGCTGTAAAAGGAAGGAAAGAAATGGATACTAGCAGACAGAGAAGTGGAGTTAATGGAGTTTTTGTTTTAGTTGGGAGAAATAACTGCATGTTTGCATGTTTATGGGAATTATCATCAGGAGGGGGAGACTGAGGATGCAGAAGAGAGAGATGAGAATGGCAGAACCTGTCCTTGAGCATGAGTCAGGGGTGACTCTAAGTGCACAGGTGGTGGGACTTCACCAGCAGCAGAGACAGGTGATTCCTAAGAAGAAGGGAAGGTTGGAGTGTGGGCACAGGTGCAGATGGGCAGTTATAGGGGAGGGAGGTGGGGATGATTTCTTCTGATTGCTTCAACTATCTCAGCAAAGCTGTAGGGAGGAAGTGTTAAATAAGGGAGAGGAGAAAGTATAAAATAATCTAGGGGAGAATGTGAGAGAGAAGGGATTAGGGAAACACTGTATGACTGCTGGGCAGCATGAAAGACTGCATGAAAATTCATGGTCCCAAATTTAATAGGAGAGCAGCTAGCACAGTTTTATGTCTTTTAACTGCATGGCTGCAGGCACGGAGCAGGTGGGGAGTTGCAGTTAACTAGGGGTGTGATCTATCCAAGCAAGTATGATGTGAGAAGTAAGAAGGACTTAGTAGAGTTGAATGTATGCAAAGTAGTGACTCTACTGATGACCATAGGATGTAAACTAGGTAGGGAGAAAACAAATGACACAAGTGTGGGGATGAGGGACATTATAATAGTAATAAAGTCAGTGGATTAAAGATTCTGGTAAGATAGAAGGTTGGTGAATTTGAGATACTACAAGGAGTGAGCTGGAAAGTTAGCAGGTGTTTGTCAAAGTGTGGAATACAGCACTTGAGATAGGACAGGGCTGCAGCTATTGTTAATAAGGTCAAGGGTATGGCAGTATCCATGTGGTGCTAATTCTGTAGGCATGCAGAAAGCAAGAGTTGCAGAGGCTGTGGAGTGAGTGGCTGTATGCACTCTCTACTTATCTCTGCTGGTTTCCATTTCTTTCCTTTCTTTCACAGCAAACTCTTTTTTTGAGAGAGAGGGAAAGAGTCTCACTCTATCGCCCAGGCTGGAGTGCAGTGGCGCGATCTTGGCTCGCTGCAAACTCTGCCTCCTGAATTCAAGCGATTCTCCTGTCTCAGCTTCCAGAGTAGCTGGGATTACAGGGGTGCACCACCACGCCTAGCTAACTTTTGTATTTTTAGTACAGACAGTGTTTTACCATGTTGGCAAGGCTGATCTCGAACTCCTGACCTCAAGTGATCGGCCTGCCTTGTCCTCTCAAAGTGCTGGGATTATAGGCATGAGCCACTGTGCCCGGCCCAGCGAACTCTTAAAAAGCAGTGTCTGTACTCACAGTCTCTAATTTCTCTCCACCCATTCACTTTAGAACATATTATAGTGAAATTGCTATCATCAAGATCACCAATTGCCACCTCATTTATTATTATATAAATCCAAGGTCATTTCACAGTCCTCATTTTACTTGTACCCGTAGTTTATATTCTGCCTCCAAGAGGAGGCCTCATAGGGCATCTAGTGACTGAATTATATGATTTAGGTGCACTGTTTATACATCTGTGTTGGGTGTACTTTTGAAAATAGTCACTTGGGTGGTTCATGTGTCCATATTATATACTAGAACACCAAATAGAATGCATACTAGTATTTTTTAAATGAAAGAGGTATTTCATTCCTCCCAAATGTGCAATCATAAGTGCTTGAACTAGAGCCCTATTTAGTTTGTAGGACAAACATGTTTTTATTTTTCCAGCCTGGTAGGTAACAATTAGTGTTACACAAGTATTGCATTTACTTTCTTATTTTTACAATGTGCAAAATGGAATTACTTATTCACCATGACTTTTTCCCCATAAAACTACTCAGAGTAACTAGCACACAGAGTTGTATAATAAATCAAGCACCCTACATAAAATCTAGGTATTTTCTACATACCAAAATTAACAGACTTACCTTTGTCATTTTTATGGAAGAGAGGAAATTTGTCAGAGAAGAACTTCTAGTCCTGAATATATGGATTTGTAAATCAGAAGCCCAGGGTGAAGTTTTTATAATGGAAGGATGATCCTACTATTGTAATATATATTAGCACCATGTAGGTTATGAGAGGAAGACAGCACTGCTTATACCTGCATTAAAATTCTTTCTTCCAATTTGCATGTACATTGTCTACAATATATTACTAGGACAACTTTGCTGGGTGTCATTCCCTGACAGTCAACAAGACATTTTTATCAGCAATAACCAAAGGATGCTGGGGACTTTTTTTTTTTCTTTTTCTTTTTAGACAGAGTCTCGCTGTGTCACCCAGGTTGGAGTGGAGTGGCGTGATCTCAGCTCACTCCAACCTCCACCTCCCCAGTTCAAGCAATTCTCCTGCCTCAACCTCCCAAGTAGCTGGGACTACAGGCACCCGCCACCACGCCTGGCTAATTTTTTTTTGTATTTTTAGTAGAGACAGGTTTTCACTATGTTGGCCAGGCTGATCTTGAACTCCTGACCTTGTGATCCGCCCGCCTCGGCCTCTCAAAGTGCTGGGATTACAGGCATGAGCCACTGCACCCAGCCGGACTTATGTTTTTTACTGATCAGACCAGACAGTGCTCAGAGTAAAGACACCAGGAATCTCTTGGTGTCATCTGCAGAGGCAGAACTGGGGTGCAGCGTATTAGGCTCGCTGAGACTCCCAGGGGCCTTCTTTCTTCACACCATTCTAAATGCCAGATATAGGCACATGGAAGTCACTATGGAAAGGAAGACAAATAAAACAAAGTAGTCTATGACTTTCATTATTTGTTTGTGAAAAATAACAATAATAGATTTTATTTTATCTTGAAGGAGGGCCATATGGATCAAATTGTTGGTGAGTTTATTTCTCTTGAGTAAATCAGTTGGGGTGGAAATGTCAGAACATACAGCATCACAAAAGAGCACGGATGGGCATATCTGTTGTATCTATCACTTGGGCTATATACCTCCTTTGAAAAGTGCCCTTCCCTGCCAATAGAGGCAGATTTCCTCATAGCCTGCTAGTTGTTCTGAGTGGGAATCGGGTGCTATGTTGGCATGTGCAAAGTTCATGCACTGGAAATGTAATCCCCAACGCAACAATATTTGGAGATGGGAACTTTAAGAGGTAATTAAGGCCGGGCGTGGTGGCTCACGCCTGTAATCCCAGCACTTTGGGAGGCCGAGGCGGGTGGATCATGAGGTCAGGAGATTGAGACCATCCTGACTAACATGGTGAAACCCCGTCTCTACTAAAAATACAAAAAATTAGCTGGGCGCGGTGGCGGGCGCCTGTAGTCCCAGCTACTCGGGAGGCTGAGGCAGGAGAATGGCATGAACCCAGGAGGCGGGGCTTGCAGCGAGCTGAGATCACGCCACTGAACTCCAGCCTGCGCTACAGAGCGAGATTCTGTCTCAAAAAAAAAAAAAAAAAAAAGAGGTAATTAGGTCATGAAGGCTCTGCCTTCATGAATGAATCAATGTCATTATCACAGGAGTGAGTTAGTTATCAAGGAAGTGGGCTCCTGATAAGTTCAGTTTCCTTCTTCTCTTGGTCTAGTGTGCTTGCTTCCACCTTCCCCACTTCTGCCATGGGATGACCTTCATGAGATACAGCACCATGTTCTTGGACTTCCCAGCCTCCAGAAACGTGAGCCAAATAAACTTCTTTTCTTTGTAAATTATCCTGGTATTTAAATATTCTGGAATTCTATTTTAGCAACAGAACATGAACTAAGACAGAAAATTAGTACCGACAGTGGAGTTGCTACTATAACAATTACCTGAAAATATGGAAGCAGCTTTGGAACTAGGTAATGAGTAGA
Source organism: Homo sapiens (assembly GCF_000001405.40). NCBI lineage: Eukaryota > Metazoa > Chordata > Mammalia > Primates > Hominidae > Homo > Homo sapiens. Next base: position 24,984,267 of record NC_000012.12, on the reverse strand, counting down.
GGCTGAAAGAATTTAGAGAAGCAGGCTAGAAAAAGGCTAGATTGCCACGAATAAAACACTAAGGAACATTCTGGTGAGGGCTCAGAAGATCCCAGAACTTAGGAAAGTCTGCATCTTCACAGAGCTTACTTAAGTGGTTTGGACCAGAATGTTGATAGAAATACAGACAGTAGAGGCCATTCTGATGACGTCTCAGATGGAAATGAGGAAAAAGGTATTGAAAACTGGAGTAAGGGCCATCTTTTTTATACCATTGCTAGGACTTTAGGTAAATTGTGTTAATGTCCTAAGGCCCTGTGAAATGTAAAATTTAAAGAGCAATGAAGTAGGATACTCGGCAGAAGCTAAAATGATTACCATGGATTGAAGGTAGCCAGGTGCTATTCATAAAGACAATGGGAGAATGATCCCAAAGGCATTTAAAGTTCTTTGAGGTTGCCCTTCCTATCACAGGCCTAGGGCTCTAGGAAGGCAGAATAGGTTCAGGGGATGGGCCAGGAGCCTCCTCCACAGGCTCATTGCCCAGAGCCACCTTGGGTTTCTGTTCCCTGCGTTCCATCTAAGCACCTGTTGGTGGCCCCAGTGGTGGTTCAAGCAGCTTCAGGTGCTGCTTGACTCAGTACTCTGGGAGGTATAAGAGTTAAGCCTTGGTAGCATTCAGGCATGCAGAATGCAAAAGCTGTGGAAGCATGGCTTCCTCCACCTAAATTTCAAAAGATGCCACGGACCACCTGGAAGCCCAGGCAGAAACCTGCCACAGGGATGGAGCCACCACGAAGAGCTCCTACTAGGGCAATGCCGATCAGAAATGTGGGGTTGGAAATGCCACAGAGAGGCCCCACTAAGACAATATCTAGTGGAGTCAAGGAAGTGGGGCTACCTCCAAGACCACAGAACTGTAGGGCTAGCAGCATGCAATTCCAGCCTGGGAGAGCTGAAGCATGACTGAGCACAGAAAAGCTATAGAGGTAGGGCTGGCAGAGGTCTCAGAGGCTCAACTCCTGCCCCAGTGTTCCCAGGATGCAGGACATGGAGTCAAAGGAGATTATTCTCCAGCTTTAAAACTTTTTTTTTTAAGTAATAAGTTCTCACTATGGTGCCTAGGCTGGAGTTAGTGGCTATTTGCAAGTATGATCATAGTTCACTACAGACTTGAACTCCTGACTTCAAGCAATCCTCCTGCCTCAGCCTCCTAAGTAGCTGGGATTATAGGCACACACCACCACACCTAGCTTAGCTTTAAAACTTACTGTTGTTTTCCCTTTTAGGTTTTGGACTTACTTGGTACCAGTTACCCCTTTCTTCTTGCTCGTTTTTTCCTTTTGGAATGGAAATGTCTATTTTATGCCTGTCCTACTATTTTGAAAGTAGATAACTTGTTTTGATTTCACAAACTCACAGCTAGAGGAGTTTGCCTTGGGATGAATTGTGTCTCAAATTTTACTCACATCTGATTTAGATGAAACTCTGGACTTTGAACTTTTGAGTTGGTGCAGGAATGAGTTAAGACTTTTGGGATGATTGGAATGGAATGAATGTGTTTTTGCATTGTGAGAAGGACATGAGTTTTGAGGACCTGGGGCAGAAAGCTATGGTCTGAATATGTTCCCTAAGTTCACATGTTGGAAACCTAATCCCCAGTGCAGCAATATTGGGAGATGGGAACTTCAGGAGGTGATTAGGTAATGAGAACTCCACCTTTATGAATGCATTAATGCTGTTATCACAGGAGTCAGTTAGTTATAATGGGACTGGGCTCCTGATAAGTCCCCATCTTTTCTTTGTCTAGTACACTTGCTTCTGCCTTCTGCCAGGGATGACATTCACCAGATATCAGAGCCATGCTCTTGGACTTCCCAGTCTCCAGAACCATGGCCAAATAAGATTCTTTTCTTTATAAATTATCAAGTTTGTGGTATTCTGTTACAGCAACAAAAAACAGACTAAGACATAGGGAATAGGTAACATAATTAATATAGATTATTCTTAATGAATTTAAATTTAGTTTTCGGTGAACTTTTTCAACTTTTTGTCTCTGTTCTTGCACCTGTCCACCCCTTCCCATAATGGCCTTTTAACAGAATTTGATTCACTCCATCTGCCATAATGGACTGCGAGGAGCAGCATAGCAGGGGTTAAGAGCATGGACTCAAAATCTAGATTGCCTAGGTTTTCCTCCAAACTTTGCCTTTGGCCAAGTGACTTAACCTCTCTATAGCAGTTCCTTATCTGTAAAATGGTGATATAATAGGATCAAAGTTAGGTTAAAATGAATTGCTATGTGTAAAATACATAGAACACTGCTTAGCACATATCAGGTACTCTGAGATGTTAGCTATATTATTGCCAAAAACATATCAGACACTGAATAGTTTCTCTATGTCTTACCCATTTTTATTATCTACTAATGTGAAGCAAATCGCCCCAAGATTTAGAGGTCTAGATCAATAAACACTCATACTCTCAGTTTCTGTGGCTTAAAAATCTGGTACTGTTAGCTAAATGGTTCTGTTTCCAAGATCACTCCCATGATTATTGGCAGGTCTCAATCCCTTTCTACATGGGCATCTCTGCAGGGCTGCCTCACTGTTTGGCAGTTGGCTTCCCCCAGGATGAATGCTCCAAGGGAAGGAGACAGAAAAAGAGAGAGAGAGAAGAGGGGAGAGAAAGAAAGAGTGTGCAAAAATAGCAATAGTCTTTTGAAACCTAATTTTGGAAGTGACATTTCATCACTCGCTACATTCTATTCATTATAATCAAGTCACTAAATTCAGCCCACACTTAAGAGATTACAGAAAGACAGGCATCTCTGGGGCCAACCCACCCTACCATAGATTGTGACCTGATTTAGGGAGTGTCCCTCAATTATTTTGCCTATACACGTATAGAGAGAGAATATTATTTTCACCAATGATAGTCAGTTTCCAACATCTACCCTCCTAATAATATACAGACACTAGTTCTGCCAATAAAACCCATTTTTGACATCCAATGTGCAATTAACCAAAGCCTGGTTGGTGGAGGGGATGGGATAGTGGAGAACCTTGCAGGAATCATCTGGGCCTGGCCTCTTCTGTGCAGTGTCAGATGACCATGTTGGAACACATCTTTGACGGCAGGTCAGCTGGTTGCCCCTAGAGTTATAGCTTAAACTAGTTGGCATGTATATAATGATATGCCAACGACACTAAAATTTTTAAAGTAAATTACAGCTGGGCGCTGTGGCTCACACCTGTAATTCCAGCACTTTCAAAGGCTGAGGTCAGAGACAGGATTGCGTAGGCCCAGGAGTTTGAGACCAGCCTGGGCAACATTGGGCGACCCCGCGGGACTAAGTGGCTCATGCCTGTAATCCCAGCACTTTGGGAGGCCGAGGTGGGGTCAGGAGTTTGAGACCAGCCTGGCCAACATGGTGAAACCCTGTCTCTACTAAAAATACAAAAATTAGCTGAGCGTGGTGGCAGGTGCCTGTAATCCCAGCTACTCAGGAGGCTCAGGCAGGAGAATCGCTTGAACCTCGGAGGTGGAGGTTGTAGTGAGTCTAGATCGTGCCACTGCACTCCAGCCTGGGTGACAGAATAAGACTCTGTCTCAAAAACAAAACTAAAACTAAAACAAACAAACAAAAAATCTTGGGTGACCCGACCTCTGCAAAAAAAAATTTTTTTAATTAGGCAGGTATGATGGCACATGCCTGTGGTCTTAGCTACTAGGAACGCTGAAGTAGGAGGATTGCTGGAGGCCAGGAGGTTGAGGCTGCGTGAGCAGTGATCGTGACGCTGCATTCCAGCCTGGGCAACAGTGTGAGACTGTCTCAAAATACATACATACATACATACACAGCAGACTTTATAATGCCTTCCTCTATGATTTTCTGTAGGTCCTACCAACTCTGAAAACCTCCTCTAATTTTGAAAATGTATGGCTACAAATAAAAGAATAAGTGAAGGATATAATAAAAAGAAAATGGTTGAACTTACATATTTTTCTAACTTACATGAGGCTCAAAATAGAAAATCCAGTCAAGTGGCATGTCTATGTTGAATCCCACTGCACAGTAACTCAAAGCTGAGAAAGTATTTTGTTGACTTAATAAAGCCCTCTCTGGCAGTTCAAAAGGCTATTGTGGCATTTCTGCTTCACAGACTTCAGAGAAGTTGATCTTCCATGAACACTGAAGTACGACTCAAAGAAAGGGAGTATCCAAAACTGATAACGTAAGAATAGTACAAAAATTGTCTTTAAATTTAAAAATTGAGGTTTTAAGTGAATAAAAACAAATTATATACACTATTATCTCAAATATATAGACAACAGGAAGAAAAGCCCCAAAAGTAATATCCAAATTAGGAACAAAGAAGGTTCTGAGTAGTGAAATTGTGGATGATATTTTACTTTTCTTCAACTTCCGAAATTTCCAAAATAAAGCCTTTTTGGGATGTGTGTGTGTGTCCACATATCCATGCTTTAAGCAGGGTTCTTCCATATTGAATTTTTAGTGTTAATGCAGAAAGTTCATTCTAGAAAGCTAAAAAGGCAGAATTCAGCTATCCTTGAATATAGAGGTTAACATGTGGATTAGTCAGCCCTGGCTGCCATCACAAATACCTCAGTGTGGGCAGCTTAAACAACAGAAATGTATTTTTTCACAGCTCTGGAGGCTGGAAGTCCCAAATCATGGTGCCAGCTGCCTTGGTTCCTGGCGAGTCCTTTCTGCTTGGCTTGCTGATGGTGGCCTTCTTGCTGTGTCATCCTATGTCTTTTCCTCTGTGGCGAGTGGAGAGAAAGCTGTCTAAGATCTCTTCCTCTTCTCATAAGGACAGCGGTCCCAGAGGATGAGGGCCCCGCCCTTATGACCTCGTTTAACCATAGTTACCTCTCTACAGCCTCTATTTCCAAATACAGTTGCATTGGTGGTTAGGGCTTCAAGGTATAAATTTAGGGGGAGTGAGATGGACACAATGGTAACATCTAAACCTAGAAAATTCCTTCATGGCCTTTTTTTTTTTTTTTTTTTTGACAAGGTCTTGCTCTGTCTCCTAGGCTGAGGTGCAGGGGCACAGCCACAGCTCACTCATCCTCGACCTCCCAGGCTCAAACGTTCCTCCCACTTCAGCCTCCCAAGTAGCTGGGACCAAATGCCACCATCCCTGGCTAATTTTTTGCACTTTTTGTAGAGATGGGGTCTCTCCATGTTGCCCAGGCTGGTCTCAAATTCCTAGAGTCCAGAGATTGCCCCAGCTTAGCCTCCCAAAGTGCTGGGATTACAGGCGTGAGCCACCGCTCTTGCCCCTTCACATCATTATATAGGCAGCCTGTTCTGTTCTAGAACAAACACAGTGACAATCTAATCTCTCTCAAAATCTATAGCCCAACTAAGAACCTGTATCTTTTCCAGGTTTAAGATTGGTTGGTCATTCTTCTGTGGACGCAGCATGTCTGAAATGCTGCCTTTTTTTTTTTTTTTTTTTTGGGACGGAGTCTCGCTCTGTTGCCCAGGCTGGAGTGCAGTGGCGCGATCTAAGCTCACTGCAAGCTCTGCCTCCCGGGTTCACACCATTCTCCTGCCTCAGTCTCCCGAGTAGCTGGGACTACAGGCGCCCGCCACCACGCCTGGCTAATTTTTTGTGTTTTTAGTAGAGACGGAGTTTCACCGTGTTAGCCAGGATGATCTCGATCTCCTGACCTCGTGATCCACCCGCCTCGGCCTCCCAAAGTGCTGGGATTACAGGCATGAGCCACCGCGCCCGGCCAATGCTGCCTGTTTTTAAAAGTGTTTTCCCAAGTGGCAAAAATTAGTTAATTAAACAGGAATTAAATATGTTCTCAAACCTATGCATTCCACCTTTATATTTCCTAAGCTTGAGGAATTGCTGTGACAGTCACTTCCAGACTAAAAGCAGATCCTGCTTGTTCTACACTGACCCATCAGTGGATTATTGCCCAGTCCACACACCACCCATTATCTGGAACCACACCAGAGGTTTTGGAAGAACTCAAATCCATATAGCAATCCGTGCTGCCCATGTGTGGCTATTTAAATTTAAATTAATTAAAACTAAATAAAATTTAAAATTCAGTTCCTCAGTCACACAAGCCACATTTCAAGTGCTCCACAGCCATATGTGGCCATTAGTGACCATATTGGGCAGTGTAGAATATAGAACTATCTATCACAGAAAGTTTTACTTTACAGAGCTTCATTCTATTATAAAAAGATTGCCCGATATCAGAAAATGCTGGTTACTTACTCTCTGACACAGATGTGTACATAATATAAGAGTTTTTTCTTATCTCTTGGAACTGAGACTACAAAAATGAATGAGACCTCAGGAATGCCTTCAGGGGGTTCACTTTCTAGAACTGTGATGTGAATTACAGTAATCTGTTACCTTACTTTTCACTGGCATTCCAAATTTCCCATAAACCCCCTCAGTGGAGGTTATGACATGAGTGAAAAATAATAATGATGTAGGACTTCTGTAGATGCAGACATTTTCCTGCCATTTTGCATAAAAGGAATTACTCCTTTAACATAGGATTCTGCTTTTATGGGGAGACTCTGTTTAAAGACCAGTTCTTGGCCAGGCTTCGTGGCTCATGCCTGTAATCCCAGCTCTTTGGGAGGCCACGGTAGGAGGACTGCTTGAGCCCAGGAGTTTGAGACCATCTTGGGTAACAAAGTGAAACCATGTCTCCACAAAAAATTTAAAAATTAGCCAGGGATGGTGGCTACATGGGAGGCTGAGGTGGGAGGATCGCTTGAGCCCAGGAGGTTGAGACTGCAGTGAGCCGTAATTGTTTTACTGCACTCTAGCCTGGGCAACAGAGCGAGACCCTGTCTCAAAAAGCAAAACAAAACAAAACACAAAGACCAGTTTTTTCATATGGAGTTCTCTGATTCCACTTCCTCCTGCAACTTCCTTTCTTCCTTAGTGGCAGAGCATGGTGGTGAAAGTCCTGACTTGCAATGCCTGGTTTCAGATCTCAGTTATGCTATTAATACTTTCTGGCTGTGTGACTCTGGGCAAGTTGCTTAACCTTTCTGTGCTTCAAATTAATCATCAGTAAAACAACAATGATAATGCTACCAATATTAAGAGGTTCTGTAAACATTTCGTAACTTAAAACGTATAAAGTGCTTAAAATGGTACCTGCCACGGAGGTAGTGCTCAATGAATGTCAGCCAAAATTAAGTTATTCAAGTTTTTTTCAGCAAGTAAAGTATCAAATGTCTTGAGCTAAAAGCACAAATATCTCTCTTTCCTAACCTTCTAGAACACTTTGCTTCATTTTTCAGCAGGTATTAAATCCTGCCATCTATTAGAGAGGTCTCTGCACATATCTATCTCCATTACCTGATAAGCTCTTGGAGAGCAGCTTGTCTTTTTCATCTTAGTAGTCTGAGTAGTGCCATTGTCATTCATTAACAGGTTTTTAACTTTTTTTTTTTTTTAAAGATAGGGTCTCACTATGTTGCCCAGGCTGGTCTCAAACTCCTGAGGTCAAGTGATCCTCCTGCCTCAGCCTCCCAAAGTGCTAGGATTACAGGCATGATCCACGCCTGGCCATCTGTTAAAGAAAGTGTAATATCACATTCCTTCCTGAATATCGTGGATCATCAAAACCCTGATATCAAATTATATTTCTATTTGAGAAATTATTTTGGTATGTTATTTAATTAATTAATTTTTTTTTAATTTTTATTTTTTTGAGATGGAGTTTCACTCTTTTTGCCCAGGCTGAAGTGCACTGGTGCTATCTCAACTCACTGCAACCTCTGTCTCTTGGGTTCAAGTGATTCTCCTGCCTTAGCCTCCCAAGTAGCTGGGACTACAGGCATGCGCCACCATGCCTGGCTAAAATTTTTTTGTATTTTTAGCAGAGACGAGCTTTCACGATGTTGGCGAGGCTGGTCTTGAACTCCTGACCTCAGGTGATCCACCCACCTCGGCCTCCCAAAGTGCTAGTATTACAGGCATGAGCCACTGCACCCGGCTGTATTTTTATTTTTTTAGAGACAGGGTCTCACTCTGTCACCCAGAGTGCAGTGGCATGATCATAGCTCACTGCAGCCTCAAACTTCTGGCCTCAGGCAATCCTTCCACCTTGGCCTCCCAAAGTTCTGGGATTACAGATGTGAGCCACTGCACCCAGCTGGTATTCTAGTTTAAACTTTAGTTTAAATAATCATGCCTGGGTGACATAAGCTGAAGAGAAGGAAGGTTCCTGAAAGAGCCCCAGCAGCTTGAATTTTGCAACAAGTGTTTTCAGATGGGTTCTCTCCCTAAGTATTTAATTTTTGTTACAGACCCACAGGCTCTTAGGCTCCCTGTGTAATGGAAATTAACACGGGACCAAGTACGTTTCCCAGACAAGGCTCTACTTTGGGGCTTGTGCTCAAGCACAAGGGAGGCAGTAGAGGCACAAGGGTTCTCTGGCTGGCAGCCTGAAAAGAGCCAGTAGGGATTTTTTATGAGGCAAAGTGTGGGAATTGACATCAGGGGTAGGGTAAGCAAGGCTAGGGTGGGTTAGAGTGTGCAGGTCAGCATATCTGGTTGCCATAGTTATCTTGAGTAATGGGCCATCTGTGGTCTGGCTGGCAGCAACAAGGCTATAAATCAATTGTTCAGCATTGCTTTCCAAGGTGGGACACTCCACAACCTTGGTTTGCTGTTTGGCTCTCCTAATGACAGTTTCTGGAGTTCTTTAAGTAACAGGCCTGGTTAGACACTATGAGAGCACAGAGGACTGGCTAGTTTCCTTTTATGACTAAAGCCTCAGGGTTAGCAGGTACAGCATCAGCAAGGTAGTAGTGTAAAGGAGGTTTTGAAAAGAGAAGGAAAAAAAAAGAAAAAAATAGGCAAAAGAAGAGCCGCATCTCACTCCAGTTCTGTCTCATTATGACACAAGCCTACCTTAAAAGGCACCAATAGGACAGATCTGGGAGCAGCGGCTCTCTTTATAAGAGTGTATGAATGGCCGGGCATGGTGGCTTACACCTGTAATCCCAGCACTTTGGGAGGCCGAGGTGGGTAGATCACCTGAGGTCAGGAGTTAGAGACCATCCTGGCCAACATGGTGAAACCCCGTCACTATTAAAAATACAAAAATTAGCCGGGCGTGGTCGTGGGCGCCTGTAATCCCAGCTACTCGAGAGGCTGAGGCAGGAGAATTGCTTGAACCTGGGAGGTGGAGATTGCAGTGAGCCAAGATTGTGCTGCTGCACTCCAACCTGGGTGACAGAGTGGGACTCCAGCTCAAAATAAATAAATAAATACATAAATAAATAAATATATGCAGATTTTAAGCTGTCCCAAAACAAAGATAAATATTGTGTCTTACAATTTATACAGCCATTTTCATAGACTTTTTATTAATTTTATAATGCTTCTGATATTTGTCTATTCATTCTGCAAAAACATTGGGTTCATCTATGTGCCAGGCACTGTACTAGGCACTGATAATACTATTGTCTTACCCCTCCTGCTGCCTTCAGTACAATGGAGGGACAGGTTTTTTTTTTTTAGGGGACAGGTTTCAAATAAAATTATATAAGTAATTATTTAAATTACTATTGTGAAAACTGCCATAAACAAGTGTTAAGTGGAATAATTCATCTGGCTAGAACCAGGATTGGCTTTCCTGAGAAATTAACACATTATTATGTCTTAAAAGGTGAATAATTACAACAACCAAAAATTTTCCCTGGGTTATCGTTGTCTTGTTAAATAGGAACTTAAGCAGGATGTATGTCCAATTTGCCTCTTTCCAAAACATCCTCACCAACATACCTCCACATTCATTAGCTTTTCCCAAAAATTCTAAATATTTTACAACTGAAGAGCTGAGACAGCAAATTTTGAGGGGCCCCTCATGCTCACCTATATCTTCAGAAAATTTGCACTTGTTCTGCTAGTTACACATTAAAATTTAGACTCGTAGGCTGTTAACTGCATGATAAATAGGCTGGTGTTCCAACGTCTCACCAGAAAGCCATGGAGGTGGAAAAAGTGTAATTACCTGAGTCCAGAACCTAATTCCTTTTTATATCTAAACTCAAAATATGTTGTGCATCATTTAATAAACAATTTCCCAGGACTCTAACAGCCATGTAGGAGGGGACAAATTTCAAACTTTGGAATTTGGAAAAGGCTTTCAGTCTTTGGAAAAACACGCCACTTAAAGGCAACACACTTGGGGCCAGGTGCGATGGCTCACACCTGTAATCCCAGCACTTTGGGAGGCTGAGGTGGGCAGAACACTTGAGGTCAGGAGTTCGAGACCAGCCTGGCCAACATGGTGAAATCCTATCTCTACTAAAAATACAAAAAATCAGCCAGGCGTGGTGGCAGGTGCCTGTAATCCCCAGCTACTCGGGAGGCTGAGGCAGGAGAATAGCTTGAACCTGGGAGGCAGAAGTTGCAGTGAGCCGAGATCGTGCCACTGCACTCCAGCCTGTGTGACAGAGCTGGGCTACATTTCAAACAAAACAAAACAAAACTATATATATGTATGTGTTCATATATATCTGTTTTTTTCACTATCCCCTACATTTTCTAATGACCATCTTGTGGCCAAAAACTATCGTGATTTCAGTGCCCACATTTAAGTGTGTATTTATAATCACGTTATTGAAGGATTCACCTTAAGTAACAATGTTTTAATTTTTGATATGGTATGGGTCTGTGTCCCCACCCAAATCTTATGTTGAATTGTAATCCCCAACATTGGTAGTGAGGACTGGTGGGAGGCGATTGGATCATGGGGGTAGTTTCGGATGGTTTAGCACTGTCTCCCTAGGGCTGTCTCGTGATAGAGTTTCACAAGATATGGTTGTTTGAAAGTGTGTAGCATCTCCCCTCTCTTCCTCCTGCTCCAACCCTGTAGGACGTGACGTGCCTGTTTCCCCTTCCCCTTCTGCCACGATTGTAAGTTTCCTGAGGCCTCCCCAGCCATGCTTCCTGTACAGACTGCAGAACTGTGAGTCAATTAAACCTCTTTTCTTTATAAATTACCCAGTCTCAGGTAGTTCTTTATAACAGTGCGAGAATGGACTAATACAGCTTTTAGTAAAGTGTTGCTAAAGCTAACACATTCTTTGTGTGTGAGTTCAAATTTTGATAAACACTGGTCTATTCCATATTTTTCTATAATCTCAGTCACTGGTAATAACAGAAACCAGATACATCTACAAGGAAAAATAGCTATGACATCATTTTTGTATAGGACATCCCAATTAACATTAACATTATTAGAAGCTAATTTTTTTCTTTTCTCAGGGGTAGGAACCTATGTCAGAATGAATATTTTCCTTTTCTTCTTTGCCAGGGTCCAGCTCAGACAAAGTGAAGATACAAGAAACAGACTCTTTAAACAAGATTGTTCAAGTGAGATAATAATTACAGCTATTATTTACAGCTTTCATAGCTAATGAAATATTTATTTTCCAATAGGCCCTGTAGGAAATTGACTACTTTGTATCTAACTTTGCAATCGTATTTTTGCATTCTTTCTTTCATTGACTATAAATATTTCTGTTTCTTCTATACTTTTTTTTTTTAGGTGAAAGCAAGTTTATTAAAAAGTAAAGTAATAAAAAGGGCCGCTCCATAGGCAGAGCAGGGTGGGAGGGGGCTAGTTGGCTATTTTATTGCAATTTATTGATGATATGCTAAACAAGGGGTGGATTATTCATGAGTTTTCTGGCAAAGGGCAGAGGAGCTCCCCAAACCTGGGGTTTCTCCCCCATCCTCACCATATAGGGTAACTTCTGGACGTTGCCACAGCATTTGCAAATTGTCATGGCACTGGTGGGAGTGTTTTTAGTATCCTGATGCATTATAATTAGCGTAAAATGAGCAGTGAAGGTTGCTGTCATCACCTTCTTGGTTCTGGCTGGTTTGGGCTGGTTTCTTTACTGTCTCTTCTCTTAGCAGCAGAGTCTTGTTACCTGTTGTTTACTATCTCCTAAACAACAGGTTTACTACCTGTCTTATCAGTAGGGTCATGTGACCCATTGTCTTGGGAACCAGTCCTTACAGACATTATTAAGCTATTTCTTTAGCTGTGAACATCTTATAATCATGGGTTCTCACTGGCAAGGACTGCACCTTGCTGGTTTTAAGATGGAGTTGATTGTAAAATGGTGTCACCTTGGCTCTCCTATGCTCTTGCCTCCTTAACATAATCCCCCCTCTACTTATGAGACAATTCTTCATCTTAAAGGGAGATGAAGGACAAAGGTTGATGTTGTTGTTGTTGCTAGTTTTTTTGTTTTTTGTTTTTGGTTTTGTTTGTTTGTTTGTTTTGAGACAGACTCTCACTGGGTCGTCCAGGCTGGAGTGCTGTGGCGCGATCTTGGCTCACTTCAACCTCTGCCTCTCTGCCTGGTTCAAGCAATTCTCTTTCCTCAGCCTCCCGAGTAGCTGGAATTACAGGCACCTGCCACCATGCCTGGCTAATTTTTGCATTTTTAGTAGAGATAGAGTTTCACCATGTTGGCCAGGCTGGTCTCAAACTCCTGACTTCAAGTGATCCACCTGCCTTGGCCTCCCAAAGTGCTGGGATTACAGATGTAAGCTGTTGTTGTTTTTAGAGACAAGGTCTCGCTCTGTCAACCAGGCTGGAGTGCAGTGACGCGATCACAGCTCATTGCAGCCTTGACTTCCTGGGCCGAAGCTGTCCTCCCACCTCAGCCTACTGAGTAGCTGGGATCAAAGTCACACTCCACTATGCCTAGCTAATTTTTGTATTTTTTGTAGAGACAGGGTCTCGCTATGTTGCCTGGGCTGGTCTTGAACTTGAGGGCTCAAGAGGTCCTCCTGCCTCGGCCTCCCAAAGTGTTGAGATTACAGATGTGAGCTACCACACCCAGCTGAAGGTCATTCTTCTGTAACTTCTTCCTGCTGTCAGTGAACATTGACCTTAGAGACAGGATTCTCTCATAAGAGCTTGCAGTCAGCCTCTAGGGAGGCAGGGGAGCTTCTTGTTTGTGTGATGGCCTGATGATTTGATGGGCGTAGGCCTTGCCTAGTATTGGAGGTGTAAAAATCTCTGGATGCCTGATCTAAGGGACCGAAAGGCAGGATATCTTTATTTCTTGGTTCAGAAGATGGGATGTGTTAGAAGCCTTGCGTTAGCATCATCTTTATCTGGAATTGTTGTAATCTAGAAGACACAGACTTTTACCAAGAGATTAAACAAGCAAGGACCAGATTAGTAATAACAAGATGGCTATCAAAGGCGCTAGGAAGGGCAAAAACTAAGTGAGACTTGGGAGAATGCTTTTAATGGTTGACCAGATATATTTGGAATGGTGCCTTGGTTATATTTATGCAAAATTTCTTCTATACGTCTTTGAATGAGCTTGAATCCCTTGTTGGCTTTCTCATTGATAAATTGAATAAATTTTTTGACACATATTCATTCTATATGTATGTGAGAGTCATGTTACTAGTTTTTGCAATTTATACTTTAAAACCAGTTTGGAGGTCTCACTGAAATGTCCAGGTAGACTCACTTGGCTGAGACAATTAAACTGACTAAAAATTTACCTTATGGGTTGCTGAAATCCAGGTATGTGGCAACACAAGTTTGAGTTGGCTGACTGTTCCCCTCCTTCCTTTTTTTTTTTTTTTAACATTCCATGTTTTTGTTTTTGTTTACTTTGTTGGACAACTCTATTAATCTGTCTTTTCTAATTTGTGATTTGGGCCATTTCTTTTTCCATTACCCAGATTCAGGAACTAGTGCGTAAAAAAAAATAATATGCAGGTAAATGTTTAACAATTGGTTCTTTCGTGAGAGGAGAAAGGAAAAAACCCAGTCAGGCAGGCAGTTAGGGTGGGTCCTCGGTTGAATTATTTCAAACAAAAGAACAGCCTGCAGGCACAGATAAGGGAGCTTACGGGGGCTAGCCTAACACTTGCCCACAGATAAGAAAGGCTACTCGAGTGACTTGCCCAGGTATGCCTGCAATGGAAAATTCTATCCCCTAACACGTGCACAGTAAGGGGAACAAAGGAATATAGAGTAACTCAAGCTAAGGGCCTGCATGTGCATTAGGAGGATGGGGTGGGGCCCCCAGAAGTTTGCACCTTATGCAAATGAGATGCCCAGCCCTCATGGGTTTCTTATAAAAGCCTTTGCATTCAACTGTAAAAAAAAGGCGACCCTTTTCCAAGACCCCTCTCTATTGCAGAAAGCTGTTCTTTCTTTCACCTATTAAATTTCTGTTCTAAACTTCACCCTTGGTGTGTCCACATCCTTGATTTCCTTGGCTGTGAAACCAAGAACTTCAGGTGTCATCCCAGACAACACAGCTGCTTCACTTTGAGGTGGCGAGAGGGGCCGATTTTCAACATTTATTAAATTCTGTGCTATCAATACTGGTAACATGGACTCTTTTAACCTACCAATGTGACATCACTGAATGCACAGTTAGGAAGAGCTGAGCACAATAGTCTCTCATGAGCCAGTGGGGCCCAGCCACAGCACACCTCTGCTAATGAACCACTAGGCCAGTCTTGGCTTCATAATCAAGAGAGCACCTCATATATTCATGTGTTCTTAGAAAATAGTGGTGTGAGCCATGTCTTTTTCTACAGCATGTTCAAGGAAGTTGTGTGTAATGCACTACCAGACTGGTCATCAGGCACCCGCTATGTATACGAGAACCTGAGGCTCTCTGGGTTCTGAACACAACTGATAATTAATTCCTCACTGTTGGCAGCAATAATTAAGAGTCTGGTTTTATTGCCTGTCCCCTTGGTGATCTCTCTTAGGATGATGAGGAACTATTTTCCATTGGGTGAAATATGACAAACAGAAAATATGGTTTGTTAGTCTTTTTTGTTTCTGTTTGTCTATTGTGAATGCAAGCCAATTAAAACAATATTTAATGCTCACTGAAAAGGAGAACAACTCTTTGAGATCTGGCCAGAGTGTTATTGTGTTACCAAGCTGACTTTTGACCTGTGGATGAGATTATAGAACTGAACTGCGTGCCCTCTGATGTCCATGTGTCTGCAATTGAAACAGCCTTTACCTCTTTTGGATGGAAGATGAAATATTAGTAAATTAGGGTATAAAGTATTAATAAATTAGATTATGATTTTTTAATAAAGAGCTCTGATTTTATTGGTTTATGGGGAATACTAAATGTTTATATAAATTTAATATTCCTAGAAGTCCTTGAAAATAAAGAAATGAAACTTGTAATACACTACTCAGGAAGTGCCAAGAAAAAAAAAAAAACAAAGTATTCTCATAGAAGGTTTTGCTCAGGAGCATTTTGATATAGGAAGCTGAGTTCAAAGATCACCAGAATCCTTAGACAAATTAGTTTGATAATGTTTTAAAAAACAGCATTGTCTTTCCTCAATTTTATCAGTATGGAGTATAATACAAACATATAATTTTTAAAAATAAGATTGAGTTTGTTTTCTAATGAAGAGACTAGTTAATCTGAGCTTCCTAAACTTATACTATTTATAGATCAGATAACATTATACCCCACATAATGTTTAAGAATACTGAAAAGATAAAATAATACAATCAATGACACTGAATTATAATTTCTTTATTTTTTTGAGGCAGGTCTCACTCTGTCACCCAAGATGGAGTGCACTGGTGCACTCTCAGTTCACTGCAGCCTCAACCTCCTTAGGCTGAGGTGATCCTCCCACCTCAGCCTCCCGAGTAGTTGGGACCACAGGCACGTGCCACCATGCCCAGCTAATTTTTGTATTTTTAGTAGAGATAAGGTTTTGCTATGTTTCTCAGGCTGGTCTTGAACTCCTGAACTCAAGTGATCCACCCCCCTCAGCCTCCTAAAGTGCTGGGATTACAGGTGTGAGCCACTGCGCCTGGCTGAATTATAATTCTGATACATGTTTTTATATCAGCATTAATTATATTTTGTAATGTGTTAGATTAAGCATAATACCTAAAATCTTTAGTTAAATTAAGTCTTTGGACTATAGTAAATTGAATTAATTAATAGATAATCTTTGGATGGCTGGGTAATTTTGAAGTAAGATAAAATACTGAAGCATAAATCACCAAATATAATTTTGGGAGCTAATATATACTTTTGCTCTTTATTTTTATGAAATAGCATGGCTAGTACTTTGCATTATGTAATTGTGCATGAGCTCAATGTTACCACTTTAAAAGGCTTAAAAAGCACATATCTGATGGTGGGGAGCAGTGGTCATATTAGGCGCACTTACCAGCTTTGCTCTTGTGCCAAAATGCTTATTTGTGACAAATAGTTCTAAATTACTTGCCACCCCAACCCTGCCCTCACACCTAGTACTTTCTGTAAAAAAGATGGAGTAACAGGACCAGATTAACTCTCTTGCCTTAAATAACTAAAACAGCAAAAAATATGTATTTGAAACAATGGTTTTCAGACATTGAATAACAGAACAGAGCAGTAATCCCTGAGAGCAGGAAAACAAATGAAGTGAGCCTAATGATTGACCCAGCTTCCTGCCTAGAGTTTCCAGACTACAGCATAGAGAATATACTTGGGTTGTCAATGAGTTGAGGAGACATTGTCGGGAGTATGGGGAGGCCAATGCAGCCAGGGTTTGCAGAACACAGTGCTGAAGAGGAGTAGGGGAAGGAGAACTCTGCGGATCTGCAGTGAATGGATCCCTCCATCCCTTATGCAGGTACTGGTCAGCACACATCTGTGAGGAAGCTCCTCAAGATTAGGGTCCCCACTGGGGCCGACTGAGCTGAGTGGGTCTGCCATGGACCACAAACCTCTGCTGCAGAAGCGGCCTCTGGCCTACAACCTGGAGTCCGTCCAGGTCAACTATGCATGCTGCCTGCACAGCTATGGCGCCAACCCTGCCAGCCCCCGCCAAGGCCCTACCCCTACCTCGTCACAGGGGTACCCACCCGCCACCCCAGGGTCTACAACATCCACAGCCAGACCACCACCTGGTACCCTGCCAACTCCATCATGGTCATGGGAAGCTGTCCCGTCTGCAGGGTCGGGGGTGCTGGAGGACTGCTTCAGCTCCCTGGGCATTTTCTTGGTCATCATCCTGTTCCCCTTTGGGTTCATCTGCCGTTTTGCCTTGAGGAAGCGAAGATGCCCCAACTGCGGAGAGACCTTCGCTTAAAGAGGACACCACACCCGGCTTTCCTACACCCAGTTCTCTTTTTCTAATGTAAATTTCGTGTATAGTAGTTTTATATAATTAAGCTTCAGAACTGTTTTTTTTTGTTGTTGATGTTGTTGTTTGAGTCAGAGTTTCATTCTTGTCATCCAGGCTGGAGTGCAATGGCATGATCTTGGCTCACCGCAACCTCTACCTCCCAAGTTCAAGCGATTCTCCTGCCTCAGCCTCCAGAGTAGCTGGGACTACAGGCACCAACCACCACGCCCGGCTAATTTTTGTATTTTTAGTAAAGACTGGGTTTCACCATGCTGGACAGACTGGTCTTGAACTCCCGAGCTCAGGTGATCTGTCCGCCTTGCCCTCCAAAAGTGCTGGGATTACAGGCATGAGCCACCACGCCCAGCCTCAGGACTTTTCTGTAAAGTGAGATGGGATAGATGTGGTACCTGCAAGCCGCGGTTTCCTGGAGCATGGAGAGGCAGCTCTGCTGCTTCCTCCCAAGGTTAATGACAACTCAATAAAGCACTGCTTGGCCAGGCACAGTGGCTCACGCCTGTAATCCTAGCACTTTAGGAGGCTGAAGTCGGCGGATCATAAGGTCAGGAGCTCGAGACCAGCCTGGACAATATAGTGAAACTCCGTCTCTACTAAAAATACAAAATTTAGTTGCACGTGGTGGTGGGCACCTGTGGTCCCAGCTACTCAGGAGGCTGAGGCAGGAGAATCACTTGAACCCGGGAGATGGAGGTTGCAGTGAGCTGAGATCACGCCACTGCACTCCAGCCTGGGTGATAGAGCGAGACTCTGTCTCAAAAAACAAACAAACAAAAAAACACAGAGCCTAGAATAGTGGACATTCTCACCAATCAGAGTGGGAAAACTTTGTAATACATGGAATATTGGGTATGGAACTCAGAAGAGTATTTCCTCAGAAGTGGGACAAAATCACTCTTGACTAAAGACTGCTCTGGTCACATCTAACAAAGTTTAAAAGTAGGGAAAGATAGGCTGGGCCTGGTGACTCACACACCTGCAATCCCAGCACTTTGGGAGGCGGAGGTGGGCAGATCATTTGAGGTCAGAAGTTGGAGACCAGCTTGGCCAACATGGCAAAACCCCCGTCTCTACTAAAAATACAAAAATTAGCCAGGCATGGTGGTGCATGCCTGTAATACCAGCTACTTAGGTGGCTGAGGCACGACAATTGCTTGAACCTGGGAGGCGGAGGTTGCAGTGATCTGAAACTGCACCATTGCACTGCAACCCGGGTGACAGAGCAAGACTGTCTCAAAAAAAAAAAAAAAAGAAAGAAAGGAAAGATAAAACTGGTTCCAACTGACAGTTGTGTCCCAGGACAAGGCACAAGAATATCAAAATGAAAGCAATACAAGAATACCTATTACTCAACAAGACAAAATTCACAATGTCTGGCATCCAACAAATATCATGTGACATGGAAATAAGCAAGAAAATATGACCCAAAATGGGGAGAATTATCAATAACTGAAAGGGATCCAGAAATGAGATTGAGAATAGAATTCATAAGCAAGTATACTAAAAGTTACAATGAATATTTATATTGCATTATAAATTATGTTTTATATGTTCACAAAGATAGAGGAAACATAAGTATGTTAATATAAAGAAGATATTTAAATGACTCTTTCATCCCTGCAAGGTCTGAGAAAAAAATAAGACTCAAGTGAAACTATAAAAAATAAAAAAGATAATATTTGAGATAAAATAGAGACTACGTTAACAGTGGATTAGATGCTACAAAAGAAAAAAGGTTAGTAAACTTAAAGAAAGAAATATAAACTATTGAAAATGAGACAAGGAAAAAAGTAATGGAAAATAAATACAGTATTAGCTATGGGACAACTTCAAGAGGCCTAATATATATAAAATTATAGTCTCTAAATTATTCAAGAGAGAAGGGCATTCAGCCTCAGAAAGCTGATTGAAAGAAAAACTAAAAAGCAAAATAAAGACAAAAATTAAGAAAAAATAAAAATATGCTATGTGTGGTGGCTCACACCTGTAATCCCAGCACTTTGGGAGGGCAAGGCAGGAGGATTGTTTGAGCCCAAGAGTTCAAGACCATCTTGGGCCACAGAGTGAGGCCCCAACTCTGCAAAAAATGAAAACTATTAGCCAGGTGTGGTGGCATGAACCTGTAGTCCTAGCTATTTGGGAGGCTTAGGCAGAAGGATTGCTTAAGGCCAGGAGTTCAAGGCTACAGGGAGCTATGATTGTACCACTGCACAAGCCTGGGAAACAGGGAAAGACCTGCTTGACTCTATTTATAAAAAGAAAGAAAGAAAGAGAAATAAATAAAAAAGAGAAGAAACTGAAAAAATGTGAAAAAATAATTGCTAAAAACTCCAAATTTGACAAAAACTGTAAACTCATAGATTGAAGGAGCTCAACAAACCCCAAGTGAAAGAAACATGAAGAAAACTATGCCAAGGCACCTCATAATAAAAATTGATTAAAATTAGTGGCAAAGAGAAAATGTTAAAAATGCAGGAGAAAAAAGGCATATTACATACAGAGGGACAAACATAAGAATTACAGAAGATTCTCAGTGTAAACAATGCAAGCCAGCAGATAGTAGAACAATGTC
This sequence comes from Homo sapiens, assembly GCF_000001405.40. NCBI lineage: Eukaryota > Metazoa > Chordata > Mammalia > Primates > Hominidae > Homo > Homo sapiens. The sequence goes on along the minus strand of NC_000012.12, from coordinate 24,964,500 downwards.
TCTAAAATATTAAAAGAAAAACAGTGCAGGCCCAGTAGCTCATGCCTATAGCACTTTGGGAGGCTGATGCAGGAAGATGGCTTGAGACCGGGAGTTCAAGACCAGCCTGGGCAACTTAGCAAGACCCCTGTCTCTACAAACACTTTAAAAAAAAAAAACATTTAACTGGGCATGGTAGCATTTGTCTTGAAATCTATTTTATCTGATGTAAGTATAGCTATTCCTACTCATTTTTGGTTTCCACTTGCAGGGAATATATTTTTCCATCCCTTTATTTTTAGTCTATACATATATTTATAGGTGAAATGTGTTTCTTGTAGGCAAAAGATCATTGGGTCTTGTTTTTAAATCCATTCAGCCATGGTATGTCTTTTGATTGGAGAGTTTATTTCATTTACATTCAATGCTATTTTTGATAAGTAAGGACTTATGCCTGCCATTTTGTTATTTGTTTTCTGGTTGTTTTGTGGTCTTCCTTTTAGTGAATGCGATTTTCTCTGGTGGTATCTTTTAATTTCTTCCTTTTTAGTTTTTGTGTATTGTCAACTCAAAGTGTCTGAGACAGGCCTTAATCAATTTAGAAAGTTTATTTTGCCAAGGTTAAAGATGTACCCTCAGGAGGCTGTGTCCTGGCAACATGTGCTCAAGGTGGTCAGGGTACAGCTCACTTTTACACATTTTAGGGAGATATGAGACATCAATCAATATGTGTAAGATGTGCATTGATTTGGTCCAGAAAGGCAGGACAACTCAAAACAGGGCGGGATTGGGGGGGCGGGGAGGGGACAGTTCCAGGTAGATAAGGTGTGGTTCCAGGTAGATAAGAGACAAAAAGTTACATTCTTCTGACTCTTCAATCAGCCTTTCACTGAATCCACAATTTACATGTTGGGGAACATAGAGGAATAGTCACTTATGCCTTAGTCTGGCTCAATGAATCTGCATTTGTCTCAGTTGAGCAGAGAGATGACTTTCTGTCTGGCACCTGTGAAGATAAGGTATCAATTTACATCACAAGGGTGAAATTCAACAGAATTGTTTTAGGGTAAAGATTTTGAGGCCCAGAAGGATTTCTTTATGAGCGAATTGTGATGGACGTATATAGCTTTTAAAACATCTTTGTAGTTATATTACTTAGGAATAGAATGAGAGGCAGGTTTGCCTGATGTAGTTCCCAGCTTGACTTTTCCCTTTAGCTTAGTGATTTTGGGGTCCCAAGATTTATTTGCCTTTCACAGTGTCTGTTATATTGTCTTTGATTTGACATTACCATGAGGCTTGCAAATAGTACTTACAACCCATTATCTTAAACTGATGACAACTTAATACTGATTGCATAAACAAACAAGCAAAGAGAAAGCAAATAAAAGCTCTACACTTTAACTTCATTCCTCCACTTTTTAACTTTTTGTTGTTTCTGTTTATGTATTATTTTACTGTCCATGTCTTGAAAAGTTGTAGTTATTTTTTTGATTGGCTCATCTTTTAGTCTTTCTACTCAAGATATGAGTATTTTATACAGCACAATTACAGTTTTATAATATTCTGTTTCTCTGTGTACTTACTATTACCAGTGAGTTTTGTGCCTTCAGATGATTTCTTATTGCTCATTAACATCCTCTTCTTTCAAACTGAAGAACTCCCTTTAATATTTCTTATAGGATAGGTCTACTGTTGATGAAATTCCTCAGCTTTTCTTTGTCTAGGGAAGTCTTTATTTCTCCTTCATGTGTGTAGTATTTTTTGATGAATTCTGCTATTAAGAGACTGTAATTCATTCTTCAGTATATCAATTGCATTTTTCAGCTCCAGAATTTCTGCTTGATTCTTAACTATTTCAATCTCTTTGTTAAATTTATCAGATAGTATTCTGAATTCCTTCTCTGTGCTATCTTGAATTTTGTTGAGTTTCCTCAAAGCAGCGATTTTGAATTCTTTGTCTGAAAGGTCACATATCTCTGTGTCTCCAGAGATATGTGCCTTATTTAATTCATTTGGTGGATTCATGTTTTCCTGGATGGTCTTGATGCTTGTGGAGCTTATTGATGTGTGGGCATTCATGAAATTAGGTATTTATTTTATTTATTGTAGTTGTTGCAGTCTGGGCGTGTTTGTACCTGCCCTTCTTGGGAAAGCTTTCCAGGTATTCAAAGAGAGTTAGGTGTTGGGATCTAAGTTTTTGTTTACTGCAGACTTATCTGCATTAGGGGGCATCCCAAGCCCAATAACACTATGGCTCTTGCAGACTCAAGAGGTACTGCCTTGGTGGTTTTGCATAAGATCTGCAAGAATTCTCTGGATTACCAGAAGGAGCCCTTGTTCTTTTCCCTTACTTTCTTTGAAACAAATGGAGTCTCTCTCTCTGTGCTGAGCCGCCTGGAGCTGGGGGAGAGGTGACATAAGCACCCCTGTGGCCACCACCACTGGGACTGTGCTGGGTCAGACCTGAAGCCAGCACAGCACTGGGTCTTACTCAAGTCCCACTGTAACCACTGCCTGGTGACAGCCTATGTTTGTTCAAGACCCCAGGGTTCTACAATCAAGAGGTGGTGAAGCCAGCTGGGCTTGTGTCCTGTGTTATCTTGAATTTTGTTCAAGAGTGACTAGCTCTCCAGATTCCAGGCATGACTAGAGATGCCCTCTGGGAGCCAGGTCCTAGAGTTGGAAACCTTAGGAATTTACCTGGTGATCTATTCTACTGTGGCTGAACTGACACCCAAACTGCAAGGCAAAGACCTTCTCACTCTTTTCTCCCCTTTCTACAAGCAGAGGAGTCTCTCCCCATGACCACCACCACCCCAGGCCTATGGCAAATACTGTCTGGCTACCATCGATGTTCACTCAAGGCCCAAGGGTTCTTCTGTCAGCTTTTGGTGATGTTGGCAGTTCTGAGTCTGTTCCTTCAGGGAAGCGGGCTCCCCTCTGGCCCAGGGCAGGTCCAGAAATACTGTCTAAAAGCCAAAACCTGGAATCAGAGACCCCAAGAGTCTAGTTGGTACTCTACCCCACTGTGGCCAAGCTGGTACCTAAGCTATAAGACAAAGTCTCCTTTACTCTTCCCTCTCCTTTTCTCAAACAGAAGGAGTCTCTCCCTGTAGCCACCACAGATGGGAATGTGCTGGGTCATATCTGAAGCCATCACATCTCTGAGTCTCACTCAAAGCCTATGGCAAGTATTGCCTGGGTACCACTGCTGATTATTTAGGGCCCAAGACTTCTTTTTTTTTTTTTTTCCCCAAGACAGAGTCTTGCTCTGTCACCCAGGCTGGAGTGCAATGGCGTGATCTTGGCTCACTGCAACCTCCACCTCCTGGGTTCAAGCAATTCTCCTGCCTCAGCCTCCCGAGGAGCTGGGATTACAGGCGTCCGCCACCATGCCCAGCTAATTTTTTGTATTTTCGGTAGAGACAGGGTTTTACCATGTTGGCCAGGCTGGTCTTGAACTCCTGACCTCGTGATCCACCCGCCTCAGCCTCCCAAAGTGCTGGGATTACAGGCGTGAGCCACTGCACCTGGCCTGGCCCAAGGAGGGTTCTTTAGTCAGCAGGTGTTGAATTCTTCTAGGACTGGGCCCTTCCCTTTGAGGTTGTGAGTTCCTTTCTGGCCCAGAGTGTGCTTAAAATGTCTTCTGGGAGCTAGGGCCTGGAATGGGGCCATCAAGACTCTGCCTATCCTATTGTAGTGCCCAATCCTATGGTAGCTGAGCTGGTATCCACGTTGCAAGACAAAGCCCTCTTTACTCTTCCCTCTCCTCTCCTCAAGCCTGAAGGAAGGGGTCTCTCCCAGAGCTGCAAGCTGTGCTGCCTAGGGTTAGGGGAGTGGTGGCACAAGCACTTGCTTGGCTGCCCTGGCTGGTTTCTCACTAGGTCACATGCTCCTTAAGTCCACTAGCTCTGAGCCCAGCACAGCACCAGGACTTGCCCAGGAATTACAGTCCTTGTGGCCTAGACCACCTTTCACATTTATTTAGGACCCCAGAACACTTTAACCTATTGTGGTGAGGCTTGCTAGAACTCAGGTTCCAACCACTGGGGTGGGTGATTCATCTTTGGCTAAGGCTGATCTAAATGCTCCCTCTGCTGGTGCTGGCTGAGTTTTGCCCAGTGTTGCTTTCTGCTGACAGGGCAGCACTGAGTTCCAACGCAAAGTCCCACAGTCACTGTGCTCTTCCTCCCCTAAGCATATAGAATCTCTCTCCATGCCATATGGCCTCTGACAAGGGATGAGGAAAGGGTGGTATTGGCAATTCAAGACCATCTTTCTTTCTTACCCTCTTCAGTGCCTCTTTCAGTGATGTGAAATTAAAACCAAGTACTGTGATTACTCACCTGATTTTTGGTTCTTACGAAGGTGCTTCTTTGTGTGGATAGTTGTTCAATTTGGTGTTCCAGTGGGGAGGACAATTAGTGGAGGCTTCTATTGAGCCGTCTTGCTCTGCCTCTTCCTCCTGAAGGATAATGTTTTAATGAAAAATTTAGAGATACAGTAATTCTGGGAGATGAAAAGATCTAGTTCGGTTGTGTTAAACTTTGGTATGCACAATAATATATCAGTATCTCAGGTGGTTACTAAAATGCAGATGTTTGTGTTTTACTCCTATACCTTACTCCCCAGTAATTATGAATCAGTAGATCTTGGGTGGGACCTGGGGGAGAGCATCTTTAGCAGAAGTCAAGGGTATAACTATGGAAACGAATGGTTTATGTAGAGTAGAAATAAAGATCATCCAGATTCTAGGTGTTGGTCCTCACTTGAAGACCTAAGATAATGGCAAGGTTCTGGATAGAGAGGAAACTTGTGAACCAAATAAGGAAACCTTCATCTTTTTAAAAGAGAGAGCCTAAGTAGGTAATAAATAATAGTGTGGAGAGGACATAAAAGAGAGTGACTTGAACCTAATTCAGTATGCTCTAAGCATTATCTTTAGAACCATCAGTACATTTGATTTGGGTAAAGGGAAGAGTATTTGGGCAATGGTGATTGAGTGAAAAGTGTTTTATTTTGTAGAAAAAAAATCTCATAGAATAATTTTAAAAAGCATTATGATCGAAGATGATAATAAGAGCTTATATTTATTGAACATTTACTATGTGCGAGGCACTATTTTGATTACTTCATGCATATTAAGTCTTAATACTCATGAAAACCATGGGCTTTATTTTCCCCATTTTACAGATAAGGAAAATAAGGCTAAGATAGGTTAATATGTCAAAATGTCGTGAGGATACCAGTTAGGTAGCTAATGTCTGGGCCGGGCGCAGTGGCTCACCCCTGTAATCCCAGCACTTTGGGAGGTCGAAGCGGGTGGATTGCCTGAGGTCAGGAGTTCAAGATCAGCCTCGCCAACATGGTGAAACCCTGTCTCTGCTAAAAATACAAAAATTAGCCAGGCATGGTAGCGGGCACCTATATTCCCAGCTACTCGGGAGGCTGAGGCAGGAGAATTGCTTGAACCCAGGAGGTGGAAGTTGCAGTGAGCTGAGATTGCGCCACTGCACTCCAGCCTTGGCAACAGAGCAAGACTTCGTCTTTAAAAAAAAAAAAAAAAAGAAGCTAATGGCTGAAGGAGAGATGACAGAAGTTTGAAATAAGATATTCTAATGAGTGTGAAGAGCGAAAGACAAATTTAAGAAATTATAAAGGGGAATCTTTGTAATAATAAAGGGACATTATAAATGATCAGATTTGAAGAGAGTTCAGGAAAGGTAGGATCTAATGTTGACTGACTGTTGTTTGGGATACTGGTTTAATAGTGTTGTTATTAAGAAAGCTAGAAGGCCGGGCCTGGTGGCTCATGCCTATAATCCCAGCACTTTGGAAGGCTGAGGCCAGCAGATCACCTTAGGTCAGGAGTTTGAGACCAGCCTGGTGAAACCTCATCTCTACAAAAAAATACAAAAATCAGCCGGGCATGGTGGCGTGCACCTGTAATCCTAGCTATTAGGGAGGCTGAGGCAGGAGAATTGCTTGAACCCAGGAGGCGGACATTGCAGTGAGCTGAGATTGCGCCACTGCACTCCAGCTTGGGCAACAGAGCAAGGCTCTATCTCAAAAAAAAAAAAAACAACAAAACAAAGAAAATTCAAAAAGAGTCTACCAAGCATGCAACACATAGTAGCAAGACACACACACACATACAAACACACATGCACACACACAGAGAAGGATTTAAGAGTAAATATAAGTTAATTATATATACGATAAAAGTCTACTGAGTTATACATGCCTTTGGGTCAGACATGTGGAAATGTACATTAGTCAGAATTATGAGTAGAGTGCTCTTGAAGCAGGTGACACTGGAGTATGTGTGTTATTGAAGCCAAGAAATGCTTCTGGTGATAGTAATAAAATATTCCACCAGAAGTGGCAAAGCAGTAAAGATTAATTATGTCATATAACAAAACTTTTGAAGGTAGGCAACTCCAGGTTTGGCAAAGTGGCTCAGTGATGTCCCCAACAGTCCAGTCTCTTTCTTTTTTCTTTGCCATCCTCAATATTTGGTTTTTGGTCTTGGGCTTGCCACTCATGGTTGCAGGATGGTTGGTGGCAGCATTCTGAAACATTTATCTGTATACAACATTTAAAACAAGAAGAGAATGGGGTGAGAAACAAAGAATAGAATTGTGATTGCCAGGGCTGGGGGAAGGGGAAAATGTTGCTAATCAATGGCAACAGATATAAAATTTCTATTATGCAAGATGAGTAAGTTCTAGAGATCTGCTGTATAACATTGTACGTATAAATAACAGTACTGAATTGTGCACTTAAAAATCTGTTAAGAGGGGCCAGGCACGGTGGTTCACACCTATAATCCCAGCATTTAGCGAGCCTGAGGTGGGAGGGTCACTTTAGCCCAGGAGTTCAAGACAAGCCTGGGCAACAAAGTAAGACCCTGTCTCCACAAAAAATACAAAAGTTAGCTGAGTGTGGGGGTGCACGCCTTTAGTCCTAGCTACTTGGGAAGCTGGGGCTGAAGGATCACTTGATCCCAGGAGTTCAAGGCTGCAGTGAGCCATGCCACGACACTGCACTCCACCCTGGGTGACAGAGCAAGACCTTGTCTAAAGAAAAAACAAAACAAAACAAAACAAAAACCTCGGGCGCGGTGGCTCACGCCTGTAATCCCAGTAATCCCAGCACTTTGGGAAGCTGAGGCTGGTGGATCACCTGAGGTTGGGAGTTCAAGACCAGCCTGGCCAACATGGAGAAACCCTGTCTCTACTAAAAAATACAAAATTAGCTGGGGATGGTGGCGCATGCCTGTAATTCCAGCTACTTGGGAGGCTGAGGCAGGAGAATCGCTTGAATCCGGGAGGCGGAGGTTGCGGTGAGCCAAGATCACGCCATTGCAGCCTGGGCAAAAAGAGCAAAACTCTGTCTCAAAAGAAAAAAAAACATCTGTTAAGAGGATAGAGCTGTTAAGCATACTTACTAAAATAAAATTAAGAAGAAGGCAGAAAGCAGAAAAAGAGAGGGAGGAGGAAGTGGAGGTGGAGAAGAGGGAGTAGGGGGAGGAAAGGAAGAAGGAAAAGAAGGAGGCACCAGTAAGCTCTCCTTGCCTGATTTATGTTTTCCTAATCAAAAGGGAAATCCTTAAAAGCTCCTCGGGTGACTTTCTCTTAAGTCTCATTGATCCGAACTTGATTATTTGATCTTCTCTAGCTCAAGAGAGTATGGGAAAGTAAATATATTGCAAAGTACAATGAGATTGTCATCACTGCCTTAGATTAACTATTAATCCCCCAGGACTAGGCATATTCTGTATCCTCACCATAGAAAAAAGAACCAGGGCTCTATTAGAAGAAAAAAGAAGAACAATGGATTTTTGTTATTTTCATTTTTATTGTTTGAGACAGGGTCTCTCTGTGTCTCCTGGGCTGGAGTGCAGTGGTACAATCACGTCTCACTCAACCTCCCAGGCTCAAGTGCTTCTCACACTTCAGTCCCCCGAATAGCTAGGACTACAGGCATGCATCACCACGCCTGGCTAATTTTTGTATTTTTTGTAGAGATGGGGTTTCGCCATGTTGGCCAGGCTGGTCTCAAACTCCTGGGCTCAAGCCATCCACCTGCTTTGGCCCCACAAAGTGCTGGGATTATAGGTGTGAGCCACCACGCCTGGGTAAAAAATGGCCCGTTGCTAGATAAGTAAGAGTATTAGCCAAGGAGTAGATGGATTTCCTTATGGAGAGGATTTAAAATGAATTAGAAAAAAAAAATAGCCGGGCGCGGTGGCTCATGCCTGTAATCCCAGCACTTTGGGAGGCTGACGTGGGTGGATCACCTGAGGTCAGGAAGTCGAGACTAGTCTGGCCAACATGGTGAAACCCCATCTCTACTAAAAATACAAAATTAGCTGGGCGTGGTGGCAGGCGCCTGTAATCCCAGCTCCCCGGGGCGGGGGCGGAGGGGGCGGGGCGTGGCGAGGCAGGAGAATGGCTTGAAACTGGGAGGCGGAGTTTGCAGTGAGCGGAGATCGCGCCGTCGCACTCCAGCCTGGGGGACAAGAGCGAGACTACGCCTCAAAAAAAAAAAGAAAAAAAATTAAGGACATGGGATGAAACCCTAAGGGAGAACACTATTTGAAGAGATGTTAAGAGGTAAAAGAGATTGTGAAGGATTGAGAAGGCAGACTCTTGAGAGGTAGTTAGTAGGCTAACACCATGGTCATTACAAAGAAAATGGTTCTGTGTTTTCACAGAATTTATCCAAGAGAAGAGTAGCTAAGACTTATACACCAGTAATTATAGAAACAGTATTGTATTAGTCTGTTCTCATGCTGCTAAGAAAGACATGCCCAAGACTGGGTAATTTTATAAAAGAATGAGATTTAATGGACTCACAGTTTCACATGGCTGGGGAGGCCTCACAATAATGGCGGAAGACGAGGAGCAAGTCATATCTTAACATGGATGGCAGCAGGCAAAGAGAGAGTGAGAACCAAGCGAAGGGGATTTTTCCTTATAAAACCATCAGATCTCATGAGACTTACTCACTGCCACAAGAACAGTATGGGGGAAACCACCCCCATGATTCAATTATCTCCCACTGGGTTTCTCCCACAACATGTGGCAATTATGGGAGCTACAACTCAAGATGAGATTTGGGTAGGGATGCAGCCAAACCATATCAAGTACAAAAGTTGGTGTGGGTCTGTAAGCAGGGTTTCTCAACTTTGGCACTATTGACATTTAGGACCAGATAACTTTTTTTTTTTTTTCGACACAGAGTCTCATTCTGTCACCCAGGCTGGAGTGCAAGGGCATGATCTTGGCTCACTGCAACCTCCACCTCCTGGGTTCAAGCAATTCTTCTGCCTCAGCCTCCCAAGTAGGTGGGATTACAGATGCCTGCCACCACGCCCAGCTAATTTTTGTATTTTTAGTAGGGACGGGGTTTCACCATGTTGGTCAGGCTCGTCTCGAACTCCTGACCTCAGGTGATCCTCCCGCCTCGGCCTCCCAAAATGTTGGAATTACAGGTGTGAGCCACCACGCCTGGCTCAGATAACTCTTTATTGTGGGAGCTCGTCCTGTGCATTGTAGGATGCCTGGCAGCATCCCTGGCCTCTACCCATTAGGCGCCAGTAGCAAATCTCCCCCACTTCCCTAGGTATTATAATAAAAATGTCTTCAGACATTGCCAAATCTCCCCAGGGGGACAAAATCACTCCTAATTGGGAATCACTGGTTTATAACAAGGAGTGCTTCAGGAAAGGCTGCAAATGGGGCAATAGTAATTAAAACGGATCTCCAAGACTGGATATCATTTAGCCAAGCAAAGTCGGAGGAAAAGAAATTCCAAGGAGCATTTGTGCAGAAACAATGATGGAAGATTTCAGGTGTGCTTAGGCACACAACATGTACTCATGTCAGGCTCTCACCAGAGCATCTGAGTGCAAGTTGCATGATTTTGAACAGGAGAAAAAAATCTAATCAGAACGGAGGACTAGGGAGATTACTAGCCATCTGTGTGTTGGGTGGATTGGGGCAGGGAGAGATTAAAGGCAGGGATAACAGTAATCCAGAGGGAAAGTACAATGAATGACCAAACTAGGGCAGTGAGAGTGGGAACTGAGGGGGATGACTAAGAGATTTTGTGGAGATACAATTGGGACGGCTTAGTGATTACGGGATGGGGGAGGCTCATATCTTTCTCTCTTGCTTTAAGTACTATCTATAAAGATAGGAGCTATATGAAAGTTTGGAGGCTGGATAATTGGAAGCACATTAATGACATCAGCAGAGAGAGGGAAGCAGGTTAAAAAGGGAAGATTATGTGCTTGGATTTGGATTAATTGGGCTTGTTAGAATAGAGATGAACCAGAGATCTAGTATAGTTTTAAAAGTTATCAGACTACAGGTCATAGTAGAGACACTAGAGGACAGAGTATAAAGAGGAGATTCAAGATCAGATACAGGTGGGATGAACACCTTGCCTATATTTAGAGGGCATGAGGTGATCATAAATAAGGTGTAAGGACCTGCCAGAGAGGCTGGAGGAGATTCAGAATCCTATCGTGGAAGGGAGGAGTTTCAAGGAGAAGGAGGATAGCTTTGTGCGTCAGGGTGGAAAGTACCCTGAGAGGTTCTAGAGAACTAGCAGAAAGAAGACTTTACAATATCCTTTCAAAATAGATAGGAATTAATTTATTTTTATTTTTATTTTTTTGAGATGGAGTCTTGCTCTGTCGCCCAGGCTGGAGTGCAGTGGTGCGATCTCGGCTCACTGCAAGCTCCACCTCCCGGGTTCAAGCCATTCTCCTGCCTCAGCCTCCCGGTAGCTGGGACTACAGGTGCCTGCCACCAAGCCTGGCTAATTTTTTGTATTTTTAGTACAGACTGGGTTTCACCGTGTTAGCCAGGATGGTCTCGATCTCCTGACCTCGTGATCCGCCCACCTCGGCCTCCCAAAGTGCTGGGATTACAGGCATAAGCCACCGCGCCCAACCCAGTAAATCTAATTTTACATGGGGATTAGGTACTAGAGTGTGTACAACAAGGATAAAAATAAATCCAGTGAGTCAAAATTGTCATGGGAAATTTCCCAAAAAGTACAGTATAAATGATTTTCGAGTATTGAACTTGGTGTGTGTCTGTGTGTGTATGCATGTGTGTGTGCACATGTATGTAATGGGCAATGAATGCAAGTATTATAGGAAATATAAAAACAGTACAATTTTGAAGTATTTTTTACTATGAGAAATAGAGAAAGAGAATGACATTGTTTTCTGAGTGTGTAGAGTAGAATTTTAGAGTAGATTTTCCTCTTTTAAGACAGAGTATCATTGCCTTATGTAAACTCTCCTATTCAAATTCCAGGAACTGTTAATAACTCAAGGCAGAGAATATTTGTGAGTTTCTGCTTTCCTAGAGAAAATTTAGTAAGATACAGGGAAGACATTCTGCAGGTAGTTGGCACATATTTTTCATAATGATGGCAATAAAAGCCTTTGTTAATAACAGTGAGGACAAAATGAAGCTGGACTGTCTGGCGCTCTGGAGTCAACCTCAAAATTAGTGTCTATTAGAAATCTTAGAAATGCTGTCTCTTCTTCAGTAAAAGACACTGCCCATAGATGGGTATATGGTATATATCCAGTTTGGATCCAGTTTTCCTTAAATATCTTTTACTGTGACTTGTTTGAAGTACAGTGCCACTGTCAGAGTAACAACCTTCGTTGATCATGAGCCTCATCATTTGGGAAAAGCATGTGTGTTGTCTGGGAGAGAAGCTTTGGGAGTTTACAGTTGACAATGAGGGAGAACTGTGGGGCCCTTCTATCAACACTAAAGGGAAATGGGAGGAGAGACATAGCTAGATTGTTCTTATATTCTTTTTTTTTCTTTTTTTTTTTTTTTTTTTGGAGATGATGTCTCACTCTGTCACCCAGGCTGGAGTGCAGTGAAGTATGAAGTGATCACAGCTCACTGCAGCCTGGATCTCCTGGGCTCCAGTGATCCTTCCACCTCAGCCTTGGGAGTAGCTTAGACTGCAGGCACATACCACCACAAACAGCTAATTTTTGCATTTTTTGTAAAGACTGGCTTTTGCTATGTTGCCCAGGCTGGTCTTGAACTCCTGCTTTGACGTCCCAAAGTGCTGGGATTATAGGCGTGAACGCCCGGCCCTCATATTCTTCTGTGGATGTTAATTCCCTAACTTTCTCACTTCCCTTCAAGCTCTTTTTTTTTTTTTTTTTTTAAATATATACTACCTTCTCTCTTCCTTTGTTGCTAACATCAAAAGAATCCTTAAGTAGGGGTAACAGCAACAGGGTTGGAGGTGAAACTGTACCTTCAAGCCAAAAACAGCCTGAAGGCTGAAAGACCAGACTGCTGGTCCTGGATGAAATCCATGACGCAGAGTGAGAATTTCTGTTCCTGTTTGCCTGCCCCTCCCCTATTCTGAGCCGATAAAAAGCCCCAGGACTCAGCCTCATGGAGGAGACTTTCCTGCCTTCGGGTAGGGGGACCACCCCCGCTTCCCTCTCTGCTGAAAGCTGTTTCATCCCTCAGTAAAACTCCCCGCCTTGCTCACTCTTCAATTGTCAGCACATCTTCATTTTTCTTGGGCATGGGGCAAGAACTCAGGAACCAATGTGCAAGGCAAACTTGTCTCAGGCGGGCAAATTGCGTGGGGTGCCTCCTGCAGCAGGTAGTATGCCCCGAGCTAGGCCTCCGGCATTGCCGGCTAGAGGTCCTTGACTGGCAAAGGGACTGAGAAAAATCCTGCATTGAGGGAGAGGGGGGCGAGGGGCGGTCGTTGGATCTAGGAGTAATTGCCAGGCTTGCTCTAGAACTTATTAATGCATTTATATCTATGACCCCATCACTCTCTATCCCCTTATTACTCTTTCTCATAAAATTTACCACATGGTACCTGTTTTTTTTTTTTTTTTTTTTTTTTTGAGACTGAGTCTTGCTCTATTGCCCAGGCTGGAATGCAGTGGCATGATCTTGGCTCACAGCAACCTCTCTGCCTCCCAGGTTCAAGCGATTCTTGTGACTCAGCCTTGTGAGTAGCTGGGATTACAGGCACCCCGCAACCACGCCCGGCTAATTTTTAGTAGAGACGGGGTTTCACCATGTTGGCCAGGCTGGTCTCGAACTCCCGACCTCAAGTGATCTGTCTGCCTCAGCCTCCCAAAGTGCTGAGATTACAGGTGTGAGCCACCATGCCGGGCCATAGAGTAACATCTTTATTGAGATATAATTCACATAACATACAATTCACCTATTTAAAGGGTATAATTCAGTGGTTTTTAGTGTGTTCACAGGGTTGTGTAACCATTACCACAATCTAATTTGAGAACATTTTAATCAATTCAAAAAGAAATCCAACGCCCATGAACATTCACTCTGCATTCCACCCTGTCCCCAGATTGAAAACAACTATGTGTTTTCTGTCTCTATGGATTTTCCTGTTCTGCACATTTCAGATAAGTGGAATCATATAATATGTAGTCATTTGTGAGACGCTTCTTTCACTTTGCATAGTTTTCAAGGTTCATCCATGTGACTGCATGTAATCAGTACTTCATTTCTTTTTATTGCAGAATATAATAATATTCCATTGTATGGATGATACCATGTTTTATTTAGCCATTCCTCAGTTGATAAACATTTTGCTACCTGATTTAAAGCTTACTTTCTGTTTCTCACACTAGTATATGAGCTTAATGAGGGTAAGAACATTTTTGTTGTTTCCCACTCAGTCCCTAGCATTTTGCACATTGCCTGTCTCATGTCAGTGTCAGGTTCAAATCTATCTAGCTGTGCTTTCACTGACGGGGGCCAGGAGGTTTCACAAGGACTCAATGGCTGATTAAATGCTTACAGATACAGATTTCTCAGGGCAGAACTTCTGCAAGCATTTTGGCTGTGGTCAGTTACTTTCAGGTTTTCATTACTTTTTGGTTTTCACAGCATCCGCAAGTGCCCATAGCCATTATCTCAGCTGCCTCTCTCTTTACTCTCTTGCCAATGGTGCCAGGCCACAGCAGGTGTTATCTTATCACCTCAGTCCACCATACATATGCTTATCAATTTGAGGGGTCAGCAATTTCACTGGAGGCTGAAACCCTTGTCATAAATGGCTCCATTTTGAGACATTTCAGATTACAAACCACTGTTATATACCAGCCTAGCATGTAGAAATCACTCAGTACATTTATTGAACACATAATTTAACCATTCATTCACCTGACCAACAGTCATTAAGCACTGACACATTTGTTTTCAACACTCCCTCTCTTCCACGGCAGGCCACTTGGTATGGGAGATAAATATGACAAAGGATCTGCCCTTACGAATCTCATAATCCACTGAAGTGACAACTGTGCAAACAAATAATTAAAGTAAAATTAAGAAGCTGGGCACAGTCTCACATCTGTAATCCCAGCAATTTGGGAGGCGGAGGCGAGGGGATTGCTGAGGCCAGGAGTTCAAGACCAGCTTGGCCAATTTAGTGAGACCCCATCTCCATTAAAAAATGATAAAATAAAATAATTGATTTTGAGAAAGGATGTGGACAAAGTGCAGCACATAGACCAAGGGCCCAGTTCTGTTTGAGGGCATTGGAAGCAACTTCCACAGCAAAGACTTGGGTTGAAATTTACAAAAATAGGAGTTTGCCAGCTTGACAGAGAGGCAGCGGAGGTCAACCAGCAGCACACTTAAGCAGTCATGGAGGCTGACCTAGGCGCTGGACATGGAAAAGTAGCAATCCTGGAGCTTTGTATAGATGTGGGGAGGGAACTTACAGGGGACCAACTAGGCTACTGGGCAATTTCACATTATAAAGAATTTTATATGCTCAAATTAAAGGATTAAAAATTTTCCCCCATGTACATAATAAATTGGCAAAAATGGTTATATTTGAGGGTGACTAAGGAACTCTGGGAAAGAGATCGGCAAACCAGGCACATGTTCTTGACTACTGCAAAAGTACATTTAAAGTAGCCGCGGGGGATACATGTATACTTTTGGGCAGGATTGTGCCGTGGTCCTCTCAGCATGCAGCAAAGTTACTTTGGGGACAGTAGGGAGGTGGGCAGGAGCCAGTGATGACGGAATGGCAATCACATTTGACCTCTGATCTGTTTATTTCCTCCTCCTTGACGTCTCCATATAAATGTTACACGGGCATCCCCACACTCGGATACGCACCCACAGTGGCTGATTCGGGGGTAACCGTGTCATTTGCTTGCAACACTGGCACCTCTGCCCTGCACCCCGGGAGTGAGCAGTGAGTGAGGCTCGGGTCTGGGCGCTGGCTCCGAATCTTCGGGCTGGGAGAGACTCCACCATCTGGGGGCGGCCTGGGGGAGCAGCCTTAGTGTCTTCCTGCTGATGCAATCCGCTAGGTCGCGAGTCTCCGCCGCGAGAGGGCCGGTCTGCAATCCAGCCCGCCACGTGTACTCGCCGCCGCCTCGGGCACTGCCCCAGGTCTTGCTGCAGCCGGGACCGCGCTCTGCAGCCGCAGACCCGGTCCACACGGCCAGGGGCTACGACCCTTGGGATCTGCCCTCCGCTCAGCTCGAGCTTCCCTCGTGGCCGACGGAACAATGAAGGTAACTACTTATGGTTTTGTCCGTGTTTTACAAAAATGTGTGCGTGAATCGAACCGGCGATTTCTCCAAGAAACATAGTTGGCAGGGAGGGGAGGAAGGCGAGACAACCATGGCTTATATCCCCCGCAAACGTCTCAGTATCTTCTTTATCAATCGTAGTTTGCGGGGACCGTGCATTCTGTTCAGATTTCGGTTTAACCTCCACTCGCAGGACGTGCCTTCTCGGACTTTTTCACATTCGCTTTTGGGAACGGAGGTGAAAGTCTGCTACAGCTCCCTCCCCTGCTTGTGAAGTTTGGAAAGGAAGTGAGGGCTTCTCTCAGTTTCTCCTATGCACAGGAGGTGGGGAATTTTGGAGAGGAGGTCTGGGGATGTCCCGGGCTGTAAATGCGCTTTCCTGCAGCGTGTGTTCGTGATGCAGGAGGGAGCGGCTGGAAGAGTTGACCCGGGTGGAGAGGGGAGGGAGAACGATCTTTTCACTGTTAAAAGCAGAAGGCCCCTCTTATTTTGTTTCTTGTGGAAATTAAAGCTTCTAGGAGTTACAAATGATAGACGCCTAAGGGCATTCATTTGTTAAACCAGTGAGCACCCTAATGGCTCTGATCTTGCTAATCAAGGATAATTAGCCTAGCTGCCTATTATTTCTGACTATTTAGGTGTAGGGATGTACACCGTTGAGTGTTTTGTTTTCCTAGTTTCACACACTGGAAAACTGCAATCGCATATAAAACCCGAAGAGCAACTTTTTCCAAGGAAAGTGAAGGATGGGCAGATATTCTTGCCATCTAACATTTTGGAATTGAGATGACCATAATGCAATCTGAACTTCTGGTAGGAATAAAGCCTCGTTTCAGAGTTTCTAAGGAGGGAGATGAAGCGTGGTTCTCAACTGCTCTTATCTACAACCCATCCCAGACCATAGTTTCACTTAGAAGAAATAATATGTAAATAGCGCCTTTGTTGCCAAACAAAAACTTTCACTACAATTAAACAGTAACCGAGTGGAAACTATGCGTTTTTGTATTCAACAGAGATCACACAACTTTTCTTCTATAGTTAGAGGTTCTATTTCTGGCTTCCTCATGCTTGTTTCATTTCAGATGAAAAACACACTTTAGTTGATTATAGCTTTAGTAAGTAAAAGGAGAAAACTAAGAATGAACAGTCTTGCTTTTCCAGCTTTTTCCTGTCCATGTGCAGTTGTGGTTAATTACGCGTTTTTGTAGGTCCAAAAACCCCTGTCCCTTCCACAAGATACTTTTATAACATGGGGAACTAGGTAAGATATCTACAAGTAGTCTCTTTTCTGTTTCCTGATATTTCCTAAGATTAAGAAAGAAATGATTGTATTCTAGGTATGATCGAAGAAGTATGGAAGGTTCCATTAAGTTAGTTTTATCACAATATTTCAAACATCTTTCCACTTATCTCTTAAATATGTATTGCTATCACAAGCTTGATTTTTTAAAAAAATGTTATTTGCACATGGCATCTTGATTGCCTTTGTCCTCAGCAAATTCTCCGGGCTTAAGTCATGCATGAGCTTGTATTTTAAGACAGACACATGCAGAATGGGCAACTTGGATAAGAAACATAGGATATACACTGAGTAGCATGTGTACAAAAATGGTAAGTGAGTATTATGACTTAATAAATTTAGATGGGGATTTAAAAATGATACACATGTAAATGGGATTGGAGGCAAGGGAAGTCCGTGTGTGTGTGTGTGTGTGTGTGTGTGTGTGTGTGTGTGTGTGTGGAGGGAAGACGGGAGGCCTAGTGGGGAGAGAGGTTTTACATTCCAGACACAGGATGTGGCCCCTCAGGCTAGGCTCAGAGATGTAAAGCTAGTTAAGCTGGCCTAACAAAAGGGTGGTGGTTAGAAAAAGGAAAAAAAGAGGTGGGGGTTGGGGAGGAAAAGAATTTAATGCTGGCCAATATTTTCATCTGATAAGTTTCAGTAATGAGTAATTTCACTGGATTTCAGAACTACAGAGAGAAAAGGGGAAAAATATTTTTCCTTTTTTACGCAAGAATTTCTCTTGCTTTTCAGCTCATTAGAACCAGATCTAATTATTTGAAATGAGTTTAAAACCTTATTATGAAAGGAAGTTGAAAACATTCGATCACAATTGAGTTTTGTACTATGGACTAAAACCAAGATGTGCTTTCTGTCAGTAGCTGTGCAACTCCCTGAAAAAAGAAAAATAGCGCAGAGCGATCTGAGCTTTGTGAAGGCTACACAATTTATCAGGCCCAGAGAGATAGGAGTGTGAGACTTCAGTCACGTCCCCCCGTACGCATGCGCAGGAGTAATTATTTAAAGACATTTTGTTCCTGACTAACTGCCTCACTCATTATGTTCCTGGAATTTGTGATACAAAAAAACAATGTTTAGCCTATCAATAGTTTATATAGTTTATGTTATTTTAATATAAATTCTTCTCAACTTAGAAACTGCCTCTTTTTTCTTTTAAAAACCCACTTGTAACTGCTGTATATATTCAGGGCAACTTGATTTGGTGTTTCGTTGGTTGCAGTCCTCAAATTTGACCTCAATATACTCTCTACTTATATAAATTTTGTCTCAGTTTTGTCCGTAGGCTGACATTCCAATTGTTTTCCTAATTATATATTTTGTTCCTTATTTCTCATGTCTAGAAATAAAGCTAGGGAAGTAAACAGCTGGAAAACTGATAGTGGTGTTATTAACCTAACTGAGAGGGCTGGGCTTATGAGTAAATTATTCCTGTGCATAAATGAAAGATTGTTTCTAAATGGCAGCTATGTTGAGCCTTTGTATTAGTTACATCTTTTGGGGTTTCAGGTTGCCAGCTTCTTTAAATGGCCTCTTCTCAACTGGTATAGGAAGTTGGAAAATAAAGAACTTTCTTTATTTCCCTTTAGTGTTGGTAACCACAGTTTCTTTAAATAACAGATGCCCACCCCAGGGAAACCCAGTGGCATGATCAGCCTTATGCTCAGGAAGGTTTGGTTGCTATACTGGAGAGTGAGAATCTGGGACCTTCCATGATAGACATAATTGTGCCAGCTATCCTCTACTTTCTATATGATGCTATCATTCTTTTTTCTTTTCTTTTTTTTGACAGAATCTCACTGTGTTGTTCAGGCTGGAGTGCCGCAGAGTGATCTCTACTCACTGCAACCTCTGCCTCCTAGGTTCAAGCAATTCTTGTGCCTCAGCCTCCTGAGAAGCTGGGATTACCACCATGCCCAGCTAATTTTCGTATTTTTTTGTAAAGACGGAGTTTTGCCATGTTGGCCAGGCTGGTCTGGAACTCCTGGCCTCAAGCGATCTGCCCATCTCGGCCTCCCAAAGTGCTGGGATTACAGGCATGTGCTATCATTCTTTTTGAGCACAGGAGGAAACTATGGCTGATCTGCTCATTTTACTGTCAAAAATATAGGCAGCTTTTGTATTGTAACATTATCCCCTTAACAGCTGTCCAACTGGTCTATACATTTCACCTAACATATGGTAAATGTTCCTACTGTTGGCCTTTCCTGAGCCTCTGTCCATTCAACTAAGGCCACTGCAATGGGATTGTATGCAGTTCAGCCAAGAAATAAATGTGAGGTGCAACTCACATTTTTTAAATGTTTCAAAATTAAGCATTTAGGTGCTTTTATTCATAAACATGACTTTGCAAATATTGGTAAACAGTTTCATCATAAGACCTTGTCAGTGACTCACAATGTCAATGGTGAACGCAAAGGAGAATCTGTCTTTTCTGGAACACCAGGTTCAGGTATCAGTTTCAACTATGCTTATAATTTGTGCTCTAAAGTCCACAAAGCTAAATTATCTTTCCCCTAAAAATTGAGTACTCATATCCTTAAAATAGCTTGGAAATTAGATTACCTTATGAATACAGCATAGCATGTCACATAAACGTTTTTCTACTGTTATACCTTTTTGGTGGGAAAGACTATTTTGCAAAACATTTTTCTTGTGTTCAGTAATTAATGGGAAAAACAAACTCTAAAAGAAAGAGACAGTTATGTCCCAAAAATACAGGAAAATGGAAGAATGGAAACAGGGAAGACCAATAAAGAAAAAAATAGAGGAAATTACAAGTAATAAACTGAAGTCATACTGAAAAACATATGGCTCTTTCTTATTGAAAGTTGTGAAATACTTGCAAAACTCAGCTAGTTCCATTAAGAATAGTCTTTAATCTAAAAAGAACAAATTCATTTGTCAGTTCTTTATTTCGGTGTGTAGATTTGAATGTTTCATCAATTGCATTTACGGTTTATCCCTCAGTGTGAGAACTGTTTTTGCTGTTTTGACTATAAATGGATATCTGCTTTAGGAAGACTTAGGAAGCCTGGGACATAGGATTACAGATCAAATTCTATTTGACTCCATAGAAGTTGAGACGGAAGGAGCACCTGTTGGGATATTCTAGACCAAACATTCCACAGCTGTCTCTTAACGTGACTGACAAAGAGACACAGTTGAGACGAAGTTTGGGTATATCCTGGGATGAGGCCAAGGGTGGATTTGCACAGGATGGTCACAGGGCAGTTGTTAGCATTCCACCACTACATAAAAGGGTGATTTTGCCAAGTGCATTTCATTTCATTTCAGTTGATTTAGATACCAAGTTATATTGTTTTGACTTTAGGACTAGATGTGAGTTCAGGAATTTGAAATCATAATAAATGTTTCCTTGAACTTTGAAGATAAAAGGTAGAGTTAAAAGACAGCTGCGAAGTCTACATGGGGAAGCATAATACATGACTCAGGGTTCCATGGTTTTCAGTGTCGGTGAGTGCTCTGTACACTTATAAGAATAGTGCTGGTGTTTATAGAAGAAACACATGCAGGTTTGAGGCAAGACTTCCTTGCTTAATTGGTGCTTTTGCTTTCCATTTTCTAAATGCCATGCAAACTACTTTTTTTTTTTTCTTTTGTTGAGACGGAGTCTTGCTCTGTCACCCAGGCTGGAGTACAGTGGTGCGATCTCGGCTCACTGCAAGCTCCGCCTCCTGGGTTCACGCCATTCTCCTGCCTCAGCTTCCTGAGTAGCTGGGACTACAGGCGCCCGCCACCACGCCCGGCTAATTTTTTGTATTTTTTGTAGAGACGGGGTTTCACCATGTTAGCCAGGAAGGTCTTGATCTCCTGACCTCGTGATCTGCCCGCCTCGGCCACCCAAGGTGCTGGGATTACAGGCGTGAGCCACCGCTCCCGGCCTCAAACTACTTTAACTGAAAACATTCTTCTAAGGAAAGCATCAGAAAACTTACTAGAATTGCTTAAGAATAAATAAATAATACAAATAAAAGAGCAAAATGAGAAAGTAGACAGACTCCTAGTCTATTGTGCTATTGATCTCTCCAGGTTCTAGGCTTTCTTGGGTCTGACACCACTTTGTAAATTTTTTTTTTTTTTTTTTTTTTTTTCCAGATAGGGTCTCATTCTGTCACCTAGGCTGGAGTGCAGTGGTACAATCATGGCTCACTTCAGCTTCAACCTCCTGGGCTCAAGTGATCTTCCTGCCTCAGCTCCCTGAGTAGCTGGGACCACAGGCATGTGCCACCACGCCCGGTGAATTTTTGTATTTTTTGTAGAGATGGGGTTTCTCCATGTTGCACTGGCTGGTCTTGAACTCCTGGGCTCCAGTGATCCACCCACCTTGGCCTCCAAAGTGCTGGGATTACAGGCATCCGTCACTGCACTGGGCCAGTTTGTAAATCTTATGAAAAGTATGGCCAATCTTTTGCAAAATGTGCAAACACATATAGACACAAAGTTTTATATCTAAATTATTGGTTATTAAAGCCAGGACAATAGAGTGCATATAGCATGGAAGACAGGTAGAAAAGACTGAAATGGTTTAGTTATTCAGAGCAGTGGAGGGCTATTGGCTCTTGCCTTTGCAGTCAGCTGAGATATGAAACTATATAAGCAGAAGCTTCACGCTGCCATTTGAATATTGAAAATCTCCACTTTTAGTTCAAGAGATAAACAACCAATGGTTTGTTTGTTCACAGCACATAAGTTATCACTTTCTTCTCTGTTTCATCCCATCAAGATCTAAGGTGTATAGTTACAGAATAGAACTCGGTTCATACCATATGCACCCTAATTTCTTCGATCTTCAACTAGTTTGGAAGTGTGTGTGGGTGTTTTCTTAGCCAAGGTTAATATGCAATTTCTTAGTGGAGTGTAGGAGTTTGGGGTGCCTAGCCTTCCTACTTCCCACTTAGATAACTTCCCCTACCTGTTGTACCTGTCAAAGGAGAAGGCCAGTATGGCCATGTTCTTTGCAGGTGACTCCACCTTAGCCACAGCTGATTGTAACAAGGGTGTATATTTGGCCCAAGTCCAGCCATCTTTTTTTTTTTTTTTTGAGGCGGAGTCTTGTTCTGTCACCCACGCTGGAGTGCAGTGGTGTGATTTTGGCTCACTGCAACCTCTGCCTCCCGGGTTCAAGCAATTCTCCTGCCTCAGCCTCCTGAGTAGCTGGGATTACAGACACCCACGACCACGCTTGGCTTTGTATTTTTGTATTTTTAGTAGAGACGGGGTTTCTCCATGTTGGCCAGGCTGGTCTAGAACTCTTGACCTCAAGTGATCCGCCCGCCTTGGCCTCCCAAACTACTGGGATTACATGCCCAGCCAGCCATCTTTTACTTCTTTCTTATTCTCTTATTCCACATATTCAAGCAGGTACCACGTCCTGTGGACTCTGTCTTCTCTGAATCTATAGGTTCTCTCTTTCCCATTGCCCTGCATACTGGTTTATGCTCTCATTACTTCTCGCTTGAATTATTCCAAAAGTCTCCCAACTGGTCTGAAGCTTAATTTTCATTATGTGCTGTTCGATGTCATTCCACCACGCAAAATCTATGGCTTCTCCATTGTCTCCTGAGTTTAGTTTAGTGCATGAGACCGTTTAAAATCTACCTACACCTCTTCTATGTGCATGCATTTCTCTAGTCATAAGAGAGGATTTGATCTATCTCAAAATGTGTTCTTATATTTGCATTTACTGGTTTTTAACTCCCTCCATCCTATCTATAATTTGCACCATGTTGCTCACCATGCAGCCCACTCCCCAGACACCTTGTGAGAACAGTGATCATGTTTTTGCAGTGGAATGAACATGGGCGAAAGGTGGGAAGGTATGCATAGATTTACATTTTGAAGTCAGGAAATAAGATACTGATCAATGCTTTAATTCGACTGTGCTTTTTACCTTTTCCTCTGTTGTAGCATGAACCTTGCCCCAAAAAGATATTGATCATATGCTGCAACTCCTCTGCACTTACCTTTTCTTCTACCATGGCAGGAACCTTGCACCATTGTTGGTGCTTTACAGATATTGGTTGAGTTAAATCGAGAGCCTATTTCTGGACTTTCAAGATTCAGATTAATTGATTCTGTTTTATACTTCTCTGTTTTTGAATGGCACATACATCTTTCCACACTTGGATTTCTTTGAAGTTAAAGCTTTAATTGACTTCCAAAAGACAGAGGATTATAAAAACACAGAGAACAGTAAAGTATTTACACGGTCTTAATGCCTATTGCCAAACACATATAGCTGCTATTAATGCCTATTGCCAGACTCATATAGCTGCAAACTCATGTAGCTTAATGCCCATTGCCAAACTCATATAGCTGCTATATATGTCTACTGGAAAACTCACATAGCTGGTTGATTTTAAATTGATTGTAGGAAAATTCATACAAAAAGATGCTACATAGGAATATAAACTGAACACCACAAAAATCGTAATGAACAAACTCAGTAATGCCAGCCTGTTCAATCACTAGTTTTCAGATTAAGGCAGTATGCAAAGGGAAACATCCTTGGAATGGTCTTAGAATATAGAACAAAGTCATGTGTTTGGGAATCTTAACCAATTCCAATACTGTTCAACATGTTTTTCTTTGTTGCAAACAATGCAGTTTTTAAGCAAACTAATGAATGCATACCCTGACAAACAAATCCAACAAAAGAGGTACTTAGAGCAGTGTTCATTGAATCCTAGAATTTTGAAAGAAAAAATCTATTAGGTCATTTTGGGCTTTTACTTCTGCTGAAGAAGGATTGTTCTTTTGAGTTTATTTTTCTAGCTTTCAGTTCTATTCCATTTAAATGCCTCGAGAAATAGGACTTCTCAAATTCCCTGTGGAGAGTTCTGGCACCTACTATATTCACTTTTGAAAGTCTCCTGATAACTGATTTCCTTTTTCTTTTGGTTATACACATCAACTATTCATGGTTGGCTCTGCTGATAGTTTTCCATGATTCTTTATGCTTATTTAAAAGAAATCATATAACATTAATCATATAACATATAACCATTACTTGGTTATAAAGCATGATATTAACTAAACTGGCTTTTAAAAATTCAATAACATTAGAGCAAATATTTTATTAATATTGTCAGTAGTTCCATGAATATATAGATGTAGGATGTCAATAAAGTTTATGCCCCTTAATAACTGAGTGTGTTAATGTTGTATTTGCTGGTTAACTGGCACCTTCCCTCCTTTTGATCAATGTTCTTAGAACAGTATGTACAGGAGTACTTTAGTCTACCACTTGATATTCAAGGACAACACTTCGAAGCTTGAAATGAGGGATTGTTTTAACCATATTAACGTAACTGCATAGTTTGCAATAGATTTAATGATTCAACATCATTGTTAATATTTAGTTTAATTAAAAGTGCCTTATATTAACTTGTACACATGTGAAATGACTTATCAACAAGATTATTTATTGCAGCATTGTTTGTGATTACAAAGAGTGGAAGTCATTTGCATAGTCATTAGGCGTAAAAAATAATGACATTAAAAGAAAACAATTGAGGAAAGAACCAGTAAGCTCTCAGGTAGAGATAAAAAGAAAGTTACCGTGAGCCTTTTCACTGTATATATTTATATATTTGATTTTTGACACGTGAGTTTATTATAATCAAGATTGAATGAAAAAAATTGAAGCCTTTTAATGAAATTAGCTTGACACCAGAGTCATTATCAAGAAAATCTGAAATACTGGTACCTATGCACATTTGATTTTATTATTTTTAGTTTTATTATTTTTTGAGACAGAGTCTTGCTCTGTCGCCCAGACTGGAGTGAAGTGGTGTGATCTCAGCTCACTGCAATCTCCAGCCTCCCAGGTTCAAGCGATTCTCCTCAGCCTCCCGAGTAGCTGGGATTACAGATGCCTGCCACCATGCTTGGCTAGTTTTTGTATTTTTAGTAGTGACGGAGTTTTGCCATGCTGGCCAGGCTGATCTCAAACTCCTGACCTCAGGTGGTCCACCTGCCTCAGCCTCCCAAAGTGTTGGGATTACAGGCGTGAGCCACTGCACCCGGCCATTTAAGCAAATTTTAGTTAAGACCAGTAACATATTTTTGACAGTATTTCCGAAGTGTTGTATTTAATTTAACTAATTGAAAATTATCTATTAAGAAAGCAAGTTAAATGTAATGTGTATACTTCATAGTATACACATTATAATGATTCATAGTAACCATTATATGAAGAGTGTCTAAACTTTTCTTCAAATCTACCATTTATATAGTACAATAATGACCAGCAAACAATGGCTAAGTTTTACTTAATTAGACATTTGTGTAGCTCCTACCAAGGCTACCAGACTTTGTACCCAGTAACAGGAAAACAGAAATAATTCAAGCATTATTCTCACTCTTGAGAAACAATTCTATTTAGGGAGATATACATAAAAAGCAAAGGTGGCTGGGTGCAGTGGCTCATGCCTGTAATCCCAGCACTTTGGGAGGCCAAGGCAGGCAGATCACTTGAGGCCAGGAGTTCGAGACTAGCCTGACCAACATGGTGAAACCCTGTTTCTACTAAACATACAAAAATTAGCTGGGTGTGGTGGCATGCACCTGCAATCCCAGCTACTGGGCAGGCTGAGGCAGATAATTGCTTGAACCTGGGAGGTGGAGGCTACAGTGAGCTGAGATTGCACCACTGTACTCCAGCCTGGGTGACAGAGCGAGACTCCATCTCAATGAATAAATAAATAAATAAATAAATAGCAAAGGCAATAATGTGCATATAGTAGGTGCTACAGTAGAAGTCTGCACAAGGTTCTGTGTATGTGGAAAAGACAAGTCAGAAAAATTAGGAAAGGCTTTATTGGGAGGTGACATTTAAGCAGAATCACGAAAGAAGACCTGATGAACATGGGGGTAAGAGCACTTGTACACAACCCCATACTCCTGGGCTCAGACTCACTTGCTCATTCCCTAATCATAGAAGACCTTGAGGAAAAGCATGCTGGGGTTCCCTTCCAGCCCACTGGTAAATACAGAGAGGCCTAAGCACCCAACATCCCCCAGGGAATACACCACTGGGACTTAAAGCATTGGCAACCCAGCACCCAGTTAAATTCCCCTTGTCACTGTTTCCACATTGTCCCCATCACCTTCACTCTCTTGATGCTCTGCATTTTCTCTCTTAACTCGACCCACAGTAGACCCTCCCACTCAAATCTGCCCCCAATAACCTTTGCAACCAATATTACCGCACTACACTTTATCTTCCCTAAGGGTTTCCTGCTCCTCCTGGTCTTAGGTGAGGTCATTTCTCTGCCAGCCTTTAAAGTGGAAGCTGCTCATTTTCTCTGTCCCTCATCCAGGGCTGGAGTGGGACTGATGCCCTTCACCCTGCCCAGTACTGTTTCCACATGAGACTCCTTGCATAGCATCTGCTCTCTGCTACTCAGACCAGGAGTCTGTGCTCTCTCTTCCTCTAACCATCATTGGAAGACACCCCAGTCCCTCTGGCCCCATTATCCACTGTAGATTTTAGCACTTACCTCCTCTCTTCCCTCCCATGTGCTGTTTTCCCATTTATTTTAAGGTGCATGTGGATGGCCCATTCCCCTTCCTGGCATCTTAATCCCTTTAATTTCTCATTTCCATTAATTTGCTACATTCCTCATATGCCAGCTACCCCTATGGCCATATCCCAGACCTTTGAATCACACACCAAATTCCATCAAGTCCTATGAGTCATTTTTGGTCCAAGACCTATCTTACATCTATGCAGTCCTATCTATTTTAACAACCATGTGCCCAGTTTAGGCCACTGTCTTCTCTTCACTGAATATATGTGTTCCTGTTTTTTCTCATCCCCATTTGTTTCCCAGACACAATTTGTTCTCCAGAGCAGAGTGATCACATCAGTCACCTGCTATAAAAACTCCTCAACCCGGTGGGGCATGGTGACTCACAGCCCCAGCACTGTAATCCCAGCACTTTGGGAGGCTGAGGTGGGAGGATCACTTGAGCACAGGAGGAGCTGAAGTGATCTGTGATCACGTCACTGCACTCCAGCCTGGGCTACAGAGTGACACCCTATCTCAAAAACAAGCAAACAAACAAACAAACAAAAACCAACAAAAAATTTTTTATTAAGCAAAAAACCTCTTCAACCTCTTCCTGTTATGTTTTGAATAAAAGCTAAAGTCCCCACCATGCTCCAGAAGTTCCCAAGGGATCTGGTCCTTCTCATCTTTACAGCCTCATCTTGTTTTGCCGTTTCCACCTCCCTCATCCCCCAAACTCTTTTTCTTCAGGGCCTTTGCACTTGCTGATGCCTCTGCCTGGAAGGTCTTCTTCTGATTCCCCATCCAGGGGTGCCTTATCACCCTGCCCTGCCAACCTCAGATTGGATGCTACTTCCTCAAAGAGACCCTTGGGACTCCCATGTTTCCCAGGCTTTCAGTGCCCTCATCTCAACTTGTAATGATTGTATTGGGGTGATTATTTGTATGACTTTGGGATTGATATCTGACTCTTCCACTAGACCATACATTTCTTGAGAGCAGAGAGCATATCCAGTTTTTTTACCACTGTGCAACCATATGTCGTCCAATGCTTGGCCCATAATAGGGGGTTGGTGAATGTGGTAGGCTGAGTCATAGCCCCCAAGGATGCCCATAGCCTCATCCCCAGAAGCTTTCATGGTAAAAGGGATTTTGCAGATTGTGATTAAGTTATGGATCTTGAGATGGAGAGATTATCCTTGATTATCTAAATAGGTCCAATATAATCAGTAGCGTCTTTATAAGAGAGAGGCAGAGGGTCAAAAGCAGAATCAGAGAAGGAGATGCCACAGTGGAAGCAAAGGGGTGTGTGTGTATGTGTGTGTGTATGTGTGTGTGTGTGTGTGAGAGAGAGAGATTGAGATTTAAAGAGCTCCATTACTTGATCTGAGGATAAGGATGAGCCAAAGAATGCAGGTGGCTTGTAGAAGCTGGAGAAGCCAAGAAAACATTCTCACTCTAGAGCCTCCAGAAGGAATGCAGCTCTGCTGACACCTTGATTTGGAACTTCCAGAACCATAAGATAATAATTTTGTGTAGTTTTGAGGCTGGGCTCATGCCTGTAATTCCAGCACTTTGGGAGGCCAAGGTGGGTGGATCACTTGAGGTCAGGAGTTTGAGACTAGCCTGGCCAACATGGTGAAACCCTGTATGTACTAAATATACAAAAATTAGCCAGGTGTGGTGGTGCACGCCTATAGACCCAACTACTTGGGAAGCTGGGGCAGGAGAATCACTTGAACCCGGGAGGTAGAGATTGCAGTAAGCTAAGATTGTGCCACTGCACTCCAGCCTGGGCTACAGCGTGAGACTTCGTCAGAAAAAAAGAATAATTTTGTATAATTTCAGGCCACAAAGTCTGCAGTCATCTGTTACAACAGCAGTAGTACACGAATACAGATTTTGGTACCTGGAAATGGTGTGCTACTGTAACAGATACCTAAACAATGTGGAAGTGGCTTTTGAATTGGGTGTTGGGCAGCATGTGGAAGAATTTTGAGAAGCATGATAGGAAAAGCCTAGCTTGCCTTAGAAAGACTGTTAGTAGAAGTAGGGATGTTAAAGGCGCTGCTGGTGAGGACTTGGAAGTGAAGAGCATGGTAAAGAAAATGTGTTTCATTTTAGAGAATATCAAAGTCATTGTAGAAGGTTGGCAGAAGTGTAGGTTTTCATAATGTGTTGTTGGTGAGGGCTGAGAAAGAAATGAGGACCATGTTTAGGGAAACTGGAGGAAAAAGATCCTTGTCATACAGTGGAATGAAACTGTGGAATTGTGTCTTACAGTTATATGGGAAGCAGAATTTGTTTGAACTTGGATATTTGGCTTAGCTTTCCAAGTAAAGTATTGAAGGTGTAGCCTGGTTTTCTCTTGCTGTTTTATAGTAAAATGCCCGAGAAAAAGGGATAAATTGAGGTAGGAACTGTTAAGAAAAAGGAACAAAGACATGATGACTTGGGAAATTCTCAGGATACCTGGTTTGTAAAAGATGCTAGAATTAGAAGATTCATTGTCAGGAAAGTGTGCTCTGGAGAGGAAGCCAAGGGTGAGTTCCTTGTGGCGTAGGTTAGGGGCTGTGGCAGGGATGCAGGGAAGAGATGATGGTGACTTGGACTAGGGGTCTGACGGGGTATGGGAAAATAGAGAGGAATGAGTTGATTCTGTTGGGACTTTGTATTGAGTTCCTTGATTCCATAAGTGGAAACACATGTAGAGCTCTCTTTCCTGGCCACCTAAGCTCTCTGACCATATCCCTGACTCTCTCCAGAATGCCTTGGCTTCATGTCCACGTGAGGACAAATCATATTTTTCTGCATTTTGCGTGCTGGATTCCTCTCTGGACTAAAGATCCAATGAGAGGTGGTTTCTAGCTTTCTGCTCTTTCCCACAACACTCCGTCAGTGAGTCTTCTGGATGTCCTATAGGCAACTCACTGGATCCACTTGGTCTGTGGAAGAATCACTACCACATCCATTTCACCTTGGGCACAGACTAGAAGGTGAGGCAGTCATGTCCTGCAGTCACTGGGTAGCTTACAAGTGCTAATACAGCAATAGCTTAATTAGAGAGAGAGAGAAGAAGAAGAATGTTATGGAGCCTGTTTCTAGAGAGGAAACCACAATATCTTGATCAAGAGACCCTAAAACTGGAAGAACCAGAGCAGCTGGTATCAAAATGTGGAAAAAACTGAGATGTGGCAAGTGGTACAACTGATAGCCAAGGAGGAAAAATTTGTATCCCCCTGTAATCCCAGCACTTTGGGAGGCTGAAACAGGTGGATCACCTGAGGTCAGGAGTTCGAGACCAGCCTGGCCAATATGGTGAAACCCTGTCTCTACTAAAAATACAAAAATTAGCTGGGCGTGGTGGTGTGCACCTATAGTCCCAGCTACTTGGGAGGCTGAGGCAGGAAAATTGCTTGAACCTGGGAGCAGAGGTTGCAGTGAGCCAAGATCGCACCACTGCACTCCAGCCTGGGTGACAAGAGTTAAACTCTGTCTCAAAAAAATAAAAAGAAAAGTTTGTACCCTCTTCTTTTCTCTTGCCTCAGGATAACTGAGATTCTTATAATGCATTTATTGAACAAATATTTGAGGAGTACTCATTATGTAAGCATCAGACACTGCTCAAGGTCTTGAGGCTGTGAGGGTGTATTAGTCCGTTTTCACACTGCTATAAAGAACTACCTGAGACTGGGTGATTTATAAAGAAAAGAGGTTTAACTGAATTACAGTTCATCATGGCCAGAAAGGCCTCAGGAAACTTACAATCATGGCAGAAGGTGAAGAGGAAGCAAGGCACATCTTACATGGTGGCAGGAGACACAGTGAGAAGGGAGAAGTGCCACACTTTTAAACCATCAGATCTTATGATGATATAGGAGTTAAGAAGAAATCACTTAGGTAGATAGTGAGGGTACGGGAGTCCTTGGTAAGGCTTTTCTTTTAAATGAAAAGCAGCCCCACACATAGACAAGCAAGCTGGGAGCTTGCACGGGTGAATGCCGGCAGAAACTAGGAACCAGACACGTTAAGATGGCGGCTCCATTTTCCCTTCTCTGCCAGCCAAGTGTACAGTAAGGAGCAGACAAGCTGGTGCCGGCCAAGAGGAGAATTCATGTGCATAATAAGATTAGGGTGGGGTGACCAGCCTTCCCAGTGCGCTATGTGAACATCATACCTGATTGAACCAATCTGTGAGCCCTATGTAAATCAGACACCACCTCCTCAAGCCTGACTATAAAATCTGGTGCATTCGCCACCCGCCGGTGTTTCCTCTCAGAAGTCCCCTCTCTCTCATTAGAGAGAGGGCTGTTTTCCTTTCTCCTTCTTCTGCCTATTAACCTGTGCTCCTAAACTCCCTGTGTGTGTCTGTTCTGAATTTTCCCGGCATGAGAGGATGAACCTGGGGTATATACCCCAGAAAACATAGCCACTTAAGTGAGAACTCACTCACTATTCACCCCCAAGATCCAATCACCTTCGACCAGGTTCCTCCCCTGGCGTGAGGGGATTAAAATTCCACATGAGGTTTGAGTAGGGACACAGAGCCAAACCAAACCATATCAGAGGGTGAAGAGCAGGTAAAGTTGCAGCTCTCCTGCAACTTGCAGGGAAAGGCCATATAACACATGGTTATGAGCACAAACTGGGACTGGACTGCAGGTGTGTGAGCCCCAGCTTTGCTATTGAGTGACCACCAGCAAGTTATTAAACTGTGCCTCAGTTTTTTTGTTTATGAAATGGTGGTATTAGTACAACCCACCTCTCATGGATGATGTGAGGATTAAATAAAATAACATGTTGCCAGGCACAGTGGTGCACACCTGTAATCTCGGCACATTGGGAGGCTGAGGCCCGAGGGTTACTTGAGGTTAGAAGCCTGAGACCTGCCTGGCCAACATAGCGAAACCTCATCTCTGCTTAAAATACAAAAAAAAAAAAAAAAAAAAAAAAAAAAAAAGGCCAGGCGTGGTGGCTCATGCTTGTAATCCCAGCACTTTGGGAGGCCGAGGCGGGTGGATCACAAGGTCAGGAGTTTGAGACCAGCCTGGCCAATATGGTGAATCCCCGTCTCTACTAAAAATACAAAAATTAGCCAAGTGTGGTGGTGGGCACCTGTAGTCCCAGCTACTCGGGAGGCTGAGGCAGGAGAATCACTTGAACCTGGGAGGCAGAAGTTGCAGTGAGCCGAGGTTGCGCCACTGCACTCCAGCCTGGGCGACGGAGCGAGACTCCATCTCAAAACAAAACAAAAAAACCAAAAAAATTAACCAGGCATGGTGGCACACACCTGTAATCCCAGCTACTCAGGAGGCTGAGGCAGGAGAATCACTTGAACCCAGGAGGTGGAGGTTGCAGTGAGTTAAGATTGTGCCACTGCACTCCAGCCTGTGCGATAGAAGGAGACAGTCTGCAACAAAGATCCAAAAACAAATATAAAGCACTTATAACAGGGTCTGGTCTGAAATAAGTACTATGTAAGTACTGTAAGTATTAACTAATATTATTACAATTTATCCTCATATAGTAACATATCAAATATTTTCAGTCAGTGATGCAATATGAATAAAATGAAATGATGCAGTAGTGACAGAACTGAGAGAAAGCTGGTACAAATTTATACTGACTGGTCAGGGAAAGCTTCACAGAAAAGGTGAACTTTCAGCTGACACCTGAGTACCATGGTCTGGAGGTAAGAGTGTCCCATGCATATGGAACAGCAAATGAAACTTCCCAGAGCATAATCTGAGAGGGGAGATTTCAGGAGTGGAGCCACATCATTGAAGTTCCTTAGTCCTGGTAAGTGTGGATTTTATTCTAAGTGTGGTGAAATGCCCCTGAGAGGTTTTGAGTAGTAGATGGAATTCCATTTTTAAAAGTCACTGGTGAGTCAAGTAGTGTACTATGGTTACATTTTTTTCCCCTTATACCTCATTTTGTTTTTCCTGCAGTTAATTCTTGCATTATTTCCTTTTATTTACTTACCTTACTATATATTTATTATGAATTCTTTCCAATTCCCAACTTCCTGACAGCCTCTCAATGTAATTTTACTTAGGTTAAATGTATCTGACAGTTCATTTTCTTTTTTGTCTCTGTACTCTTTCTGCTACCATTCTCATTCTTGCACTAATTTGTGCTGGTTTCTCTCTGAGCCAGCTGCACAGCTGCCTGCCTAAGACTTCCTCTTGGCATCTTTTACCCTCTCTCTGTGTTACATCCCCGGTTTTCTGAATCGTGTGGCGTTCTCCTTTTTACTTTACTTCCTCATTTGTGTTGCACGTATGCTCTAGTTGTTTTTAGATAAAGAGTGCATCAGAGGTAGATGTTTTGATTCCTTACATGCCTGACTTTTTGTTCTACTTTTGCTCTAGGTTAATACTTGATTTTGAATAATATCCTAGGTTAGAAATGATTTTTCGTCAGAATTTTAAGGGAATTGCTTTTCTGTTGTCTAGTTTCCTGTGTTACTGATAGGAAGTCCAAAGGGGCTCGTATTTCAGGTCCTTTTTATGTGTAACCTGTTTTTTGTTCCTTGAGGTATTCAGGGTCTCTTTTTATTGCTAATTTGGGGAGCTTTATCATAACATGGGTCCTTAGTCATTCATCCTAGAAAATTTTCCTTTCCTATATCTTTGATGATTTCGTCTCCTCTGCTTTCCCTCTTTTCTCATTCTTAAACTTCTATTTGTTTGACATTAGACCTCCTTGTTTGATCTTCTAATTTAATTTTTCTCTCCTAGTGTCCAATTTTTGAGGTGGGAGAAAGATCTCATCAATGTTATCTTTCAGCCTTTCCCCTGAATTTTAAAATTTTACTCTTCATATTTCTTCTGATTAATCCTTTAAAAAAATAGCATCCTGGGCCAGGTGCAGTGGCTCACACCTGTAATCCCAGCACTTTGGAAGGCTGAGCGGGGAGTGGATCACCTGAGGTCAGGAGCTCAAGACCAGTCTGGCCAACATGATGAAACCCTGTCTCTACTAAAAATACAAAAACTTAGCCAGGCGTGGTGGTGGGCTCCTGTAGTCCCAGCTACTTGGGAGGCTGAGACAGGAGAATCACCAGAACCTGGGAGGTGGAGGTTGTAGTGAGCTGAGATTGTGTGCCATTGTACTCCAACCTGGGTGACAGAGCAAGACTCTATCTCAAAAAAAAAAAAAAAAAAAAAAGGGCCCTGTTCCACTGAGGCTTCAGTGCGGAGCATGGAGGGATACTACCTCCAAATTCCAAACACGTTTGACACATCTAAAGAACCTTCTAAAGGATGACTAAACTAATTCTGCAAGCTTTAGCCTCTAACTTATCTCCAATTTATATTTAATAGAAGGCTGGAAATTGAACAGAAAGGAAATAAGATTATTTGGAAATAAAAAATTGTCAGCCAAGCAAGGAGAGCTTGGCATTTCTGGAAACTTCTTTACCCTGGAAGAGGTAAAAAAGTGATTCTCCCATTCCCCCAACAGGGCATTCACTAAAAATTAAGTGAGAAATGCTTTGCCTAGAGGATCTGTAGCTTGCGAACACTTGACTTGTGCCACTGGTGTACGGAACATAGCAGTGTCAGCTCTGCCCTGGGACAGTCAAGGCTGGCTGGTGCTGCCTGTGGTTAGAGTCAAGAGAGGGGTCTTCAGTGGGTGCAGTTTGCAGTTCCAGAGTTTAGTAGAGCAAAGACGTCATGAACTATGTGAACTCTGAGGAAAGGTGTCATAGAAACACCTCAAAAGGACACTGTCTAAGAAGGCTACTTGCTGGGGCAAGGAGACCCCAGGGGTCAGAGGCTGTGTAGGGAATAATGCCAGAGCTGGGGTTGAAGGAGAATCCTTAGAGGTGAGACAGAATGTGCATCATTGCAGTGGGGCTGTGCAAGGCAGTGGTCTCCACAGGAGGTGAGGACAAGGGGGAGGGGAGGTTGTGAAGAATCCGTAAGTGACCATGATGCAATAGAAAGCCAGAATTTGGGCATTTGCCATAGGAGAGGGCCCCCAGTGCCAGATTATAATGGTCACAGACAAATGAGATTTTTAACCATTTCCTCTAATTCATGGTCCACACTTAACCCCGTGGGTCCTGGAAACAGCAGCTGGAGAATGGAGAGGAAAGTGATGTGGGAGAGAGAAAACTTTCTTTACCCTTTTCATAACTGAGTTTATGAAGTAAACTGACAGTAGAAAGATAAATAGGAGAAAAGACATAAATTTATTTTGTGCGTACACATGGGAGTCCCATAAAATATGAGACTCAAAGAAAGGCCAGATGATTGAAGTTTATATAGTATTCCTGAGCTACAGAAAAGGAATCAGGGCTTGGGGCTTATTGAGGGGAGGTGGTGACAGGTTATAAGAGGGTGAGGAGAGGAAGTGTATAGCAAGCATAGGTTGTCTTGTTATGCAGATAAAAAGTCTCTCAGGTGATAAAAGTTGTCTCAGAGTCCCCCATCAGAAGAATAGGTAATAGCCTGTGACAAGGTCTACCTGTCCAATCTTCTCCCTGGTGATAAAATCTTCCCTGGTTGATGAGATTCTTATCAAAGTTTTTTTCTTTATAGATATAAATTTTGTTTACAAAAAGACAGTTTTTCAGAGCTACTCCTGTGTCTACAGTGTCTCAGAATAACTAACTGGAAATACATCAAATAAGCATATCCTGATGTGGCATATTCTGGTCATATTTTGGGATGGTGCGTCCTGAGCTCCAATGCTGAAAAAACAGGAACCCCATTTCTGTTGGATGTGCCAACCTAAAATAATCAAAAGGGTCAGAATCTAGTTTAAAGATACTTTATTCAAGTGCAAAGTTTAAGGACAGTGCTAGGGAAACACGGATCCCAAAGAATGGAAGTCAGCGTTCTGAACTTTAGAAGTTTGGGATTGTTTATAGAGAGAGAGTTTAGGGAAGCTTAACAGAATTTCAACATCTTTCTGTGTAAGGCTTAATGCCTAGTTACAATGATCTGATTAGTCAAGGTGGTCACTTTCATTTGAGAAAGGCATATTTAACATTTCACGGGCTGGGAGCGGTGGTTCATGCCTGTAATCTCAGCACTTTGGGAGGCCGAGGCGGGCAGATCATCTGAGGTCAGGAGTTCGAGGCCAGCCTGGCCAATATGGGGAAACCCCTTCTCTACTAAAAATACAATACAATAAAATAAAATAAAATAAAAAAAATTAGCCGGGCATGGTGCACGTGCCTGTAATCCCAGCTACTTGGGAAGCTGAGGCAGGAGAATTGCTTGAACCTGGGAGGCAGAGGTTGTGGTGAGCTGAGATTGCACCATTGCACTCCAGCCTGGGCAACAAGAATGAAACTCCATCTCAAACAACAACAACAACAACAACAACAACAACAACAACAACAACAACAAACATTTCACACTGAAGGTGTAACAGTCATGGGTTTGTATTTTCGTTTTTCTTGGTTTTTTTTTTTTTTTTTTGAGACTGTCTCGCTCTGTATTGCAGGCTGGCATGGCACAATCACAGCTCGCTGCAGCTTCGATTTTGTGGGCTCAAGTGATCCTACCACCTCAGTCTCCCGACTAGCTGGGACCACAGTCATGTGCCACCACACCCGGCTAATTTATTTTTTATTTCTTATAGAGACCAGATCCCCCTTTTGCCCAGGCTGGTCTCAAACTCCTGGACTCAAACAATTCTCCTGCCTCAGCCTCCCAAAGTGCCTGGATTACAGGCATGGGCTACTGTGCTCATCCCATGGGGTCTTTTGTGCCAACTGGTGTGAGTTAGGTACAGGACAATAAAGGAGGCAGTTAATCCATTAATCCATAACAAAGATCAGTGAAGGGGGAAGGTCTGGTCTCTGGTCTCTCCTAGTCATTTACAGAACTAGAACGATGAGAAGAGAGTGAATCTATAACCTAAGAAGCAGAATTGCAAACATGCTATGTGACTCAGTTTCCAGTACTTAACTTCTCCCTTGGCATAATAAATAATTTTAGAGAGTTTTAAGAATTTTGTTTTCTTTTACAGATGTTAACAACCTCAGCTTGCTGGGGGCTGGTGGTGGTGGCTGCTCAGACAGTAAAGCATTGAATGCAATGTGAGGTCAAAGTTTTATTACAGATCATACCGGTCTTTTAAGTACTTGCAGCAAGATTTTCCTAATACTTAAAAGTGACTGGAAACTCAATAGGATCAGTGTGATCTTCTCCAGATAGGGATGGTAGATTTTTGAAAGTGGGTGTGAAGGGCAGTAATGAGAGAAAAATAAAACTATTTCTGGTTGTACTCTCCCAAGTCAAGGTCATTCAATGAATGGTTATATAGATTTGCATCAAAAGTCCCTGTTTTCAGCCTCACCTTTGGAAACACCTGGATTCTCTATTCTGAGACTTTCTGAGATGAGGGAAAGGTGGCTTCTCATCAGTATCTCCTTCTTTGTGCAATACAGTTTCAGTTCTTTCTAATCTACAGAGTTAGTTCCTTCTCTACTGTCAGCTTTCTACCTTCCAAAATGTGTTAATGTCACTCATTATCATGTTTCCCATTCTCTTTCCCTTATGGTTTAAACTTTAAAAGACAATGGTATTTGTTTAAGTGAATATCTAAAAAGATGTGGAGAAAGATTCATGTGTTCAGTCTACCATGTTTAATTGGAGTCACTGGTAGATTTTTAAGGAAAAATAACATTCTAGGTTTTTCCAGTATTGCTATGTAGCTTGTCTATGTAGATCACCTTGCATTCTTCTGTTTCTCTCTTATAACTTGATTTTTTTCTTTTCTTTTCTTTTCTTTTTTTTTCGAGACAGAGTCTCACTTTGTCACCCAGGCTGGAGTACAGTGGCACAATCTCGTCTCATTGCTGCCTCCATCTCCTGGGTTCAAGTGATTCTCCCACCTCACCTTCCCAAATAGCCGGGATTACAGACATCTTATAACTTGATTTTTACTCATTTCATTATCATCCAAGAGATGAAATTTAACTCAAAGCAAATGACTATTGTTTCAAATACAAATCTTAATCAGGGAGAAAAGATTATAACTTATAGTTGAACTGGGGTTTGGAGATTATATGTGTTTTTTAAAATTATTCTGTCCCACATGTAACATACAAGTGAGGATTTTAAAAATTTGTCTGCAGTTTTTTTTTTTTTAATTGATCATTCTTGGGTGTTTCTCGCAGAGGGGGATTTGGCAGGGTCATAGGACAATAGTGGAGGGAAGGTCAGCAGATAAACGAGTGAACAAAGGTCTCTGGTTTTCCTAGGCAGAGGACCCTGCGGCCTTCCGCAGTGTTTGTGTCCCTGGGTACTTGAGATTAGGGAGTGGTGATGACTCTTAAAGAGCATGCTGCCTTCAAGCATCTGTTTAACAAAGCACATCTTGCACCGCCCTTAATCCATTTAACCCTGAGTGGACACAGCACATGTTTCAGAGAGCACCGGGTTGGGGGTAAGGTCATAGATCAACAGCATCCCAAGGCAGAAGAATTTTTCTTAGTACAGAACAAAATGGAGTCTCCTATGTCTACTTCTTTCTACACAGACACAGCAACAATCTGATTTCTCTATCTTTTCCCCACATTTCCCCCTTTTCTATTCCACAAAACCGCCATTGTCATCATGGCCCGTTCTCAATGAGCTGTTGGGTACACCTCCCAGACGGGGTGGCGGCCGGGCAGAGGGGCTCCTCACTTCCCAGAAGGGGTGGCCTGGCAGAGGCACCCCCAACCTCCCTCCCGGACGGGGCGGCTGGCCAGGCGGGGGCTGCCCCCAACTTCCCAGACGGGGTGGCTGCTGGGCGGAGGGGCTCTTTACTTCTCAGATGGGGCGGCTGCCGGGTGGAGGGGCTCCTCACTTCTCAGACGGGGCGGCCGGGCAGAGGCGCTCCTCACCTCCCAGACGGGGCAGCAGGGCAGAGGCGCTCCCCACATCTCAGACGATGGGCGGCCGGGCAGAGACGCTCCTCACTTCCTAGACGGGATGGCAGCCGGGAAGAGGCGCTCCTCACTTCCCAGACTGGGCAGCCAGGCAGAGGGGCTCCTCACATCCCAGACGATGGGCAGCCAGGCAGAGAAGCTCCTCACTTCCCAGATGGGGTGGCGGCCGGGCAGAGGCTGCAATCTCGGCACTTTGGGAGGCCAAGGCAGGCGGCTGGGAGGTGGAGGTTGTAGCGAGCCGAGATCACGCCACTACACTCCAGCTTGGGCAACATTGAGCACTGAGTGAACGAGACTCCGTCTGCAATCCCGGCACCTCGGGAGGCCGAGGCTGGCAGATCACTCCCGGTTAGGAGCTGGAGACCAGCCCGGCCAACACAGCGAAACCCCGTCTCCACCAAAAAAATACGAAAACCAGTCAGGCATGGTGGCGCGCGCCTGCAATCACAGGCACTCGGCAGGCTGAGGCAGGACAATCAGGCAGGGAGGTTGCAGTGAGCAGAGATGGCAGCAGTACAGTCCAGCTTCGGCTTGGCATCAGAGGGAGACCGTGGAAAGAGAGGGAGAGGGAGACCGTGGGGAGAGGGAGAGGGGGAGGGGGAGCTGCAATTTTTTATTTAGCAATTTCCAAACCTATTGTGTTAGGCAGGGTTCTCCAGGGAAACAGAACCAATAGGGCATATCTATATCTATATTTATATCTTTATCTATATCTATATCTATAATCTTTCTATCTATCTATCAAGAGATCGAGAGAGAGAGATTTATTTTAAGGAATTGGTTCATGTGATTGTGGGAGCTGGCAAGTCTGAAATCCATAGGGCAAGTTGGTCAGCTGGAAATTCTGGTAAGAGTTGATGTTGCAGTCGTGAGTCTGAAATTTGCAGGGCAGGTCAGGTACAGTATCTATTGCAATTGCAGTCCTGAGGCCAAATTCCTTCTTCAGGAAACCTCCGTCTTTTTTGCTGTTAAGGCCTTCAACTAATTGGATGAAGCCCTCCCACATTGAGGGCAATCTGCTTTACTCAAAGTCTGCTGATTTAAATGGTAATCACATCTAAAAAATACTTTCACAGCAACATTTGAACTTGTGTTGTCTAAGCAATTGGGCACTATAGCTTAGCCAAGCAGACACATGAAATTAACCATCACTCTGTAGAGATGAAAGAACTACTGTTTCAAAAAACAACTGTTTTTGAATCCGTCATTTATCAACGGATTCACCCAATGGTTAACCTTTCTATATGCTTTCTCTTTCTCCCAAGTACTGAATCATATGAAAATAAATTATGGTTGTGATATTTCCTATCTAAATACTTCATATGGGACATTCTCCTACATAGCACACCTAAGAAGATTAGTATTAATTCAGAGAGATCATGTCATATCTGGTTCATATATAATTTTCCCTAGCTGACCTCAAAATGTGTTTGTTTTGTTTACATATTACTCTTTATAGTTATGTTTCTTTTAATACGGATCAATATTTGTGTGTTTTTGCTGCTATTTTTTTTAATGACATTGTTTTGAATAATTCAGGCTCATTGGCTATTTCACATCCTGAATTTCTCTAATTTTATCTTTATGATTAGAGCCAGGCTCTAATTCTTGGCAAGAATAACACTGAAGTGAGGTTGTGTACTCCTAATTGCCCTGCATCAAAGACACATGATATGCATTGGTTCCTGCATTAGTCATGTTAAGTTTGATTAGCTGGTGAAGGTGGTCGCCACCATTTCTCACTCTTGTAAAGGGACATTTTCTCCTTTTAAATTAATATGTAATTTGTGGCACAAGACTTTGAGACTGTGTAAATATCCCATTCTCTGACAACCTTTCTTCTGATGACTTTAGCATTAACTGATCTAATTATATCATTCTTGGCATTGAGTAGCATTCTTGTGTAAAGAAGGGGTTCTCTTTCTCTCCCTCCTCTCATTATAATTTGTTACTGTTATTTTCTTACAAGTTACTAAGAATTACTCAAAGGCAGTATTTTTCAATAAATCATTGGTAATTTATGGTCTTCTCACTCTAGAAAAGGGAGGATGGGTCAGAAAGCTGAGGGGAAAAAAAGGGAGGAAACGAGAATGTATATTATCGACATAATCGGTTGAAAATGTCTAGTGCTGTAATTATGCCATCATGCAGATTAAAAAGCCACCTGTGAAAAATCAACTTGTATTGTTTTGTTTTGTTTGATTTTTAATAAATCCTTATAGTGTATGAATAAAAATTAAATTAATTGATCAGTATCTTCACTAATGGCAGAGAAGGGGATGGACTGAGCAGATTCTGCTTTTCACTCTGATATTTGTTAATTGCCCTGTGTGGTCTGAAGACCTGGGTTCTAGTACCAGCTCTCCCTCTGCAGACAGGTGTGTTACTTTGGTCAAGGCAATCAATCTTCTTGATACTCAGTTTGGTTCTCTCTGATTTGAGCATAAGAAATATACTTGAAGGCCGGGCATGGTGGCTTATGCCTGTAATTCCAGCACTATGGGAAGCCGAGGTGGGAGGATCGCTTGGGCTCAGGAGTTTGAGACCAGGCTGGGCAACATGGCAAAACCTCAACTCTACAAAAAACAAACAAAAAATTAGCCAGGCATGGTGGTGCACGCCTGTAGTCCCAGCTACTCAGGAGGTTGAGGCAGGAGAATCCTGGGAGGCAGAGGTTGCAGTGATCTGAGATTGTGCCACTGCACTCCAGCCTGGGAGCCTGGGTGACAGAGAGAGACCCTGTCTAAAATATATATATACACACACTTGAATGCTTCATGTCCCTTGCTCAGTGACAGCCCCGTCCTCTGCTTCTGCACAGTTGACCAAGGCTTCTCAGTCTACTCCTGTGTAGAAAAGAATTAAAGCAGGCCTGAGGCTGCTAGTCTTAGAAAGGCTTGCAAAGTTGGCCCTTGTCTGGTGTCTGGGAACTTGAATTTCTGGAGGGTTCTCACCATTCCCTGAAAAGAATGGCTCACGATGCCTAAAATATTTGTACAAACAATGAAGTTTCTGCTGAACATCTGCTTCCTTCTGGGAGTCTGGAATTTTAGGATGTGCTAGGTAGGGGTGTTTACATGACAGCCCCACATAAAAACCTTGGGCACTGAGTGTCTAATGAGATTCCCTAGTAAGTAATATTTTACACATATTATCACAACTCATTGCTGGAGGAGTTAAGTGCATCCTGTGTGACTCCACTGGGAGAGGACTCTGGGAAGCACATGTCTGATTTCCTTTGTCCCATGTGCCTTTTCCTTTTGCTGATTTTTGCCTTGTAAATTTTTTTTTTTTTTTTTGAGAGACAGAGTCTTACTCTGTTGCCCAGACTGGAGTTCAGTGGCCCCATGTCGGCTCACTGCAGCCTCTGCCTCCTGGATTCAAGCAATTCTCCTGCCTCAGCCTCCCGAGTAGCTGGGACTACAGGCGCGCGCTGCCACACCGGCTAATTTTTGTATTTTTAGTAGAGACGGGGTTTCACCATGTTGGCCAGGATGGTCTTGATCTCCTGACCTCGTGATCCGCCTGCCTCGGCCTCCCAAAGTGCTGGAATTATAGGCCTGGGCCACTGTGCCTGGCCATAATTTTTATCCTGTAATAAATTATAGTCGAAAGTATTGAGTCCTGTGAATCAACTTAGAGAATCACCAAACTGCTTCCAATTTTCTCATATGTAAAATGGGTTGCTATAATAATGATGATATCTACCTTATAGGGTTGTTTTAAGT
Source organism: Homo sapiens (assembly GCF_000001405.40). Lineage (NCBI taxonomy): Eukaryota > Metazoa > Chordata > Mammalia > Primates > Hominidae > Homo > Homo sapiens. The sequence continues at coordinate 24,922,442 of NC_000012.12, read as the reverse complement.
ATGAAAAATATGGTGAAATATGTGTGAAACTAGGGGCCGGATGTAGGATGAGTCATACAGTGGGTGGTTATTATTACGGATCATATTAACTCTTCAGGTAAAAACCATCTTGTAGCTGGGCAAGGTGGCACATGCCTGTAGTCCCAGCTACTTGGGGGACTGAGGCAGGTGGATCGCTTGAGCCTAGGAGTTCAAGGCTGTAGTACGCTATGATCACGTCTATCAATAGCCACTGGACTCCAGCCTGGACAATGTAATGAGAGTCTGTCTCAAAAAAAAGGAACAATCTTGTGTTTGCGTGTGTGCTCATGTCTTTGTTGGAATAATACTGACACAGTCACTCAAATTAACTCTCAAATCTTTGATTATTCATTTGATGGGAACAACAGGTTTATGTGCCAGCTTATCAGGACCCCTAGTTCTTTCATTAAAGTGTGTATGTGTGTGTGTATGTGTGTATGTGTGCACATGTGTGCTAGTTTTCTTATCTAACGACGAAGTCCTTTGGGAGGTTTACTTTTTCATTACTATTTTTTTCATGCTTTCCTTTGATGTGCACCTGGCAATTTATAGAGCCAATGTGTACTACATATTCTGCTGCAGAAAATGACAGAGGTGAGGAAGGAGCAGGAAGCAGATTTAGAAAGGAATGTTACAGTTTATCAAGTTGTGACTAATGGAAGCTATTAAAACAAAAGGTACCAACCCATCTTAAATATTCACTGCCTCTACAACTATTTTTCTATAACTGTTGTTCCTTGTCAGCTCTGGGGTGGAGGGAATATTCCTGAATGTTTTATTAAGTAATTCAAAGATCTTCCTAGGTATGTGTATCAAAGATCCTATGATGTATCTGTCTTGTAAATTGAGACTGGCATATATTGGGCTTACATTACTGGGAAAAATGTATGTCATCATCATTGGTGAAAAAGAGTTTCCATAGCAGTTTTTTCTAAGTAGAGAGATAAATGAATCAGACTTTTGGAGGAGGTATGTTTTAACTCACTGGAGGATCACACCAAGTCTGAACATCTAAGGAACCCTAGTGGAAAACTGGTTTTCCTGTATGCTGCTCTAGCGATCTGAGGAAAGGCCTAAAAAAAGCCAGTGTCCCTGTGATATTGTGAAATACATATATGTGGTCTTTGTTCCTGTTTCCTGGCATACAAGTACTAAAAATCCTTGGAATCTCCAAAGTGCTGTCTTTTTGTATATTAGTGTTGACTGATAGCTTCAGAGTGGGGCTGGTCAAGTTGATCACCAATGGCCAGTGGTTTAATCAGTCATGCCTATGTAATGAAGCCTCCATGAAAATCCAAAGGGAATGGACTGGGGAGCTTCTAAGAAGTGTTTTTTACCTTCCCGTGAGCCTCCTGTGCTGAACACGTGGAGGGTCACGGGAAGGTAAGCAAAAATTCATTCACATGCTGGGAGGGTGGCACATCCCAACTCCACGAGGACAAAAGCTCCTGTGCTCAGAACCCTTCCAGACTTGGACCTTGTATCTCTTCATTGGCTTTTATTTGTATTTTAAAAAATATCCTGAGTGATAAACTGGTAGATGTAAGTGTCTTCCTCAGTTCTGTGAACCACGCTAGCAAATTAATCAAACCGGAAGAGGGGGTCATGGCAACCCCAACTTGAAACCTGTTGGTCAGCAGTTCCAGAGACCTGAACTTATGACTGGTTGGAAGGACGGGGTGCTCTTGTGGGACTGAGCCCTCAACTTGTGGATCTGATGCTATCTCTGGGTAGACAGTGTTGGAGCTGAATTGGAGGACACCTAGCTTGTGTCCACTGCAGAACTGATTGCTTGCTTCCTGCTGGGGAGAAATCCCTATATATTTTGGGGTCCAGAAGTCTTCCGTGTTGATTGTTTTTGTGTGAGAGCAGAGGAAAAATGGTTTGAGAGTTTTTCGGGAAACAGCCCCTCTTAGTATAGTGGTAGAAACACTCCAAAAATAAAATATGCTACCCCAAAAATAAAAAATGAAAATAAAAATAAAAATCTGGAGTGGTCAGTTTGCCAAGAGGATTTATGGAGCATCTAAGGTCAAGCATTACTTCTCAGCCCTGCAGCAGGCCTCTAATTAAGCCATGCCACAGAGTGCGGTTTGCAGAGAGGTGGAGTTCCTGTGGATTCATTCTTCTCTCTAAAATTATAAATAACGCAGCTTCCAAACATGCCATATTACCTCACAAGGTCTAAAGACTCAATATGAATCTTCAACTTAACAATTATAACTGACACAGATTGAGATCTTCCTGGATGCTGAAATAGGCTTTACATGATTTATCTCATTTAGTTCTCATAAAACTCTATTATTAATATTATTTTACAGATAGAGAAATGGAAGCACAGAGAGGGTAAGTGTATTAGTCCATTTTTATGCTGCTAATAAAGACATACCCAAGACAGGGTAATTTATACAGAAAAAGAGGTTTAATGGACTCACATTTCCACATGGCTGGGAGGCCTCACAATCATGGCAGAAGGCAAAAGGCACTTCTTACCTGGTGGTGGCAAGACAGAAAATGAGAACCAAGCGAAAGGGGTTTCCCCTTATAAAACCATCAGGTAACATGAGACAATTATTCACTACCACAGAAACTATATGGGGGAAACCGCCCCCATGATTCAGTTATCTTCCATTGGGTCCCTCCCACAACACGTGGAGCTACAATTCAAGATGAGATTTGTGTGGAGACATAGCTAACCCATATCAGTAAGTAATTAGACAAACCTTGCAAAGCTAGTAAGTGGTATTGCTGGAATTAAATCTGCCAATGTCACTCCAGAGTCTATGTGATTTACTGGTATATTATAGGGTCTACCTATAAGCTTGATAACCTTATGTTAGAACAAATAACCATGACATATTCTGTTCAGTAGTTTGCATTTCCTTTTGACTCCTACAGGGGAGGAGGCCGAGGTTCAGGGACATTAAAGTGGGGTTTAGAGACATTAGGTGGTTTACCCAAGCTTTATCTACTAGATACTAGATAATTGTCTATCTGACAATAAAGCTAGAACTTACACCCAGCTGGACAATGGAGCTACAGCTTAAAACAAAATCTTCTAATGAGCTCAGAACTCATGGCTTAATAAGATTTGGGAAAAGTCCTGCGGACATTTCACTGTCTATCCAGAAATGCGAGGAAGTTAGGAGAAAAGGCAAAGTATCTCATAGACAGATAAAGGCAGTTCAGTAAGTAGCCTGAATAAATAGCCATATTTAAAATCTAATTTGGTTCTTTTGTGCCTAACACAATTGACTTTATGCTGGTATCTATTTTCTGCTCTGTCTCTCTTTCTGTCTCTACTTATGTGTGTATGCATGTGTTATAAAATATATCAGCCCATTGATCAATTTTTAATTTAAGCAAAAACATGGTAGATTAATATATTCAATCAATTTATTGAGTAGATATTTATCGAGGCTCACACATTTATCTGACTGTGTACTAAGCACTGGAAACCCAAAGAGAATGAAGTCACTGCCTAGACAGTTGGAGGCTGACACATAAACAAGCAGGGTAATAATCAAGTGTCATAACTAGTCTATTACATGCAATGTTAAACTAGCATCTCTACCATGCAAAACTTGTGCTCTTGGGGATACAGGAAGACTTTCCAGAGAAGTACACAGGACAGGAATGTGTTAGGAAACCAGTCAGTTCCCAGGTCCTCGATCAGGTCACAGTGACTTGCGATTCTATTTTGAACATAGGTCTTAAATCTTTATTTTGATAGCAAGGGTTTTAAACTTTTGATATATGATATACTTCTGAAAATCAAATTTCATATTCTAAAATTAAGTATTTTTGCCCTTAACTAACTTGAACATAATACTATAATACATTAACATATATTATTAATAATAAATAGGACCCCTGGAAGTCCAAGAGAGACATGAGGCTTATTTGGTATGTTAAAATCATACAGGAAGTGTTGTTAAATAAGAAATGGTGTTACACTTTCTTTGAGTTATATTTATATGGATATGTTGTTAATATGTGTTCCAACATTGTATGAGATTCCTAAAAATCTGATATGGACATCCAGTGTGGTTGTTGGGTCCTCTATGAGCCTAGGGAGCACTGGCCGGTTACCTTGCATCCATTCATGTCAGCGTTGGTAGTGTCAGGCACCCGATGGTTCTTAGAAGAGTACTTAGCTCTACTCTGCAGTGTCTGAAGTTGCTGGATATATACCTGCTGTATAAACTGCTGACTAGGGCGCTGCAGTTTACTTACTGTCTTCTCATGGGGACCTTCCCCTTCAACTCTTTCCTCTTGGGTTTCACATCTTGGGTGGGGAGTTTCATCCTAGTAGTTTGCCTGAGAATACAGGTGAACCCACAGAACAAAGTGGACTTCGAAAGCATCTCCTTGGAGTGAGACTTTGCTTCTTTCTCTTTGCTAGCACCATCTTGTACCTTATCGTCATGAACTTTGTTGGCTGAATCATTCCCATTTACTTAATTGAAGAGTAAGAGACTGGAACAATGCTCACTTTGATTTTCCTGGATAAGAGTTAAGAGTTCTTGAGATGGCAGCTTGTTTGACACATGAATTTTCTTCAAATTTGTGCTTACTACCAACTGATTTGGTGTGGAGGAGAGCCCAGAGAAGTTCCCTCTCTCTGTCAGAACAACTTTGTAACATTTATTAACCTGACTTCTGCCTTCAATTAACTGTAACCTTTTGCCTTCCAAATTAAAAAGTTCCACATTACTCCAAAAATAAAAAGTGAAAATAAAAATAAAAGGCTGATATGTCATGGTATATGCAGTAAATTGCTTTATTCTGATTTTTTTTTCTAAAAGCCTTTTGCAAATCCTGAAGTGCTGTGTATTCAAGGAAATTCATGAAAGGGACCTTGACAAGTAGTCTTAAATACAGGTTTCTGATAACTTTGGAGATCACACCTTTGGACTAGGTAAAAACATCCAAAACTCGTCTGGGCGCAGTGGCTCACGCCTGTAATCCCAGCACTTTGGGAGGCCAAGGCAGGCGGATCACGAGGTCAGGAGATCGAGACCATCCTGGCTAACACGGTGAAACCCCATCTCTACTAAAAACACAAAAACAAAATTAGCCGGGCGTGGTGGCGGGCGCCTGTAGTTCCAGCTACCCGGCAGGCTGAGGCGGAAGAATGGCGCGAAGCGGCAAGACGGAGCTTGCAGTGAGCCGAGATCGCGCCACTGCACTCCAGCCTCAAAAAAAAAAAAAAAAAAAAAAAAAGTCCAAAGCTCTAATGAAAAACTGATGCATTCATGCAGATTGCTAACCCAACATCAAGGAGAACGAGAATTACATGGGACTGAGTGAATGAAGGATTGAAATTACTATTTTAAAGGGTTTTTGTTTGAAACATTACTGATTTTTTTTATGTTTTGTTTTCCAGACTCAAGAAAATATTTTTTTTCTTTTGAGCTATTTATAGCTTACAGCATTGGGGTAAAGTATACTTCTGTGAGCAAAATGGAAACATTTACCTTTCTTTCTACCTGAATTCTTCAGAATTTGGAAACTATTCATTAGTGTTCTTATTTTCTGGCAATATAGTTATTTGCATAAGTTCAATAAGAACCTATTTTCGGCTGTGCATGGTGGCTCATGCCTGTAATCCCAGCACCTTGGGAGGGCGAGGCCGGTGGATCACAAGGTCAGGAGTTTGAGAACAGCCTGGCCAAGATGGTGAAACCCCGTCTCTACTAAAACTACAAAGATTAACCAGGCGCGGTGGCAGGCGCCTGTAATCCCAGCTACTCGGGAGGCTGAGGCAGGAGAATAGCTTGAACCTTGGGTGGCAGAGGTTGCAGTGAGCCGAGATCGCACCACTGCGCTCCAGCCTAGGGGACAAGAGCGAGACTCTATCTCAAAACAAACAAACAAAAAAACAAAAAGCAAACAAACAAAAAAAGAGCTTATTTTCTTTTGTAACTGGACACATGGAAACAGTGGTTATTTTACCAAGGCTTTGACTGGAATGTCTTTTTTTTGAGTGCAACCGGACTGCTTCGAGGGATTGAGGTTGACTTTATACAGCCAGTAGACTTGGAAAAAGACACACCTGGTACCTTGCCCACACAATTCCTTTATAGCGTTTCTAACTTTGCAATAAGTAAAGAATGTCACTTTCTGACAGGCCCAGGGACCTCAAGATATTTTGGAGACGTTGAAAAGAGAGCAATTCACCCAATTCATACAGGTTTTACAGGCACAGTCTGATGGCGAATCTTTGGCTTGGCTTCATTGCTTCAAGAGTTTGTTTTTTTGACACGGAATCTCACTCTGTCACCCATTCTGGAGTGCAGTGGTGAGATCTTGGCTCACTGAAACCTCTGCTTCCTGGATTCAAGTGATTCTCCTGCTTCAGCCTCCCGAGTAGCTGGGATTACAGGCATGTGTTGCTACTCCCAGCTAATTTTTTGTATTTTTGGTAGAGATGAGGTTTCACCATGTTGCCCAGGGTGGTCTTGAACTCCTGACCTCAGGTGATCCACCCACCTCAGCCTCCCAAAGTGCTGGGATTACAGGCGTGAGCCACTGTGCCCAGCCCTTGAGAGGTTTCAAAAGTCTTAATCTGAGATTCCTTATGAAAAAATTCCAACAAAGCCAACTTAAGAGCCATCCCTGTAGAAAATATATCTATTTAAATATCGTCTGTTTTATGCCACAATGTTTGTTTTGCGTTGCAAGCCGTTATCTCCTAGGCATGGGTAATCCACTTTGAGAGGAAAATCCAGACATCATTGTGCCTAATTTGCTGCCACCTGTGTCTGTGCTGGATCTTACCAGGGTTAGCTTTATTTTCTTTCAACTGGCAAAATTCTGATAAAGCATGTAGCTTCACGGTAGAGCAAAAAGTGTAACTTAATTGAAAGTCATGACTTTCAGGAGTCTAATGATGCTAATATATTTTCTTCTAGAGAGGTGTCTTTATTGTATGTAATTCCCTGAAGAAATGTAAAGATTTATCTAATTCCTATTGCTCTGACAGGCGTGCTCAATAGAAGCATTGAAGTAAAATAAAAATAACCTTTTTAATCTGTGTATTTCTCTTGCCCACCAAGATATTTAATTTTTTTCTTGATCTTTGCTTTTGTTTATGTGAAGATATTTATGTCTATATCATTTCTGTATATATCACAGAAAAGTTTTCACTTGCTTGACATTTTATTCTACAATGATTTTTAGTTTAAGTTTAAAGAATGGCTACATTCAGATTTATTTTCACAACTATAGTCCTGCTAAACTGCCTTTGTTGAAAACTCAGTTTTTATAATAAATAAAAAATATCAAAGCAAAAAAAAAAGAGCCTTCATGATAAATCACCATTCTTACTGCACTTTAAGCAGATAATCATGCCAGAGACTAAACTGACTTTGCAAATAAATTAGTTTTATTATTATTATCTTTGTGGGTAAAAGTTGGGATGACTGTAGAAGAGAAAATTATATTTCAGAAGAAAATTATACCATACTTGTTATTAGATTCTAGTCTTGATAATTGTTTTTTTGAGTTTTTGTTATTTGCCTACAATTTGGGCTGAATCCTGAATTCCTTCCTGGGTACAAGTCTCCAAACTAATGTTTCCTAATTTTTCTACCATTTTTCTGTCTTGGAATCACCAAGCCCTGCAGGCTTTAGCTAGACAACTTGATATAAACTTTGGAAGAAATAATGACAGCAACTTAATATATGAGCAGTGTTCATGTCAGCTGATGTATGGATTACTCAGAAGGTTTACTTGAACACCTGATTCAAACTATAATCCAGAAATATCTGTAAGATTGCCACTGCAATCTGAAGCTACTTCAGAGACTCTAGGAAAATTAGTTTATAGACAACTCCAGATGTTAATCTTTGTTTTTCTTTTGTTTTCATGGAAATGCCTTTTATTAAACATCTGATTGCTTGATTCATAGAGGCCTGACTTTGGTGGAAGCAACACCACTGCCTGAAATGAGATATAACTGTTAACCGTTTAATTGGAGCGGCCTGTTCTCACGACTGCAAGACTAGTTCAATGGCTTATAAAATAATCCACCCGCTGGGCACAGTAGTTCACACCTGTAATCTCAGCACTTTGGGAGGCTGAGGTGGGCAAATTGCTTGAGCTCAGGAGTTCGAGACCAGCCAGAGCAACATGGTGAAACCCTGTCTCTACCAAAAATATAAAAAATTAGCCGGGCATAGTAGCATGTGCCTGTGGTCCCAGCTCCTCGGGAGGTGGATGTGGGAGGATTGCCTGAGCCTGGGAGGCAGAGCTTGCAGTGAGCTGAGATTATGACACTGCACTCTAGCCTGGGCAATACAGTGAGACCCCATCTCAAAAAAAAAAAAAAAAGATAATCTACCAACCCAATTTCTCAACTGGGGAATGTTGGGCTCCTGCTCTCCTGTCTCTGACCTTTCATTCTCCCTTGAGGCTAGCCATCAAGACTACAACCCCTCTTCCCCAAAGTGGGCCATAGAAACAAAACCCCTTTTCCCCAAAGCCAACCATAAAACCTAAAAATAGTACTCTAACTTCCACCACCCCCAGCCTGTCTGTGTAAGGCCATAAAGAAATTATCTGACTCACTTTGTTTGACTGAAGGTTATAAGACCCCCATTCCAGAGAGGGTCCAGCACCACACCCAGAAGGAAGAAATGCATGCTCAGAGAGGCAAGAAGGGTCCAGACAGACAGGCTGTGCTGGATTTCCCTGCTCAGTCTATTAGCATTAGACCATACCTTTTTTGTCCAATCATATTTCTACGTGGCTCTCCATACTTTGTTTAACCTAACCTAAGGGGGCTCAGGGTTTTGGCCTGGGCATTGTCTGTTGGGGAATAGAGTGAGTCATCCCCAGCTCATGGGTTTGCATCCAGTTCTTGTTGTAAAAGGCCCAAAGCCTGTTGGATGGCAACCCTGAGCCATCGTGGAAGGGGGGTTCCAGTTTCACAAATAGATACTCAGACAGCCAAACTACCATCTACTTGGTGCCAACGTTTGCACTGTGGTCAAAGACTTACCTAGCACAGACTGAACAAATCTTCCCATCTGTCACATAAATGTCCCCAAGCAATGTTGAAGCACATGCCAGGATCGGCCTTGCTAGGTCCTGCTTGGTAGATAAGCAAATGGCTTCCTTGTGGTGTTTTTATTCTATTTTGTCTCATTAACACTACAACTTTGTGTTATCTACTTGATAATCTGTAATTGTAAATACATACAGGATTATGTAATTTGTGTAAATACATAATGACAGACTTCTGAAAACTGGTATTTTTTACTTGGTGTCCATTTGAAGCTGTTTTAGGTTCTGTGGCACATGAACCAATGGCATTTAAAAAGCATACTCTCCTTGCTCTTAAAAAAACAAACAAAACAAAACAAAAACTGTCCATTAAAATTTTTGTATTTTTGTAAAGACAGGGTTTCACCATAAAAATGGACAGTTTCCCTTATATCTTTGGGTCTTCGTTCTGTAGGCTCTCGTGTCACATAAAATTATGATCAAATAAATTTGTATGACTTTTCTCCTATTAATCTGCCCCTTGTCAATGATTTTGAGCAACCTTCTGAAGAAAGTGATGGGGAAGTATTCCCTTTGCTGCCACAAGGTATATATCAGATAAGTCAGTCTATTTTCTTGAACATATATCACATTCATAGGAAAAACACTTTTTCCAAAAGATTACTGTCTTCCCAAATACCCACGTTCTCCATTTTTTTTTTTTTTTTTTAGAGATGGGGTCTCACTGTGTTGTCCAGGCTAGTCTCAAGCTTCTGGACTCAAGCAATCCTCTCACCTCAGCTTCCCAAAGTGCTGTGATTACAGACATAAGCCATCACGCCCGGCCCCATTTTCTCCTTTGGGTGTATGTATATTGCTCATTGTCAGGCATCAACCATTTCTCTTCTCTGAGATGGAGTCTCACTCTGTCACCCAGGCTGGAGTGCAGTGGCGCAATCTTGGCTCACTGCAAGCTCTGCCTCCCTGGTTCACGCCATTCTCCTGCCTCAGCCTCCCGAGTAGCTGGGACTACAGGTGCCCACCACTACGCCCGGCTAATTTTTTTGTATTTCTTTTTTGGTAGAGACGGGGTTTCACCGTGTTAGACAGGATGGTCTCAATCTCCTGACCTCGTGATCCGCCCGCCTCGGCCTCCCAAAGTGCTGGGATTACAGGTGTGAGCCACTGCGCCCAGCCCTCTTCTAATTTTTTATATTTATCATGTATTTACTAGAACTGGTTTATTTTCGTGAGCATATGTTGTGGATTCTACTATAAATAATGCACTTAATAATCATTAATAAAACTTAAATCCTTTCCGTCTTGATTGTGGCCTTTTCTTTTTGCTATTAATTTCCTCAGCATAGGTTAACCTGAACTCTTAAAAGCTATTTAGGTACTGGTATAAAACAAAATTTTCTCCAAAGCAATCCAGTATATAATATCTGGATTTTAAAAAAGCAGCCTCATTTAATTAGGATTAATTTCTCCTTTCAGAAGTTAAGTGATTCTGTTTCTGTAAAACGCAAAATTATAAGCTTAATTGTTTTCCACACAGGAAATGAAATTCCTAATCTTTTTATCCAGAATCTTCATGTGTTTGTCTCTCTGTCCATCTGTCACTCCTTTTTAAGGTACCTGGAGATGACCTAGAGGCTTGCCACGCTTAGGGTTTCCTCCCTGTGCAGAAGAAGATGGGAAGTGCAAATGAGGACGAGGGGTGGGGAGGGAAGAGGGAGTCAGGTGATTCAGCAAGTGCAGGAGCCCACAGACTAAGCTCAGGAATTTGCACTTTGTCTGCTCGCAGAGTGAGTTTCATCGTGGTGTGTATATATTGAGATATGCAACAGACTCCACTGGAATGTCAGAAGAACTTATGTTTATTTTTCCTCTAACATGTGGGAAAGATTAAACTGTATTTGTATTTAACTCACATAGATTGGCACGTGCTCATTCTGTGTGTCACCCTGCCACGCTGTCACAAACTTCGAGCAGGGTCCTGAGGGGAGAGGAGGGCATAGCTCCTGCTCCCAGGGGGTTGCCTGTGTAGCCCTGCGCATTCATTCTCTTCCAGAGGGTTGTGATTTGTGGCGGTCTGTGTGAGCCTGGTTAAGGAGAGTTACAGATTATGTCATCTGGTGTTAACTGATAATCTTTGCAAAAGGGACATTGGCTTTAAGAGATGTCTGCAAAAAAAACTCTAAACAAACATAAATAAAAATTTAAAAGGATAAAGCCAGAATAATAATGAAAATATTAGTAATGTAAAACAAGGAAATGTGTCATGTTTTTCATGATAACTAATATTTTTTCAATTTTTTTTTTTTTTTAAGACAGTCTCACTCTGTCACCAGGCTGGAGTCAGTAGTGCGATCTTGGCTCACTGCAACCTCCACCTCCCAGGTTCACACAATTCTCATGTCTCAGCCTCCTGAGTAGCTGGGTTTACAGGCACTCGCCACCATGCCCAGCTAATTTTTGTATTTTTAGTAAAGACAGGGTTTTACCATGTTGGCCAGGCTGGTCTCAAACTCCTGACCTCAGGTGATCGGCCGCCTTGGCCTCCCAAAGTGCTGGGATTACAGGCGTGTGCCACTGTGCCTGGCCCCAGTTCTTATTATAAGTTCTCCATTAACCATATCATGAGATTAAAAAAACAACAATGATTTCATCGGAACTGACAAATAGTGGGTGACACAATTTTGATCATCAAGAAGACTTTAAAAGAAGGATTTGTATCACTGTCATTACTGATTACTTGGCCCTTGTGTATACTGGGCCTTTAGCTAGGGCTGGTACAATAAAATAACCATAGTTAGAAAGATATTTTAAAGGATTACTTATTTCATGTTTATCTCACCCTTTTATCCCTATTTTTGGGCATGATTTATTATTATTAGGTTTTTAAATAAATAATGAAATAAGCATGTTAGGTTTGCATGCTGCTTTGGTTAACATTGCTATATAACCAACCACCCCAAACTTTGTGGCCTTAAAACAATAATTTATTTATTTATTTATTTATTTATTTATTTATTTATTTATTTATTTTTGAGACAGAGTCTCGCTATGTCACCCAGGCTGGAGTGCAGCGGCATGATCTCGGCTCACTGCAACCTCCACCTCCTGGGTTCAAGTGATCCTCCTGCCTCAGCCTCCCGTAGAGCTGGGATTACAGGCACCCGCCATCAAGCCCAGCTAATTTTTCCTTTATTTTTAGTAGAGACGGGGTTTCACCATGTTGGCCAGGTTGGTCTCGAACTCCTGATCTCAGGTGATATGCCTGCTTTGGCCTCCCAAAGTGCTGGGATTACAGGTGTGAGCCACTGTGCATGGCCAACAATAATTTATTTTTATCTCTCATGGTCTCTAGATTGCCTGGGCCCGGCTGAGCAGTCTGAGTCAGCCTTATGGTCTCTCATGTGTTTTTAATCAGTCATGAGGGGCCGGCATCATCTGAAGGCTTGACTGGGCTGGATGTTTAAGACAGCCACTCACAGGGCTGACAGTGATGCTGGATGTTGCACTGTTGACTAATGAGCCTGCACGTGGCTCCTCCATGTGATTTGGGCTATTTATAGCTGGGGTGACTGGGTTCTAGGTGGGGTAGTTCCAAGATCCTTCCAAGAGGAAGAAAGCAGAAACTGCCTGGCCAGTTAGTGTATATGCTTAGTCTTAGAACAGTGTCACTTCCATATTTCTCCATAGTCCATTAATCAAAGCAGTTACAGGAAGCAGACAGACAGGAAGGGAAAACACAATGCAACAGAAGGAGAGATTGAAGTGTTGGCAGCTGCAAGCCAAGAAACACCTGGGTTACCAGAAGCTAGAAGAAGAAAGGTAGGATTCTCCCCTACAGGTTCCAAAGGAAGCTGGGCCTGTCCACACCTCACCTCTGGAACTATGAGACAATCACTTTCTGTGGGTTTAAGCTACCCAGTTTGTGGCACTTTGTTACTACCGTCCTAGGCAAATGATACAGTAACTACATACACAGTACATAGAATTGCTCATTTTACTTCGTTGAATGGGACTTGGCATTGAATAAGCCCAAATGAGAATTCTTTTGTCAAGATTTTTTTATGGCTCACTTTTCCAGAGACGTGACATGGCAGGAGTAAGGGGAGGGTTTGGCAGGTAGGAATTATACTCATCTGTCATTGTCTTCCCAATACCAACCAGGAAGCATGTAAATAATAGCTGTGCAGTTTGTTTTCTGAACCAAACTGGGCCTTATTTTTTTTAAAGAAACTTTATTAAACAAACAAAAACCTAGAAACACTAGATGTATATTTTTAAGGTTTCTCTCACATAATATCCTAATCATCAGTATACCGTAATCCAAGGGCTACATATAACTGAAAAATAAATGGGTCTTAAAAAAATTAAAACATGGTATATAACACTAGCTAACATGTACTGAGCAGTTACTAAGTGCTAAGTACTGCTAAGTCCTTTATAGATATCTTCATGTTGAGTGTCGTCACTGCCCATTACTTACTCTGAGTTTAAATATGAGACTCAAAAGAGGTTAGTAATTTGCCAAAAGTCATAGGGCTTATAAGTGATAGAACCAGGATAACGAATCTCAACCAAGGGACTTCAATGCCCAAACCGGTGCTCAGACTGTAGCCCCATGTAGTTAGCTATTTACATTTGAAAAAATTTTTAATGTTTATTATTTTTTTTAAGACAGGGTCTTGCTCTGTCACCTAGGCTGGAGTGGAGTGGTGTGATCTTGGCTCACTGCAACCTCCACCTCCTGGGCTCAAGTGATCCTCTCATCTCAGCCTCCCAAGTAGCTGGGACCACAGGTGTATGGCACCACGCCCAACTAATTTGTTGTGTTCTTGGTAGAGGTGAGTTTCACCATGTTGCCCAGGCTGGTCTTGAACTCCTGAGCTCAAGTGACCTGCCCACTTGCCTCACCCTCCTAAAGTGGGGGGATTACAGGTGTGAGCCACCATGCCCGGCCCAGCTATTTACATTTAAATATAAATTAAAATGAAACAAGATTAAAAATTCGGTTTCTCAATCACACTAACCACACTTGAAGTGCTCAGTAGCTACATGTGGCTTAGTGGCTACCTGGCAGATATAGAACGTTTCCATCAGCACAGAAAGTTCTACTGGAAAGCATTGATCCAATCTCTTTGAACAGTCACAATGCATATAAAGTCCTTATTATGACTGTACAAGGGAAGACAACGAGTAGAGGAAGGCAGAAAATAGGAAAAAAGGAAGAAGAAAGATTTAGGGTGAGGGAGAGCAGTTCTATGAAGAAAAGAAGCTCATATCTAGGAGTGGAGTGGACCCTGAGAACATGTTAGTCTATTATATTCTAAACTTTGGCAGTTAAAATTCCAAAGTATATTAAGTACATGCTTTCTAAAATATTAGAGAGCTGCAGTTCAACAGATTTTTAACTCTCCACAGCATGTCCGGCACTGGGTGAGGTGGGATGGCTAGGTGAATAATATAGGCATTGTCATGTGTGTTCGTGTGAAGAGACCACCAAACAGGCTTTGTGTGAGCAATAAAGCTTTTTAATCACCTGGGTACAGGCGGGCCGAGTCTGAAAAGAGAGTCAGCAAAGGGTGGTGGGATTATAATTAGTTCTTAGAGGTTTGGGATAGGCGGTGGAGTAGGAACAATTTTTTGTGGGCAGGGGATGGATCTTACAAAGTACATTCTCAAGGGCGAGGAGAATATTACAAAGTACCTTAAGGGCAGGGAAGGATATTACAAAGTACCTTCTCAAGGGTGGGGAGGGTGTATCATACAAAGTGCATTCACAAGGGTGGGGAAATATCACAAAGTACATTATCGCAAGGGCAGGGAGGGTGTATTGTCACAAAGTCAATTGATCGGTTAGGGTGGGGCAGGAACAAATCACAACAGTGGAATGTCATCAGTTAAGGCAGGAACCTGCTATTTTCACTTTTGTTGATCTTCAGTTGCTTCAGGCCATCTGGATGTATACGTGCAGGTCACAGGGGATATGATGGATTAGCTTGGGCTCAGAGGCCTGACAGACATGAACTTCCCATCATAAAATTAGAAGAGCATTAATCAAATGATTAGAATAAAATATTACCATTATTTTGAAATGGCAAGCATTGTATGTAAATAAACAGCAGAGGAACCCACTGTAGCCTAGACAGGGTTCAGAGACGTTCCTGCCAAGGACATGGCACAGGGACTGAACAAGGAAGGATGACAGTGCCTGGCAAAGGCAGGGAATGTTACAGGTATTTGGGCACCTGTGAGAAGGCCTGATGTCCGAAAGGACTGAAATAAATTAAATGTGTGGGGGGAGAGAGAAAGAAAGAGCCTAGCAAAAGGTGAGCTGGAGAGTCAGAGGCAGAAGGCAGAATCTGGGATGGGCTGGGAGCTTGCCAATCATTTTGTCAAATGGGTGATGTGAAGCCTTGAAGGTTTTTTGACCAAGAGGAGATGTCTTCAGATTTGCGTTTGAGACATTTTCACTGGTTGTCATGCTAAGAATGGCTTAAAGAGAAGCAAGGCTGGGGTCAGAGGAGCTGCTTGGAAGCTGTTTGGTACTAGGATGCGGATAACATGGTTGGAGAAATGGCAACTGTCAGGGTATTTGGAGCAAGAATGGATAGACATTGGTGATCATCACTTGGATGCATTTGAGGGACAACTGCTATGTTTCTACTAGAGCAACTACATAGAGCAGGAGTAAGCAACTTACAGTCCACAGACCACATTTGCTCTGTCCCGTTTTTCAAATACAGTTTAATGGAAACAGAGCCATGCCCGTTCTTTCACCTATTCTGCATGGCTGACATCAGGCATGGTTCTAAGTAATATACATAAGTTTCATATATTAATGCTCATCTATCCCAGTTGACAAACATGAAGTGTTGCTATTGTCTCATTTTACAGCGGAGAAAACTGACATAGAGATTCTCTTTCGCACCCATAGCTTCAGTTACCACCTCTATGCCAATGATTCAATAATACCTCTAATCCAGACCTCTTCTCTGAGCTTCAGACAGGCAGATCTCTCACAGCCAGTCTTGGAGACACTTCAGAAATCATAGGTCCCAAACCAGACTCCTCCTCATCCCCTCAAACACATTCTTTTTCAACATTCCTTTTTTCTTAGTGAACATCACCAAATAGATAAGCAAGTCAGATCCAAGGAGGCCTCCTTGGCACTTCTCTCATCCTTGTCCCACCTTATATCATCTATTTTTCTTTTTCTTTTTTTTTGAGATGGTGTCTCACTGTGTCACCCAGGCAAGTGCAGTGGTGTGATCCTGGCCCACTGCAGCCTCAACCTCACCAAGTTCAGGTAATCCTCTCACCTTAATCCCGTGAGTAGCTGGGACTACAGGCACATGCCACCGAGCCCGGCTAATTTTTGTATTTTTACCAGAGACAGGGTTTTGCCATGTTGCCCAGGCTGCCACCTTATCTCCATTCTTGCTGAAATCTGGCTGTTTCTCTCCACTTCTATTACCAACCACCAGCCAAATCTGACTTATTAAAAGGATCATCTCGTATGTGGGTTCTGTAATAGCTTCTTCAAAATCCATTCCTCTCCACCCAGACCCTCTTCCAATCTCCAAACTGCAGCCAATACCTTCAATTCTGTCACCGCTCCTGCATACTCCACCTAATCCTTAACCTTTCAATGGTTTCTCTTGCCCCTAGGTTAAGCTAAATTGAAAACTGCTAAAGCTACAGCTTCTTAGTGTAACTAGTAAGTACAGTGACTACTATGTCTGGTTTACTTCAGCTGTTGCTGACTAATAGCACTTCTTGAATGAAGAAATTATATTACCGTACTGTAGGGAAAAATTTGTACTTCAATGGAAAACTGAATTATTTAGAGCAAACCTTTAAGGTTATCTGATTCTGATTCCATGGGCCCTTTCATTGGGTCTTACATTGTTTCATTGTTTTTGAGTTATTTTACAGATGACTGATAGAAATGCAAAATAATTATTGCATGCAGTCATGCAAGTAAAATCTGAAGGTCAGGGTTCAATTAACTTCTCTCCCCTACTGTGGAAGAAGCCAATTTCATTTGCATATTCATTTCAATATTTCTGACCTATAAACATGCCTGTTCTTTGAACCAGTTTTTATATCTGCCTGGTAACTTCATTAAATGATTTAAATAAACTCTATAATTTAGTTTATTTTATACCTGTATGACAGTCAGGCTTTTACCTTATTTTTGCTTTTTAAAATTATTCTTTAGCTCTCCCTAAGGCACTACTTGGCTGGCCCTTTGGCTACTCACTAGCCCAAGCTCCATCCTCTTCTGTCTACCGCAGCCCCAGGCTCTCTTTTGGCCCTTTGTTCCAGCCCTCCTCAGAGAAGTTCTTTTGTCCTGGAACTCACTTTCATACCAGGTGCTCTTCATCCCTTCTTCCTTTAGTAAATTTCTTTAATCTTTCAGATTTCTGCTCAAGGATCACTTGCTGAAAGCCTTTCCAGGCCTTTCTGAGTCAATACAATCCATTATTAGAGGCTCTTAGAGCACAGGCAGCACTTGTTATAATTTTACATCTGTCTGTGGGATTCCTTAACACTTTCTAACACAATTAACACTTTTCTCTCTGGCTGGGGGCAATGCATGATAACAGGATGATGGTATGCTCTCAACCCTCCCCCAGCAACTAGCCCAGTGCTTCGAACATGGTGGATAGATACACCGTTTTTATTTTAGACAGATTTTTGAGTAGCAAGTACCTACTGCTCAGGAGACAGATGGACTGAAAAAATATATTTGGGAGTCATCAGCACATAGGTGCAGCCATGAAAATGCACGAGAAGCAAAACCATTGGCAGGAACAAAATGAAGGCTATTAGAGACCTTATTTAGGTGGAATAATTGGACAGAAGCCCTTAATGGGGAGGAAATAGAAGCAGTTAATACAGATGGAGGCCGGGCGCCGTGGCTCACGCCTGTAATCCTAGCACTTTGGGAGGCTGAGATAGGTGGGTGGCTTGAGTCCAGGAGTTTGAGAGCAGCCTGGGCAACATAGCAAAACCCGGTCTCTACAAAAAATACAAAAATTAGCCCGGCGTGGTGGCGCAGGCCTGTAGTCCCGGCTACTGGGGAGGCTGAGATGGGAGAATTGCTTGAACCGGGGAGGCGGATGTTGCAATTAGACGAGATCGCGCCACTGCACTCCAGCCTGGGCGACAGAGCGAGACTCCGTCTCAAAACAACAAGGACAAAACTTATCTTATAAGCGACCCTGGACTTCCAGGGACACTCGCCGCTCTATGGTGGTACGTGACCTGCCTGGACTCTGTGGTCTTTGGAGCTTGGGACCCCACCCCAGCGTAAGAGGCCTTTCTGTGCCTTGTATAAAGGAGAGGAAAAGTGTAGGTTTTCTGAGTTGATAAGATTAGAGCTACAGTATATTATCAGTAGCGTTGTATGAAACCATTTAAAAAACCAAACCGGATTTAACCGCTTTCACCCAGAATAAACTGCCCTCCCCCTCTTTCCAAGATCAAGTCAGCCCCAGTTACCACTTCCTATTAATTTAAAAACCAGGAAGGCTCATAATTTAGGCTGACGTTGCCCCAGGCGAACACTGCATATAAGACAATAGCTATTCCAATCCTCCTTTCCCTTTCTAAACCGAATAGTACTTCTAACATCACTTTTCCAGTCCTCTTTCTAAATATTGCGATCACGAGCCTACATCGGAAAACTATGAAAACAGTATGATTGGAGCTCTTGATGGTCTGCTTTGCCTGAAAACGATGAAAGGCATTGAGATCTTTGGGCAGAAATGGCCCTTAGGGAATGCGAGCCTGGTAGCCCCATAACACCCCGAGTTACAAATTCGGTTTGGGTAGGTGGCGCAGGGAAATCTAAAAGCTGGATTCACGTTCTCCCCCTTCAGTTTGCACATAGCGGTCAGTGGCAGACAAGAGCAGACGCACAAATGTCAATCCCCGCCCGCAAACTCTCGAGGGCAGAAACTGCTTTTTGTCAGTTGGATTTGGAGTCGGTGGAAAAGCTGCCCTAATGTAGTTTCTCCGAGGTTTCCTTAGCCTTGACCGAGGGGCGCTTCCCGGCCATTCACCTAGAGGTTGTTTAATAAACAAGGATGCTCGCGAAATATCTGCGCTTGGAAAGGCGCTCGTTCGTGGCGCGCATTCTCGGGCCTCCGCAAGCGACCCCGGTGACAGGGACAACCGCTTCGGTTTTAGCGACTGCAGACAGACTGGGACGAGACGGTTGGAGGCTCCTCCCCAAGGGATGCTGGAGGGGTTGCGTCGTACCCTGCGCCTGGCCCTGGCGCGCGGCCCCAGGTCGTGGTACCCAGCGCCCTATGGGCCGTGCGCCGGGGCTTGGCCACACCGCCTGCTTTCGCTTCCAGCCGCGCGCTCCGTGCCACTGCCGCTCTCTGCAGCCCCGCGTCCCCGCAGCCTCCCCATGGCCAGCCCGCTTCGCTCCGCTGCGGCCCTTGCCCGCCAGGTACCTCGAACCCGGGCGTTTGCGGAAGGGGGGAGGATTGGAACCCGGGTCTCGGTAGCTCGCGGGCCTGGCCGGGCGCCTTGTCGCCGTTTCCTGCACCATCCTCCTTCGCCTTGCCCTCCATTCCGCCTCCAGCGAGGCGTCTTCCCTTCCCCGCATCCCTGCCCGAAATCTGGAGTCCCAGCCTGCAATCTCCACCTCTTCGAGGTTCCCGCTGCCCAGGTCTAGCACCCTCATGGGTAACCCGCTCCGGAGCGTGGCGAGGACCGCCACGGGGGACGTGAGGGTAGCTATGGACTCGCTCTGAGGGAGGAGGCGGGAGCTGAATCTCTGGGCTGCCAGAACCCACAGCCACATCCTACGTGACTCTGCCACCCCAAAATATTTTGACCGCAGCCTTCTGCCTCCTTGGATCTCTTCCTTCCCCACCCCCACCCCCGTAGTTATTTAGCAGATTACGCATTAAAACAAATGTCTGCAGGTTTTCCCAATTAGTCCCGCTTCCCTGTGTCTTTATCTTTTAAATTGCCCACTAATACCATGAGGTTTAAGGTGTGGGGTGGATGCTGCGGCATCGGAGGACCCTGCTGGTGGAGGAAATGGTTCACGCCCGTCCCCGTTCCCTTTGCAGGCTTGCTATTGTGCGTCTGTGATTGACAAGACCACGAGGCTGAGCGCGCCCTGGAGATTTTTCTATAAATGGCTTAACACCCCAGTCTAGACTATTTGCTCGGATATAAGGGAGACAATTGTTTTTTTGTTCTTTGCCGGCGAACCCTGGCTCTGTAGGGCTGACCTGGAATTTAACCAGTCTTCCCTGAGCCGGCGGAGGAGGACAAAAACCGCCGCGACCCCGGCAGGGTGGGAAGTGCAGGGCAGCGCTCCCAAGACACGCTTGTTGGAGGTTCGGGCCTGGGTGCTTGGTTGTCTGAGCCTCCTTTTTTGTGTTTGCCTGGGTCCTGGAGAGGAGCGCACGGTATCATGGTGAGCGTCACGTAGGTTACCCCGGGTCCCGCTTACCCACCTGCATTTACTTAATGGTGGTTTAATTCTTCTTTAAGGATTGCAGTAACGGATGCTCCGCAGAGTGTACCGGAGAAGGAGGATCAAAAGAGGTGGTGGGGACTTTTAAGGTAAGTTGCTTGCCAGAGGCTTAGTGTCTAAAGCAACGTTCAACTGAATAAATCCATTTCTTGTTGAGATTCGGGGAAATTTTCACTGTGTGGGTTACCCAGTTCCTAGGTTGTGTTGCCAGACTTTTAAAATTCCACTCTTAGAGGAAAAAAAGCCATTTAGAGAGTGACAGTACATTCATCACAACAAAAATTATCTAGCAGCTAATTGCTGATTTTATTTTGAGTCATATATTTTTCTTGAAAAATAGTCAATGCGTAAATATTAAACTAGTTGTTTATCAGATTCCATAATACGTACAAACCTTCAGTCTACTTGTAGAAAAAGTTAAACTGTGATTTTTCTCTTTCAGTAGCACATAACACTCTACAGTGAAAGTGTTGCATTTTCTTCTTTTCTATCTGAATTGCGGGGTTTATATAGTAAATAGCTCATACTTCAAACAGTGAGAAACAAAGCACGTTGAAAACTGTACAAATACAAATGTAAGATGTAATATTATTTTTTCTATAAGTCTATCTCCTACCCTCCCTCCTCGTGGAGGTTTTAGCTTCTTCTTTTTATGCCTAGTGCTGCTCTTCTGCCTGTTTGAGTCACTGTCAATTGTCATCAGACAATTGACACAGAGTGTCCTAATGATCTCACATCCTGGCGGTTCAGAGAGGGAAGGAAACTTGACTCATCAGTTTCTCACACATTGAGCTCTCTCACAGTGTGCTGGAGACTGTGCCATGCATTGGACATCCAAAGGTGAATTCAAGATTAGGTCTCTACTTGCAAGGAATTTTTATTTTATTTTTCTTTTTCCTTCTCTTGCTGTCATCTTAGCAAGGATTTTTTAAAAAGCAAAATTAGAATATTGCAATTTCTTTTCTGTTTTTTGAGACAGGGTCTCGCTCTGTCACCCAGGCTGGAGTGCAGTGGCACGATCTCAGCTCACTGCAATCTCTGCCTCCCAGGTTCAAGTGATTCTCCTGCCTCAGCCTCCTGAGTAGCTGAGATTACAGGCATGTGCCATCACGCCCAGCTAATTTTGTATTTTTAGTAGAGATGGGGTTATCACCATGTTAGCCAGGCTGGTCTCGAACTCCTGGCCTCATGCAATCCACCTCCCAAAGTGCTGGGATTGCAGGCGTGAGCCACCAAGCCTAGCCTGAAGAATTCTTTGCAAAGAAAAATATCAACTCAAATTTAAATAATCTTTTCCTTTCTTTTTCTTTTTTTTGAGACAGAGTCTTGTTCTGTTGCCCAGACTGAAGTGCAGTGGCACCATCAATTAGGTATCACTTTCAGCCTTGATCTCTCAGACTCAAGTGATCCTCTTAGCCTCTCAAGTACCTGAGACTATCGGCTTGCATGCCATCAGGCCCAACTAATTTCGTCATTTTTTGTAGAGATGGGATCTCCCTGTGTTGCCCAGACTGATCTCCAACTCCTGGGCTTGTGCAACCCTCCCACCTCGGCCTCCCAAAATGCTGGGTCACAGGCATAAGCCACAATGCCTGGCCATAAATAATCTTTTTTATTTGTTAATTTAGATTTCTGTATATTAGGTTTTATTTAGGGGAATTGCCTGTTTACACTCATGTATTTACACATCAAAACATGAGTTATGGTGGATGTATTCACAGCACATATGTAATAAGGCATGTGTAAAAATGATATTGATAATTTAGGGAATAAAAATGGTAGATTTTATAGACCATCTTTGTTTTTGATATACTTTTCTCTGTCTCAAAAAACAAAAACAAAAACAAACAAACAAACAAAATATATATATATAGCCTACATTGTTGTTAACTATAATCACCCTACTCTGCTATGAACAGTAGACTTTATCGCTTCTATCTAACTGTATGTTTGTACTCATTAACCAACCTCTCTTCCTCCACCTACACCCTTCCCACCCCCTGCCATCTTCTGATATCTATCATTCTATGAGTACTCTCTTCCTCCATGAGATCAACTTTTTTTTTTAGCTCTCACGTATGAGTGAGAACATGCAATATTTGTTTTTCTGGGTTTTTTTTTTTTTCTGTGTTTGGCTTATTTCGCTTACCATAATGACTTCCAGTTCCATCCATGTTGCTACAAATGACACGATTTTACTCTTTTTTAATGGCTGAGTAGTATTCCATTGTGTATATGCACCACATTTTATTTGTTCATTGATGGACACTTAGGTGATTCCATGTCTTGACTATTGTGAATAGTGCTGTAATAAACATGGGACTGCAGATATCCCTTTGATATACTGATTTCCTTTCCTTTGGAAAATACCCAGTAGTAGGATTGTTGGTTTATATGGTCATTCTACTTTTAGTTTTTTTTTTGGAAAGCTTCATACCATTTTCCACAGTAGATAAACTAATTTACATTCTTACCAACAGTGTATAAGCGTTCTCTTTTCTCTGTATCCTCATCAGCATCTGTTATTTTTTGTCTTTCTAATAATAACCATTCTAACTGTGGTTGCTTTTGACATATTTCTCTACCTTTTTGTTAATCTACATCATTTATAACATTTCATATGGCCTTTTGGGTCTCTCTTGGGTAGTTTTCGTATTTCTTCTCCCCTCCCCATTTATGATGCAGTCATATTACATGAGGATGCAGTTTTGCAGCAGGGCCTAGCAATGAGATACGTTGTTACACATCCTGGCGAATCTTTCTGTGGACTCTAGGATCCTCTTCATTTGCAAGAGGTCAGCCATCTATTTCTTCCAATTCCTCCAGCTTCA
Source organism: Homo sapiens (assembly GCF_000001405.40). Lineage (NCBI taxonomy): Eukaryota > Metazoa > Chordata > Mammalia > Primates > Hominidae > Homo > Homo sapiens. Next base: position 24,899,071 of record NC_000012.12, on the reverse strand, counting down.
CATATCTCCACAGAATGCAACACTGCAAATCTGCAGTTCTCTTCATGATCCTCTTTATTAGATTTTAAAAGAGTATCTCCAAAAGATGAACATAGTGCCTAAGGCTTTCCAAATGGAGTAAGAATAATGCACAAGAACCTAGAATAAAGTTATTAAATGTCTGATACAGTTGTAATACAGACTTGATTTTTGAAAAATGTGGCCAATGAAGAGAAGAGCAAATGTGCTATACGATGGTGAGCAAAAGGTGTTGACAGGCCTGGCATGGTGACTCACCCCTGTAATCCCAGCACTTTGGGAGGCTGAGGTGGGTGGATCATTTGAGGTCAGGAGTTTGAGACTAGCCTGGCCAACATGGTGAAACCCTGTTTGTATTAAAAATACAAAAATTAGCCAGGTGCGATGACACATGCCTGTAATCCCAGCTACCTGGGAGGCTGAGGCTTGAGACTTGCTTGAACCGGGGAGGCGGAGGTTGCAGCGAGCCGAGATTGTGCCACTGCACTCCAGCCTGGGCAACAGAGCAAAAAAAAAAAAAAAAAAAAAAAAAAGTGTTGACTGAACCCTGGCTGAAACAGTTTTCAGGTGCTTTCAACAAATTTACACTTCCCTGCCCTGAGCCTCCCTATTTCAGAACAAATGATTACCCAACTGCAAACTTTGAATTAGGAAGTTGTTTTTAATATGCCCTGTTTTTCTCAATATTTCTTGCCATTTCACAATCAGTTATTGTGGCATTCCAATTCTTCCACAAACATATGATGTGAAACATCCTGACTTCGATGTCATCAGGGAATGTGGAGCATTGGAAAGAGACAGATTAATTATGCAGAAGAAAGTATCATTTGACAAAATATTATTTTTATTTATCTTTGGAAAGGAAATCTAGAAAAAGAAAATACTTTTTAAAGAACACTGATAAAAATTGTTTATAAAATTTGTTTCCTTTAGGAAACAAATCGTTCCCTTAAAACTACATTTCATATCTGCCCCAAACGAGTCACATGTCTTCAGCTAATATTGCTTGTTTACGTTTGAACTTTATTCAATTCTATCACCTAGTAATTTAGTATTCTTAGGTAATTTCTCTTTGAGCTCAGGTTAAAAGTTGTTATTTTTAGTTTTCAGAGTTGCAGAATTTTTTTTTCAAGTAGAGAAAAGTTCATGATGAGATTCTGAAGCCACCTAATCGTATATTACTTTGAAAAACTGGATATATGCCGGGCGCGGTAGCTCACACCTGTAATCCCAGCACTTTCAGAGGCCGAGGTGGGTGGGTCACCTGAGGTCAGGAGTTCGAGACCAGCCTGGTCAACATGGTGAAACCCCATCTCTACCAAAAATACAAAACTTAGCCGGGTGTTGTGGCACATGCCTGTAGTCCCAGCTACTCAGGAGGCTGAAGCAGGAGAATCACTTGAACCTGGGAGGCGGAGGTTGCAGTGAGCCCAGATCACATCACTGCTCTTCCGCCTGGGTGACAGAGTGAGACTCCATCTAAAAGAAAAAGCAAAACAAAACAAAACTGGATACAGGGCAGTGCTTAGGTACAAATCAGAAAGTTAGAGGTTGCTATTCATATCATTAAGAAATAATGTGTCTTACGAAAGAATGTAGCAGTTTACTGAAATAGAAGTCATACCTAGAAATGTAATAATTTATCTTTAATTGTCAGAAATTTAACTGATATTATGAAGTTCTAATTATAAGAACACTTATTTGAGGTTAAAAATTACCTTATTCTATCCCTGCTTTGCCGCTAATTTGATCTCTCTGGATTAGTGGGTTATTGTGGGTCCTATGGGTATTTTAAGGAGAGGTCTCAGAAAACTAAAAATTATATATACTGGATCATAATCATTCTTGTCACCCACTCTCATCTTTCTGTTTTTGTTTTGTGTTTTACTACCCTTCCCCTTTTACTAAGTAGTCTTAGTAGAAGAAAATTTGCATTAAGTTTGTCGTACTGTATTGATATGGCTCCAAATGTTTCTTAGCCCAGGGTCCTCCCCATTCACTGATAAAAGCTAACTAAGGTAAATCACAGGTGTTTATTGTGCAAGAATACTGTGAAACTATTCATGTAATAAAAAGTTTGTGTTAGAATTTCACTCTCTTTAAATCCTGGACATCTTCTGTGAGTGTATCTGAAAGCAGCCAGACATCTTCAGTATTTAAGAAACCCTTTACTATTCTGTGTGCTAGGCACTGTGTTAGCTTTGGAATTCAACTGTGAATACTCTAGCCAGACTTCTTGTCTAAATAGTCCAGAATAGGGGTTGCTAAACTTTCTTTCTTTTTTTTTGAGATGGAGTTCCACTCTTATTGCCCAGGCTGGAGTGCACTGGTGTGTCTCTGCTGACTGCAACCTCTGCCTCCCAGGTTCAAGCAGTTCTCCTGCCTCAGCCTCCCAAGTAGCTGGGATTACAGGCGCCCACCACTACACTCAGTTAATTTTTGTATTTTTAGTAGAGACAGGGTTGTGCTGTTTGCCAGGTTGATCTCAAACTCCTGACCTTTGGTGATCCACCCGCCTCGGCCTCCCAAAGTGTTGGGATTCAGGGTGTGCCACTGTGCCCGGCCTGCTAAACTTTCTTAAATGGCTAGATGATAAATATTTTAGGCTTGAGGGCCATCAGGTTTCTGTTACAACTAGTTGGCTGTGCTGCCACTGAAGATACAAGAATGGCGTGACTATGTTCCAATAACATTTTAATTTCAAAACAGGCCAGCTGGCTGCATTTGGTCTGCAAGTAAAGTCTGCCTGACCCCCTACCTAGTCCAGAGGACAACGGGAGAGAAAAGGGATTCAAAGATAAAAATAATTTAGCTGGAATATATTTCTTTAAATAAACTTATTATACTTAGTAAAAAGTCTTAAATTAACGTTTTTACTTGAATTAAATAGTGGTAAAACAGGCTGGGCACAGTGGCTCATGCCTGTAATCTTAGAACTTTGGGAGGTCGAGGCAGGCAGATTGCTTAAGCCCAGGAGTTCGAGACCAGCCTGGGCAACATAGTGAGTCCCTATCTCTAAAAAAAATACAAAATAATAATAATAATGGTAGAACAAAGTCAATTTTTTATTGAAACTTGGCATTTTATTGGCATATTACAAAGTAGCATTACTAGACTAGCCTGAACATTACAGTAATATTCTGTCCTTAATGCCTTTTGTGTCACTGTAATATGAGCTTTCTGTTTGTTTTGGAATATGTTTTCAGCCTGAATATTATTCTAAAAATACAATTTACTATCATTCATAATATATCAAATGACTCACGTAGCTGCAAGGCAGTGAATTAAACAGAATTAGATCATTTTAAAAATAATGATAAGAGCTGATGATGTAAAGTGAAGGTCTGTATTTAATTTGGGAGGGAAAAGACTTTTTTTGTATATTCAAAGAGATGGAGTTTGACATCCCTTCACAACCTGTTACAGGTTGAACTTGCCCCTGTTTTTTTAACTGATCAAAAAGTTCCTTCTCTTGTGTTTCTTTTTTTCTTCTCTTTTCTCTTCTTTTCTTTTCTTTTTTTTTTTTCTGAGACAGAGTCTTGCTCTGTCTCCCAGGCTGGAGTGCAGTGGTGCGATCTTGACTCTCTGCAACCTCCGCCTCCCGGGTTCAAGTGATTTTCCTGCCTCAGCCTCCTGAGTAGCTGCGACTACAGGTGCATGCCACCACGCCTGGCTAATTTTTAGTATTTTTAGTAGAGACGGGGTTTCACCATGTTAGCTAGGATGGTCTCAATCTCCAAACCTTGTGATCTGCATGCCTCGGCTTCCCAAAGTGCTGGTCTCCTGTGTTTTTGTCAGCATTCCACAGATGCTATAAAGTTAGTGGTGGTATCGCATGCAATTTGTACGCTTAATGTTTGGCCATTTGCAGTGGGCAAACTGGCTATGTCGGGAGCTGGTGAGATGCTGCTTGTGGGGAGTTGTTTCCTATTACTCTGATTTATCTTTGTTTAAATAAGAGTTCCTTTGTTCACTGTTTCCTCCACACAGAACAGAGGATTTATATCTTAGTGTTCATTCTCAACTTTCCTGTTTTCAAAGAGGAAAACATTTGCTTCACTTTGCTCATTTCTTCTCCAGTGCACCCAGAGGATTTTGAAGGCTTATGCCAACAATTCTTTGGGGCAGTTGGAGTGTAACCATTGCTAAATAGCAGTTCAGTACTTAATGACATTCATTTTAGTTTAACAAATCATTGTGAGTGTTGCCATTTTTTATTAGGGAAAACATCTCTTTCATCTTTCCCAAATACTCAACATGAGTCCTATGGTGAGAGTGAAAAAGGGTTGTATTCTTTTTTTGCATCATCTTACCCCATCTGCTATTTTGTCCCTCTTCTATATATCACTGAAATTTGGTTCTGATATTCTATTAGGCAGTGTACATTGCAGAGATTATGAATAACTGGCCGAATTCTGAATGCAGGCATGATTTGTTCAGCTCAGAGTGTTAAATTTCTGTGTTAGCTGCTAACCTTTAAAAGTCAATTGATTTCCTTTTTTTTTTTCCCCTCTGTATAATCTAGCCAGCGAATGCTCAGTAGCTTTTCTGTAAATAGTGATGATTTTTCTTCCCCAGGCTAAAGACCTAATAGTCACACCAGCTACCATTTTAAAGGAAAAACCAGACCCCAATAATCTGGTTTTTGGAACTGTGTTCACGGATCATATGCTGACGGTGGAGTGGTCCTCAGAGTTTGGATGGGAGAAACCTCATATCAAGCCTCTTCAGAACCTGTCATTGCACCCTGGCTCATCAGCTTTGCACTATGCAGTGGAAGTAAGTACATGGGAATTAAAGAGAGTGACATGCTTGCACTTCACTGTGGGTACTAAGTAGCTTCTCCTGCTAAAATAGCTCTTGGGCAGTATGGGCTTTATCATATTTACCAGAGGAAGCCGAAAATGTCTTTAAAAGTTTTCCTATAGACAGTTGGATTGAAGATAAATCTTAGCAGCTAATTTTTCAGATAATCTTGCATTTTCTGTGACGTCAATAAAAAAATTATTTAAAGCAAATAGAAAGGACAGCTGGTGGGAAAATTGGCAATTAAAAAGCCAGCACTGTTGATAATTTAATAAGTCACCTTTCTTCTTAGATCTTCTAATAATTGAGAAAGGGTCATTGAGAACAATATTATGATTTGATTTTAATGCTAACTCCACATTTTTATGACCAGTAATAATGTCTAGTTATGCATGTTAAGGGACATGTAATTAAATGTCCTCCTTCAGCCATGAGTTGAAATAATTTTAAGCATAAAATGTTTAAAGAATTCTTTCTCTGGTCCTTTTCAGGGTGCACAATTAACCAGATGCACAGTATACTTCCCATTGTCTTGATTCTCATTGTATTTTACTTTTGAATGATTTGGACATCTTTCCCAGAATAATAGGGGTGCTGGAAATAATAATAGTCTTCCTATTAAGTGCTAAAATATGGTAATAGTAAAATATTAATAGATTAATGATAAAATAACAACTTTTGTTTACTGAATTCCTGCAATACGTTCTGTATTATGTTCCATATATGAATCATCTCATTTAATTACCTTAAGTGAGAAGGCATGTGATTAAGCATTCAGGCTTTGAAGTCAGACATCCTGGGCTCAAATTCGGTCTCATTTGCTCCATAGGAACCTTTATGACTTGAGGAATTTAATCATTTGTGCTTTAATTTCTTTATCTATAAAATTGGGGTAGTTATAATATCTATCTTACAGTGATCTCATAAGTATAAAATAAAGTAATTTATCTAAGCATATAGAGTCATATCTGGTGCATAGCGAGAGCCCAGTTGTTAGCAATAATAATTAACTCTTGAAGCAGTGGTCTCATCCATTATAAAAGGAGGCTCAGAAGAGTTGTTTCTTGACTAATATTACACAGCAGTAAGGGTGGAGCTAAGGTTCCAATGAGAAGCTTCTTTCTGTTATATAGCCCCTACATGTATACACCAAAATTACTAGGATGCTTTTGCAATTAACTCCTTCAAAATTATAAATTCATATAATTTTGGAAAGATATTCACTGTCCATATGTATCCACAAAATGTTGAATTTAGGAATCTAAGTTTCTGTTCCCAGCTCTTCCTGTTATGTCAATTTGAATGAGTTCTTTCATTATTTGCCACAAGCCCTCACCATGTCATAAGGTATAATAAAGAACAGGTGAAATGAAGTGCTTTTATTTATTTATTTTTCAGACAGATTCTTGCTCTGTCACCCAGGCTGGAGTGCAGTGGCACGATCGTGGCTCACTGCAGCCTCAAACTCCTGGGCTCAAGCAAACCTCGTACCTCAGCCTCCTGAGTAGCTGGGACCACAGACACATGTCACCATGTCTGGCTAATTTTTACATATTTTGTTGAGACTGGGTTTTGCCATGTTGCCCAGGCTGGTCTCAAACTCCTGGGCTCAAGCAATCCTCTTGCCTTGGCTTCTTCAAGTGCTGGGATGACAGCCATGAGCCACTGCTCCTGGCTATGTGCTTTTAAATTTGAAAGGAATAATATGCCCAAGCCCAGGTCACTGGTTCTCAAACTTAATGTGCATCAGAATCAGCTGGCTACATCTCCAGAGTTTCTCATTTCTAACAAGTGTCCAGATCATGTTAATTTTGTCGCTCCAGGGACCACATTTTGGGAATTGCTGGCCTATGGGAAGTAAATGAGAAATGATTTAATGTCATTTTTGGAAGTTAAAAAAGATTTTGGTGGTCACTGGTTTTTGAAAACTCTTTGAAGGCTGGGTGGGGTGGTTCACATCTGTAATTTCAGCAGTTTCGGGGAGATGGGGTTCTTGGGAAATGAGCCCTCCACCCATGGGATCTGATGCTATTTCCACGTAGATAATGTCAGAGTCGTTCAAACCAGAGTGACTCCATCCTGAATAGGGGCTGGGTAAAATAAGGCTGAGACCTACTGGGCTGCAACATGATGAGACCCTGACTCTATTGAAACAAAACAAAACAAAACAAAACAAAACAAAACAAAAAACGGCCAGGCGAGGTGGCTCACGCCTGTAATACCAGCACTTTGGGAGGCCAAGGCGGGCGGATCACGAGGTCAGGAGATCGAGACCATCCTGGCTAACATGGTGAAACCCCATCTCTACTAAAAATAGAAAAAAAAAAAAAAATTAGCCGGGCGTGGTGGCAGGCGCCTGTAGTCCAAGCTACTTAGGAGGCTGAGGCAGGAAAATGACGTGAACCCAGGAGGCGGAGTTTGCAGTGAGCCGAGATCACGCCGCTGCACTCCACACTGGGTGACAGAGCAAGACTCCATCTCAAAAAAAAAAAACAAAAACCTCTTTGGCCATCTATTTAGATGAGTTGGAATGCTACTTTGATTGGTTTTGCCAATTTAGATTTTTGTAATTAGGGTAGTTTAAAAAAACTCTCAAATTACTGTTATCCTTTGTTAAAAACCAAAATCTTTTATTATTAGTCTTCTGCTTACAATATAAGTAAAATAAATGTTTTGTATTAATAACTGGATTGTATATTGCATGGTTACCACTATGTAACAAAATTAATAGCTTAAAATTACAAGCGTCATTTTAAAATTATTTTTCATGTTTCTGGGGTTGACTAGGATGGCTAAGTGGTTTTTGCTTGGGGTCCGTCACACGGTTGCTGTCAGTGGCTGGGGTTAGAGTCAGCTCACAGGCTTCCTAACTCATATGGTGCTGGAGGGAGTGTCTCTTAGCATGCTAATGCTTCATAATTTGTGTATAATGAACAGTGAGGATGACCAGAGGTCACTTTCATTGCCATCTGGGCTGCAAAACTCAAGGAGTTGAAGGCTCTTCCGGCATTACTTGTTCTCCATGTGGTCTCCTCAGGATGGCAGTCACAGAGTAGGCAGCCTTCTTATGTGCTGACCTAGGGCCCAAAATCTGTATGTGTCAGTTGACTGAGCCCAGATGGAAGCTCTATTGCTGTTTACGCCCTAGCCTCAAAACTACTCTTTCAAGAAAAATTCTCCAACCGAGTTTTTCCTCTACTCTCACACCACCACAACAATAGTCAACATAGGAGACTTCTATGATCAAAGGTGTAGGGATTTCTCCCCACCACCAAGCAGTGAACCCCAGCTGGGTGTCCTCCAATTCAATTCTCACACTGTTATTACGGGAAAGGTGTCCCAATCCAGTCCCCAAGAGGTTCTTGGATGTTGCACAAGAAAGAATTTGGGGAGAGTCCACAAAGTAAAATAAAATTTATTAAGAAAGTAAAGGAAAAAAAGAATGGCTACTCCGTAGACAGAGGAGCTCCGAGGGCTGCTGGTTGGCTATTTTAATGGTTATTTCTTGATCATTTGCTAAAGAAGGGGTAGATTATTCATAAATTTTCCAGAAAAGGGATGGGCAATTCCTGGAACTGAGGGTTCCTCCCCTTTTTAGACCTTGTAGGTTAACTTCCCACCATTGCCATGGCCTCTGTAAATTGTCGTGACACTGGTAGGAGTGTCTGTTAGCATGCTAATGCATTATAATTAGCTTATAATGAGCAGCGAGGACGGCCAGACATCCCTTTCATTGCCATATGGGATTTGGCAGGTTTTGGCTGGCTTCTTTACCACATCTTGTTTTATCAGTGGGGTCTTTGTAACCTGTATGTTGTGCCGACCTCCTATCTCATCCTGTGACCTAGAATACTAACCTCCTGAGAATGCAGCCCAGTAGGTTTCAGCCTTATTTTACCCAGCCCCTAATCAGGATGGAGTCGCTCTGGTCCAAACACCTCTGACATTATCCACCTGGAAATAGTGTCAGATCCCATGGGTTAAGGGCTCATTCCCCAAGACCCTAACCACCCTCACCTGGCCCAGACACAAGTCACAAGTCCTGTCCTCTGGAATGTCTGACTGAGAGGCATCAAGTTGGAGTTCCCATGACCCCCTCTTCTGGTTTGATTAATTTACTGGAGCAGCTCACAAAACTCAGGGAAACACTTAGGTTTAGTGGTTTATTATAAAGGATACTGCAAAGTGTATAGATGAAGCGATGTGTAGGGTGAGGTATCGGGGGATAGAGTGCAGGGCTTCCATGCCCTCCCGGGGTGTGCCACCCTTTAGGAACCTTCATGTGTTCTGCTATCCGGAAGCTCACTGAACTCATTCTTTTGGGTTTTTATGGAAGCTTCACGTCAATATTCCTTCCCCTGGGGTATGAGGCAGGACCTTCACCGGAGAGGGTCTTTTATTTTATTTCATTATTTTTAAAATATAAGATGGGGTCTTGCTATGTAGCCTAGGGTGGTATTGAATTCCTGGGCCCAAGTAAGCCTCCCGCCTCTGCCTCCGAAAGTGCTGGGACTACAGGCATGAGCCACCCAGCCCCTTTGGAGAGGATCTTAAGACTCACAGTTAGAAAGGAGGGCAGGAGAAGGTCAGAGAGATTCTGCTTCCTGCCCCTGAGGCCTAACACACCCAGCATTATAACAAAAGACTGTAACAAGGGCTATGGGAGTTACCAGCCAGGAACTGTAAATCACACAGTATTATTTCTGCCTTACTCTTATCAGTCATGATGGTTACAAAGGCCTGTCCAAGTTCAAAAGGAGGAAAAAAGCACTCCACTTCTTGATGAGGAAGGTCAGGGTTCTGGAAGAGCATGGGGGACTGGAAATATTGTTCGGCCATTTCATGGAAAATACAGTCTGTAATAGACATCAGTGATAAATGGGGAGATATGGTGGATGTATTGTTTTCCTCTGAGTGCCAAATTGGGTTCTAAGATTTCACAGGCCAGATATTATTGAAGTGGCTACGTTGTCTGGGGTATATACCTTGGGGTTCGTCATTTTGTGCCAGGAAAATTTAGGACAAGGACTCACACGAGGAGTTTAGGAGTGGAGGTTTAATAGGCAGAAGAGAAACAGAAACAGTTCTTTCTGTAGGGAGAGAGGGATCTTCGAGGGAAAAGACCATCCAGCAGCAGATGAGCTGGATTTTATAGTCAGGTTTGAGGAGGAAGTGTCTGATTTACTTAGGGCTAACAGGTTGGTTTGATCAGGTATGACGTTTACATAGCACACCGGGAAGTCTGGTTGCCCCACCCTAATCCTTTTATGCAAATGGACTTTCCTAGTTGATTGGAGCTATCTTGTCTGCTCCTTACTGTACAGGTGGCTGACAAAGAGAAGGGAAGATGGAGCCGCCATCTTGAACATGATTGACGCAGCTGTGGATATCTATGTCTGCAGCTTGATTTTACAGGCTGCTCTTCTTTAGAAAGGGGCTGCTTTTCATTAAAACAAAAACCTTACTGAGGACTCTTGTACCCTCACTATCTGCAGGTGATTTCTTAACTCCTGTATCATTATTATAGTGTCATAGGAATCTAGGAAGTGTGATTGCCTTCTGGAGAGAACTTCAGGGTCCCTGGATTTTCTCACTAATCATATTCATTTCATTCCCTGTTTACCTGTTTAATAAATGTTGAGTGGCTACTATGTGCCCAGGGCTGTGCAAGGTGCCTGGAATAGGATGGCAAGCAAACCAACCATGACCTTGCTCTCAAAGAATTGTTTTCTTTCTTTCTTTTTTTTCTGAGACAAGGTCTTGCTCTGTCGCCCAGGCTGGAGTGCAGTGGCCTGATCTCAGCTCACTGCAACTTCCACCTCCTGGCTTCAACAGATTCTCCTCCCTCAGCCTCCCAGGTAGCTGGGATTATAGGTGCCCACCACCATGCCCGGCTAATTTTTGTATTTTTAGTAGAGACAGGGTTTCATCATGTTGGCCAGGCTAGTCTCAAACTCCTGACCTCAAGTGATCCGCCTGCCTCAGTGCCGAGATTACAGGCATGAGCCACTGCACCTGGCCTGTTTTCTGTCTTTTTTTTTTAACCCCCACATGGAAAGTTAGGCAGGGATTTAATTTCAAAGAGTTTCTTCCCAAATATTGTGGTGAAACATCTAGTCCATTTATGTTTCAGGCTTTTTCATAGATATTACTGTTTCTCTTAGACTGACAGACTTAGGACATCACATGATTGAATGTCAACCTGACTTTTAAGTTCAATAATAGTTTCATTTTTTAAATGCAAAATTAAATAGGAGTAATATCCTTGAACATGTTTCTCCTTCACTCATCGGACCTATTGAGTCTAGAATCCATTTTATTTTGAGAGCTCCAACTACATGTGGTTTCTGTTAATATCTGAAAGTAATTTTTAATATCTGAAAGTTTCAAATAGTGATAATATTTGAAGGTTTCAAATAGTGGAGGAGAGACGCAAACTGCGAGTAGGGAACGCGGATTGAAGGAAATGAAAAGTTGATAATAGGCACTTCATTTTCAGATTATAACAAATATTTAGTGAAATAAAGCATAATTTTAAAAAATGGATAAGACATGTATGTACTATTTAATGTGTACTAATAAATGAATGCTCATATTTGCCATCCAGATAAAGAAATAGAACAGTTGAACATCACAGAAGCCCTCGCGTGTCCCATTCAGATCACAAACTCTATCTTTCTACTGGTAACCATTATTCTTACTTTTGTGATAACCTTTCTTTGCTTTCCTTTATGGAGTGTGTAGATTCTTAACACTATAGTTTTGCCTCTTTTTGAACTTCATGTAAATGAAAAAATGTATATATTTTGTGTTTGTGTGCATGTGTGTGTGTGTGCTTGCACACGTGTGAATACCCCTTATTGTTTGAGCTTAGTATTATGTAAGATCTAACCAGGAAGGACCAACCTAACATTTGTGGGGCCTGGGACCTAAGTATAGACAGAGATGACATGGTCCACTCCATATCTGTTCCCATCCCAGTTCTGCCCTGTGCTACAAGGGGTCTTCCAGACACTGCATAGGTACCCATACCACCTGCAGGCAGATGACCTTTGCCTGTCCTTTGGAGTTAGGCCTGGGTACCCTACTAGTGGTGTCTGCTCTTGGGATGATAAACCCGAGGGGCTTATCAGCTTTATATATATATATATATATATATATATATATTTTTTTTTTTTTTTTTTTTAGCTAGCATCTCTCTCGTTCTTCCAGGCTGGAGAGCAGTGGTGTGATCTTGGCTCACTGTAATCTCCACCTCCTGGGTTCAAGCGATTCTCCTGCCTCAGCCTCCCAAGTAGCTGAGATTACAGGCACGTGCCACTATGCCTGGCTAATTTTTGTATTTTTAGTAGAGACTGGGTTTCACCATGTTGGCATGTGAGCCACTATGCCCGGCCTCTTTTTTTTTTTTTTTTAAGAGACAGGGTCTTACTATGTTGCCCAGGCTGGTGTTGAACTCCTGGCCTCAATAGATCCTCTGTCCTTGGTCTCCCAAAGTGCTGGCTCAGTCATTATGTTCTTTACTGCCATCCATTGCAGTATAAAAAGAATAACAGTTTTCCCTCAGAATATTCTTGGTGAAACAGTAACAATTATTAATTTTATTAAATCTTGGCTCTTGAGCAAATGTCATTTTAATATTCTGTGTGATAAAATAGCAATGTCACATAAAGTGCTTTTACATACTTAAGTACTATGGTTGTCTGAAGAAAAAGGAGTTGTGTGATTGTCTTGAGTTTGTAAGTGGAACTACTTTTTTCATCGAGCACCGTTTTTACTTGAAATAACAAAGTATGAATATGAATGCAGATTTGGCCATTTGGCAGATTTTTATTTATTTATTTGAGACAAGGTCTTGCTGTGTCACCCAGACTGGGGTGCAGCTCACTGCAGCCTTTACCTCCTGGGCTCAAGTGATCCTCCTGCCTCAGCCTCCTTAGTTGCTGGGACCACAGGTGTGCAGCACCATGCTCAGCTAATTTTTAAATTTTTTGTGGAGACAAGGTCTGACCATGTTGCCCAGGCTGGTCTCGAACTCCTGGGCTCCAGCAATCCTCTCGCTTCAGCTTCTCAAAGTGCTGGAATTACAGGCGTGAGCCACGGTTCCCAGCTCGCCTTTTCATATGTTTATTGGGTTGCTAAATATGTTCTTATTTGAAGTGCCCACTTGTTCAAGTTTTTTGTTCACTTTTTTATTGCTGTCTTTATAATTTTTTGATGACAAGAAATATGTTTAAATTAAAGGCAGTTTTGTCAATCTGCCTTATGTTTGGAATTTGTTGTGTCTTTAAAGACTCTTTTCCTGCCCTTATATTATAAAGATATCTTATAGTATTGATATTGTCATTCACAGTTAGGTCTTTAATCCTAGAAGTTGATTTTTGTATGAAGTAAGGGCCCAATTTATTTTTTTCCACCTATGTATACCCAGTTTTCCCAGCACCATTTAAACGGGCGGTACTTTCCCCTCTGATATGTCATGATGACACCTTTGTCATGTACACATGAGTTTGCTTCTGGATCTCTATTTGTGTTCAGTTGTTTTACTTGTCTGCATAAATGCCACAGTCTTGGTTTCTCAGTCATTATAATGAGCCTTGCCTGCTAGGAAGGGTCCTTCTACTTTGTTCTCCAAGAGTGCCTTGGATATTCTTGGTCATTTTCTTTCCATATAATTTTTAGATTTGGTTTATCAAGTCGATAAACTTTTGTCATGCAGTTTTTTAAAAGAAAATAAAGTGCCCTAATGTGATTTTTTTTAATTTGGATTACATTGAATACATAAATCAGTTTGGGGAAAATCAACATCTTTATAATATTGAGGCTTTTTATCCATGAGCATGAAATTGCTTTCTACATTAATAACTTGGTAAAGTTTTATATTTTCCTTATGGATCTTTCACTTCTTTTGTTAGATTTTTCTCCACCTAAGTACTGTATCTTTTAATTCTACTGTAAATAGTGTTTTTATTTTTTAACTGCTGCTATTACATAGGAATATAATTTTGCATCTGGCCAGCTTGCCTAAACAGATGATTTCAAAATATTATCTGTCAGATTTTCTGTGTTCTCTATCTCTGTAATCATATCATCTATGTTTTATGATCTATGACAGTTATATTTTTTCATCTCCAAGCTGATATTTTAAATTTCATTATTCTTGCTTTATACTGGTTGTACATATTCAGTTAGAGTGATTGCAGTAGGCAATTTGCGATGTTCCCAATTTGATAAGGAAAGCTTTTACATTTTACCATTAAGTATAACGTTTGCGAGCTTATTATAGCTATCCTTTGTCACTTAGGGAAGTTATCTTTGTTTTTTAGTTATCTAGGAAACTAAAAAATCAGAAAAGTTAGTTTGATTTTATCAGATACATCTGCTACATCTAATGAGATGATCATATAGTTTTTTTCCTCCCATAAACTGTGAATATAATGAATCACATTAATTGATTTTTTTAAATGTTAAACCAATCTCCATTTCTGGGATAAATTCAACTTAGTCATGTTGTATTAGCCTTTTGTATATCTTATATCTATAATACTGAATGAGATTATCATACTCTTTACATGTATTTGAAGCCATGTCATTAAGTGCATACAATTTTTATTAAATTTTTAATTGACAAATAATTGTATTTATTTATGGGGTACGATGTAGTGTTTTGATATATGTTTACATTGTAGAGTGACTAAATCAAGCTAATTAGCATACTCATCACTGAACATATTTATCATTTCTTGTGGTGAGAACATTTGAAATTTAATCTCTTAGCAATTTTGAAATATATGATACATTATTATTAACTACAGTCACCATGCTGTGCGATAGGTCTCAAAAACTTATTCCTCCTAATTGAAATTTTGTTCCCTTTGACCAACATCTTCCAATTCCCCAACCCCTAGCCTCCTCTGGTAACCACCATTCTACTCTCTACTTCCATTAGTTTGACTTTTTCAGTCCACATATGAGTGAAATCGTGCAGTATTTGTCTTTCTGTACTTGTCTTGTTTCACTTAGCATAATGTCCAACGGGTTCCCCATGTCATTGTAAATGATGGAATTTTCTTTTTTATAGCTAAATAACATTCCATCATGTATACATACCACATTTTCTTTATCGATTCATCTGTTGATGGACAGTTAGGTTGCTTCTGTATCCTGGCTATTGTGAATAATGCTACAATAAACATGAGAGCACAGATACCTCATGCTGATTTCAATTCCTTTGGATAAGGGTCCCCAAACCCCAGGCTATGGAACAGCAGTGGTATGTGTGGCCTGTTAGGTACTGGATCGCACTGTAGGAGGTGAGCAGCTGCGAGTGAGCATTACCACCTGAGCTCCATCTCATCTCAGATCAGTGGCAGCATTAGGTTCTCATAGGAGTGTGAACCCTATTGTGAACTGTGCATTGCAGGAATCTAGGTGGTGCACTTTTTATGAGAATCTAATGCTTGATGATCTGAGGTAGAATGATTGCACTCTGCAAGACTCCCCACGCTCATCCCTGTGGAAAAATTATCTTCCACAAAACTGGTCCCTGGTGCCAAAAAGGTTGGGGACTGCTGCTTTTGGATATATACCCAGAAGTGGGATTGCTGAAGCATATGGTAGTTTAATTTTAATTTTAATTTAATTTAGTTTAATTAATTTATTTTTAGCACCTAGGCTGGAATGCAGCAGTGCAATCATAGCTCACTGCAGCTTCCAATTCCTGACCTCAAGCCATCCTCCCAACTCAGCCTCCCAAATTTCTGGAACTACAGGAATGAGCCATCTCACTCAGCCCTATTTTTAGTGTTGGGAAGAATCTCAAAAAGTAATGACTGTACTAATTTACACCGCTACCCTCAGTATACAAGGGTTCCATATCCTCACTAATACTTATCTTTTATCTTTTTGATAGTAGCCATTCTAAGTATGTATAGTTTTAAAATTATGAAGTTTAAATTGAACCTTAGGAAGTTGCTACTCTGTCACCAGGCTGGAGTGCAGCAGCGTGATCTTGGTTCACCACAATCTCCGCCTCCTGGGTTTAAGCAATTCTCCTGGCTCAGCCTCCCAAGTAGCTGGGACTACAGGCACATGCTACCATGCCTGGCTCATTTTTATATTTTTGGTAGAGATGGGTTTCACCATGTTGTCCAGGCTGGTCTCGAACTCCTGACCTCAAGTGATCCAACAGCCTTGGCCTCCCAACGTGTTGGGATTACAGACGTGAGCCATCACACCCAGCCTTGAAGTTGCCTTTTTTATCTTCAGTAGTGCTTCTTGGCTTAAATTCTTTTGTTTTATAAATAGTAATGGAAGCTTGCCAGTTTTATTTTAGAAAGTATTTGCAGGCCAGGTGCAGTGGCTCATGCCTGTAATCCCAGCACTTTGGGAGGCCGAGGCAGGCACATCACTTGAGCCCAGGAGTTCGAGACCAGCCTAGGCAACATGGCAAAACCTCGTCTCTACAAAAAATACAAAAAATTAACTTGGGCGTGGTGGTGCGCGCCTGTAGTCCCAGCTACTCTGGAGGCTGAGGTGGGAGGATTGCTTGAACCCAGGGGGTAGAGGTTGCAGTGAGCCAAGATCTTGCCACTGAACTTCATTCAGCCTGGGTGACAGAGAAAAACAACTCTGTCTCAAAAAAAAAAAATAAATAATAAAAAATAAAGTATTTGCATGATATATCTTTTTCTGTCTTTTTGATTCAGATATTGTCAGCTGAGTCCAATCTAACAAACTTATATTTTAACCGAAGCTTTAGTACTGTTATATTTAATAAACTAATAATATATTTGCACTTAAATACAACATCTAATTTTATGCTTTTTAATTATACATGATTTGTATTTCTTTTTTTCCCATGTAAGTTTTTAGGGTATACATCTTTAAAGGCCTTACTTTTCATTATCGTTCAGTTTAACTTATTTTCTAATTTCCATTTTTCTTCTGTGACCTATGGTTTAGTTAGTGGTGGATTTATTTTCCAAAATATGGATGGTGTCCAGTCAAACTTTTGGTATTGATTTCTGGCTTATCTTGTGTTTGGAAAATATGTGAATTCTACAGCTGGTCTGTGTAAGAGTTCTCTGTATCAGTTAGGGAAGTTTGTTCTTCCTGTTGTTCATATCTTGCATATCTTTACTAAGGTTTAGCCTGTTTGTTCTATAAATTACTTAGAGAAGCTGTGTTAAATTTTCCCACTAAAATTATTGATTTTTGTCTTTCTCTGTATTTATCAGTATGTATCTACTGAAGTCTTTTCAAATCCCTGATCAGTGGTTTGTTCAGGACAGCACTTTGATTGAGGGAGGTGACGTGGCTTAACATAGTATGGTCTTGAGCTGCCTGGTTTCTGTGATTTAGGGACTGAACCAGCTCTGGTCACATCTGGATTATCTACTATCCAGCATTCAAATGAACCAGATTACATGAAAGGATATGGGGGTACTCTTTGGGGGCCACGGTGCCACAAGGCCTTTGGTTTCGATCTCCATTGCCTAGGGAATTAACCTGTGCTGTGTGATTCTAGATGTTTTCTTCCTGCTCCCTTAAATAACACCTAAATGTGTTATTCAGCAGTGTGGCTCCTGCTAAGCAGAGGAGAACTCGGAATTCCTACCAAATTCTGATAATAAAATAACTTTCCTCCACCTCAACCATTGTTTTTACCAGTCCTGTCAACTGTTAGCTTTCCTGGATTTAATGATCTCAAGTTGAGGTCAATGTCAACAGCTTTATGGGATGAATAAGATGAACGCCCATAGGAAAGTCAGTCTCTTGAACACGGGTTGTTTTCTTTTGGTTACCCTCTAAGATTTTTTCTCTTTGATCTCCAGTTATTTGAAGGATTGAAGGCATTTCGAGGAGTAGATAATAAAATTCGACTGTTTCAGCCAAACCTCAACATGGATAGAATGTATCGCTCTGCTGTGAGGGCAACTCTGCCGGTATGTAAGTGTAGGAGTTTCTTTTGTGTTTCTTTTAATGTAACGGGTCACGGTGTTGACCACCAAATAAATAATTTCTGAATAGTTAGATAAATATTCAGTACAAACCATATGAACATTAACATTATTTCTGATCTACTTTAGTTAGGTAAAAATACAAGAAAATGGCCGGGCACGGTGGTTCACTCCTATAATCCCAGCACTCTGGGAGACTGAGGTGGGTGGATCACTTGAAACCAGGAATTGGAGACAAGCCTGGCCAACATGGTGAAACACCATCTCTGCAAAAAATACAAAAATTAGCCGGGTTTGGTGGCACATGCCTGTGGTCCCATCGGTGTGGCTGAGGCATGAGAATTGCTTGAACCTGGCAGGTGGAGGCTGCAGTGAGCCAAGATAATCACATCACTGCCCTCCAGCCTAAGCCGCAAAGTGAGACTCTGTAAAAAAAAAAAACAAAAAACAAAAAACCCAAGAAAATAATATCATTTGGCAATTCCACAATTTTTTAAAATCAGTGTCTGTGGGGGATTCATATGCAAGTGAGAGATGAAAGAGTAAGGAAGAAAAATGTATCTCAACCTAAAATAATATTTGAAGACCACATGAAATTAATATTGAAAATGGAAAATATGGTGTGCAGCACAGGTATTTTGCGGATATTTTGCCTAATTGCTTTAGATGCTAGCAAGATATAGTAACTTAATTATTTTGATATTTTATCTTAAGTAATGTTTTGAGATAAAAAGATATCAAAATGGTTTCTCATGGCCATTGAATCGTGGCTGTCACAATGTTTCTTATGGAGCAGAAATCATTGTAAGATGGGTTAGATTTTTTTTTTGAGAGAGAGTCTCACTCTGTCACCCAAGCTATAGTGCAGTGGCACAATCTTGGCTCACTACAACCTCCACCTCCGGGGTTCAAGTGATTCTTGTGCCTCAGCCTCCTTAGTATCTGGGATTACAAGTGCACGCAGCCATGCCCAGCTTAATTTTTTTAAAAATTATTTTTAGTGGAGACATGATTTCACCATGTTAGCCAGGCTGGACTTGAACTTCTGGCCTCAAGTGATCTGCCTGCCTCAGCCTCCCAAAGTTCTGGGATTACAGGCATGAGCCACCGTGCCCAGCTTCAGGGATTTAGCCCAACCTATGCATTCAGGAAGCCTGAGGACGGCTAAATCCAAGTGTTCTTCATTCCTCTGCCTATTTTTGTAACCCGCATTTCACCCATCTCCTTTGGAGGCCATAATATAGTAGCAGAGGGGAAATTAAGGTAAATTCTTTGGACTAGGGCATAGTTTCGCTCTTCTTCTCATTACAGCTAGATCACTGGGGAAAAGTCTTTAAAATGGGGCTGGAAGGAAAGGGAAGTAATATTTGTTAGACATCAATTTTGCTACCAAACTGTGTTATGTAGTTTCACATTCCTTATCTGTGTAATCACAGCAGTAAGGCGTTGCTAAGAAGATTATTTGTTGTACAGTTTATTAGTGCCTTTGTACAGAGAAGAAAACTTGAGTCCAGAGAGATTAAATGACTTGTCTGAAGTCACAAAGAGCAAAAGGACAGGGCAAGAAATTAGATCCAGGTGTTTTTATTCCTGGTCAAGTTCTCTTCTCACTGAATTCTGTCTCTAGACAGCAATACCAGGGGCTGAGGCAGGTGCTACAGGGTTCACCTATATGATTGGCAGTCCCAATTTCTATAACATTACTACATTATTATTGCTGTTACAGGTCAATATTTAAATAGACAAATTCTGACTTCATGAGCTTTACTCAGATGCTTATGACTGACTCATTTCTACCTTAGGTGACCCATCACATCTCTGAAAGTATGTTTCTCTACTTTGCAAGTGAGCAGAGACTAAATTATTTTATGAAGTATCACCCATCTAGTAGATGTAATTTTTTTTTCTTTAGAAATAAAGTGCTCTTTGCTTTTGCCCATTTTCCTATTGGGTTATCTATCTCTTCATTGACTTTGGGGATATCCAAATATATATACCAGTTAAAATTCTTTGTTGATCATGCTACCAATAACTTCACCCAGTTTGTTGCTTTACATCTTTTGAAGAACGGAAGTCTTTAAGTTTCAAATAGTCACATTTTATCCATTTTTTTCCTTCATGATTTGTGTTTTACATCTCCTACTTAAGAATCCTTTCCTACCTTAAGGTCACAGAGATATTTTGTACTTTTTAAATAAAGTCTTAGTATTTTGTCACATTTAAGTATATCATCTAATTAGAATTGATTGGGGGGTATGGTAAGATGTAGGGATCTAATCTTATCTTTCACATGTGGATAGCTCGTCATCCCATCACAATTTTTGGGGGGAAAATCAGAAAAAATTGTTTGGTTTTATTATTACTTTAAAATTTTTTTTATTGGTACCATAAATTATACATATTTATGAGGTACACTGATGTTTTCATGCATGCATATAATGTGTAATGATTAGGACAAATAAGAAAGAAATAAATAAAAATTAGGATAATTAGGATATCCATCACCTCAAACATTTCTTATTTTTTTGTGTTGGGATTATTAATTTTTTAACAGTTTAAATGCTTCAGTGAGGATCATTTATTATTGCCACATTGTGAGAAAATTCTGTCATTTATTATGTTTTTCATTCTTTCAGGTATTTGACAAAGAAGAGCTCTTAGAGTGTATTCAACAGCTTGTGAAATTGGATCAAGAATGGGTCCCATATTCAACATCTGCTAGTCTGTATATTCGTCCTACATTCATTGGAACTGAGGTGCAAACTGACTCTTTATTTTGGGGTACTTTGCTGGGCAAGTTATTATTGTTTATTGTTGTTTGAAACTTCTAGCATATAGTTTGCAGTAGCCCCCCAGTAGCATCATTAATGACTTCTTCCTTCTGATTGTCAAGATTAGAGGTAGCAAACATTTTCTGTGAAGCGCCAATCAGTAAATATTTTTTGGCTTTGTGGCCATATAGTTTCTAATAAGAAATTAGATCCCTACCTCTTACCATACCCCAAAATCAATTATAATTCGATTATATACTTAAATGTGACAAAATACTAAGACGTTTATTAAGAAATACAAAATATCTCTGTGACCTTAGGTAGGAAATGATTTTTTTTTTTTGAGGTCTCTCTCTGGTTTTTTTTTTTTGCCCACGTTGTCGCTTAGGCTGGGGTGCAGTGATGCAATCACGGCTGACTGCAGCTTTGACCTCCTGGGCTCAAGTGATCCTCCTGCCTCAGCTTCCCAAGTAGCTAGTACTACAGGCATGTGCTACCATGCCTAGCTAATTTTTAAATTTTTTGTAGAGATGATGTCTCACTCTGTTGTCCTGGCTGGTCTCAAACTCCTGGCCTCTAGCAATCCTCCCACCTTGGCCTCCCAAAGTCCTGGGATTACAGGCATGAGCCACTTCACCTGACCGGAGAGGATTCTTAAACTCTGCCATTTTAGTACTAAAGCAGCCATAGACAGCACATAAATGAGTAAATGCAGTGCTGTTTGCCTTGCCCAATTAAGACTAGTCATTATTTTCTAAGTTTACAAGTGCAGTGCCTCCCATTGTGGCAGTACTTCTCTGAGGTAGAAATGGTTTTAAAATTTAGGGGAGGGAGAGCTGCTAATTTTCATTTTCATGAGGTCTTGGGATTACTTGGCATGGAGTGAGAATGGAGGTTCCCCTTCCCACATAGAAAAATGGTGAAAATAAAGTTCACAGTGGGAGTTAAGGAAGGAAATTGAAGAGCTGGGATGGTAGGTTTAAATAACATGACCTTATGATTTCCTGGTGGGTCACAGTCTCTTGGTTGGGTGCCCTTGTGAATAAAGGCATGGATTGGGCATGCCTGGAGGGGCCAAGGCCTTTTGAGCGGACGAGTATGTTTATATGAAGACCCTGTCACCTGTCTCTGGTATCTGCTAGGCAGCTGTGGCTTGAGAGTGTGATATTGAGGGATAATTGATGGAAGGAGATTGAATGTGGCTGGCAGGTAAAGAGATAGGGAACATATGGAGATATTTAGAATAAGAGAGTGTGAGATAGAGCGCTTTTGCTATAGCCTAGCCATTCTGTTCTCTACTAAGTGTTGCGGGGTTACCAGGTTTTCTACTAGGCTGTATGAATGCAAAAGGTAGAGAGATATATAGGGCCATGGAATAAATACCGAAGTGTTTTCTTTGGTATCCTTGATACCTTTCGAAAGCCGTGTAAGGATCTAGATAATGAATTTCGTGAATTGCAGTCTCTCTGACAAGTTTTAAAGAATAGGAACAATTTTAAAAAGTCATCTACTTCCATAAGTTTTTTGACATTTTAAGATAATTGAATTTTTTTTTTTCAGCTTTTAAGTTCCAGGGTACATGTGCAGGTAGGTGTGTTATATAGGTAAATGTAAGCCATGGTGGTTTGCTGTACAAATCAACCCATCACCTAGGTATTAAGCCCAGCATCCATTAGCTATTCTTCCTGATGCTCTTCCTCCTCCCGCCCCTTCCGACAGACCCTAGTATGTGCTGCTCCCTGCATGTGCCCATGTGTTCTCATTGTTCAGCTCCCACTTATAAGAGAACATGCAGTGTTTGGTTTTCTTTTAATATTATTTTTAACTTTATGATAGGAAGGAGTACTTTTTAAAGTTGGTTGAAACATTGTTACTGATCTCAAAGCACTACCTTCCAGTTATTCTGAGATACTTTTTCAGTCTAAGATCTGATACTCCTATTCCTGGTTTGTTGAGAGTTTTTGTCATGAATGGATGTTGGATTTTGTCAATTGCTTTTTTTGAATCTCTTGACATGATTATGTGGTTTTGTACTTTATTACATTATTAATGAATGAATTATATCAATTTATTTTTGGATGTTAAATCAACCTTATTTTCCTAAGCTAAATCCTACTTGGTCATTGTGAATAATCCATTTTTTTATCTTGCTATATTCAGTTTGCTAATATTTTAAGAATTTTTGTTTCACTGTTCATGAAATATATTGATCTAGTTTTCATTTTTCTTTTCTTTCTTTTTTTTTTTTTTTTTTACATCTCCCTCCTCTTCCTCTTGATCTAGTTTTCTAATACAGCTGCACTCCAACTTACGATGGTCCTACTTAGGAGTTTTTGACTGTATGATGTTTGAAAACAATATGAGTTTAGTAGAAACTTACTTTGAGTACACATACCATTCTGTTTTTTTGCTTTTAGTACAGTATTCAATAAATTATGTGAGATAACCAATACTTTATTATAAAATAATACACTTTTAGATGATTCTGCCCTACCATAGGCTAATGTAATTGTTCTGAGCACATTTAAGATAGGATAAGCTAAGATACGATGGATGTTTGGTAGGTTAGGTATATTAAATGCATTTTCACCTTAAGGATATTTTCAACTTAGGATGAGTTTATTGAGTTGTAACCCCATCACAAGTTGAGGAACATCTATGTATCTAATTCCATGATTCAGTAAATTCTTTAGACTGCCAAAATCCTGTAATCTAGAGTTAGACAAGATCTTAAATCAGGTTTTGTGGTCCATCTTGTAGTCATGATCATTCTCACTATTAGGGAATTCTTAACTTTTTGCATTTGAATCACCGAGGTGTTATTTAAAATACACATATGGAATCCAAGCTCCAGAGACTCTGAGTAGATCTGGTGAGTGATTGTGATGCCTGCCCACATTCAAGAACCTTAGTACAAAAGCCCTGCTGAATGGTTCTCTTTCACTATACACTCTATCAACTTATGTACTTGATCACACTTTGGACCTCAAAATCAATAATTTTTAAAAATCTACTTCCTAAGTTGTGAGGTACGAATTGAAGGAAATAATGAATACTATTTGGGGAGTCAACATTATTTATTAACGAATACCATTTGGGGAGCCGACATTATTTATATTTGGTTGGTATATTTGTATCAACTATCATTTTCTAATTAATGGTATAGGCAGAATAAACCATCACTTGTGATTCAGAAAGGAACATGATACAAATAACATCCAATAATGTATATGGATTTAAATAGATCTGCCCCCTACAGATGTTACGCAATTCATGTTGGTAATGATCATTCATTAGGTTTTCGTGGTGGCTACATTTGATATGTGAAGTACTGGCTGGAAGACTGGTGCCAGTAGCTTCAGGTTTGCTGGGATTCTTTCATCAGAGATGACTAGCTTTACTTATCTTTTTATGTTGCATGTTTCTATGATGGGCCTATCCTGTCATTGTCTTCATAGTATAATTGCAAGCTCAACTCTGTCAGTTATGTGATTTTTTTTTTTTTTTTGGTCCTGTCTTGCTTTTGGCTGACTTCTATATGTTTTTATTTCATGTCCTTTTCATAGTTAGATTAACTGGGTCTTATGTCCAAGAGATATTTTGATTTCTTTGAATGAATAAATCTATGTTAGGCTACTGTATTAGGTTTTATAGACACCTAGTTGATCACTTGTGTCCAGTCTCTATTCCCTGGTATGGTAGTTGCTGTGTTTATAGAACATTGAGGATTCTACAATGGACACATTGGTGTTGGGCCCCAGCCCAGACCCAAATCGAAATTTCTAGAGCCAGGATCAGAGACTCTGCATTCAACAAACTCTCCAGAGATTTCATAACCACTTTTAAAGGACTCACCATCCCAAACCTTGTTAAGGAATGAAATATATGTCTGCCAGTAATTTCAGTGCTTTAAGTCATTGAAAGCTGAACTTTTAATGGCACCAAAGTGGAAATATTTATATAATTGAAAGCTAAACTTCATCCTAATGGCAGTGTTGAGTTCACTTCCATAGGCCCTGATATAACAGTCTAATATTATTGTTTTTCACATAAAATAAGATTCAGTCACTGCCATATAATTAGGGAGTGGCTCTGCTATTGGATGGACTTAAAATATTTCATTATGTTTGCCAAGCTCTGTCTCTTTACATGTTTTATAATTAACTGATCCTTCATTTTTATTTTGTTTTATTTTATTTTTGAGATAGAGTCTCGCTTGGTTGCCCAGGCTGGAGTGCAATGGTGCAATCTTGGCTCATTGCAACCTCTGCTTCCCAGGTTCAAGTGATTCTCCTGCCTCAGCCTCCTGATTAGCGGGGACTACAGGTGCGTGC
Source organism: Homo sapiens (assembly GCF_000001405.40). Lineage (NCBI taxonomy): Eukaryota > Metazoa > Chordata > Mammalia > Primates > Hominidae > Homo > Homo sapiens. Next base: position 24,874,180 of record NC_000012.12, on the reverse strand, counting down.
CACCATGCCCAGCTAATTTTTGTACTTTTAGTAGAGACGGGGTTTCACCATGTTGGCCAGGCTGGTCCCAAACTCCTGACCTCAGGTGTTCTGCCCACCTCGGCCTCCCAAAGTGCTGGATTACAGGCATGAGCCACCATGCCCGGCCTCCTTCATTTTTAATAATCTTCATAGATACATACTTGTTGTACTAATGTTTTTGTGCAGTTCCTCATGATAAATAATTAAATCAATTACTAAAATCCTTATAGATTTATGATGATAATAAATGGAAGTGTGTATTATTGAAACATGTTTAATTAACTGTTCATATATAACCAGTGAGTAGGGATTGGCAATTAAAAATACCAGGCTACCAGTGCATGGAAATTTGAAGAAAACAACAACCTGAAATTCAGAATACTCCAAAATCTGAAACTTTTTGAGCACTGACATGACTAAAAATGCTCATTGGAGCATTTCAGATTTCATTTTTTCAGATTAGGGATGCTGAATTGGTAAGCATAATGCAGATTAATCCAAAATCTGAAAAAAATCCTAAATCAAAAACAGTTTTGGTCAGAAGCTTTGTGGATAAGGGATAGTCCAAGCTTTTTGGACTGAAGCTTTTTGGATAAGGTATAGCCTATAATACATAAATACATAATACAGGATAATCACTGACCTGAATGTATAGCATCAGTATGGTACACAAATATTTAAATCCATGTACTTTGTTGGATATTATGTTATATAAACTTCTTGTAAAAAGTTTAGAGAGTAAAATCATTCACATTACCAAAAGATTTCTCATATTTATAAAAAGGATTATAGCAGCATTTTAATCAGTATCTCCTAAAGTATTTATTTATGGGTTGTTAAATCTAAAAGAGAAACTACAGTCTGGAGGGCTCTAAACTACTGCTGATTACATATCAGTTGGGAATTAAGAGAAAATCTCAGATCATAATATTTAAATAAAAACATTTACATGAATGATTTCTAAGTTTTCACTTTACTAGACAAGAAACTAAAATTATATGACTGTCATGTTCAATATTGGATACTTAACAACACTACATCCAAGGAAGCCAGGTTTTGCTGATTTTAACCTCGTCCTGTTGAGTAACTCCATGCAGGTACAGTGGTACAAACACATGTGGACACACAGACCCAGACCTTTATTTCCTCGGGGATTCTGGTAAGTGTAGAGGTGTCTTGACCATAGTCAATAGCAGAAATATGCACAACCACAAGCTCTGAAATTCCATTTGATTGTTGCTCTTAGCCTTCCACTTTTTAGGCATATGTCAGTCCCATTTCATCCCACCCACTCTCTCCATTTGGGAGGTGGTAGAGTGAGACAATACTGAACTATACCAGGGCTGAGAATAAGTGTCTTTGAAAAGGGTCGAATCTGTGATGCTAGAGACAGCCCTGGAAACTGTCAGGAGTTAGCCCAACCAGGACTGTGACCAGATCCCAGGCTGTCCACCACAGATTTGCAGGCTACCTGCAGATGTGACTTTTTCAAATGTACTCAAAGACAAGCTGACTTTGGCTAATGCAGAAATTAATTAATTCCTCTTTTTCAGTAAACTTTATCCTCCTACACTTAGATTGTCTGTAAGTACATCTCTGGAGTTGAGCTCAACTAGAAAGAAGCTGTCTGCATTTAGTTAATACCAGCATTGGATGCACACAATATAATTTGAATAATGTAGAGCAACATTTTAATCATCTCTCATAAGCAGTTTCCCCATTTGCAACTTCCTGGGAAATCTTACATTATGAAATGTTCATTAGAACTCCCATTTTAAAACCCTGCTGCCATTTTGTGAGTGGGCAGAAGAAAGGCTGGAGATGAGATTTGTCTGTCTCAAATGATTCACTCCTTCATTTCTGGTTCACTCCACAGGGAGCTTAAGGACATGTGCGTTTCATAGACATGCCTTTCTTTTCCTTTTATCACCTTGTTAAATCTTAAGATTGAACATACAATTCAGCCTGTAATCATATCAATTCCCATGAAAAATATTTTCCTTATTCACTGCCTCTATTTGTGCTTATACATCTGATCATCTTTTTCCTTTACTTTACAATTAGTTTCTATGAACAGAAGAATCTGAAAGATTTAAAGACTAGTTAGCACAGCAGCAATTTATAAATCATTAATTTGGGTACTGTCTATACATTTAATGTGTTCTTTTTCATAGTCCTATGTGAAATACATATACATATATATATATTCCACTGTTTATAAACAATATTCAGTTTTATTTGCATAACTCAATATATTTTATATTAACAGCTCCGTTTTTAGTGTCTTAAGACATCGAGTCTGTTTTTAGAGATACAGTCTATTTGCCTTGATTTTAGCCTGTTATAATCAGCTTATTATTATCTGGCCACTCTTACCAGTGAGTATCATCTTGAGGCTGTTCTTGCTCATTTCAACTTGTCACAGGGGATGTTTTTTACTCTTTGGAGTTTAGGTACACCAGGTTATTAATTATGCTCCTGATTCATGGTACTTCCATCATGGGGCATATAAGGTCCCTGTCTTTGTTTTATTCCCTTCTATCTTCATTCACCACTCTCATTTCCTCTCTCTCCACTAGAAATAATTCTCAGGAATCAAATTAATATTATTCTGGCTTATATGTGTTTTTAAAAATCTCATCGCTTTTTATACATGTAATTTTAATTTATGTAAGAGACTTTGTCCTACAGATTTCATTGTGTTTCTTCTCTTTTTCGCCCAGCACTGTGTGTTCCATTTCTATCCAGTCTACTATGTGTACATCAAGTCCATCATTTCTAACTGTTGCATAGTTCATGATGCGAGGCATCTTCCACATTGTATCCCAATTCCCTAACTGGAATCCCAGTTCCCTGCTACCTCACACAATGCTCCAGTGAACAGCTGGAAAATCATACAACCCAAGGAATTATTGAAAGTGATTATATCCCAGCAAAAGGCCCAGGCCCATCTTACACTTCCACCCCAAGAAGGTACTGCTACTTTTCGGGAATGGCCTGGTCTCCTTGGCGAAATTGGCATTTGATCTGTTCTCATCACTGTCGTCTGGCATCAGAAGTGACCCCACTTGTCAGGCACTGTACTCAGTGCTTTCCATGCACTAACTCTGATAACAATCTTTTTTTTTTCTTTTTTTGAGACAGAGTCTTGCTCTGTTGCCCAGGCTGGAGTGCAGTTGTGTGATCTCAGCTCACTGCAACCTCCACCTCCCAAATTCAAGCGATTCTCCTGCCTCAGCCTCCCCAGTAGCTGGGACTACAGGCGTGCACCACTACACCTGGCTAATTTTTGTATTTTTAGTAGAGATGGGGTTTCACCATGTTGGCCAGGCTGGTCTTGAAATCCTGACCTCAGGTGATCCACTTGACCTCCCAAAGTGCTGGAATTGCAGGCAAGAGCCACTGAGCTTGGCCTGATAACAATCTTGTGAGCAGGTGCTTATGCAGTATTTTAGGGATGTGAAAGTAAGGTCCAAAGCGGTGAAATAAGAGCCTGTATTCTCTTAACCTCCATCCCGCAACATCTTTTATGTGTCAGTCCCTGCACTAAGTCTAGGGATACTGTGCTGAGCAAAAACTATCTTCTTGCTTTCACAGAGCTCAGTGTCTGGCAGGGGGTCAGACTTTCATAATATAAACCCACTAAATGAGTGCATATTGATGGCGGTCACTGCTGTGAAGAAGTGGGAATGGTTAGCATGGAAACATAGCCCCAATGGGGGCGACTAAGTTCTTTCCCATCTCATTCTACTATGTCTACTTTCATCTCTACTTTTTTCTTTTCTGAGCTATCAGCTTTCTTGCTCTCAACTATATTTGATGTATTTAACCAGATTTTATATATTGTATTATGTATTTTATAACATGTATATATATCATATAACATACACATATACATACATACACACAGCCAATTAAGTCTCAAGTTCAATTACAATGCTTCTAAGTTTAGGACTATTCATTTTCATTTTGGCAGAGAAATTATCTGGTAAAAAATTCAAGTAGAACCAAAGGTATACAATAGATGGGAAGTTTCCTTTTCACTCTCACACTCTCATTTCCATCCAGGGTTCTACAATTCATCTCCTTCCAAGCAATTCCTATTGCCAGCTTTTCTTATACCCTTTCAGAAATACACACACACACACACACACATATATACACACACACACACACACCCTTACATGTGTTTGTACATTATCTCTCTTTTTACAAAATTGGCAGTGATTCTTTGTCCTGTTTCTGCCACTACTCAAAAATTTTAAAACAAATTACACACCTATAAACATACAATTTAAAGAAAAGAGTGAAAGTGAAAATCTAAGGACCCAGCACATGGTTAAGATGAGAGCATGATGGGTTCAATGGAAAGCCTTTGTGTACCTTTCTCCTTTGCCTCCGTTCCCTCTCCAATAGAGTCAACCACGTTGGAGGTTATAGCACTTCCTTCTTTATGTCCCCCCATCTCCCATCTGGTATGGTATTCTCTTTTACTGCAGATGGACATTTTGGCAGACATATGTAGTTGCTTCTCTTTGGTATTTACCTAGGAGTTGAAGTGCTGGGTCACAGGGTGTATGTATATTTCACTTTAGTAGATACTGCTGTTGTAGGACTTTCTCCTTAGTTTAGCTAAAGATGGGGTCCTTGTCCCAAGGCCATGAAAAATTAGGCTCGCAGACAATTTGAAAGGTGAGAATAATGGAACTTATTGGGAAAAAAGGGAAACAGGGACTCCCCACAAAGCCAGGGTCCTGCTAGCATGCTTCCTGCCTTGCAGATTGAATCCCAGGTACCACCCAGGAAGAGGAGGGGCCAGGCTCCTCCCCACTGTGAATGGTGTGACCGTCTGTGGCTCCCCAGTGTGCACTCCTCCCAGTGTGCAGGCCGGTTGGAGTTTCTCTGGGGTCTTCTTCCCACTTGGCTGTCTCACTGCCAAACTCCCAAAGTGCTTATACCAGTTTACTCTCCCATCAGTGGTGTATGTATTTGCTTCATTTCTTTGCCAATACTGATACTGTCTTATTAACTTTCCTCATTCTAATGTATACAGTCTTGTGTTATTTGTGGTTTAATTTCCCTGAGAACCAATTATGTTGAGTACCTTTTCATAGGTTTACCAGCTACAGAAGTCCTCTTGTGAAGTGCCTTTGCAAGTCTTTTGTCTTTTTAATTTTTTGCATCTTTGTATATTCTAGGTATAAATCCTTTGATACATATATCACAAATAACTTCCTAGTCTATGGCAAATCCTATGTTGGATAAACGTACTGCAAATAGTTTCCCAGTCTGTGGCTAGCTTCTGTGTCTGTGTCTTGCTTTGTCACTTTCTTACTGATATCTTTTGATGAACAGAAGTACTTAGTTTTAAAGTAGTTAAAGTTTTCTTTATGTTTTATACTTTTTATGCATTTTAAAGAAATTTTTTGTTACTCCAAGGTCATACAGGTTAAATAAATTCTTACTCCAAGAACATTCTTTTAAAGTTTTGCTTTTTTTCATTTAAATGAAATCCATATGAAAGTGAACTTTGTTATCAAGTAACATATACAATTTCTTTTATTTTTCTGCACGGAGACCAAGTTGTCCCATCACCATTTATTGAGTGGTCTATCCTTTCCTCACTGATTACAGTGCCAGTTTTGATATGTCATGTTTCCATAGATGAAGAATATTTTGGGGCTCTCTATCTGTACCTTCCTTTTTAAAAAATATAAATAGTGGTGATACTATGAACAATTTTGTTTGTATTATTGTTTTTTGCACTTAAAATTTGTCTTGGAGATCTTTTCATTTTGGCACATACGGATACACCCCTATTTTTTTTTCCATTTTCCTAGATGTGGGGTATCCATTGGACATATGTACCGTACTGAATTTAATATAGAATGTCATAAATTACAAGATGTAACATTATTTTATACACTGAGATGGAGAATCAAACTGCAACGCAGTACTTCCCTGATCATCCTGAGTGATTCATGAGTTAGTTATACTAGCCTCTTATTTCTTTGAGGTGTACGTTTTCTGAGGGAATCTGCCATTTCTCCTGCCATGAGTTGCATTGCTTGGCTCGTGATAGGCATTTTTATTTTTGCATGTAATTTTGTAACAAATGCTAACACTGCTTTATCTTCTTTTTGTTTTTGTTTATTGAGACGGAGTCTTGCTCTGTTTCCCAGGCTGGAGTGCAGTGGTGCAATCTCGGCTCACTGCAACCTCTGTCTCCCAGGTTCAAGCGATTCTCCTGCCTCAGCCTCCTGAGTAGCTGGGATTACAGGCATGTGCCACCATGCTCGGCTACTTTTTGTATTTTTTGTAGAGATGGGGTTTCACCATGTTGGTCAGGCTTGTCTTGAACTCCTGACCTCAGGTGATCTGCCCCACTCAGCCTCCCAAAGTGCTGGGATTACAGGTGTGAGCCACCAGCCAGCTTTATCTTTTTAAAGGTTTCTTCCTATTGTGGGTTTCATTAGAGGGCTTGGTTGTTGCTTTGCAAGAAAACATTGACTTGCTTTTGTTTAATAGTCTTATAAATATTTGTTTCACTAACATCAAATACATGCCATGCTCCTGCTTTTGAGCTTTTCTGTGCAGTAACTTTTCTTCTCAGTGCTAAATCATAAGTTTTTAAAGACATTTAACATGGCACACTCAACATGTGTCACCAATGCCCATAGCCACTGGAAGTATCATCAGTGTCAACAGCTATGACGTTTGGCAATGACAGCTTTGCCATAACTGCTGCTTAGCCAATAACAATTGTGGAATGCTGAGTCCAGATCTCAAACATGTTAAAGGTAAAAAAAAAAAAAAAAAAAAGATATTTTCGAGTCTGTAAAACATGGTAGCGTATCCGGAATTGGTGGGTTCTTGGTCTCACTGACTTCAAGAATGAAGCCATGGACCCTCGCGGTAAGTGTTACAGTTCTTAAAGGTGTCGTGTCTGGAGTTTGTTCCTTCTGATGTTCAGATGTGTTCGGAGTTTCTTCCTTCTGGTAGGTTCGTGGTCTCGTTGGCTCAGGAGTGAAGCTGCGGACCTTTGCGGTGAGTGTTGCAGCTCTTAAGGCGGCATGTCTGGAGTTGTTCGTTCCTTGCGGTGGGTTCGTGGTCTCGCTGGCTTCAGGAGTGAAGCTGCAGACCTTCCCAGTGAGTGTTACAGCTCATAAAGGCAGTGTGGACCCAAAGAGTGAGCAGCAGCAAGATTTACTGCAAAGAGCGAGAGAACAAAGCTTCCACAGTATGGAAGGGGACCCCAGCAGGTTGCCACTGCTGGCTCAGGCAGCCTGCTTTTATTCTCTTATCTGGCCCCACCCACATCCTGCTGATTGGTCCATTTTACAGAGAGCTGATTGGTCTGTTTTGTCAGGGTGCTGATTGGTGCATTTACAATCCCTGAGCTAGACACAAAAGTTCTCCACCTCCCCACTGGATTAGCTAGATAAAGAGTGTTGATTGATGTATTTACAAACCCTGAGCTAGACACAGAGTGCTGACTGGTGCATTTACAAACCTTGAGCTAGATACAGAGCGCCGATTGGTGTATTTACAATCTCTTAGCCAGACGTAAAGATTCTCCAAGTCCCCACTAGACTCAGGAGCCCAGCTGGCTTCACCCAGTGTATCTTGCACCAGGGCTGCAGGTGGAGCTGCCTGCCAGTCCCGCGCCGTGCACCCGCACTCCTCAGCCCTCGGGCTGTTGATGGGACCAGGCACTGTGGAGTGGGGGTGGCACTCGTCAGGGAGACTCAGGCCGCACAGGATCCCACAGCGGTGGCGGGGGGCGGGAGGCTCAGGCATGGCAGGCTGCAGGTCCCGAGCCCTGCCCTGCAGGGAGGCAGCTAAGGCCTGGCGAGAAATCTGGCCCGGCGAGAAATCTAGCGCGGCGCCGGTGGGCCAGCACTGCTGGGGGACCCGGTGCACCCTCCGCAGCTGCTGGCCTGGGTGCTAAGCCCCTCACTGCCCGGGGCTGGCAGGGCCAGCCGGTCGCTCCGAATGTGGGGCCTGCCAAGCCCACTCCCACCCGGAACTCCAGCTGGCCCACAAGCACCATGCGCAGCCCGGGTTCCCGCCCATGCCTCTCCCTCCACACCTCCCTGCAAACTGAGGGAGCCAGCTCCGGCCTTGGCCAGCCCAGAGAATGGCTCCCACAGTGCAGCGGCAGGCTGAAGGGCTCCTCAAGCGCGGTCAGAATGGGCGCCGAGGCCGAGGAGGCACCGAGAGCGAGTGAGGGCTGGGAGGGCTGCCAGCACTGTCATCTCTCAGTAGCATAATTTATATAACCAGTCTCTTGTTGATTAACCATTATATTATTGATACAACAAATATAAGAACTGTTACTAGTAAATTGAGTAAAGCAGGAAAATTAAATTTGGTCTCTTACTGATCAACCATTATTAGATTGTTGATAACAACGGTTATAATGTTGATCAACCGTTATATTGTTGATACAATTATATTTGATGTATTTAACCAGATTTTATATATTATATTCTATATTTTATAACATGTATATGTATCATATAACATACACATATACATACACACACACAGCCAATATAATTTCACTCTCAGTTTCTTGTTAATCAACTATTATATTGTTGATACAACAAATATAAGAACTGTTACTAGTAAATTGAATAAAGCAGGAAAATTACATTTGGGAGCCTTAAAGATGTAGGTTTTCTTCAAGAAATTTATGTTATAGTTATATCCCCTGTTGCATGTGAAGACATACATTCAAGGATACTTACTGCAGCTCACACAATTTGCTGATAGGTTGGATGTGGGTGTGAGAGAAGAGATGCTGTTTTCCTTTTGGGCGATGGCAACTGGATAGTAATCAGTTACTAAGATGGAGAAGAATGAGAAAGAAGTCTTTTTTTGTTTGTTTGTTGGAGTGATATGGGTAGAATAAAGAGTTAAAACAGTCATGCATGTAGGTACTATAGATGTGAAAGTCTATTATTCAGGGGAGAGTTTGGAATTTAAGGGATAGATTCTTGTCTTTAAGCATAAAAATGCCTTTGAAGGTGAGAAACTAGATTACATCTTTAAGGGGAGAACTGTAGATAGAGATGAAAAGAAGGCAAGGACTAACCCCTGGGGCAGGTCAGCATTTAGAAGAAAGGGAGTTTGTAAAATGCTAAGCTGTCTGAGAAGTAGCAGCCTGCAAGGTAGAAAGAAAAACAAGAGAGGTTTAGTGGACTGGAAACCAAGTGAACCTGGAAACCACAAGCAGCTGTGGCAAATCCTGCCACAGTGAGATGAGGCCTGAGAACTGAGTATTGGATTTGTCAATGTGGAAGGCCTTGGTGATCTTGATAAGCATGTGTTAGTAGGGTGGTGGGGTTGCAGTGTTTGGGATTTGAGAGAGAATGAGAGAATGGGTAGCTGTGATGCTGAATATGTATAAATGTCAGGAGGAATTCTGCTGCACAGTGGGACAGAGAATGGACGCCTCCCTGGAATGGGATAGATGCTAAAGGGAGTGTGTGTCTTAGTTGGGAGATATTATGGCATATCTCTAAGCTAATAGTAATTAGCCAGAAGGAAGGGAAAACTGATAGTTAAAATGTTCAAAAGATTTCTCACATTCCTATCATAGTTCTCCTTCTAAGGGTGACCACGTAAGCAGGCAGGGACATGTGACTAAGTAGAGCAGCATCCAACCCCCACCTTGCACGGTCACACACATACTGCTCCATTGACACCATAGTGTCTTGGTGTGAGCTCTTCATTACTTGACTCAATATCTTCTTCCTCATCTTCTCAGCTGGGGTTGTTGGGTATATCTTCATTGCAGATATTAGCATCCTTTGTGGTCTTCTTTGTCTTTCTATTCTAGGGCCAGCACAGTGGGAGGCCTAGTCAACTGAGCCAAACTGGATATAACCACAAGGTCAAAGGCAGGAGCCAGTGAGGAGATCTTGGTTTTGAGGTCATTCCTGGTGCGATAATAACCATCCTGTAGCATTTTCTTGTCACTTAGAGAAGGCATTAGCAAACTTTTTTTGTAATGGTCTTAATAGTAAATATTTTTGACTTTGTAGGCTATATAGCTACTCACCTCTGCTTTTATAGTACAAAAGCAGCCATAGACAATTCATAAATAAATGAACATGTTCCAATAAAAGCAATAAAAACAGGCAGCAGTCTGAAGTTTGTCGACTCCTGATTTGGAATCATTCCAGAAAGTGAAATAAAAGCATGGCTTCTTTTTTTTTTTTGAGACAAGGTCCTGCTCTGTCACCCAGGCTGGAGTACAGTGGTGTCATCATAGCTCACTACAGCTTTGACCTGCTGGGCTCAAGTAATCCTCCCACCTCAGCCTCCTGAGTGTCTAGGATTACAGGCATGTGACATCACACCTGGCTGATTTTTAAATTTTTTGTATTGATGGGGTCTTGCTATGTTGCCAAGGCTCACCTCAAACTCCTGGTCTCAAGTGATTCTCCTGCCCCAGGATTCCCAAAGTGCTGGAATTAAAGGTGGGGGCCACTGTGCCCAGCCAAAGCATGGCCTTTCTAAGGGTGACTCACTGTAGCACCTCCTGAGTACTTTCCTATCAAGTATCCTGGACCACTTTTTAAATAATTCATTCTAAAATCCATATTTAGGATTGATTCCAAATTTGCCAACCTGTATTTCCCAAATAACTGGCATGATAATTCTTGTCTTTTTCCCAAATGCTCATTTTCCACTCTTCAAACGTTGAGTGTTGACTGAAGTTCTGTGGTCATGTTTACAGTCATTTTTATGCTCTTTGTATTGTACATATGGAATGTATTTACCATTTCTGTTAGCAATGATTTCTTGCAAAAACAATAACACTTGCTAGTTTTGCGTGCTTAAAAATATCGAGCCCTGGCGCTCTCTACATATTATCTAATGTAATCCTTATATTAACCCTGTGAGTAGTCATTATCACTTCTTTTACACAGGAGGAAGTTAGAGAAGAGTGTTAAGTGTTCTTTTAGTCTTTTCCACTTTGTCTTTAGTTTTCTCTTAGCTGTTCTTTTAAATTCTAAGGTCATTCTTATCTAAAAACTTAAAAGAGTTGATCAGCCTTTTTATCAAGTGTTAAATTTATACCATCTTTTTTCTTTGAACAGGGCTGGCAAATAAACCTGGATTTATCCCTTAGCCCTGTTACAGCAAGTCTCAGAAAATTTGGACTTCAGCTTCCCCAGTGATACATTTTCAAATGCCTATGTATGGATTGCCCATTAGTTTATTGGCTAGAACTAAAGGAAATCAGGCAAGAGACAAAGGACATTTTCTCTAGGGTGTCAGTCAATGCAAAATGTTAGGACTAGCATCAGATTTTTTTTTTTTTACAAATGAAAATAATTGAAGTGTGGTAGAAGTTCCTCTAGTTCTGGCAGTCCTAAATATTGTTAACTGAAGAATGATGGGGCTCATAAATTTGGAAAGGAGAGAGAGGGGAAAAGAGAACGGGAATTTATGCTGAGCAGGGTGGCTAAGTATATATATTCAACAGGCTATAGGAGGAGCTATTAGTATTCACGAAGGGGTGGCACACACATACATAGTAGGCTAACGTGTATGCAGCATGCATCACAAGTCACTTTGGGGTGGAGCCTTAACATTTAATGTATTACAGTTAGGGCCTATACATCAAAAGGTGAAGCAGAGGACACGAAAGCCCTCTGTGTTCAGCCTCTGTAGACTGGCCAGAACCACTCTGTGGTCAGAGGTCTCTTATCAGGAAAGAATTCTTGTTGTTGTGTTGAAACTGCAAAAGGGAGGGGCAGTGTCAGGCAGGTGGTTGATACCAGTCTTTCAGAAGCACTGGTTTCTGTTTAACTTTTAGAGAAGAAAGCTTAATTGGAGTGTTACTGGAAAGGGATACCAGTCTAGACCACAAGAGAGGATTCTTGGATCTCACACAAGAAAGAATTCAGGGTGAGTCCACAGAGTAAGATCAAATCAAGTTTATTAGAGAAGTAGAGAAAGAAAAGAATGGCTGCTCCATAAGCAGAGCAGCACTGAAGGCTTCTGGTTGGCTATTTTTATGGTTATTTCTTGATTATATGCTAAGCAAGGGGTGGATTATTCATGAATTTTCCTGGAAAGGGGTGGGGAATTCCCAGAACTGAGGGTTTCTCTTTCTTTTAGACCATATAGGGTAAGTTCTGGATGTTGCCATGGCATTTGTAAACTGCCATGGCACTGGTGGGAATGTCTTTTAGCATGCTAATGCATTATAAATAGCCTAAGATAAGCTGTGAGGATGACCAGAGGTCAATTTCCTCACCATCTTAGTTTTGGCTGGCTTCTTTACTGCTTCCTGTTTTTTCAGTGGGTTCTTTGTGACCTGTATCTGTCTTGTAATGTCCTATCTCATCCTGTAACTAAGAATGCCTGACCTCTTAGGAATGGAGCACAGGTGGTCTCAGCTCATTTTATCTATCCCCTATTCAAGATGGAGTTGCTCTGGTTTAAATAGTTCTGACATATTTTCCCCAATACCCCCAAAGGGACCCTTAATCCCAAAATTTGCAGACAGATGAAGATCCATCTTCTGTAGCTTCTTCTGGCTGAATACAGGTGATGATATTTTTGCGTAACTATTCAGGGTAGAGAGGAGCTCAGTGAGAAAGCATCAGTATGGTGAAGGCCATTCCTAACTCCCGAGTTCTCACAAAAGGTGATATCTGGAAGATTAATAAGTGTTCAATTTAAGAAAACGTTGAGTAGTCTTATCCTGCATTGCTACACAAAGAGTACCACAGCAATATATTCTACAACAGTAAAGCAAAATAAGTATAATTATCCCAACTAAACTAAATAACAAGCCTTTCCATGAACTAGGCAGTTGTTGGAACCAAGCTTATATGGGGTTGCTAGCCAATTCCAACACATGTTCAGAATTAAAATACTGATCCAGATATTTATGTTACCCTTCTGTTTCTTCTGAGCAGCAGCTAGAGATCACTGGTTGGTTCATAGGAACAAACAGGGTCAATCTAAATGGCAGAAAAAACTCGAAACAATGAATGGGACTAGAGTTGAATAACAAGTATACCATAGTTTCTGAAACATAATTTTTCTCTCTCCAGTCTCCCATTTCTATTGAAAACAAATCATGGTAGGACTGATTTGTTTGCACAGTAAGCTTTAGTCTTATTATGCTTGGCCTGGTTATTTGTATAAAGCATAGCAATAATAATTATTTGCCACGTAGGCTTTTTAAAAATTGACTTTGATGTAACTTTGTTCCATAAGAAATCTCAGATTAGACTTTCTAAAGCCTTGAGCTGAGACACAGATTTATCTGTGCCTGCAAATACTTGTATGAGTTGTGTGAATTCTCCTTTTGAGATCCCAAGATAACTGGAGCTCCTAGGCCTGTCAGAAAGTGACATTCTTTACTTACCACAGGTCAGGAACCCTGTAAAGGAATTGAATAGACAAGGTATGAGGCCAGCTTTTCCCAGAGGCTTTCATCAGTTCTGTAAGTCAACTTTGATTCCTTAAAGCAATCTGTTTATATTTGAAAGAATGCCATTCCAGTCAAAGCCCTGGTAAAACAGGCAGTGTCTCTAATTGTGTCCTGTTACAAAGGAAAACAGATTTTTATTGCACATATGCAAATTACTATGCTGCCATAAGTTAAGAATACTCACAAATAGTTTTCAAATTCTTGAGAAATCAGGTAGAAAGAAATATGCTCCAAAGTTTTCTCATAGGAGTATAATTTACTCAATTTTTAACAACTGTAAATAGCTCAAAAAAAAAGGTTTCTTGACTCTGAAAAATGAAACAAAGGATCAGCAACATTTTAAGCAAAAAGTCACTAGAAGGTTATTTTGTTCTTTTATTAGTTTAGTCCATGCTGTTAATTCCTGTTTGCTCAATATTTATGAACATATTGGTTTCCCAAGGGAGACTCTTGAAAGTTTTTTTCCTCTCTATCTTAATGGCACACTTTACAAAATTTTTCAGAAACCTGCATTTAAGAGCCCTCTATCTGATTATAAACCATCTTTTAAAGAGGATCAAAACAAGACAACAATTTTCTGTGGATAACATAAAGTCTTAGGAAAGCCGTGGTTAAAGACACAATTGACTAGAAATTTTGGTTACTTCTGTGGCATACAACAATTTTACATAACAGTTATAATTATTACTGATAACATAAACTAAGTCATATCAGAATTTAGGAGTTTCCCATAATTTTGGAGCACATACCAATAACATATTTATACAAATACAACTCAAAGAAAGCTAAACACCATTTCATATTTGACAGTGCTTCCTGTATGATTTTAATATACCAAGTAAGCCAAATATGTCATTTTTGGACTTAAGGGGACCTCATATCTAAAGTATTGACCAGATCAGGAAAAGGCATAATATAGAATTTGATTTTGGAAAGTTTGTCAAATATCAAAGATTTAAAACACTTGATATTATAAAATCGAATCCCAGGTCACTGTAAAGTCATTTATTTAGCCAAAATGATAATACAAAGATTTTCCAAAAGCAAAATCCTTTTTTTTTTTTTTTTTTTTTGAGACGAGTCTGGCTCTGTCGCCCAGCTGGAGTTCAGTGGCGCCATCTCGGCTCACTGCAAGCTCCGTCTCCCGGGTTCACACCATTCTCCTGCCTCAGCCTCCGGGGTAGCTGGGACTACAGGCACCCGCCACTACGCTTGGCTAATTTTTTTGTGTTTTTAGTAGAGACGGGGTTTCACCATGTTAGCCAGGATGGTCTCCATCTTCTGACCTCGTGATCCACCCGCCTCAGCCTCCCAAAGTGCTGGTATTACAGGCGTGAGCCACTGCGCCCAGCAAGCAAAATCCTTTACTCATTGATAGAGGGAAGACAGCTTTCCAAACAATGTCTCACTTTTTCTTCTTTATTTTGTTGTTTATTCAAAAGGCAAACAAAAATCTTCCATGATCTTTTAATATTACATGAAAATTTTGTTCAAGAGAGAAAGCCAAATTTCATCTTTGCATTAATGAATGTCAAATCCAATTCTTAAGAAAACCTTGTAGACAAATTATTCAATCTTAATCAATTTTACCATGAGATAAGATTCTCATAAACCTTTTGTAGTCCTTTACAATTTTTTTTTGTTGTTGTTAAAGAGCAGATTAATGCTCTAAGAAAACCCTGTTGTGCTTTTATTCCAATGTTCTATTTATGGAAAAACTGAATAATACCCTTTAACTTTAGCTAATATTTTAACACACAGAATTTCTTTTACAAGATTAATTTTCACTGACCTCCCACAACTTACTCAAACCTTTAGCTTTATCCTATGTAACTTAAAACAGTCTTTTAACTCTGTAAACTAGGCAATAAGACCACATTCCCATGCCTTCTTATAATCTTTTACCAAAAACACATTCTATTTTCCTTACACGCCTTGCAGGTAACACTGTTTCTCTGGTAGCCTCAATTACATGTGCTACAATGTTAACTCTTAGCAACTTTTATATTTGGTGAAAAGTCTGATAAATAAGTGGTTTTAATTATGTACCAGGTGTGGAGCCTAGGACGCCAGACAGAAGTGCAGATAAGGTCTGAGTCTTTCCAGCATAGCTAGGGGGCATGGCCAACTCCACATGTCCCCAGGCCCTACCTAGAATCTAATGGCTCCAAAGCAGGTGAGTTGAACAATTATCAAGTTAAAGAAGCAGTTTATGGCATTGAAGCATTCAGCAAATCTAATTTAATCTGACCTAATTTAGACCAGATGTCTAAATTTTGAAGACATTTTTATTTTACCAATATATTTGATTCTCTTTATTTCCCAAAGATTATTAAAGTCCCATGAATTAAAAGGTGTTAAAGTTTTTATTTTTCTGACAAAATATTCAATTTAAGTGCTTATTTTTCAAGCCAATTAATTAGAGCTCTTTTCTATGCATATCACACATACAACACACAAAAATACACAGACAGAAGACCCAGTAGCTGTTAATTTTTTCATTTGCCAGCTTTTAAGAATCTTAATTGGATTACTGGCTTCAGGGTGGAGCAACGTGTGGGGACAGAGCCGGGAAAACATGCAGTTTCTGGGGCCTAATAAACAGGTGCAGTTAGAAGGCAAAACAGATTCCCCAAAATTACAGATCTCATTTTTATATTGGATTCTGGATCCCAAAAAGAGGGAATCAGCCCATCCCCTCTGGGAGTTTTGGAAGGTGTAGAAGAATGTTTCCATACCTTCTAGGTGGCCAAGAGCATGCTTCTCTGATCCAAACGTGCACAGAGTGGGGTATTCCCCTATAACTGCTATTAGCCTTCCCTTAAAGCATATTTCCTGCCTAGTTATTACACACCAAGGTTAAAAGCTCTCCCATAATGCAAAGTAATTTCTGATACCCCTACAAGTAAAAAACATTAGGTAACACAATGCAAATCAGAGCAATGCCTTGGATTTTGAGAGGGATTTGCTTGCCTTCAATTCCTGGGGTTCCATGAGGAAAACAGATTTTTCCCAAAATGGAGCCTGTGGTGCTCCCTCAGTTTTTTCTAAGGAAGCCCAGGCTGTTAGAAATGATCTTAGGTCCTCTCAATGTGGGCATCAAGAGTGGCAAGAAAACAAAATGAGAAAAACAATTCAGTTGACTGAGAAGAAAAAACTTTTATCTAGAAAAAAATCAATATAAAACCTGCCAGATAGATAGATAGATAGATAATCTTGGACATCACTTTTAATTAAGCTGACTTTTAACCAAATCTCTTATTATCAGACTCTAGCCAGGACAAACAGCTAATATTTCTGGCTTTTGAACTTTACCAAAAGTAACCTCCCAGGTGAAACCAATAAGCCTTAACTAAGGTTATGATTTAACCACAGGTGTGGGAGGTATTTTCAAAGAGGTGGTAAGCAGTTTTTACAAGATCTGGAACCTCCAAACATAGCTCAGAGAAAGGAAGATTCAAGACAGGGAGTCAGAAGTTGTTCATGAGGGGAAGATAATTAATAAATGGCAAAGGTCACATAGATATCAAACCAGAAAGGACTCATTCCCGAAGCTAGGAATTGAATCCAGGCCACCACTGTGAAATAGCAAAGCCTTAGTTACTGAGCTGCAGTACTGCACAGTCTCCATTGCTCCTCCGAGAAGGAGCCTAGAGCAGCCAATTTTGAGCTTGCAAAGGCTTTTAACTGCTCAAGATAATTTTTAGGACTAATTGACAGGAACCCCAAAATTCACACCCTCTGGATGGCAGAGATCAGGAGAAAGTACCCCCACGTGGTTACAAGGTCAAGCTTTCAAGGACATAAAACAAGACGAGAGGGAAACTTCATCCAGTTTTTGTTTCAGGGACCTGCAGAAAAGTTTGTAACTGACCAGTTTGCGGGCCAGCTTGAAGACCAGATTTGTAGGATTCCTAGGCCTGCATTCTATCCTGTGGCTAGCTAGGGCTGCCATAATAGAATATTACAGACTAGGCAGCTTCAACCACAGGTGTTTATTTTCTCACTGCTCCAAAGTCTAGAAGTCCAAGATGAGGGTGCCTGTAAAGCTGATTTCTGGTAAGAGCTCTCCTGGCTTGTAGATGGCCACCTTCTCCCTATGTCCTCTCTGGGCCTTTCCTCTATCTGGCCAAGGGAGCTATCTCTGGTGTCTTTTCCTCTTCTTATAAGGACAGCAGGCCTATGGATTAAGGCCTCACTTTCATGTCTTCATTTAAGTTTAATTACCTCTTTAAAGGCCCGATGTCCAAATACAGTCACACCGTGGGTTAGGATTTCAACATAGGAATTTTAGGGACACAATTCAACCCATAATAGGAGGGCATTGGAAGGAGAGTGTTCCAGGCAGAGGAAGTAGTGCAGTAGAGCATATGGAAGTAGGAAAGTGAGGAGCAATGGAAGGGGTTCAGTATGGTTTGAGCGTGGGGTGTGTAGAGGGTGAAGGCTATTTCACCCAGTGCAGTAAGCTCTATCATCCACACCGGGGTTTTACAGTGGGAGAAAGGAGGGTGTTTATTTGCAGGTCAAGAAGCAAACAGAATCAGGGAGCTCATGCTTAAGACCTGAACTCCACAGTGGCTTACATGTAAGGTGCAGAGGTTACAGGCAAAGGCATCAATCAACACATGGAAGCCATATATTGGTTTGGCCTAAAAAGGTGGGATATCCTGAAGTAGGGGCTTACAGGTTACAGGTAAATCCAAATATTTTCTGATTTGCACATTGTTTAAGGAAGGGGATATTTGTCTAAAGATGGGATCAGCAGGCCAGGTGTGGTGGCTCATGCTTGTAACCTCAGCACTTTGAAAGGCTGAAGAAGGAGGGTAACTTGAGGCCAGGATTTCAAGACCAGCCTAGTCAACATGGCAAGACTCTGTCTCTAAAAAAAATAAAAAAGAAAAAAAGAAAAAGAAAAAAAATAAAGATGGAATCAGCAGAAAGGAATGTTAGGTCTGGCCCATGGGCGGACTTCCTCCAGACTTCTCAGAAAGAAATTTAAGACAAAGAATGGTGCCAGGCGTGGTAGTTCACGCCTGTAATCCCAGCACTTTGGGAGGCTGAGGAGGGTGGATCACTTGAGGTCAGGGATTTGAGACCAGCCTGGCCAACATGGTGAAACCCCATCTCTACTAAAAATACAAAAACTAGCCGGGTGTGGTGGTGCACGCCTGTAATCCCAGCTCCTCAGGAGGCTGAGGCAGGAGAATCGCTTGAACCTGGGAGGTGGAGGTTGCAGTGAGCCAAGATTGCGCCACTGCACTCCACCCTGGGCAAGAGAGCGAGACTTGAGACTCCATCTAAAAAAACAAAATGGAAAACAAAGAATGGTGATAATTCAGTCCTCAATTCCTTTTCTTTTTTTTTTCTTTCTTTTTTTTTTTTTTTAACTGCTCCTGCGGAGCAGGGCTACCTCATAGCCAGTATGTCCAGAGTTGTCTCAGTTCCCTCGTTATCTGTGGTCTGGAGGATCCATATGATGGTGATCCAGGTTCTGAAAAACAACTCTGGAACATCTGTTAAGATGTTATCTTTAGTTTCTATAGGAAACCAAACATCTTCTGACTCTGACCTCCTTGGTGATTATTTTAAGCTACTGTTTCCCTTTTTGCTTATCGAGTTGCTCATTTACTTCTCAAGGCTAGCAGGATGACTGGACTTTCTCTTGAAGGAACTCAAGCTGTTCCTTTATTTTTATGCTCAGGGGCGGGGGGCACTCAGCAGGTCCCTAAGAGGTATCCCCGCTGTGTCTCACTATGGGTGAAGGCTCAGCGGGAAGAAAGCTAGATACCAGTTGGAACTCTCTTAAAGTAAGGAGATCTTGGGTACTTTATTAATATTTTTTTCAAGCTTTGGTAAAGTATGAAATAACTCTGGATTAAGAGGAGAAGAACTAGAACTTAATAACCATGACATTTGGGCAAATTGTTTGAAGCCTCAGTTTCCTCAACCTAAAAATAGGAATTATAACTTTTTGAATTGTTCTGTTGTATGAGATAATGACAGTGAAATATTTTGGAGCCAAAAAGCAATGCATACTATTGGGGGTTATTATTATTTTTTGATCTTTCAGCAAGCCAGCTATAGTAGCTTTTCCTATATAAACACAGTATGAATTCAGTGCCCTCGCTTTCCTGACCCTCACAGCATTCAAGCCCTGTATGGACCGCTGAGCTCTCCCTTGAAGCACCCCTTAGTCCAGTATTCTTTACTATTTTCCCCTTTAACAATTTAAACTTCTTTCAAAACAACTGGCAGTAGTTTTTTAAAAAAGAAAACAGGCTACTCTTCAAATTAAAAAAAAAATTGTCTTGCTTTAGGAAAAATGTTCTTCTGTCTTTTCCAATTATCTTATTTCTTCTGCCTCTCATCTGCCTTGCCTAGGCAGAATTATTCTCAAGCCTGCACATGCTGCTGTGCCTCTCTGGCTTCTAGGCCAAAACATAGGCTAATAGTACTCTTCTCAGCTCACTGAGCTCTTTCCTGCCGTCATTCAAATCACCTCTGAAATCCTGCCTTTTGATAAAGTAATTTCTGACTGATCAGAGGAAAGTGATGATTTTCTCTGTGACATGTCTTTTTATTTTCCATCACACTCAGTGTCTTGTCCTTCTATGCAACATATCCATGTATTTAAAAACCCTTGTATATGTATTTGCCATGTATTTGTGAGGTATAGCTCGTGAAGTAAAAAAAGTCTTTATTTTTTTAAACACATCATCATTTCAGCTTCAAAGTCAATGTGGTCTCTTGAGAAGTTAAATATGCTGCATTTGAAATTTTATGTTTCTCATTTTTCATGTTTTTTTTTAAAGCCCCTTTTAATTCCTCATGTATTTGAATATTCCAGGAAGCTAGTAGAGTAAAAAGCCAAAGTGTTAAAGTGTTTATAAGGAATGTGACTCATCGAAATTGACTCACACAATTCATCAGCTATTGTCATCCATATGTTCTCATTATTTATGTGGCTTTTGCTTTATTTAATCAGATGACTGAACTTATCATCGTGGGATTTTGCTTGTAGTTGTTTAATATTATATAATAAAATACTCTTGTGTGAAACAAGTTAATTGACTTTTTTTAATTAAAAAAAATTTATGTGAGAGTCAGGAGTTACATGTGCAAGTTTGTTACATGGGTATATGTTGTGATACAAAGATTTTAGCTTCTAAGGATCTCATTGCCCAAGTAGTGAACGTAGTACACTATAGGTAGTATTTCTAAACACTTTTCCCCTCCCCCTCTTTTGGAATCCCTAGTGTTTATTGTTCCCATCTTTGTGTCTATATGTACCTAATGCTTAGCTCTCACTTATAAGTGCGGACGTGTGATATTTTGGTTTTCTGTTTCTGTGTTAATTCATTTAGGATAGAGAGACTCCAGCTGCAGCTGTGTTGCTACAAATGACATGAGTTCATTCTTTTTTATGGCTGCATAGTATTCCATGGTTTATATGTATCACATTTTCTTTATTCAGTCCACCATTGATGGTCACCTGGGTTGATTCCATGTCTTTGTTGTTGTGGACAGGGCTGTGATAAACATATGAGTGCAGTTACCTTTTTTTGTATAACAGTTCATAATAAAATACTCTTAACAGTAGCACAGAATTTAGATTGCTTTTCAGGCTAGAAGGGATAATTGAAACATAGAAAAAAATAATGACTCCTAAGCATAGAAACAGACCCAATCATAAAGCTCTCTTCCTCTCTTTCTGCCTAGTGTTAGATCTTATTCATTGTCTTAAAGCACTGTGACCATTTTCAGTGAAATCACAGTTTTATTCATGAAAAGACAATGAATTGGTGTAAGTAATCATTTGAGGATGAAGGTGACTAGTCTGTGATCAACACCAGTACTTGAAGTACTTGTAAAACATGAATTGACCTTGGTTAAATTGCAGAAAATAAAGTATTAGTATACATAAACACATTTTCTCTCAGCATTGAAAAGTTATAGTCTATAATTTACCTGCTTGCTAAGAATAAAAATATTACTTAGAGGTTTATCAAGACCTTTTTTCTACAAATGGATTTAATGTACAGAATTATTCCATTTTCTATCTGTGCTCTGTATACTACCACCTAGTGGAATAAAATGCAAATTTACCTGTCAAAATCAGGAGAAGAAAATGAACCAGGGGAAATTTATTTCAGGAAAAAATTTTCATAACACGTTATTGTTACTTCTTTTAGTATAATGTAGTTTGCATAAAATACATTAGTTTGGAGTGAAAAAAGTCCCAGCCATTTTTGTGATAGCTATTAAAATGCTATTAGTTTGTCCACAAATAAGCTATTCTATTCAGAAACTTAGAAGCTAGGTAAATTATTGAGATGATGCCAGCATATTATATCTCTAAATTATGTTAAGAAGCTTCTCTAAATTCCTCATCACTAGGGTGTATTAGTCCATTTTCACACTGCTATAAAGAACTACCTGAGACTGGGTAATTTATGAAGAAAAGAGGTTTAATTGACTCACAGTTCTGCAGGCTTAACAGGAAGCATGACTGGGAGACCTCAGGAAACATACAGTGGAAGAAGGTGAAAGGGAAGCAAGGACCTTCTCATGGCAGCAGGAGAGGGAGAGCACAGGGGAAGTGCCACACACTTTTAAACCATCAGATCTCAGGAGAACTCACTCACTCTCACAAGCACAGCAGGGAGGAAATTCACCCCCACGATCCTATCATCTCACACTGGGCCCCTCCTCCAATTTGACATGAGATATGGGCAGGGACACAAATCCAAACCGTATCATAGGATTTGTTAAAAAAATCTAACATGTTCTGCTTCAAGGCACCCATGAAATGAAGGTGTCATTTCTTAACTGAGAGGTTAAATAAAAGTGCAGAGATAAGATGGTTAAGTTTTATCGTAGCTGGGAAGAAAAGCGGGTGTGTGTATTATGCTTAGGTTTTTCCTCCCAAACAATGAAACCCAAAAAGGCAAATGAAGCTTTAAGGCGCTTTATCCTTTACTGGTAGGATGGTCCTCCTTTAATCTTCAGTCTCTGTTAAAGAACAAACACAAGCTAACAATCAAAACCTGTTGTTGCTTGCTGACGGATTTCTCTAACATAGTCTTCCATCAACCATCATAGGTTTGTTGTGGCCACCCAGGCCCTTTGGTCGTCATGTTCCCATGGAATGCTAATGAAATTACCTTCCCATTTCCTAAGGTGACATGCCTTTCAGATGGCATTGGTGTGTGCTTGTGTAAACACATTTTTTTGTGCTCATGAATATTTTACCTGCCTGATTTTGGTGATCTGAGTGTTGAGCAGTGGGTGAGGGATGGTGGGGCAATGGGTAGTAAGGGGAAGTTTAATTGAAGTTCAGATAAAAATATCCCTCCAGAAACATTACAAAGCCACAAAATCAGCTGAAGTTGAGTCTTCTATTGTAAAGATTCTCTTTCTTCTCCTGACAGATCCCCATTCCTATCCAGGTAGACCAGGCTCTAGTGAAGATTGGACACAAGTGGTTTATATCCCGAAGCTCTTAACCTAAGAGTCCTGCCTTGTTTTTTTACTTCATGTGGTCTTATATTGCTGAGGATAGCCCAGTGATCATTTCTACCTTAATATGTAGCCTTCAAAACGTTGGGTCTCTCAGTTTTCTTCCTTAATAAACAATGAACCCTAATTATTTATAACTGCTCTTGTGATGGAGGAATTGGCATGATTTTGCATTGTGGGCTTCTGGCTTTACAGTGTTTGTGGGAAAGATGGTCTTCTATCTTTGTTATTTATAAGTCATTCATTCCCTGTTTTTTTGAAGATATTGTTAAATAAAAAAACTTCAGCTGAATTAAATTTAAAAGTTTTTAATTGAGCAAAGAACCATTCTCAATTCGGGCAGCCTTCCCATCCAGAGTAGTCCCTGTGACTTCAGTGCAGCCACATGGTGGAAGAGGATTTATGGACAGAGGAAGGAAAGTGACATACAGGAAACAGAAAAGAGATTCAGAAACAGCTGAATTGGTTATAACTCAGCGTTTGCCTTATTTGAACATGGTTTGAACAGTTGGCCACGTTTGATTGGCCAAAACTCAGTAATTGGCACAAGAGTAGGCTACCATCTGTTTATAATGTCCACTTAGGTTATAGTTCATGATGTGCAAAGAAACCTTTAAGCTGAGCTTAAAATGTAATGAGGCAGCTGTAGGCTAAACTTGATTTAACAGTACTTATCCCTCTGTTGAAATTGCACTCTTGCTACCTGCTAGTTGATGTGGGCAGGTGTGCTAATGACACATTCGCCTGCACCTACCACCTGCTGAAGACCCTGCCATGTCCTGAAGCAGTCACTTAGGCTATGAAACAGAAGGATGAGTTAGAGAAGTAAATATTATATTTTACCCCCCAAAGCCTAAAACCATGTCTAGGTTCTCCCCTTTCTCAATTCCCAATCATGCAACCTTGAAAGGTGTTATATAGATAGTTGTTAGAAATATGTCTGTCCTCCAAAACCCTACTAACACGCAAAAATGGACAAATCTAGCTTTTTTGCTAAAATCCTAACAACTCAGAAAGCAAAGCAAAATGAAATGTATGTACTCCATTCTCAGGATTTCCTTCTTAAAAACCACTAGGCTTTGTGTAACTCAATTTTAAAAGTATGGTAATAGCTCCTGTAATTCGATGGCTTCTTCTGGGAGACAGATATAAATCTATTCTAGACTTTAAGACTGGTGTCCACATTTTAAGTTACAGTTGTATGTACTTCTACTTTGTTGCAGCCTTCTCTTGGAGTCAAGAAGCCTACCAAAGCCCTGCTCTTTGTACTCTTGAGCCCAGTGGGACCTTATTTTTCAAGTGGAACCTTTAATCCAGTGTCCCTGTGGGCCAATCCCAAGTATGTAAGAGCCTGGAAAGGTGGAACTGGGGACTGCAAGATGGGAGGGTAAGTAAATCTGTGTCTCTGTCTAAAGGAAAGACACCTTCATGACCATTTAGTTAGTGCCATTTCACTTCAGTATGAACACATATAATACTTTTCAAACTTTAATGCTCATTGTGTTTCATGGTTAATTTTCAGTTTAATCTTTCAGCAAGCCAGCTGTAGTAGCTTTTCCTATATAAACGCAGTATGAATTCAGTGCCCTCGCTTTTAGATGTGCTAGTTTAAAGGATAGCCCATGGCCCTTTGTAAGGGAGAAACACTGGATATGATATCTAGGGAAGAACTGAAGTAAGAAACTACAACAAGCATCACATCGGTGCTTTGGATAAACTTCCCCTGGGCGCTGGTCTCTGGCTGCAGGCTGACGGCTGGCATTAAAAAGCATCTGGTCCTGGGACCCAGGCTCTCAGTTGGCTCCAGGGAGTCATGTCTGGGGAAGGTGCCCGCTTCACTGAAGTGCTGTCTTCATTGCCACAGATTGTGGCCACACCTGCTGCCAACTGGCTGCGGGACAGCCCTGCTTTGGCTCTGTCAGGCCAGTCTCATAGGCCATATGTAGCTGGCAGGAAATAAAAGAGCATTTGAAAAGTGTTGGACGATTTCAGGGGTGGACTTGGCCATGAGTTGGGAATGCCCCTATGGGTGAACGAGAATAACTGGTTTAAGCAGCATGGGTTCTTGCTTTGCATGTATCAAATGGTGCTGTTTGCATACTCAGGGCAGCAGCTGTCCTAGAAGGTGACTCCATGGCAGTCTTGTGGGCCCTGGTAGGACATTTAGGTCCAGGAGGCAGGGGAGAGTCACATGACGTGCTGCTGGGGTATTAGAGGCAATGACCACTGGCTTTGACCCCTCTGTAGTCTTGCTGTATTTCCTTTTTCTTTTCTCTCCTCACCTACCCAAATTAAAAAAGAACGGTTATAAAAGTCATCCCCACTGGCAACTTTAGCAACTGCATTCCCTCAATGGGTAGAGAAATCCAAATGGAGTGCATTAAAACTAGGAAGTCTATTCTCCTTCTGGCTTAGAGCACACCTTCCTGTGTCCTAGGCTAGCCAGGTTGAAAACTCCTTTTTTTGACTCTTGATTTCTTTTTTTACTGGTTCAAACTTCTTCGCAGAGCATGTGCCTATGTACCACTGCATACCATATATATACCATATATAGAGAGTAAATAAACAGTCTTGATGAAAAGTAATAAGGAAAAAGTTTCCCTGTTTAAAATATTGCTTTCTAGCTCCCCGACCTGTTTAGGAAAAAGATAACCTGGGGACACAGAAATTGCAGGGCAATCTTTATTAACCGGTATTTGGGCAGGTTGTAATTTATTTTGTAAACAATGATTTAATGCACTATTGCAGAATACATGATCACTGTAGGCCAGTTAAAAATTAATGTTTTCAGTACCACACAGAGTGAACCCTAATGTAAACTGTGGACTTGTGGACCACACTAATGCAAGATGATAATAAGAAGAAAAACTGAGAGGGTGTTCGGGAAGGGGTATAATAGGGGAATTCTGTTACCTTTTGCTCAATTTCTCTGTGAATCTAAAAGTACTCTAAAATAATAAAATCTATTATAAAAATATTTGATTCATTAGGCTCAGGTGGACTATGATCCATGGAAATTGACTTGAAATCTCTTAGGAAAGGAAGAGACCGGAGAAGAAAGTATTGAACTCATAAATTAAAAATGGCAAGAGGGAAGGTGGTAACCAAAAGGATGGGCATTTAACCTATATGCCTATCACTTCCAAAAAGTTCTAGGGCCGTCTCCTCCTATGCTTCTGACCTGGAGAGGTACAAGGGGAACAAAATATTCCGCATTTAATATTATCCTGTTGAGTTGGCAAAGACATTTGGAGTCAACTTTAGTTTTGTGTATTATTACATCTGTAAACCTAATTAAGTCAACAGTTACCCTTGACACCTGTAGTCAACTGGTATTATTAAATAACTATTGAGTCTCATAAAGTCAAGAACTTTCTGCTTTCTATCTAAGTGAATCTAGGGCAGAGACTGAGCATCAGGATTCTTTAGCATGCAGCCAAGCTTGAGAAGCACTGAGCTAGAGAAAGGTCTTGCACTGTAGAAACAGCTTTAGTTCCAGGTGATTCCTTGGTTAATTTGGGAGGAATAAGGCTTTCTGTCACTCTCTCTCTCTTTCTCTCTTTTTCTCTCTCTCTTGCACATGCACACGTGCACACACACACACAAATTATCTCTCTTAGTTTTTTCTTTTTTCCTTGCATTCTGATTCTGCATTTAAGAGTACAAGCTTTGAAGTCAGAAAGACCTGGCTTAAAAACCTAACTGTCATAATGGTGCGTAAATGTCGTTATAGATTTGTCCAAACCCATAGAATGTACACCAGGAATGAACACTAATGAAAACTCTAGACTTCAGGTGATAATGGTATGTCAATGTGGTTCATTAATTTCAGCAAATGTACCACTCTGGTGTGAGGCATTGGTAATGGTAGAAACTATTCATTTGGATGGGGAGAAAGGGATATGGGAAATCTTTGTACTTGCCTTTCAGTTTTGGTGGGAACCTAAAACTGCTCTGAAAAAAACCTGAAGTCTTTAAAAACAAACCAACCTAATTGCCTTGGGCATGTTACTTAACTGCTCTATGTATCAGTTTCCTCATTTTTAAAGTTGAGGCAATAATACCTTGCACAGATTAAGTGAGATAATAGAAAGTGCCTAGGATAGTACTTGGCATATAGAAAGCTCTCAGCAAATGCAGTATGATAACCTAATGGTTAAAAGCTTGGGTTTAGGAGTCAAATGTCTGGGAGTTACACACTTAACTATCTGTGAGATCTTCTACAACTGAATCCTCTCTCCAAGTCTTCCAATGAACAATAAAGTCTAGGGTTGTTTTTAGATGACTCAATGAAATAATGTAGTTAAGTACTTAGCACCCAGTCTGGCAGGTATGGGTTGCATATCTCTTATCTGAAATGCTTGGGACCAGATGTGTTTTGGATTTCAAATTTTGGAGTATTTCTCTTTGGGCATCCCTAATCCAAAAAATTCGAAATCCAAATTGAGCATCATGTTGGCACCGAAAAAGTTTTAGATTTTAGAGCATTTCAAAGTTTTAAATTAGGGATCCTCAACCTGTAGTAAACTCTCACAGTCACTGATGTTGTGAGGTTTTCTCACTTTCTCATTTCATTTCCTGGACTCTCTTTATCTTAGAAGAAATCAGTTAAATTTTACATAATAGAATTTATTCTTTTGGAGGGATGTATTTAATATGTCTATTCTCCCAGATAACCTATTTAAAACCATATTGAAATGTTTCTATGTCAACAGCTTTCTTACTTTTTCATTTTTCTGTTTCCTCCAAGAACATGTTTCTCTTATGAATATTGGCAGCACATGGGCGGGAACCCAACTATATTACCATGGTATCAGTTATCCTGTGGACATTAATAATACAGCTTACACCTGTGAGAGAACTCTGGGAAAATTAAAACTTGTTTGGGGGAATAAAGACCATCTACAGAATATAATAATACATCAATCAATCAATTAAAACTTAAACATAAAAAACCCTTTTCTTTTCAGTGCATTGAAATAGTCACTGTCTTTAATCCTCTTTCCTTGCTCAGTGCTTCATGAAGCTGAGGAGCCATGGTTTTAATTCAGCTACACTTTCAGAAATGTGTATGCATTTGTATTTAGAAGCTTCTTTGAAAGGCTAAATATTCATCCTGTAAGAATTCTCTATGTGTTTTTTAATACAGTCTAAAGGGCATTTTGTATATGAAAAAATAATTTATTTTCAGGTAGGGTAAAACTTCACTGCTTCACTACTTCGTAGTTGTGTCTACGAATGAGAAAAAATTCAAATAAAATAGTTATTATTATTAGTTTTTAGAGATGCAGTCTTGCTGTGTTGCCCAGGCTGGTCTGGGACTTCTGGCCTCAAGCCATCCTCCTGCCTCGGTGTCCTGAGTCACTGGGATTACAGGCATGAGCCACCACACCCCACTGAAATAGTTATTTTTTAAAAAACTTAATTTCATTAGGATGTAACAGTCTCATGTAACTCATCCTTTGGCTTTTATTGTTATTATTTATTTTTTCCAAGCAACCCAATGAGATATATAAAGCAGATATTTTTATCTGCCAGATAATTAAATGAGGGAAAAATAAGGACTAACTTGCTTAAGTTCACATATACCAAATAGTGGAAATGCAAGAGCTGTCCTCAGGTCTGTTAACAACAAACCTGTGGTCTTTCTACCAGACGTCCCCTGCAATCTGGTTTATACTCATTATTAAAAAGCATTTGTAATTTAACTCAGTTATCTATTTACTATCAGTTATGAATAAGGATTATTTGACTTTTTATGGTCATTAAACAATAGCTTCCTATCTGTTGTCTTTGTCTTTTTAATTTTTATTTATTTTATTGTTTTTTTAATAGCTTCCTATCTGTATACCAGACTTGCTTCATCTCCACATTGACCAAGAATTTATATTTTGTCATCTGTATTTAGAAGCATATGTTTTAAGCGTCTTTTAATGGCTCTTTTTTTTTTTTTGCTGGGAGGGGACAGTCTCGCTCTGTCTCCTAGGCTGGAGTGCAGTGGCACCATCTCAGCTCACTGCAACCTCCGCCTCCCTGGTGTGAGTGGTGCTCCTGCCTCAGCCTCCCGAGTAGGTGGGATTACAGGCGTGGTCCACCAAACCCAGCTAGTTTTTTATATTTTTGGTAGAGACAGGGTTTCACCATGTTAGCCAGGCTGGTCTGGAACTCCTGACCTCAAGTAACTTGCCCACCTCAGCCTCCCAAAGTGCTGAGATTACAGGTATGAGCCACTGTGCCTGGCCCTTTTAAGGACTCTTTTTTTTTTTTTTTTTTTTTTTGAGACAGTCTCACTCTGTCGCTCAGACTGGAGTGCAGTGGCGCGATCTCGGCTCACTGCAAGCTCCACCTCCCGGGTTCACGCCATTCTCCTGCCTCAGCCTCCCGAGTAGCTGGGACTACAGGCGCCAGCCACCACGCCCGGATAATTTTTAGTATTTTTAGTAGAGACGAGGTTTCACCGTGTTAGCCAGGATGGTCTCAATCTCCTGACCTCATGATCCGGCCGTCTCGCCTCCCAAAGTGCTGGGATTACAGGCGTGAGCCACCGCGCCTGGCCCTTTTAAGGACTCTTAACATTACCTTGGTGTGAGTCAACCTCATCGTGCTCCAATGGCAATCACCATAGTATGATGTCTATTTTCCACAGCTTACTGGAATATTTCAGCTATTAGTCAATATTCTTTCAGTTGCAAGTCAGAAAACCAACTTGAAATTATTATTTATTTATTTATTTATTTTTTTGAGACGGAATTTTGCTCTTGTTGCCCAGGCTGGAGTGCCATGGCACAATCTCGGCTCACTGCAACCTCCGCCTCCCGAGTTCAAGCAATTCTCCTGCCTCAGCCTCCAGAGTAGCTGGGATTACAGGCATGGGCCACCACTCCCGGCTAATTTTTTTGTTATTTTTAGTAGAGACGGGGTTTCTCCATGTTGGTCAGGATGGTCTCAAACTCCCAACCTCAGGTGATCTGCCCACCTCAGCCTCCCAAAGTGCTGGGATTACAGGCATGAGCCACCGTGCCCGGCCTGGAAATGATCTTAAGCAGACAAGGGCTTATGAAACTAGGATGCTAGGGGCTAAAGCAATTATTTCCAAGTTTCTTGTGTCCTTTGCACATCCCCCTTTTTCTTCCCTTCTTCCTCTGCCTCTGGTCAGAGCTTCTGGCTCCATGTTGGCCTAGGGCTCTCCCACTTCAGCCGCTTTCTTCTGTGAAGTGTGGTGATCATGGACACAGCCGACCCCAGTTTTACAGCATACCAAGTAAGCAACCCCAGAAGGGAGAAAATGCCTGTATTTCAGGTTATAGACATTAAAATGAGTGAATGCACCCAAAAAAGGAATCATGTGACTGTCTTAGGTTATATGCCCACCCTTTAACTCAGCTGCAGCAGGGCAAGATGCTATATTGTCATCAGTTGTGGTAGGGCAAGATGCTATATTATCAGTCCAAGCAGAATGACATAGCTCTATAGAAAGACTATGTTTTTATAAGAGTATGGAATATAGTGCAGATGAAAACAGTAGATATACACTAACATGTGGCTCTAATGTTTAATTTTTATTTTTTTTGAGACAGAGTCTCACTGTGTCACCCAGGCTGGAGTGCAGTGGTGCTATCTTGGCTCACTGCAACTTTTGCCTCCCGAGTTAAGATGATTCTCCTCCCTCAGCCTCCCTAGCAGCTGAGATTATAGGCACCCGCCACCACGCCCAGCTAATTCTTGTATTTTCAGTAGAGACATGGTTTCACCATGTTGGCCGGGCTGGTCTCGAACTCCTGACCTCAGTGATCCGCCCATCTTAGGCTCCTAAAGTGCTAGGATTACAGACATAAGCCACCGCGCCTGGCCTCATGCTCAACTTTTATTTAGACAACAGTACAAATTGTAATTTTACCCAGATGTAAAAGAGTCTAAGAGACCTAAATAGATATTTTGTGGTAGATTACATTAATGTAATGTAATGTAATGTAGGAGTTTTACATTACTACATTTGTAGTTGTTTTAGTTGTTTTTCATTGTTTGTTTCTGTGTATTTCTGGGGATTTCATGGTGCAACAGGAGGACTAGAGTTTATTCCCGATCCCTGACTGTCTTACGGCAGTACTTCTCAGACCTACTGAGTTATACAACCAGGGGTGTAGGGAGGCAAGCAGTCATCACATTTATTTGAGGACTCTCATGTTTTGTCTAAAATATTCATCCTTATTTTATAATATACTCCATAATTTTCCCATATAAGTTTAGATAAAAGATGATACCTTAAAAGTATTATAACACTAAATTGTCATTCCGGGAAAATGTGCTGTGTTCCTTTCATTTTAAATAATCTGAGATGAATGGTGCAGGCTGAGAAAAATAGGCTTTTGAAATACTTTTTGGTCAACATCGAGACTTTTAACATTTGTCCTATCTTTTAGGGGAATTTAGACATTGGGCATTATGTATTCCTTGGATACATTAAAAGGTGTTAGATAAGAGCGCTCACACTTGCTGCTCTTCTATTGCAACTTGACAGAAGTTACTTCTCTAAACCTTAGTTTCTCATCTGAACAATGGAAATAATGATAGTGTCTATCTCATAGTATTGGTGTGAGATTTAAATGAAATAATTCATGTAAAATTGCTTGGTGTGTGGAAACATAGTAACTTTTAACTGTTCTCATTAACTTGGCTATTTACCTGTGTTCTTCTATCATTACATTTCAAGTTAAAATTTCAAGGTTTCACGTTGTTCTCTCTCCAATGAATGCAGTTAAATCACTTAGATTTTCTAATGAGTTTTCCTTTAATGTTATGCAGTTGACTAGAGAGTGTATATATATTAAGAACATAATACCTTCACTATGTCCACATGTGAATTAAGAGCTTGAGGCTATCAGAGGGTAGAAGATGAGGGAGTGGGGATGAAGTATGTTTGTAACCTGTGTATTTTCTCTTTCTTAAAGGAATTACGGCTCATCTCTTTTTGCCCAATGTGAAGCAGTAGATAATGGGTGTCAGCAGGTCCTGTGGCTCTATGGAGAGGACCATCAGATCACTGAAGTGGGAACTATGAATCTTTTTCTTTACTGGATAAATGAAGATGGAGGTAATCCACTCAGATTTCACTGTGTGCATTTCTCAGTCATTTTCAACAGGACCAGAAAGACAAGAGCTAGAAACTTAGTACAAGGGAGTAAGTAGCACAGTTCCAAAGGCTAAGTAAGGACTACTGTGCTTTTGCTGCCCAAATAGACACAAGTTTCTTTTTTTTCTTTCTTTCTTTTTTAAAGAGGTGGAGTCTCACTATGTCACCCAGGCTGCAGTGCAATGGTGTGATCTCAGCTCACTGCACCCTGGTTCAAGCAATTCTCCTGCCTCAGCCTCCCGAGTAGCTGGGATTGCAGGAGCCTGCCACCATGCCCAGCTAATTTTTGTATTTTTTTTTTTAGTAGAGATAGGGTTTCACCATGTTGGTCAGGCTGGTCTTGAACTCCTGACCTCAGGTGATCCACCGGCCTTGGCCTCCCAAAGTGCTGGGATTACAGGTGTGAGCCACTGCACCCGGCCGAGTTTCGATTTAAAGAAGCTCTAGAGGTTTTTTGTTTTTCGTTTTTTGTTTTTCTGGCTCTAGATGTACTGATTATTGAGATACTGAGATGTCACATTAAGGGATTTAAGTTACCATGATTGGAAGATTTGCTTCCTTATCCCTTCTGCAGTTCCCCAACAATTTTCCTATCTGAACACCTTGCATTGAGACACAGGTCTCAGATCAGGTCAATGGTCATTCACCATATACCGTATATAAAATGCTAGAGTAATAAATGCAGTGTACTGATTCTACTGGAAGGATTTTGTGTACTCTCTGGCTGTAATTGTTTTAACAATTGTTGCCTTTTCTACATATTTTGAAAATGTATCACAATCTCTCCAAATTTACTCTAGAACTCAATCTGATTAAAGAGCACCATTTTAAAAGATAAATCAATGTATCTTGGGATTGTAACTAGATCCTGGTTCATTCAAGACAATTTCATATATCCACTATAGATATCAATATTTCTCTATTATCTTTAATATCCTGAGTACTCATTACTTTTCTTTGCTGTTTTTTTTTATTAGTTGGCAGAGACCATAGGGGTTCAGTGAAGTGTTGGCAACGTGTATGATATTGAATTAAATGGCCAACGGTGGGAGAAAAACAGGCATTTATTTCTATTAGAATTTTGATAATCATACCAAATTTAGAAGCGTATTTTTAGACTTGTTTACATTCTTAGGTTGTTCATTTCACAGTAGTAATTATAGAGACTAGAAATATAAATGATGTTTCCAAATACTTATGAAGTCTCAGTGTTAGTAGTTTCAATTAAATTTTTTAAAATGCAGTTTATATTTGAAAGTAGCTACAGTAGCCTCTCTTGCTCTAATGTTATTTGGCTACAAAAAGAGGAAAATGGTAATTTAGATGTGGCTGAATTCAGAGCTAAGTACTAATTTTAGTGTTAGTTGCAGAGACTAACAAGATGAGTCTTATACTGCAGTCAGAGGTAGAATAAACAGAAGATATGGTGAGTAAGCCTTGTCCTGGGCTTGGCCATTGGTAGTCCTTGGCATATGAAAAACCAGATACAGATCATTCTCATCCTTCCATTCCTGCTGTTTGTACTTGGCACTGTTTGAAAATAAAATTTATACAGGAATATTTATGATTTATAAATTTGAGTTACTGTATGTGACATATAACAAAAGCTACACTTGGAAGATTGTAGCCAGTGTTGACCTCTGCACTTAGAAGATAATAGGCCGATTCAACCCTTCTTCCCATCTGCCCACTCTTACCCCCACCCCAAACTCCACCAAAAAACCACACAGCTCAAAACAAAAACAGTTACATCATTCAGAGGTGGTACCATCATTATTTTTATGGATGGGAGATGTCAGAATTTAAGTACACTCTGAATCAGAGCTACATGATTTAACCAGAAACACCAGAAACTGTCCTGGTGGAAAATTGTTCTTTATCCAAACAATAATCATGAAACATTTCCACCATGGCTTTTAAAGGTCAGAATAGAAATGAGTGAGTTTGTCTTCTGCCTCTTGCAAAATATACAAGACCTTAAGACTGTTAGTTACTATTCAGATTATGGTTGCCTGGGATAACTTTAGTTTTAATATACTCCTTCACTTTGGGGATGTTCATCTAACAGAACAAATAAAATTCAGAATAAGGAGAAAGGAAATAGAATATATATTTGAAGTAAATAGAATGTTAGGAAAAACCTTTGGGCTAAAAAAAAAGACATGCAATTCTGAAGTAACTTTGATTTATATCATATGATTTTAAGAAAATACAATGAACAAACGAGTTGAAAATCAGCACAATACTGATTTTCACAAACGTTACCGATAGGAGGTATAAACAGAGTTCTTTCGGTAATAGCCTGCCGTCTTTTCATGAGCGCCCACACACACTGCTCCTGTTGGTTGAGATGGCTGGTGCAGGAAGGTGGATGGGGTGGTGGATAGTGTGTGTTCAAAGCACAGTGCTGTGCACAGTCACTATGTGTGGCACTCAGCTTGTAACTCATGGGAGTTTTGATTTCAGTAACAGCACCCATGGTGGCAAGATCACACATCATCACTCTGTTGATGAGTAATTTAACCCATACGCTTGCTATTCACCATTTGAACAAAGCATTGTATCATATCCTGGACCCTGGAGATACCCTGAAAAATAAGACCCAGGCCTTGTGGTTGAGTTCACAGTCACTTTGGGAAAACAACCACAGCAGTGAATCTCGGTATTGCTCAGGCCACATCATGAGTCTTCTCGGACACGTCAGGCGTGTATACGGACTCGACTTGGAGCACTCTTCCTCAGATGTCTGTACCGCTTGCTCTTTGACATCCTCCAAATCTTTGCTTACAAATCCCATTCTCAGTCTGGCTTTCCTTGAGCTCTTAATCAAAATCATAAACTCCATTTCCCATTTCTCCTCAGCATTCCAGCATTCTCCATTGCTTTTCCTTCTTTGTTTCCCCCTGTGTAGTCTAACATACTATCAACACAATAAATGTTTACCTGTGTCTATTAGAAAGTAAGCAGGGAGATATGTCAGTTTTGTTCACTGCTGTATTCATAGAGCTTAAAACGGTAAACAGCACTCAATATGTATTTGTAGAATAAATGGCTAATTGTGCTGATGGTGTTTAGGGCACTTATGCAGACCTACATTCCTGGTTTCCATTAGTGTTTGACTTTGGGAAGTCACAGATGAATCCTGCTGTTATTGCTTCTAAATTCCTCATCTCCTAAAAATGACTTCTTTGTCAAAAACAAGCTGCATTTGTAGGTTCTGTTTTCCTCATGTTGGGCAATCTGGAGTGATTTCTGGCTCTTGTAAGTATGTTTGTGGTTGCAGAGGAAAATGAATATTTCTCACCCAAATGTTGTCATGTCATCATCTCTGTCTGGCAACCAGAGAAGCAGATGTTCTGTTCCTTGACCTCAGGCTAGTGGTTACAGTTCTGGGTGTTAAACATGTTTCACAAAACAGCACTTGCACATGCGGGGCTGCTGTTTTCATTTAACTTCATGTAGTCTCAGGGCTCAGCAAGCTTTAGGAAAGGTCCGGTTTGGGGGCACTGGAAGTGTGTGTGTGTGTGTACATATATATACACACACAAATAGATCCATACATTTATGTATCTAGTTGGCTAGCTATTGCAAAACACATGTTTATTTTGAGATCATCAACACTTCTAAACATGACAAAGAGTAGCCCTAAGAACATTGCCAAGAACAAATTTTCTCCTTTCCAGAAAGCAATTTTCAGCAGATGATTTTCAGAAACAAAATTCAAAAAAGCCATACTGCTGTATCCTAGCAAAGATAACTTATTCGTTTATTTTTTACTCAAAAACATTTATTATATACACTCTGGGCTAGGCACAATGCCCAGTTTTGAGGATAGAAGGATGAAGATAGAGTTTGGTATTCCAGATAGAGCTTGATTGTTGGGCATGTCTGATGTAACCCCAGTGGAGTGGGCGAGCCTAGAACCACCATGTATTGAGGGAGAGGGTGGTGGCCTCAGTGTCAGGACTCACTAGATTCAGACTCCTGGGTGTCAGAAGTGGGGAGGAAAGGGAGATGCTGAGTGCCAGAGGGTACTGTAAGGAGAGCTTGTGCAGCTGATGGATCATGCATGATGCCTGTGAACAATTGTCCTACTAGACCTCACAGTAGTTAGGGATGTCTGCAGTCATCTCACAGTAGAGCAGTAGCTCAGCTTTGGAGTTTTGTTTCTTGAATGTCTTCTTTTTTAACCGTACACGTGCTTGAGCTCACTCTGATAAGCCCATTACATTTGAATCTCAGAGAGCAAAGGCAGCATCTCCATACTTGTTGCTGATGCTCCACCAGGTTTGAAAATCACTAAAGATAGACTCTTAGGCTGGGTGCGGTGGCTCACATCTGTAATCTCAGCACTTTGGGAGGCCGAAGTGGGCAGATCATCTGAGCTCAGGAGTTCGAGACCAGCCTGACCAACATGGTGAAACCCCGTCTCTACTAAAAATACAAAAATTAGCCAGGCGTGGTGGCGCGTACCTGTAATCCCAGCTACTCAGGAGGCTGAGGCAGGAGAATCACTTGACCCTGGGAGGCAGAGGGTGCAGTGAGCTGAGATGGTGCCACTGCACTCCAGCCTGGGTAACCTAAAAAAAAAAAAAAAAAAAAAAAATTAGACTTTCCAAGGGCAGCGTGGAAGCAGTGACCAGCCTGAGTAGGCACGCACACTTCTTGGGGATAGCCTCCTCCATAGCATTCTTAGAAGGTTTGGTAATGACCAGTTTTTCTGAGTAAGACCCTATCTACATTATTCTAATTAGTAACCACCTTTCATCTGCTAAGGTAAATTTTCACTTCAGAATATTCCTCTTAAGACCATGCAATAACTCTTACTGTTTGTTGGTGGAAAACCATCTCATTATTTTACTGGTTAAGGGTAAACTGAAGATGATTAGATAACTTTCCTTCCTTCCCTCCCCCCTTCCTCCCTTCCTTCTCTTTCTTCCTTCCTTTCTCCCTCCCTCCCTCCCTCTCTCTTTCTTTCCTTCTCTCTTTCTTTTCTTTTCTTTTTTCTTTCTTTCTTTCTTTTTTCTTTCTTCCTTCCTTCGTTCCTTCCTCCCTCCCTCCCTCTCTCTCTTTCTTTCTTTCTCTTTTCTTTCTTTCTTTCTTTCTTTCTTTCTTTCTTTCTTTCTTTCTTTCTCTCTTTCTTTTCTTTCTTTCTTTCTTTCTCTTTCTCTTTCCTTCCTTCCTTCCTTTCTTTCTCTCTCTCTCCTTCCTTCCTTCCTTCTTTCCTTCCTTCCTTCTTTCCTTCCTTCCTTCTTTCTTCTTTTTTTAAATAAGGGTCTACCTGAAGTGTGAACTGATTTGGGAAATTTGATCATGCAGAACAGTAAAATTTTCTTTATGTTTGTTGCTAGCAAAATTGTGATGGTTTTTTAAAAAAATGGCTATTGATAATAAGGCATGCCTAATGTAGTGAAAGTTTGAAAATGTCCCAATTTCTGATTGACAGAAGAAGAACTGGCAACTCCTCCACTAGATGGCATCATTCTTCCAGGAGTGACAAGGCGGTGCATTCTGGACCTGGCACATCAGTGGGTGGGTGCCTTTGATATGAACAACTTTTGTAAGCCTGAAATAAAAAATAATCAAAATAAGCCCAGCCTAGTGTTGAAATAATATCCTGTGGTTCCAACCAATGTTATCTAATCTTTAAATTCTAACGTGAATGAAAAGTATTCTTCTAGAAGGGCTTTCTTGGCAAGACTATTAAAATAAGTATTGTTGATAGCAAGGGCAGAGAGAAACCAGTTTAGCAAGATGTCATAGTGGAGAAGTATTCTAGTAGTAGTCTCAGTCTACCAGGTATCTCCCACCAACTTTTGTCTGGTTCATACCTGATGTGCTTCCATCCAGACATTCCTTAACTTCCCAAGTCTGTGTTGCTTCCAAATGGCAATGATACTTCTTCCTTTCCTTTATTTATACCAGTGTAACCATGCTTGCCGTAGAAATGAAATAATTTCACTGACATATAAATGTTTACTAATATAACATTATTGGTTTGACTGCCTTCTTTTTCTCTCTGTCCTACCCCCATCCTCCAAAATTCATATACATGCCTATTTTAAAATCAGAACATGCAAGCAAATGTAAAGTTGTTTTCAGTAGACTTTCAAATTCGTGTGACACAGGCAAGCATATTAAACAATTTGGTGGACCGGGTGCAGTGGTTCATGCCTATAATTCTAGCATTTTGGGAGGCCAAGGCAGGAGGATCACTTAAGCCCAGGAATTCGAGACCAGCCTGGGCAACATAGTGAGACCCCGAATCTACAAAAAAATCAAAAACATTAGCTGAACATGGTGGTACATGCCTGTAGTCCCAGCTACTTGGAGGGGCTGAGGTGGGAGGATGGCATAAGATCTGGAGGTCAAGGTCGCAGTGAGCTATGATCAAGCCACTGCACTACAGCCTGAATACAGGGTGAGACCATGTCTCTAAAAGTAAATTAAATAAATAAATAAATAAATAAATAAATAAATAAATAAATAAAATAAAATTTAAAAAGGTTTGGTTTTGGAAATGACGTAATGTATTCAAGACAAATTATTGAATGAATTGGGTGTCTGGTAAAGGTTCTTGGATGGAACTTTTGACCCAGGTGTTAAAATGGTCTCCAAAGAACATGAAAAGGCTTTGAGCTTACTGTGGTCAAAGAGTACTAGTAGTAATAGGACAAATGTTTAGA
The DNA here is from genome assembly GCF_000001405.40 of Homo sapiens. Taxonomy (NCBI): domain Eukaryota; kingdom Metazoa; phylum Chordata; class Mammalia; order Primates; family Hominidae; genus Homo; species Homo sapiens. The sequence goes on along the minus strand of NC_000012.12, from coordinate 24,835,356 downwards.
AACACACACGTTATCTAGGAGCATACCAGCATGGTTTCTCTGGAAAAGACTTTCAAAATAGATGAAATGTGCTATAAATAATTCTACAAAACCCTGAAGTAGACAAGACCCAACTGCTACATGCTGGCTGGCGCATTGGGCATGACATTTACAAACCGTTGGTATAATTTTCAAACAGCTTGCCCTGTCCTAAATATGTTTGCAATTGGAAAGATATTTTTGAAGCTCAGTAATTTTTGTTTTATTAAAGAAAAATATCAACCAAGTACAGAAGGTTCGACGACAAGTTGCAAGTGGAAATACTTTCCCACACTAATGATTTGCTAGCATGAAAAATAGGTTATTATGGAGGAAATTTTTTCTTGACTTCATAGCTGTAATTTATTTTAAAAGCTATTTTAAAACATGAGACGTGAAATGCCAAGAGGCATGTAGGGGGTCACCACTATTTGCCAGATAGGGGAAATTGTCCAAAGATAAGTAAGGGTGAGCAGAGCAAAAACAATTCTGCTTATTTACAAAAGAGTTTTCTTTTCTTTTCTTTTTCAGGACACAGAACTCAGCTTGTTTTCAATTAATTTGCCTGATTTTCTGCAGTTCATTTACTTTTGAACAACATAATTGCAATTGTAGACTGAGAGAAATTGAAACTTTCAAAGAGCCATATTTCTATTGCAGATATATTTTCCTGCTCTTCCAAATCTACTTACAGCATGAGTTCTTCTTTTAAATATTCAAATATTTTGAATATTGCCAAGAGCTTTGATTTCCATTTTTATCTCTTGTGGGTTTATAAATTAAGAAAAAATACTCATCTTATTTTTTTAAACCTCTCTATTTTTATTGCCCTTTATTCAAATAACTTGTTGACAAACTTTGAACTTGAACCACTGAGGTAAAAGAACAAGAATTAAACAGATAGTTTAAACACATAGCTTAAAAGGATCTTTTTCCCATTTCCTATCCTTGAGCAAAGAATATATTCAAACACTTTGGCAGAAGTCAATGAGGTTATACCACTAATTCCATGATGAAAATCAACTGAATGTGATACTGAAAGAGAAGGAAGAGAATTGTCACTGTAAAGTCAACTGTTAGTCATATTAGGAAAAAAAATACATACAATACAATTTCTCAAATAAAGTCCAAATATACATTCAACGTTTAAAAATAATGAGTATTTCAGATATTTGAACTCAGTCTGTTCTTTATTCCATAAAAGATATAGGTAAGCCGTGCACAGTGGCTCACAACTATAATCCCAGCACTTTGGCACTTTGGGAGGCTGAGGTGGGAGGATCACATGAGCCCAGCCTGGGCAACATAGGGAGACCCCTATCTTTACAAAATAAAATATAAAATATAAAACCTAGTTGGGCATGGCAGCATACACCTGTAGTCCCAGGTGCTCAGGAGACTGAGACAGGAGGATCACTTGGGCCTGGGAGGTCGAGGCTGCAATGAGCCAAGATTATGCCACTGCATTCCAGCCTGGGTGACAGGGCAAGACCCTGTCTTAAAAAAAAAAAAAAAAGAAAGAGACAAACGTAGAAAGAGTACCAAATTTGGAGCCAATCAGATCAGACCTGGGTTCAAATTGAGTTTCTGTCACTTACTTCCTTTGTGGCCCTGGAGATGCCCTTCAACCTCCTTGAACCTTAGTTTCCTCATCTGTAAAATGGGGATGATAGTACTCACCCTTAAAATTACAGAACTTGGCATAATAGCGGGTGCTTGATAAATGGTAGCTATAATTATTAATATTATATAATACATTGTTCTCCTTTATGGTAAAGTAGGTTTTAAGACACTGATTTTTTTGTTTTGTTTTGTTTTTGGAGACAGAGTCTCACTCCGTCACCCAGGCTGGACTGCAGTGACGTGATCTTGGTTCACTGCAACCTCTGCCTCCTGAGTTCAAGCGATTCTCCTGCCTCAGCCTCCTGAGTAGCTGGGATTACAGGCACCCGCCACCATGCCTGGCTAATTTTTGTATTTTTAGTAGAGACAGGGTTTTACCAGGTTGGCCAGGCTGGTCTCAAACTCCTGACCTCAAGTAATCTGCCTGCCTCAGCCTCCCCAAATGCAGAGATTACAGGCATGAGCCACCGTGCCCGGCCTAAGACACTGTTAACACGGAGCATGCATCAAGCAGCATTTGGGATGCATCAATTTTGTGAGACTTTATACAAGTTAACAAATAAGAAGGCAAAAAAGAAGGCATATGTTAAAGTATACCATGTGTCTTGTGGTGATAATCTTATATTTTATATTCTGATAATCTCATATATAAATCTGTGACCTTGAAGTAGGTTACTTAACACCTCGATGTGTTCACCAGTAAGATGGTGTGCCACTTCCAGCTTTCCCTTAAAGGATGATTGTGACCTTGTCTAAGTGCAATCAGAATGTTAAGCAGAACAGTAAGTATTGCAATTGTTTTGCATGCCTTTTCCTTTAAAATATACTTGTTATTTTTTATATTCCATGCAGGGTGAATTTAAGGTGTCAGAGAGATACCTCACCATGGATGACTTGACAACAGCCCTGGAGGGGAACAGAGTGAGAGAGATGTTTGGCTCTGGTACAGCCTGTGTTGTTTGCCCAGTTTCTGATATACTGTACAAAGGCGAGGTACGACAAGTATTTCCTCATTTCCTATCATTTCCAATCACATTAAATTACATTTAATTTAAGTGTATGAATAAAATTGTATCTGGACCCAGACCCAAGATGCAAAAGTTTTGTCGTTGTTGTTGTTTTTCTTTATTTTAAAGAGATGGAGTCTCGCTGTGTTGCCCAGGCTGGAGTGCAGTGGCTATTCACTGGTGTGATCATAGCTCACTGCAGCCTCAAACTCCTGGGCTCACGCAATCCTTCTGCTTCAGCCTCCTGAGTTGCTGGGATTACAGGAGTGCGCCACCGCACCATGCTAGGTCTTTTTTGTTGTTGTTTTTGTTTTTTAACTTGGCACTACAAAAAAAATAACTGGGACAGTTTATCCAGATGAAACTGTATTAGCATATATCTACTATGTTTCCAGTGATTTCATGTAAGCTTAAACATGGTGGGAAGTTAGTTTTGTCCTTGGACACGTGTAAGATCTGTCTTACCTACATGTCGGGATTGGAGCTATGCCGACAGTCTTCTACTCTTCTCTCTTCCTTCCTACCAGCTCACTAGGGAAGGCTCTATAGGTAGTTACATTTCAGTTTCTGGTTAACCAAAAGTACTTCCAAACCACTGGATTAGGAATGGCAAATAGTTATGGAAAATGCATTCGAGTGGTCAATCCCTTGATTTTTTTTTACTATTAATGCTGTTATCATTAATAGTAAGTAGACCACTTTACAAGAATTATTCATTGGCAAACCTGGTGCATTTACTAAAATCTTACAAAAGGAATTTGAGGATTTGGTTGGAAGAAATGTTCTCCTCTTAGTAAATTAGTCTGATTTTATATGTGCCATACTTTTGTTTTCTTGTCAAATTGTTTTGCTTTTCACTTTATAACAAAGCTCCAATACTTATGATTAACATTGGCATCTAACTTTATAACTTAAAGGCATGTAAGTATTAGTCTTATAATGTGAACTGGCTTAAGTTATTCATATTATAGCAGATCCTTGAACAACACAGGGATTAGGGGTGTCAACCCCCATGCAGTTGAAAAATCCACATACAACTTTTTTTGTTTGTTTGTTTTTTTAAACGGGGTCTTTCTCTGTCACCTGTACTGGAGTGCAGGGGCACAATCTCGGCTCACTGCAACCTCCGCCTCCCAAGCTCAAGCGATCCTCTCACCTCAGTCTCCCAAGTAGCTGGGACCACAGGTGTGCACCACCACACCCAGCTAATTTTAGTATTTTTTGTAGAGACGGGGTTTCAAGATGTTTCACAGGCTGGTCTCAAACTCTTGAGTTCAAGTGATTCACCTGCCTTGACCTCCCAAAGTGCTGGTATTACAGGCGTGAGTCACCATGCCCGGCCCACATATAACTTTTGACTTCCCAAAAACTTAACTACTAGTAGCCTGCTGTTCACCGGAAGCCTTATCAACAACAAAAACAGTCGATTGGCACATATTTTGTATGTTATGTATGTTATATATGTATTCTTACAATAAAGTAAGTTACGAAAATCATGGGGAAGGGAAAATATATTTACTATTCATTACATGGAAGTGGATCATCATAAAGGTCTTCATCCTCATTGTCCATCATGTTGAGTAGGCTGAGGAGGAGGAGGAGGAGGAGGGATTGGTCTTGCTGTTTTAGGAGTGGCAGAGGCAGAAGAAAGTCCACGTATAAGTGAACTTGTGTAGTTCAAACCCGTGTTGTTCAAGTGTCAACCGTAAATGCAAACTCCACTGGTTTTCAAATTTTACTTTAGAGTTATTTTCCCTCAGCTGATTGGAGTTTTGCTCAACTCCTCTGACTTTAATAATGGCTGCTTCATTTGTTGAGGTTTTAGAACTTGCTTTTAAGGGATTGCTCTTGACATAATTGCATCAACAGATAGACTGTTTCATGGGAGAAGAATTGTTCTGTTTCATGTCAATACTTACATTGATAAGAATGCATCAAGGTAATGTGATCCATCCACTGAAGTTGTCATTAGGCCAGATTTTTTTTAAGTTGAATTATTATTTCACTTCTAGAAATAAGAAGTTTATAAAGTTTAGCATAATTTTAATGATCCAGGCTTAGGAAGCATTTACAGCCAAAAAGTAAGTATATATAATTATCATATTATACTAAAGGGTATAATATGAAAAGTGTTTGAGAGCACAGACTATCTCCTAAAATCAAACTATCAAAACCTGCAAGCCAGCAAGGCATGAGTAGGCATGACTCAGATACAAATTAGAAGCATGAAATCTCTTTCAGCCATGCATTTAATCATGCTATCCAATATTGTGGAGGTAGTGGCCCCTGGAAGTTTACCTTGGGCCAGAGATAGGTATAGAAGCCCCTTTTATGAAGTCATAGACTTGCTTTAATTTATGCTCCCAGAATGACTTGCATTAAACTGTGGCAAAATATCTTTGAGTTCTCATATTAGCCAGAGGGTTAATATGTAGAAGACAATCATTCATCCTTACAGATTCTCAGAATCTTGGAAGAGGTAGGGTTCTTTAAGTTTAGCCACTATTTTAGGTAACTGTAGCTCCTCCTTGGTTCTTCAAATGATCCTGAAGGCTGGTATACAAACCAGTTATGCCCTAAAATTAATTGGTAGGTAGGCAATGTATAACCTGTCATTGGCTAGTTTTTATTCAAATTTTGGATATGAAAGTCTTTGGCATAAGGTGCTAGCACTCAGAGTCAGTAGGTTTTAGTGCTATTCCTTAACTTCAGTGGAATTGCCTTAGTATAGCAGAATTGCTTGAGTGTCTTATCTGTTATCACCATATACATGAGTACCCTCAAATTATCTCATTTCCCTTTCTTTTGTAGACAATACACATTCCAACTATGGAGAATGGTCCTAAGCTGGCAAGCCGCATCTTGAGCAAATTAACTGATATCCAGGTAAAGCTTTTCTTTTCTTTTCTTTTCTTTCCTTTTCTTTTCTTTTTTTTATGTCACCTTATTTCTGTCAGAGCTTACAACTAAATTATATTTCAATGAAGAGGATTAAATAATACAATTTGAGATCAATAAGTTAAATTTAAGGAAGATATTCCCAACACAATGTGTGGGCATGAGCAAAGCAGAAATGGGAAAGAAGATGTATGTTTTAAAAAAAGAAAGAAAATATTGTTCAGGACTCCACATTACTTAACATTAAAAAATAGATGTAATTTTTGGTAACATTTAAAAATCTCATTAAGAAGGATAACATAACTTTTGTTAAAAAAAGGAAGAAAAAATTTGAAAGTAGAAGCAACTTCAGGAAGAAAATTACAGTGCATGTGATTCCAACACTGAGATATAATCACTGTTAATTTTTTATGTCTTTTTATTTTTGAGCTGGAGTTTCACTCTTGTTGCCCAGGCTGGAGTACGATGGCACGATCTTGGCTCACTGCAACCTCTGCCTCCCGGGTTCAAGCAATTTTCCTACCTCAGCCTCCCGAGTAGCTGGGATTATAGGTGTGCGCCACCATGCCCAGCTAATTTTTGTGTTTTTAGTAGAGATGGGATTTCACCATGTTGGCCAGGCTGGTCTTGAACTCCTGACCTAAGGTAATCCACCTGCCTTGGCCTCCTAAATTGTTGGGATTACAGGCATGAACCACTGTGCCCTGCCATTTTTTGATGTCTTAACCTTCAATATTTTGTAAGCATTTATATACTTTATTTATTTATTTATTTATTTATTTATTTATTTACTTATTTATTTTTGAGACTAAGTCTCGCTGTGTCACCCAGGCTGGAGAACAGTGGCATGATCTCAGCTCACTACAACCTCCACCTCCTGGGTTCAAGCGATTCTTCTGCCTCAGCCTCCCGAGTAGCTGGGATTACAGGTCTCATGCCACCGTTCCCGGCTAATTTTTGTATTTTTAGTAGAGATGAGGTTTTGCCCTGTTGGCCAGGCTGGTCTTGAACTCTTGACCTCAGGTGATCCACCCGCCTTGGCTTCCCAAAGTGCTGGGATTACAGCCGTGAGCCACCATGCCCAGCCAGTATACTTTTAGATAGTTATTTTTTCCTAACAAAATGGGATCATATTGTACATAATTTTGTTACATGTTTTTTCACTGAATAAATGCTTTGCTTTTTTATATCAATAAGTAGTTTTCTCCAACACCATTTATAAAGTTTAATTGAATTCCATTATATTGATGTACCATAATTTTTTTAAAAAATTATATTATTGAACATTTATGTTGTTGGCAATTTTTTTTTCACTAGTATGGACAGTACATCCTCGATTACTTCCTAAGGATAAATCTGGGATCAAAGAGTATACACGTCTATTTTTTCATACTGCTAACTTTGTTTTGCCTATTTTTTTTCTGAGCAATAATCTACAGTAATGCCTCATCAGGCAGTTAAGCAGGCATGCTAAATACCAGATAACACTGGGCTACTCAGAAAAGAGATTATCCTGTAATTTGCAAGCATTTCACAAGTTAGAAGACTTTGTTGAAGCCAGTTACTATCCTTGTCAATTAGTAAAAATATCCAAGAGGGCCTGAGACTTACATTGAAAAGTAAAATAAAGTTTGATCATTTGAGTGATGTCGGATGGCATTAAGTCATGAAACTAAGTGAAACTTAAAGGTGGCTGAGAATGCAACAGGCCTCCAGAGAGCAATGGAGGTCCTTGGGTAGTGATAAAAATGGCATTTCTGGCTGGGTGCAGTGGCTCACACCTATAATCCCAACACTATGGGAGGCCAAGACAGGAGGATCGCTTGAGGCCAGGTGTTCAAGACTAGCCTAGGCAACATAGTGAGAACCTTCCTCTAAAAAAAGGGAAATAAAATAAAAATAAAAGTTTAAAAGAGAGTTTAAAAGGCAGTTTTAAAAGAGACTTACTCAGCAAGTTTTCTGCCAAATTTACAGTATTAAAAAGAAAGAAAGTGTGTTTTTGTTTCTGTTTGTTTTTTTGAGACAGAGTCTTACTCTGTTGCTCAGGCTGGGGTGCAGTGGTGCAATCTCAGCTCACTGCAACCCCTGCCTCCTGGGTTCAAGTGATTCTTGTGCCTCAGCCTCCCACACAGCAGGGATTATGGGCATGCACCATCATGCCTGGCTAATTTTTGTATTTTTAGTAGAGTCGAGGTTTCGCCATGTTGGCCAGGCTGGTCTCAAACTCCTAGCCTCAAGTGATTTGCCCACCTTAGCCTCCCAAAGTGCTGAGATTACAGGCATGAGCCACCGCACCCTGGCCTTGATTGTGGTTTTTTAATCAATGAGCTGCCATACTTCTGCTCTCCAGCAAAGGTTTTCTATGAGAATTTTCTGTAAGCTAAGTAAAGGAATATCTTAATATTGGAAGAAATAAAATTTAGTCAGAGTTGTTTTCTACCTTTGTACACAGCAACACTTACAAGTAATTTGAAGAGTAGCTAATAAAAATTTCTGCATGGATGGCTTAGGCATTTTAATTTTTTTAAGGTTGCCTGAGTAAATCTGAAAATAATAAATTATTACAGTTTTGCTCAAATAAAGAACACAAATAGAACAAAAAATACATAACTGGCTAGATTACATGAAAGCCTTTTTCCAAAACAGAGGTTTAGAGGCCAGGGCAAATAGGCAGGAAAAATAAATAAAGGGCATCCAAATTGGAAAAGAAGAAGTTAAATTAGCTTTCTTAGCAGATGACATTATCTTACACCTAGAAAAACCTAAAGACTCCCTCAAAAAACCTGTAGAACTGATAAATGAATTCAGTAAAGTTGCAGGATATAAAATCAACATATAAAAATCAGTAGAATTTATATATGCTAACAGTGAACAATCTGAAAAAGAAATCAAGAAAGCAATCCCATTTATAATAGCCACAAAAAGTATAAAATACCTAGGAATCAATCTAACCAAAGACATGAGAGATCTATACAAGGAAAAGTATAAAACTATGATTTAAAAAATTGAAGAAAACACACAAAGGTGGAAAGATATTCCATATTCATGGATTGGAAGAATTAATTTTGTTAAAATGACTATACTACACAAAGCAATTTACAGATTCAATGCAATCCCTATTAAAATACTGATGACTTTCTTCACAGAAATAGAAAAAACAATCCTAAAATGTATATGGAGCTAAAAAGACCCCAAATAGCCAAAGCAATCTTGAGCAAAAAGAACAAAGTTAGAATCACCACACTACCTTACTTCAAAATTTATTATAAAACTATAATAACCAAAACAGCATAGTACTGATATAAAAACAGACATAGTAGACCAGTGGGACAGAATAGAGAACCCAGATACCTAAGTCCACATGTTTACAACCAACTCATCTTTGACAAAGGTGCCAAGAACTGTAACGGGGAAGACAGTCTTTTCAATAAATGGTGCTGGGAAAATTGGATAATTATATGCAGAAGAATGAAACTAGATTCGCTTCTCTTACCATACACAGAAATCAAATGAAAGTATATTAATGACTTGAATCTTAGACCTGAAACTATGAAATTACTTGAAGAAAACATTAAGGAAATGCTTCAGGACATTGGTCTAAGCAAAGATCTCATTCTGTCACTCAGGCTGGAGTGTAGTGGCATGAACCTGGCTCATTGTGGCATTGACCTCCTGGGCTCAAGCAATTCTCCCACCTTGGCTTTCCATGTAGCTAGAACCACAGGTGCATGCCACCACATTCCACTAATTTTTAAATTTTTTGTAGAGATGGAGTCTCACCATCTTGCCCAGGCTGGTCTCGAACTCCTGAACTCAAGGGATCCTCCTGTCTCAGCCTCCCAAAGTGCTGAGATTACTAGCATAAGCCACTGTCCCTGGCCAGCGAAGATTTCTTATGTAAGACCTGAAAAAGCATAGGCTATCAAAGCAAAAATAGGCAATTGGGATTATGTCAAGCTGGAAAGCTTCTCCACAGCAAAGAAAACAATCCACAAAGGGAATAGATTACCCAAAGAATGGATGAAAATATTTGCAAACTATCAATCTGACAAGGGATTAATAACCAGAGTCTATAAGGAGCTCAAACAACTGTATAGGAAAAATCTAGTAATCTGGTTTTAAAATGGGCATGAGACCTGATTAGAAAACTCAACAGAAAAAAAAATTTGATTAAAAATGGATAAAAGATCTGAATGGACATTTCTCAAAAGAAGACAGACAAATGGCCAGGAGGTACATGAAAAAATGCGCAACATCACTAATTATCAGAGAAATGCAAAACAAAACCACAATGTAAAATCCACTTGCCCTAGTTAAAATGGCTTGTATTAAAAAAAAAAAAAAAAACAGGCAATAACAGATGCTGGGAGGATGTGGAGAAAGGGAACCATCATATATTGTTGGTTGAAATATAAATAGTACAGCCACTATGGAGAACAGTATGGAGGGTCCTCCAAAAATAAAAGTAGAACTAGAACTTCCGTGTGATCCAGCAATTCTACCACCGGGTATATATCCAAAAGAAAAAAATTAGTATATCAAAGAGATATCTGCACTCCCATGTTTATTGCAATAGTATTCACAATAGCCAAGATATGGAATTAACCTAAATGTCTGTCAACAGATAAATGGATAAAGAGAATGTGGCATAAAGATATATATATATATATATATACACACACACACACACACACACACAATGTGGTACTATTCAGCCATAAAAAAGAATGAAATCCTGTCATTTGCAGCAACATGTATGGAACTGGAGGCCATTTTGTTAAGTGAAATAAGCGAGGGACCGAAAGACAAACATCACATGTTCTCATGCAGGTGCTAAAAAAGTAGATCCTATGAAGACAGAGAGTAGATTAGAGGTTACCAGAGGCCGAGAAGGGGAGTGGGAAGTAGAGGATAAAGGAAAAAAACAAGAATATAAATGTATTTATTACCATTAAACTGAACATTTAAAAATTGTAAAGATGGTAAATTATATATGTGTATTTTATCTTAATTAAAATTTTAAAAATCAGGAGTTTAGAAATTTTTAAGAGAAGTGTGCCCATAGTGATAAGAAAGAAAGACCCTTTTGGAAAATTTTCTTGAACAAATTATACAGTATTTTCTTAAACAAATTGTACATTCTGTAGCAGTTAATACACCAAATAAGATTTCAGGGTTACCTCTTGGAGATTGTATGAAATAAAAACATTTAGGTGGGCATGATGGCTCATTCCTGTAATCCTAAAACTTTGGGAGGCTGATGCAGGAACAATACTTGAGGCTAGTACTTCAAGACGAGCCTAGGCAACATAGTAAGACCCAGTCTCCACAAAACAACCAAAAAAAATAGCAAGTGTGGTGGCACACACCTGTAGTTCCAGCTACTCAGGAGGCTGAGGCAGGAGGAACACTTGAGGCCAGGAATGTGAGACTGCAGTGGGCTATGATTGTGCCACAGCACTCCACTCCAGCCTTCACTGTAGAAAGAGACCCTGTCTCGAAAGGAAGGAGGGAGGGAGGGAGGGAGGGAGGGAGGGAGGGAATGAAGGAAGGAAGGAAGGAAGGAAGGAAGGAAGGAAATGTAAACTCATTTGATTTGGCTGTAAAGGATTAATAGAAAAGGAAAACGTAGTCACTAGGCTGAGAAAAATTGAACTCTATTGAATTGGTATAAAGATCTAAGTGGAGGTGTTTGGCAGACATGATCATGAAGCTTTCACTGAGGAAGGAAACTCTAGGAGGCAAAAGCAGAAATGCAACTCATCAAAATTGAAATGGTGACAAAATATGTGCATTCAAACCTGAAAGTGACTGAAAGAGAAGCCCAAACACACAATTTTGGGGTAAGATGGGAAACCATTACCAAAGTTCTCAGAAAGAGCATTTTTAAAAGTAAGATTATAGAAGCCAAAAGGATATGTAGTAGTCTGTTCTCACACTGCTGTAACGAACTACCTGAGACTGGGTAGTTTGTAAAGAAAAGAGGTTTTATTGACGCTCAGTTCTGCAGGCCATACAGGAGACATGGCTGGGGAGGCCTCAGGAAACTTACAGTCATGGCGGAAGGCAAAGGGGAAGCCAGTACATATTACATGGTGGGAACAGGAGGAGGAGAGGGAGGGTGGGAGGTGCCACTCACTTTTTAAAACAAACAGATCTCCTTAGAACTCACTCACTATCATGAGAACAGCAAGGGGGAGGTTTGCTCCCATGATGCAATTACCTGACACCAGGCCCTTCCTCCAACATGGGGGATTACAATTCCACATGAGATTTGGGTGGGGACACAAATTCAAACCATATCAGAATGTTAGTGACTAAAGTAAATGTTCTTGTTTAACTCTTTAATGTGTATATTGAGTGCAAGCCATATGCAGGGGCTATTCTAGGTACTGGTGGTTTACTCAAGAAAAAGGGGGCAAAAAAATGAAGAAGGTGGCCAGGCATGGTGGCTTACGCCTGTAATCCCAACACTTTGGGAGACTGAGACGTGAGAATTGCTTGAGCCCAGGAGTTTGAGATCAGCCTGGTAACATGGCAAATCCCTGTCTCTACAAAAAAATGCAAACAAACAAACAAACAAACAAACAAATTAATCGGGCATGGTGTCACATGTCTGTAGTCCCAGCTACAGGTTGAGGTGGGAAGATGCCTTAAGCCTAGGGAGGTTGAGGCTGCAGTCAGCCATGATAGCACCACTGCACTCCAGCCTGGGCAACAGAGTGAGACCCCATCTGAAAAAAAAAGAAGTCAAAACAAATGAAAAAAAAAAAAAAGTCAAAACAAATATTCAGTGTAAATGTGAGACCATGTAAAAAAGTTTAAAAGTAAAATATATAGTTTAAGCAGAGGATGGGAGACGGGGAAAAAACCTTTTCTCCCTAACTTTATATACTCCCTCTATAAATTAGTGCTTATGGCCAATAAGAAATGAATAATTTCTTTTTTCACCGTTGGTAGTAAAGTATAATGGTAGTTAACACAAAAAACTAAATGATATATTCAGAACCTCATACTAAACAAAGAAACAAAGGCATGCAATCACAGGACAGGTGGAAACAGTGGTTCTGAACTAACCACAAACCAGAACTACCAAATGTGCTACAAATTGTTTAGTAACAAAGGACCATCCCTTCAGAATTGAAGAGCACGTCTCAGTTATCTCATGCCTATGTGCATGGAACTTAAAGTCTCAAAATTACTCTTACAAGATGGCAAATTGAGGCTGTCAGCTAAGCTCCTAGATTGTCTGTTTCTCCAAGAAAAATAAATTTCAGTAATTATTAAGGAAAAAGCATAGAATTGCATCATGTTTTACATTTCATTACTTTTGGCATGACATGGGAGCATGGATGTTTTCTACAAAGTGCTCTGATAAATTGAAGAAGAGGCCAACAACAGCCACCGAAAAAACCTTCAAGATTCTTGCCAGTATGGCTCAGGGGAAAAATTCCCTCATAACCACAGATTTGACTTTTCAACTTCTGTACTTCTGCATATGAGTAATAATCTCTGAGGTTAAGTATTCATCCCATTTAGCTAATTGTCCACATAACTCCCTGGGTCTTAGATTGCTCTATAAATACCTCCTAAGAGAAGAATTTTTCAAATGACAGTTTCGTTTTTCCTTTTTCTTCTTTTAAAGCAACAAAGAAAAGCACGTCTGTGTTTATATTTAACCAAACTTAAACTTGGAGAGCATTGGCCGTGTTGTCGACGTGTTTCTTTTCTCTACTGTTAAATTCCTTACTGTTCCAGTTACTCACCATCATACTCACCTTTGCCTCTGCCACTTGGGGTCCTCTGTTCTGCAGTTGTGTTCTGCTCTCTGATGCCTCCAGGTTTTGCTGCACCTTCTAGAAATTGCTCACCTGGATAAGGCCTTGGCTGTCCTTTATGACTCATCTCGTTCAGAAGCCTTTTGAATCTCTCTTGAAGAATATTCCCTTTGCTCAGTCCAAATACACATTCACTCACTTGAATGCTGCTTCTTCCTCCAGTTTCACAGTGCTGGGGATGATCCCGTAAGGCCTTTAAATTACATTATAATTAGTCATGCACTTCTCTCTGCTCTGGGGCTGTTTGAATCGTTCACTCTCTTTATACCTCCAGTGTTCAGCACAGAGCCTAGGGTATAATGCGTATGCAGTAATGTTTCTTGAAGGAGTGAATGGGCAAGTGAAACACCAAACAAATACTAAAGAGCAAAACATGTATTGCTCTTGTATATTAACACATTCCGAGAAGAGATGGGAGGAAGGTCTTGAATAATATCAAATTATTTCTTAAGAGATCTTGATTTAGATTTTTTTCAAAATGAGATACATGTTGACACTGCTGTCAACAAATAATCACATAAAAGCTAGAGCCTGGCTTTTAAGTATCAGGGGGAGCATGTGTGAATAATCAGCATTGCTGCTGTTGAAGCTCCATAAAGTGGGAAGCAGCGACTGCAAAGATCCAGAGATGGACATCTGAAGCATAGGAAAGGGGCAGCTTGAATGAGATAGGAGCAGGATCTGTATTGATTGCAGGTCACCAGATAGAATTAAAAAAATCTATGTTCTCACTAGTGGCTACAGTTTTCAAGGACAAATGACTATTAGTGGTTATTGTATTTTTCTTGTTTTCAATGGAGCAGCTCCATGACTTAGTTACATAAGAAGTTAAAGGCTCCACCCCCTTCCCTACCAATGTCTTAAGCTGTCCTCCGTGTGCATACAAACTTTGTTTCCAGACTGCCCTCGTGTGACTCAGTCCCTGGACCAGCTTCCCAGCCCCTTCTGTTTCCAGCACATCCTCCTCCACGTGTTACAGGATTACAAAGCTTTGCACAGCCTTTCAATAGGGTTTAGAGCAAGAATGACAGATTGCTACCTGGTAGGCAGCACTGACTATAGTTTTATTGGCGTTGCGTAGAGTGACTGCATGACATGCAGGTTGTGCTTTTGTTTTGCCAGGAATTTAAAGGCATTTAGCAAAGCCGTATGAAATTATCTGCCTTATGTACCTCGAATGTGAGGTAATGAACTTGTCATTAGTCGTGTTTTAGTTTAGTGTTCTCGCTGGAATTTGCAAAAGATTAAAATTCTGCACATTTCATTAAGTCTTCCACATGGGCTCAAAATACCATCCCGCAGGCTCGACCTGACTTGCCACGTTGCTTTGACACCATCTCTGATTCCAGTGAACAAAACTAAGTAAGTGTGACTTACAGCCGCCCTACCAAACATTGAAGGTGTGAGCCTGCACTGTTGTTTTGTAATGACAATGACAAGAGTATAATGACAAGAGTATAATGACATCCTAGTCCATGAAGACATGTTTTCTCTTTTCCCTCCCTCTATGTATACTTACTTACTCTTAAGGAAATAATATAATTTCTATTTCTGCTTAAATCTGCCATCTCTACTTAGAATTATTTTCCCTTGAAAAATTAAATTGCATTATCCATCAGCCAAATGGAAAATCTGATTACTAAATGCCTACTTCTAGACATTATGAATTACCTGTAATATCACATTTCTTGGGCACTTCTCAGAATGCTATGATTTTACATAAAAGCATAAATTACAGAATGAGAAGAGTAAAGCTTAGTGCATATTATGCAGGTTCGCAGAGTGATATGTGGCCTACGACTGTCATTGTAATCAAAATTGATTTTTGATCATTTATAAAACTAAAACAACTAATTGAAAGCAAATTTACTTTAACTGATGAAATTCAAGATGAAGTGACAGTAGTCATGAATCACAGTTCTGTAGATCTGCTAAAATGCCAATGAACTGTTATTAATGGTGAAAGTGTTTAATATATTAATGGGAATCCAAGTAAGGAAAATAAAACACATATTTTGCCCTTACCTTAAGTCATGTTGACATCATACATAAATCAGGTAGAATTTGAAGATGTTTCATCCAGCATTCATCATGAAGCAACAGAGTCAATAGCGGGCAGTTACAGTCTGTAGGCAATGCTTTCTGGTGTGGATTATGCAAGAAACTTACAGTCATTTGGCTTCCTTTATTCCCCTTTGCATGTAAACTACCAGGTGGTAGGTAGACCCATTCTTGGCTGCCAGTATTTTTACCACTTGGATAGATTCTGCTCTCTGAGGTCTTTAAGACAAACACAGCACATGTACATTGTGATATAGGAGAAAGAACATCAGACAGAGGCAGAGAACTGGGCTTGTCAAAATTAAGGGTGACCTAGAGCCTTAGTGTCCTTATATGTAAGATGAGAAGCTTGGATTAAAATTCATTGCTCCTTACACTTGATTTTTATGCAGCAGAACTTTCTTCAAAAGAGATCACTCCTGGAATCCCAATATACAAAATGGATAAAAGTAGGATTGTTCTGAAGTAAAGAAGTAAAATCCAGAGCCCCACTTATTTGAGTCATCTCCTACCTTTTAGATGGTTATTAACATTGTTTCTAGTTCAGAAATTCTGATGTTTTATATTAATTTAAACTAAAGTTAAATTAGGACTAGAAGAGCCATTTCGTGTGAAAATAGACATAGTCTGAGTGATTTAGGCAAACCCATAGTGACAGATTTAGTGGCCTGATACACTGGCTTGGAAAGATCTGTTCCAAGTCAGTCTCAATACACAAGGCTCGGTGAACACATGGCGAGCAGTCTTGGTGGTGGTCAAGAACATGGAATTTGCTGTGAGAGAGAGCTTGGTTAGGGTCTGGGCTCTTCCATCTGTTAACTGCAAACTTGAGCAAGTTATTCAATCTCCCTAATATTCAGTTTTCTCATTCATAAAATGGATTGATAATGGTACCTTCTATGTACAGTTACTGTGGGTATTAAATGAGGTAATAAGCCTGTAAAACTCCTGGCATGATGACATTGGCCTACATTAATTGCTCACAGAGTGAGAACTTATTATAAACACAGGCATTTTTGTTGAATGACTGACTGATTGAATGAATGAATATAGAACTAGCTTTCTATTTGTGATGTATGGAATATCTCTATTTCATTTAATTTCATTTTGAATATTAAAATTCAGGCTTGCTTTTAAACCAAAGTATTTGCTGATGCAAAGAATGAAATTCTGACTATGATACAGTTACATAACTTTTGAAGAAATAAGAAAAATGCTAACACAGCATGAACAACTTTGATTTAGAGAACAGAGTCTCTGTTAAAATCCATGGGACTTGTCAACTTCATATTTTTGTTTATGAGCATAAAACACTCTTTAGTGCATGTCGGAATCATTTGATGCTTGCTGAATCACAGGTTGCTGGAACCCATCCCCAGATTCTGATTCAGTCTGAGATGAGGTCTGGGAATTTGCATTTTTAACTTGTTGTCTGGTGATGCTGATGCTAGTGGTCTGAGAATACACTTTGAGGATCACTTTTTCACAGTAAAAGTCACAGTCATTAAGCAAGTTAACTCAATGAGAAATGATAATGAAAAGGCATGTACCTAAATAGATAAAGGACCTATACCAGCTATGAATTTGAGTTCAGCAATAATTGTAAAATTTGTAATTCTTTTCAGGTATTTGGTTTTTAAAAAACTCCCTATGTATGCTTTTATCTTATGTTTTATATGGTGTCCCTCTTTTCCTCTCTTTCTCTCTAATCCAGTTTTTAATGTGAACATGTTTAATGTGAAAATGTTGTTCAAAGCAGAAGCGAACCTTTTGTGTAACCTTGGCGGTATTAAGTTTGTTTGTAAGCTATTTCTGCCCTGTTAGCTTCTGTACTGAAACACGTTTTCTTGCTTTTGTTGCAGTATGGAAGAGAAGAGAGCGACTGGACAATTGTGCTATCCTGAATGGAAAATAGAGGATACAATGGAAAATAGAGGATACCAACTGTATGCTACTGGGACAGACTGTTGCATTTGAATTGTGATAGATTTCTTTGGCTACCTGTGCATAATGTAGTTTGTAGTATCAATGTGTTACAAGAGTGATTGTTTCTTCATGCCAGAGAAAATGAATTGCAATCATCAAATGGTGTTTCATAACTTGGTAGTAGTAACTTACCTTACCTTACCTAGAAAAACATTAATGTAAGCCATATAACATGGGATTTTCCTCAATGATTTTAGTGCCTCCTTTTGTACTTCACTCAGATACTAAATAGTAGTTTATTCTTTAATATAAGTTACATTCTGCTCCTCAAACAAATGCAATTTTTTGTGTGTGTTTGAAAGCTAATTTGAGAAAATTTCATAGGTTACATTTCCTGCAGCCTATCTTTATCCACAGAAAGTGTTTTCTTTTTTTTAAATCAAGACTTTTAAAACTGGATTTCCTCCCATCACTGTTTTTTGAAGGTCCTCCAAGTCCGTGTTAAGGTAAATATCTGTTTTCTTCCTGATGTCACAGCCTGAGCATACTCTGTGCATTAGGAAGACCTGAGTGCATTTCCCACCATTGTCCTTTCCACATTATGTTGTAGCTGGCTGGCTGTCAGGCGACTACAAGACTGAGGGTCTTGTGCCTTATAGATCTTTGTATCCCCCATGGCTGACATATAGTAGGTACTCAGTAAATGGTTTTATAATGAATCAGTGAACATTTTGCTTCTATAGAAGTGTACCTTCTTTGTTTCTATATTATGAAACCTCTTTATTAGAATTTGTGATTGATTCTGACAGTGTATAGATTTACCTTATATTGTCTTTATTTTCCATGAGCTACTAAGTCATTAGAGATACTCTGAAGCATAGTTAGTTTAGGAAATCACTTCATATTGATTGTATTAGAATTATCTTGGAATTGAAGATATATCCCTAGAGCAGGGGACCCCAACCCCCAGGCCATGGGCCACACAGCAGGAAGAGGTGAGTGGTGGGCCATTGAGGAGCTTCATCTGTATTTATGGCTACTTCCCATCACTCGAATTACCACCTGAACTCCACCTCTTGTCAGCTCAGTGGCAGCATTAGATTCTCATAGGAGCACAAATCCTATTGTGAACTCTGCATGCAAGGGATCTAGGCTATGCGCTCCTTATGAGAATCTAATGCTTGATGACCTGAGGTGTAACAGTTTCATCCTGAAACCACCCTTCACCCTGCAGTCTGTGGAAAAATTGTCTTCCACAAAACTGGTCCCTGGTGCCAAAAATGTTGGGGACCACTGCTCTAGAGAGAGGTCATGATATCATACCAACCAAATGGAAATGACAAATGTTTTATGTCAAGTGTTAATTGCAGAAATAAATCTTTTTTTTTTTTTTTTGGTAGAAAACAAAGAGGCATACTCTGATTTTTATACTCTGTTTTTGCAGGTGCTCTTTTCTTTGAATGGAGATTTGATGAGCAAGTGGTTAGGATGCAGGGAGAGCTACTATGGGTGATATTTTCCTTGTTTAGGAGCTGTGAGTTAAAATTGTATCCTTTGTGGTTTATCTAAGGAAAGTCAAATCTTGACAGAAAACATTTTTCCTTGGAAGGTCAACTCTCAGACATTGTATTTTGGTTTCCCTCAGTCCTCATAACTTCCTTCTTGCTGAACATATTTTATTCTCTTTTCAGAGAAGGAAAATAAAAAGGATTCTAAAAGTTTGATGCATTGGAAAAATTTCCTTGAGGCATTTAGCAACACATAGAAAATGGGCTTTGATTCTTTTCCAAAACTTTTAGCCATAGGGTCTTTTATAGACAGGGATAGTAAAATGAAAATTGAGAAATATAAGATGAAAAGGAATGATAAAAATATCTTTTAGGGGGCTTTTAATTGGTGATCTGAAATCTTGGGAGAAGCTGTTCTTTTCAGGCCTGAGGTGCTCTTGACTGTCGCCTGCGCACTGTGTACCCCGAGCAACATTCTAAGGGTGTGCTTTCGCCTTGGCTAACTCCTTTGACCTCATTCTTCATATAGTAGTCTAGGAAAAAGTTGCAGGTAATTTAAACTGTCTAGTGGTACATAGTAACTAAATTTCTATTCCTATGAGAAATGAGAATTATTTATTTGCCATCAACACATTTTATACTTTGCATCTCCAAATTTATTGTGGCGAGACTTGTCCATTGTGAAAGTTAGAGAACATTATGTTTGTATCATTTCTTTCATAAAACCTCAAGAGCATTTTTAAGCCCTTTTCATCAGACCCAGTGAAAACTAAGGATAGATGTTTAAAAACTGGAGGTCTCCTGATAAGGAGAACACAATCCACCATTGTCATTTAAGTAATAAGACAGGAAATTGACCTTGACGCTTTCTTGTTAAATAGATTTAACAGGAACATCTGCACATCTTTTTTCCTTGTGCACTATTTGTTTAATTGCAGTGGATTAATACAGCAAGAGTGCCACATTATAACTAGGCAATTATCCATTCTTCAAGACTTAGTTATTGTCACACTAATTGATCGTTTAAGGCATAAGATGGTCTAGCATTAGGAACATGTGAAGCTAATCTGCTCAAAAAGATCAACAAATTAATATTGTTGCTGATATTTGCATAATTGGCTGCAATTATTTAATGTTTAATTGGGTTGATCAAATGAGATTCAGCAATTCACAAGTGCATTAATATAAACAGAACTGGTGGCACTTAAAATGATAATGATTAACTTATATTGCATGTTCTCTTCCTTTCACTTTTTTCAGTTTCTACATTTCAGACCGAGCTTGTCAGCTTTTTTGAAAACACATCAGTAGAAACCAAGATTTTAAAATGAAGTGTCAAGACAAAGGCAAAACCTGAGCAGTTCCTAAAAAGATTTGCTGTTAGAAATTTTCTTTGTGGCAGTCATTTATTAAGGATTCAACTCGTGATACACCAAAAGAAGAGTTGACTTCAGAGATGTGTTCCATGCTCTCTAGCACAGGAATGAATAAATTTATAACACCTGCTTTAGCCTTTGTTTTCAAAAGCACAAAGGAAAAGTGAAAGGGAAAGAGAAACAAGTGACTGAGAAGTCTTGTTAAGGAATCAGGTTTTTTCTACCTGGTAAACATTCTCTATTCTTTTCTCAAAAGATTGCTGTAAGAAAAAATGTAAGACAAAAAAAAAAAAAAAAAACAAACAGAGGCAGAGGCAGGCAGTAGCAAGAAAGCAGAGCGTAACATCAGCTAGATGGTAACATGCAATGTCAGCTCTCTTGAAGACATGGGAAACCTAAGTTACACCTTGGGTTAAAATTCTTCACCATATTAGTTTTGTTGCTTCATAAAATTTACCTAAGCAAGTGGTCTTGCTTGCCTCAAATCCAAGCAGTCTTGAACACTTGGAGGCAATTAATGAGTATATCTTAGTCAAAAGAATTGTTGGAGCTTTTTATTAAAGCTACAGTTTCAGTTCTGCTTTTGGGGAATTGTGCTATGAAAGCAGCTGCCAAAATAAGCTCATTTATTTTCTTCAATCCCACTCAGTGCTCAGTCACTATATTCTGTTTCCTTTTTTTTTTTCAAGTTGCATATTTGGTTTCCCCTTATGATTGGGAAAGATGAATTTTCAGCAGAAAACATTGTTTGTTCACTTTCAAAGAGTGATAGTTTCTAAAACATTTAGAGCAATAAATATTCATCAGAGGTACCAAGTAAGCCGGCAGAAGAGTTAAGGGTTAGAGAAATCCCTTATTTCATGTCTTGACTCTAAAATTATCAAAGTACTTTTCCTTGTAATGTGGATTTCTTCTTATGCGGATATGCAAAAACTTCAGTTATACGTAGTAATGCTAGCAGGTAATTTTAGTAGACATTTTATAACAACTGTCACTTTGTTTCGCCACATGTAGAGTTTGTTCAGCTATTTTCCAGATATCTCCCCACAAAAGGAGGCAAAGGGTACCAGCTTTTCAATGAGCATTACCTATTACTTGGCAAAGATGATGAAGACTCTATTAATAGTTCATTTGATAAATGTTGACATAACCAACAATAGAGATTAGGAAGTTAGTTTTAAGAAATCAATGGCATATAGACATTACCCTCATGGAGTTTGTATTCTACTACTTGAACTGATTGTAGCTATAAAAGCATAGTTAGATAGCTGAATAGTTAGATCATAAGCAAAGAAGGCCAGAACACATCTCTTATCAAGAAATCAATGAATAGTTTATCTCATTTTTAAAGCAACTTTATCCTTCTTTAATTCCTTCCTTTCTTCTAGTGCAAAACTACTTAATAAGGTTGGTGTTTAGGTTAGTGTTCACACCATTCCTCATCTGGTGTGAATTACCTTCTCTTTCTTTACTATTTACTACCAACCTAGTACATGTGTTGACTGAATTCTTTTCAAACAATGTTGAGTTATCATGGTGCACCTAATAAATTAACACCACAGATTACAGCATCCTTGCTGATTTTCTCAGCAAAGCCAGATTAGATGGAAATAAACAAAGAAAATGATCCTAGAGTGAATTTTTCTAGAAAATATCTATTATGAACCATGCTGTTTAAAGTATTAGCTTGAAGGTGATGGATCCAGCTATTCAGAAAATAACTTTCATATAACCATGATTTTGCACAGTATGAGGTCTTAAATGTGTGGAAAGAGATAAATTTTTTATCATTACCACAAACCCCTTTTAAAGATTCAAAGGTGGAAGAAAGTGATTTATTTTTTCTCTTCAGCATACATATATAAAAGACTTGTCAGATGTTTAATTTGGGGAGGTTGATAATGAAACATATCAACAGAGTATAGTAGTTATAGTAGTGTTTGTGGGTAAATAATTTCCTGGGGTCAGACATATATAAACATATTTGCTTCAAAATGATAAAGGCATGAAATCAGTCTTAAAAATTGAAATGGGGGTGATGGGGGAGAAAAAGAAGAACAAATTTGAAGTGCCCTTTCAAATCTGCTGGATACAAGTATTGAAGTTTTAAGTCATCTTATTCTGTCTGAAAGTGTATTTTTCATTCTACAATAGACCCAATCAACAAGACGTATAACTTGAGTTGCATGATGTTCAGTTTATGTAATCTACTGTTGGGATGGTAAGAATTGATGTAGGCTGTGGTGTAAGAATGAATTAAAATATAGTTTCACTGGCTTTTCTCTACATATCCACTATCACAATGGCTAGGTTTCCTGTTGCTCACTATTGGATTCTGGAGAAAAATTTAATGAAAGATGATATCAGAGGAAGAATAAGTGGAGGTAGAGAAGAAAGGAATGATAGAGGAGGGGAAAAAAACAAAACATATTTTTGTGTTATCCAAAGGAGCTTTTTCCTTATTCTGTCAAGCATTGAGATCTTCTTCAGCTTTCAATGTAGTTGCTAAATACAAATAATGCTACTAGGTAGTGACTAAATATAGCAAACACTTCATCAGATATTAGAATTAGGTCACACTATTGAGGTTATAATCTGAAGGTTGTGTTACATAGAAACCACTTTAGATTATTATCAACTTGGACTAGGCTTTATTTTATAATAGCATAGTAAGTAATATCTATTGTGTCATTTCTTCAACCATTTTATTCTAAGATCCATGAAGCTTCTTGAGGCCAAATAAAATAATAAGTTTAGACAAGAAGTAGATTGTGACTTTTTTCCCTTAGAGATACTATTTACTATCTCCTATCCTGATAGGTGGAAGGTTTACTGAATTGGAAATTGGTTGACTATTAGTTTTTAACTAAAATGTGCAATAACACATTGCAGTTTCCTCAAACTAGTTTCCTATGATCATTAAACTCATTCTCAGGGTTAAGAAAGGAATGTAAATTTCTGCCTCAATTTGTACTTCATCAATAAGTTTTTGAAGAGTGCAGATTTTTAGTCAGGTCTTAAAAATAAACTCACAAATCTGGATGCATTTCTAAATTCTGCAAATGTTTCCTGGGGTGACTTAACAAGGAATAATCCCACAATATACCTAGCTACCTAATACATGGAGCTGGGGCTCAACCCACTGTTTTTAAGGATTTGCGCTTACTTGTGGCTGAGGAAAAATAAGTAGTTCGAGGAAGTAGTTTTTAAATGTGAGCTTATAGATAGAAACAGAATATCAACTTAATTATGAAATTGTTAGAACCTGTTCTCTTGTATCTGAATCTGATTGCAATTACTATTGTACTGATAGACTCCAGCCATTGCAAGTCTCAGATATCTTAGCTGTGTAGTGATTCTTGAAATTCTTTTTAAGAAAAATTGAGTAGAAAGAAATAAACCCTTTGTAAATGAGGCTTGGCTTTTGTGAAAGATCATCCGCAGGCTATGTTAAAAGGATTTTAGCTCACTAAAAGTGTAATAATGGAAATGTGGAAAATATCGTAGGTAAAGGAAACTACCTCATGCTCTGAAGGTTTTGTAGAAGCACAATTAAACATCTAAAATGGCTTTGTTACACCAGAGCCATCTGGTGTGAAGAACTCTATATTTGTATGTTGAGAGGGCATGGAATAATTGTATTTTGCTGGCAATAGACACATTCTTTATTATTTGCAGATTCCTCATCAAATCTGTAATTATGCACAGTTTCTGTTATCAATAAAACAAAAGAATCCTGTTTGTGTGGTTTCATGAAATCAGCATTGTTGAATGCATGAAGTAATAATGCTAAATTAACATTTTTATGATGTCTCAAGGTTTCTGGTCAAGGGAAGTAAATGTAGGATAGTATTTTTACACCAAAATGACACAGAGAGAATTGAGCACACCAGAAAGACCAGAAACCACACCACTGGATAGAGATTCAATATGTTTCTTTTTCAAACATTTGGACAAGAAAAAAATGGGCATTTAAAAATTCTTCCTTCCCCTGGTTATGGATTTATCTGTAGTAAAACTTAGCTTTGTCGTTTGAGATTTGCACAGAATGGGGGGAGTAGATTACCTCTTCCCATTCATTGTCATAATGGATCTACATCACTGATAAACACCATACTTCTATATGTGGTTAACTAGCTTTAGAATAAAAGACACTTTAAAAAGTAAAAGGCCTAGAGATCTTCAATGAAGTGTCCCTTTTAGCCAAACCAGGCCTTGCAGAAATTGTCCTCAAAAGCACCAAGGGAGAACAAAGCCAAGTGCAGAATTACCCAAGGGTCACACATTTTGTATTCATTTTCTTATAATTTGCCCAAATGATTTGAAGTACAGCAAAACCTGAAGTTTTGCAAAGAGTTACTGTAAACTGAACTTAAAAATGTCAGAGTGCTCGGTGACCCACTTCTCCAGACCCTGTCAACCTGTGAAAATATTGGCCTTTATTCAGATCTCTCAAGAAGTTACGCGCAGAGTTTGGAAGGTCTAGGCAAAGGTTATTAGTCAAGTGTTCTTACAGTGTCAACGCTCAATTCCCACAAGCGTGAGAAAGAGAGACCTGTCATTCCTGAGGGTGATGACATACATTTACTGGAGCTTATATAATTTATCAGATAAGACAGCAGTTTCCTTCAGGGTAGAAAGTGTGTTTTCTACATTGATTTAGTACAAAACAAAAAGAAAAGGGGATATTTCAAATTTTATAATTATTTTTCTGCTAAGCTGATTCAGTGTGATTTAAGCATATTTTTCAAATCATGAATCTGATTCCATATACATATGTGCCTTATATTGTGATAATTTATTTTTAAGTGAAATATGCTATCATAGCCTGACTTTATGTATAGTGGTGACAACTTGCAGGATCGCATTTCTGTAACCAAACGGCCGACAGCTGAGGTGTAGATGCTTCCTATGGTCTGTAGAATAATCACTGGGCTTGTTCTCTAGCTATGTCTGTATGCAATCGCGACAGTGTTGATCAAAACCCATGATCATTCTCTCCAAAGGTCTTTGTCACTAAGCCACTAGGGATTCTGAAAAGTTCGTGAGCTGAAACAAATAAATTGAGTTGGAAGATTCATGTTGACTGTTTGTATCCCAAATGCAATATACCAGTTTTTGAAGCTGAACTGATTACATTAAAAAGGGATCAAGCTGCATTTGTTTTAAAGATAGTTACATGACCAAAAGTTGCTCAACATCATTGGTCATTAGATATGTGCAATCAAACCTGCAATGAGATATCACTTCACCCCAGTTAAAATGGCCTATATCCAAAATGCAGGTAATAACAAATGCTGGTAAGGGTGCAGAGAAAAGGGAACCCTCTTACACTGTTGTTGGGAATGTAAATTCATACAACCACTATGGAGAACAGTTTGGAGGTTCCTCAGAAAACTAAACATTGAGGTATGATATGATCCAGCAATCCCACTGCTAGGTATACATCCAAAAGAAAGGAACTCATTACATCAAAAAGATATCTGCAATTCTATTTTTGTTACAGCACTGTTTACAATAGCTATGATTTGGAAGCAACCTAAGTGTCCATCAATAGATGAATGGATGAAGAAAATGTGGTACATGTACACAATGGAGTACTATTCAGCCAGGAAAAAGAATGAGATCCTGTCATTTGCAACAACTTGAATGGAACTGGAGGTCATTATGCTAAGTGAAATAAGCCAGGCACAGAAAGACAAACTTTGCATGTTCTCACTTATTTGTGGGATCTAAAAGAACTATTGAACTCATGGAGATAGAGCGTAGAATGGTTACAAGAGGCTGGGAAGGGTAATGTTGGTGGGGAGGACAGAGGAAGTGGGAATGGTTAATGAGTACAAAAAAATAGAAAGAATGAATAAGACCTCCTATTTGATATCACAACAAAGTTACTATAGTCAATAATAACCTAATTGTACATTTTGAAATAACTTAGAGAATAATTGGATTATTTGTAACTCAAAGGATAAACACATGAGGGGATGCATACCCCATTCTCCACGAAGTGCTTATTTCACATTTCATGCCTGTGTCAAAACATCTCATGTACCCCATAAATATATACACCTACTATGTACCCACAGAAATTAAAAATATAAAAAAGATAGTTACATAATCTAGTAAACACTTCTCATGAAAAATTTGTTTGTGATAATGATAAGCAAAGGTGATGCATACTTTAATCTCTGGCTTCTTCCAAGCCATTGTAGGATGCCACAAAACAGCTTTCTTAACATGCAAGTAGCCTAATAATTAACAGGATGGTTAAGGGCCATTGGCTGATCCTGTGATCTTGAGTAAGTTTCTTAAATTGGCAAAAAAAAAAAAAAAAAAAAAAAAGGAGATCATAAACATACCAATCTTGGCCAGGCGCAGTGGCTCATGCCTGTAATTCCAGCACTTTGGGAGGCTGAGGTGGGCGGATCACCTGAGGTCTGGAGTTCAAGACCAGCCTGACCAACATGGAGAAACCCCGTCTCTACTAAAAATACAAAATTAGCTGGACGTGGTGGCACATGCCTGTAATCCCAGCTACGAGGGAGGCTGTGGCAGGAGAATTGCTTGAACCCAGAAGGCGGAGGTTGCAGTGAGCCAAGATCGCACCGTTGCACTCCAGCTTGGGCAACAAGAGCAAAACTCCATCTCAAAAAAAAAAAAAAAAAATAGTACCAATCTTATTGGTTATAAGGATTAGTGAGAATATAAATATCTTACAACAGTTCATGTGTAAAATGTAAACTGATGGAATTTTATTAAAAATGAATGAACCCAAAGACAGAAAGGGGCTAATAGCTCACAAAAGTCCTGTGTGAAGAAGCTGTGGTGACAACTTGCAGGATCACATTTCTGTAACCAAACAGCCCACAGCCGAGATGTAGACGCTTCTTATGTCTGTAGAATAATCACTGGGCTTGTTTTCTAGCTATGTATGTATGCAACAGGGACAGTGTTGATCGAAACCCATGATCATTCCTCTCCACCCAGTGGAGGTGGTAAATGTTCCTAGGTTCAGAGCACAGCTGCTTGGGACAGGGGGATAATCTAGCATTCCCAGACTGCTTAGAGTGAGTTAAAAATGTGTGATTTACTCAAGTCTGGAGGTAAAAACCAGGGCTGGATTAAACAATGATGATCGATTATTGAAAAATAGACGTTTTTCGTTTTTACAAATATAAGTTCTATGCTCCCCATGAATACAACAGTGATGATTCATTTCATGCGTCAACTTAACTAGGCTACGGTGCCCTCTTGATTGGTAAAACACTAACCTAAATGTTGCTGTGAAGTT
Organism: Homo sapiens; assembly: GCF_000001405.40. Taxonomy (NCBI): domain Eukaryota; kingdom Metazoa; phylum Chordata; class Mammalia; order Primates; family Hominidae; genus Homo; species Homo sapiens. Next base: position 24,807,810 of record NC_000012.12, on the reverse strand, counting down.
ATCTTTTAGATGTGATTAATATTTAAATCAGTAGACTGAGAAAAGCAGATCACCCTCCATAATGTGAGAAAGTGAGTGGGCCTCATCCGATCCATTGAAGGCCTTAAGAGCAAAGACAGGAGGAATTTGGCCTTAAAACTGCAAATGGAAATTCTGCCTGAATTTCCAACCTGCTTGGCCTGCCCTGCAGATTTCAGACTCAAGATCATAACGTCAACTCTTACCTGAATTTCCAACCAGTTGGCTTGCTGTACAGAATGTGGACTCGTCAGCCTCTACAATTTTATGAGACAGTTGAATTCCTTAGAAAAAATTAATCTCTCTCTTCATGTATATATGTAGGTAGATAGATATAGATAGCAGTACAGTGCCTATTTATTCTTTATAGAATCCTGACAAATACAACAACAAACAACATTTTTACTTACAGTTTCCTCTACTAAGTAAAAAAATCACGTACTCTATTGTTCTCTTTGGACTCAGGCAAGCCTATTCTTTCAGAAAATTGTTCATCACATAAGGCACTAGTGATAGTGTACTCTAATCATAAACATAGTACCTAAGAAAAAAATAAGAATTCCAGGATGGGCAACGTTGCACAACCCAAAGTAACTAAATGAGGGCGGACATCAAAAGTGTATTTTCAGGCATCAATGGGAGAAATAGTTCTGAGTGTTAGGCCATGAAATGCCTTAAATTATTGTTATTATTATTGTGTTTAGGGCCTGAATCTATGCCCCGAGAATGCAACATGGCCAAAAGTAGACAGAAAAAGCTTTTTTGGTATAATTGAAGGATGGGATGATTTTGTCATGTAAGAGCCATTTTAACGATAAAAGTCAGCTTCATAGTTTTACTAAAATGTGTGGCTGCAGTGATCACCATGGCTGTCACCCAGACCTCCTGTCTACACAGTATGACAACCAGGTTCAACCCCAGACTTACTGGTGCTCCCACTACCAGGTTCAAGTTAGGAAACATCTCTGTAGTCATTTCAACTTTCATATCTCTGTATTCCACATCTATTAAAGTTATCTTTTGCAAGTCAGTTTTTGTAAACTCCTGAATAAAGAGAACAAATTGATCTGCATCTGCAGTGAGATTTGACAAGGCAACTTAAAAGGCAGTAAGGAGCTGAACAAGGTTAAGTGAGGGAGATGGGGATTATCCACAGCAGCTCTTCACCAGTTTGGTTCTCACAAAAGGAGAAGATGATCTCATATTTTGCATGAAGGAAAGGAAGAGAATTTTCCTTGGACTTGCTTGTTTCATAGTCATGAGGTTAACGGTTGCATTTTCTGCAAGAGCATTTTCCACCCAGTTTAATGCAAACTTTCTTTAACAGCAAACGTCCTCCTCCTGATACTATTCAATAATTATTATTCTTGCTAATCATTGACTTGAATGGCTAGATTTCACAGTCAAATGTACAAAGTCTGGTAGATAATTTTGTTTTTATATTTCCCTTTTATTCATAATCATTCAATTTCCCCACAGCCATCTAGGAGACTATGAGAACTTGTAATTATTTATGTCAATGTTTTCCTCTCCCACTAGACTAGTAATTCTTCAAGATATTACATCTAACACATTTTCCAATATTCTCAGAACAAAATTCTTTAATCACATATGAATAGTATGCATTGAGCCTCCAGCCTAGTGTCTGACATCTAGTAATCACAAAATATTTGGCAGACCTATCTGGGCACTATTTAGCTCCAAGGATTGAAGGCTTCTGGTTTCCAGGCTCAATCTCACCCAATGCATGAGTTAATTGGCAATAGGCCTGATGGTGCATTAACAGCTGAGGTTCAGGGGCATGAGCTTAGCTTTGCTGCCCTAATCCCAGCATCTGGTATCTCTTGGATGAGTCCTTGGGTTTCACCAAGCTAGAGCTTTCTTCCTAACCCACAAGATATGTGTCTATCCATCCTGATTGACTGGATTTCTGCCCTGGTATAGTTCTCTGTAAGAGGCAGTGTTCTCAGAGTCTTAGCCCGCTTGACCAGGGCCCAACCACCTTCTCAAGCCTGGACTTTGTCTCTTCCCACCCAGATATAGATGGGTCCAGTTTCCATCTAGATGAACATCTTTGAAACATAACCATGACCTCTTGCTCAATTATGGTTATTGCTAAACCCCACCAAGCAGTCTTTAACTCTTCAATACTAAGAATGGCTTTCATTAGACCCGAGTTTGCCATAACCCCTTGGATATGGTAATTTGAACTATTCCCTACCTCCTTCAGCTTGCCTGGCTCTGGTCTGTAATGCTTTGTCTGCCAGTTTGCTCCCTAGGTCTCAACTTAAAAGAACTCCCTCTTGGTCCAAAGAGGCAACCATTTAGCTTGGAAAATCATGTTAGCTTCTTGCTGTCTGGGTTTCCTCTCATTTAATTAATTTTTTTTTCTTTAGAGAGTAATGTCTTTTAAAACCCAACATTGCATCTACTGGATGAGTTTTGAATGTTTTGCACTCAAGGGATTGTTACCACACTAGCAGTATCAGCAACTGCTGGTCTGGGTGCTTTTTAGAAATGCAGAATCTCAAGCCCTCCCCCAAACTACTGAATCAGAATCTGCATTTTAACAAGATGTTTTATCTACACATTCACTTTTTTTTTGAGACAGGGATCTCGCTATGTTGCCCAGGATGGAGTGCAGTGGCTATTCACAGGTGTGTTCATAGCATGTGATATGGTTTGGCTGTGTCCTCACCCAAATCTCATCTTGAATTGTAGCACTCTTAATCTCCACATGTCACGGGAGGGACCCAGTGGGAGATAATTGAATCATAGGGGCAGGTTTTTCCTATGGTGTTCTTATGATAGTGAATATGTCTCATGAGATCTGATGGTTTTATAAAGGGCAGTTTCCCTGCACATGCTCTCTTGCCTGCCACCTTGTAAGACATGCCTTTGCTCCTCCTTTGCCTTCTGCCATGATTGTGAGGCCTCCCCAGTCATGTGGAACTGTGAGTCCATTAAAATTCTTTTTCTTTATAAATTACCAAGTCTCCAGTATTTCTTCAAAACAGTATAAAAATGAAGTAATACAACATGCTACACCCTGAAATTCCTGGCATCAAGTGATCCTCCTGCCTCAGCCTCCTGAGTAGCTGTGACTGCACGTAAGCACATTCAAATTTGAAAGTGCTGATCTAAAAAATCTCTCAGCATCACATCAAATACAGGGGCTAAGGAGAAACTATTGTGAAGTTAGAAATAAGATTCATTTGGCCGGGTGCAGTGGCTCACGCCTGTAATCCCAGCACTTTGGGAGGCCAAGACAGGTGGATCGTGAGGTCAGGAGTTCAAGACCAGCCTGACCAACATGGTGAAACTACATCTCTACTAAAAATACAAAAATTAGCCAAGCGTGGTGGTGCATACCTATAATCCCAGCTACTCAGGAGGCTGAGGCAGGAGAATTGCTTGAACCCAGGAGGTGGAGGTTGCAGTGAGCTGAGATCATGCCACTGCACTCCAGCCTGAGTGACAGAGAGAGACTCTGTCTCAAAAAAAAAAAAAGAAAAAAAGAAATGATTCAGTTGAAAAACAGAATTAATTTTATAAATAAAAGAATTCATTCTGAAGCTGAAGTGATTTTACATCATCATACTCAATGTAGCCTTGTGTTTGCTCGGAACCCAACATATGCAGGTTTGATTCTGAAATGTTCCTAACCTGCCAATGCTTTCTTGAGCTTTCTCCTGGAACTTCCTTTATGTCTGAGTTTCGTGTAAGTAAATTATCACTGTGGTCTTTGAAAATTACCACACAGGAAATAACAGGAAACTGTTAATTACTGAATTCCTGCATACTATTTATTCTTTATATTTAGAGTTACTGTAGAGCCTCTGGGCATATATGCACAATTAAAAAGATGAGAGTCTCAGCCAAGTTGCAGCTGTTCTTAAGTTTCTTGGAACACTAACCTAGATAAGTGCTTCCTTTTATGTTAACCTATGTTCTCTGCCAATGACAGTTGGTTGGCTGATAACCTGGGGGATGTGAGCCTGTTAATGAGGTATCACAGGTGCAGCTCTCAGCCCAAGTGATTCCAATGAGTTATCCTTCCCTAGTTATGAATGTAGTAGTGACATAGGATTCTTTTGGTGCCACTTCCCAGTCAGGAACCTCTGTGGCCGGCAGTACCTCTGCCCAGGCTTTGCGTGGGCAGGCTGCACTTGGCTCATTCCCTGGCCCAGATCCCACAACCACTGTGGCTGCATCCTCAGCCCAAGGAGGGACCATGTGTGCTGCAAGCAGCTTCCACAAATGGGTGCCCACATTCTGACGAGGGGGATGCAGTGGTGCTCAAAAACTCAGAGATGCTAGCAAATGTGGAGCTCCAAGAGGGCATCACAGCTTCTGCTCAGGAAGTCCCAAGGTTGGGGCCCCCAAGAAGCACTACAGCTCTCTCTTGTTCCTGCCTTTGCAGCCCAATGAACAGGGACGTGTCACAACTCATTCAGTCCCAACGTCTGCAGCTTGGCGAAGCATGTTACAGCCCTATTTGCTCCCACTGTTTGGAGGGTTCCCAGTTTCCAGTTCTTGTCCCACAACAAAGAAGAATGAAGTATACAGACACCAGAGAGTGAGCAAGGCAGAGAAGAATTTTATTGAGCAACAGAAAAGCTCTTGACAACAAGAGGGGACCCGAAATGGGTAGCCCTATGTGTGAGAGGGGGCCCAAAAGTGGATAGCTGTCTGTGAGGCTGAGTCTGGGGTTTTTATGGGTTCAGAATGGGGGAGTGTGTGCTGAGTGGTCCATAGGTGGTCCTGGAAAAAGCACCATTTGATTGGTTAAAAGCCATCATAGAAGTATTCACTCTGATCATAGATTCTATACTGAACTGGCAGCTCAGTATAGAATTTGTCTCCCACTGTTATCAGCAGGTTTCCTAGAACCTGAAATTAGGGTGCTGAGAGTCAAGTCAGTTGGGTTTAGCTCCTGTCAGAATCACAGTTCCTTGTTCTATTGTAGACCAGAAGTAATTCGTACATCGGGCTGGACTGTGTCTAAACCAGCACAGATATGAGGAATTTTTTCTGTTTTAACTATCCCCAGAGGAGGAACTGTAACTAACCCTTTCAGGAGATCTTTTCTCTCAAGTCTAAATCCTTTTTGCTATTAAGGAAAAATATTTTCAGACCAGACTTTGAGGCTCATGCCTATAATCCCAGCACTTTGAAACTTGAGGCCAGGAGTTTGAGACTAGACTGGGTAACATGATGAGACACTGTCTCTACAAAAAATAAAAAACATTAGCTATGCAGGGTGGCACATGCCTGTGATCCCAGCTATTTGGGAGGCTGAGGTGGGAGGATCATTCAAGCACAGGAGTGCAAGGCTGCAGTGAGCTATGATTGTGCCACTATGCTCCAGCCTGGGTGATAGAGCAAGACCCTGTTTCTAAAAAAAAAAAAAAAAAAAAAAAAAAAAAAAAAAAAAAAAAAAAATTATATTTTATCTATAGACAGGCTTGAAGAAAATCTGATTTCCATACAATAAAATATTATTTTGTTGTCAATAATTTTGCTTCTCTAGGTGAAATTGCAAGGTTTCCGCTCTGTGTCACGTTTTTTCTTATCAAACTTTGTACCTATCTGCAGCGTCTCAGACTCTGGGCTTTTCTCACCCTTCAGTCTGTGGACCTGGACAATGGGCCTTGGTAACATCCTAGTCAGTAGAGAGGTCACAGTCCTTTTAATTGGTACTGCTGTGATACTTCTGGGTATGACGCTCATTCTGCTCTTTTGCTTTACTCCTCCAGTGATTTCTTCAGTGTCCTTTTCTTTTCAGCCATGATGGTTGTCTCTATGACCTCTCATTAGCTTGTTTAAGATACTTTCTCCAGGCCAGGCATGGTGGCTCCTGCCACTCACTTTGGGAGGCCTAGGCAGCTGGATCACGAAGTCAGGAGATCGAGACCATCCTGGCCAACGTGGTGAAACCCCGTTTCTACTAAAAATATAAAAATTAGCTGGGTTTGGTGGCATGTGCCTGTAGTCCCAGCTACCCAGGAGGCTGAGGCAGGAGAATCGCTTGGACCTGGGAGGCAGAGGTTGCAGTGAGCCAAGATTGCACCACTGTACTCCAGCCTGGGCGACAGAGTGAGACTCCGTCTCAAAAAAAAAAAAAAAGTTTCTCCAATTTACCAATAAATATTTTGAAGTCCACTTCTTTTTTTTAAAACTTTTTTTTTTAGTAGGGTATCGTTCTATTGTTCAGGTTGGAGTGCAATGTTGTATCATGGCTCACTGCAGCCTTAACCTCCCAGGCTCAAGTGATCCTCCCTCCTCAGCCTCCCAAGTGGCTGGGACTAAAGGAGTGTGCCACCATGCCTGGATAATTTTTTTAAGGTTTTTTGTAGAGACAGTGTCTCACTATATTATCCAGGCTACTTGAGGTCTATTTCTAGTTCCCAGGTGTTCCCTTAGTCACAAAAGTAAAATTCGGTGTTACTAGTGACTAAATGAAAAGGAAATTCAAGGCAGTTGTATTATAATGCTGAGCATCAGACTGGAGTCAGGAGTTGAGACTCTTCCCTTCTCTGTTCCTGCCAACTTTACTCACTGGCTGCATAGCTTTGACCGATTGACTGCTGTAAAAAGAAAGGTTTCAAGTAGTGACCTCTGAAGTCCCTTCCAATTCTAAGCTTTCTCAACTCTAGAAATCTATCATTAATGGACTCAGATGGTCTTCTCCATCCCTCTCTTCCCTCATGATTCCCAGTTCTAAGAGGTGGCTTGCTTAACAATTACTCTTAGGAAAGAGTTATTAGCAAAGTTAAGAAGTGAGTAATCTACTTCTTAAAAAGAAACTATTAGGAAATATATACAAAATCTAAAACACTGTAAAGATCAATACCTTCATCATCCAGGCAGACCCACCTAACAAGTTTAATAATGTTACCATTAAAGTTTAATCCTCTGGGTATCCTCTCATCTATTGCAATCCCCCCTCTACTCTTGGCAGATAACCTCTCTCCAGGATAGTTATTTAATCTTTAATGTAAATTTAAGTCATAGTGTTACCCCTGCAAGGACTATTGTACTCAAGCCTCATCTCTAATAAGAAAATAAATAGGTTTTATATAACTTTAGTAGAATTTTTGGCAGATGGAGAAGACGTGGGGAGCAGAGAGTCCTTCCCAGTGGTAATAGCTGGCTGTGAGAATCATAATATACTTACATTCCATCCCATGTATCTCAACCAAGTGCATTTCCCCTGTTGCTGATGCTTTATTTACATTTGTAGGGCTCTAACAACAGGCTTTAATTCGGACTTTTGTTTCCAATTTTGTATCTGCTTAATCTTGTTCATCAGCTTTTTCACTAGAAACTGAATTTGGCAGGATATTGGAACAATAATGACATATAAGGCAGAGAGAACTACTCTAATTTCCATTAGTTTGATAATGAATTTGTTCAATTTAGAACAAATATTAGTCATCATGTCAACCTGAGCTGCCATTCACCTGTAACAAAATGTGGAGTTGCTGTGCTGCACTTCTGCCCACAATGTTTCCAATGTCCTCTCTTGCCTTTCCTTGCTAACCACTTACCAGCCATACTGGCCAACTTCCAGCTTCTCAAATATACTCAGATCCACCTCCTCCAAATCCATTTGCATATTCTATTCCTTCTGCTTGGAATGATCCCAACCTGATTTTTAGGACACTAGTCATTTCTCCTACTCCATTTCCTCAAAGAGCTCTTCTTGCTTCTTGGCCACCTTGGCTAGAGTGGCTCCTCACCTACATCATTCTCATCTTAGCACTCTCTTAGTTTTCATCATGGCACATAGTACAATTGCAATTGTTTTATTGATTTGCTTGTTTACCCTCTCCTCCATTAAAATATAAGCACTATGCAGACAGACACCCTTTCTGTTTTATTTATCAATTGCCTACCATAGTCTTTAGCAATAGGAGATGTTTAGTGAATATGTTTTTCAAAAAAAAAAAAGGAAGGAAAAAAAGAAAGAAAAAGGGAAGCAAGCTAGCTTTCTTTTTTAAAAAAATTTATATTTATTTAGAGATGGGGTTTGGCCATGTTGCCCAGGCTGGTCTTGAACTCCTGAGCTCAAGTGATCCACCAGCCTTGGTTTCCCAAAATGCTGACATTACAGGCATAAGCCACCACCATGCCAACCTAGCTTTCTTTAGGTATTAATCCTTTGCCTTTTTTTTTTTTTTTTGCTTATCCATAAAAAATGTCTACTGACTATGGTTCCAAGCGTTTTTTCCCCAATGATTTCTATTGCCTGGTAAATTGAAATTTTCTTCATGAGGTAATTGGTTTGAAAGAGAATCTTGGAATTTTTCAAGTCTTTAGAAGAGACTTCTAGCTCCTGTAGTAGTAGTCAACTCTCTTTGGAGGGTTATTGTAGATTAAAAAACACACATATACCTTTTTACCTTGAGATAATTAGATTCACACGCATTGTAAGAAATAATTCATAAGGATTCTATGTATCCTTCCCTCAGTTTCCCCCAGTGGTACTATCTTGCATTACTATAGCACCTCACAACCAGGAAAATTATTGTCTTTAATAAAGTGAGGGTTTTTTTTTTTTCAGTTCTAATTCTTTATCACTCTCCACCTCTTTCACTAAAGGGCTTGAGGTCACTTATAAAAAGGACAAATATAATGCATAAAATTAATGTAATTAATTTTAAAATTAATTATAAAGGAGAAATCAAGGTGAAAAAGTAAAAAAATATGTTAACACTTGGGGCTAATTCAAAGTTTATAACTTGGTTCTCTGCAAAGTCAATGGATTATAATTAATTTAGATGTGGAAATACACCGACTCTTCAGAGGGAGAGAGACAAAGACTTTCTTGCTTTCTAAAAGAATAAAAAGTTTTAATAAGAGACAACAAAGTATGTTTCTTAAAAAAATACTTTCCTCGAGTTGCAGTGAATGTGACAAGTAGAGAACCACAACGCTACATATCTACCTTCAACATGACATGAGACTTTATTATAGATCTTCCAGGCCCTATGAAACACTCAATGCTAAATTATCAAACTTCACTAAATGACATTATATTATTAAACTACTATCACAGGAAGCAGGCAATTATTGAGTCATTTACAAATATTCTCATTCTCCTCCTTCTGGGCCCTTGTTAAGTTTGTGATTTCCTGGCCCCTTGAAGATAGGCTTGGCCAGTGACTTGCTCTGACCAATAAAATATAAGCAGGGGTGACATGTGCCACTTCTAAGTGGAAGCATTTGATTGCTGGTGCTCAACTGCAAACTTCCTTTTCCCTACTTCAGTGGTCACAGAATCACAAGTTTCATGAAACATCTGTCATCTTGGGTCTGTGAGTGACTAAATTAGGCAGAGATCCCTGCTGATCTATGTTAGACATGTTGCATAAATAAGAAAAAAAACCTGGCTGGAATCATTGAAGTTTGAGGGTTGTTCATATTACAAATGTTAAAATGGCCTATCTTGATTGGTATTGAAAAAAAATCCCTTAAAATGTATTTATTTGACTATTCTATCAAATCAGGCTCTGATTCTTTGGGCTAGATATTGTCCATTTCTTCCCCTTACTGAGTAGGGAAAAGACTGGTCCCAGTATCTATAAATGGATCTCTCTGCCAATTTAGTCATAAGTAGGATTTACTCTTTGTGCTAAAAAGTAATCCACCCATGACAATCCACATGCAAATGACTCTAGTAACACATTGAAACTTTGGGAACATGACTAGCCCAATAACAACTCATTAACTAGTTAAAGGAGAATAGCAGATTATTAAAACCCAAACCTAGAGGGTCAAGTTACAAAGTGATTGAGACTCCGTGAAATGGAAGGTTGGCTGCGTTTGTTTTTGATACTCCTGAGACCTGCCATTGATGTGGCCTGCATCTAGCACTTCATCCTTAAAGCACTGTGTTATCTTTGGTGATGAAAGGAAGGGAGAAAAGGTACTCATAGGCAGCATTTTTAATTATCTGTTAATTGGATGAAATGGCAAATAAAGTGCCTAAAGGCCATATGCATATTCATAGATTGTCTTCAAAGGGTACCATTACTAAAGCCAATGAAAAAGATTATGAGTTAATATTGGATTGCGATTTAGGGCAGAGCAGGGCGAGACATATTCAGATATCTTTCTCCAAATAGTTACTAAGATTAATTTGTCTCCCTGGTTTTATATGAGGATGGCGGTGCTACAATTTGCCTGGAAGTAGAGCATGTTTGTCAAAGTAGCAAGTCCCACAGCGGGTAGTTGTTGGCAATTTTCCTGATTGCTCTGGGTGTACGATACTCTTAGGCACAGGATGAATATTTTACCCAAAATAAAAGTTTAGATAATATTTTTCATGATATTCATGTCTAATATGATTTCCATCAGAAACAATTATTTCTGCTTGTGGTAGAAAGCAAATACAATATTCTCTTTGTGAATTTCCATGGGAACATGAAAATAATTTTTTTTTAAGCAGTAGCAATTTTTTTATTTTGACAGAGCTTCCAAGAAAAGTATGGAAAAGAGATTTTGGGATACCATGTTGAAATTCTTTCTCTGCTTTGCAGAATATTTCGACATTTAAGATTTAATGTTCAAGTGACAATGCAGTAAGCATAAGTTCCAATTCCACAGGGCCCAGAATGGATGAGAATTACACACACTTTCCTCTGTCTGTCCTGGTTCTGCCCCGCTGCTGAGGTCACTGCAGGGGAAGATATGGAAGGAGAAAAAGCCACACACATCCCCAGGGCACCCTCTAAGTGCCTGAGTTTTTTTGTCACTATTTTCCTGCCACTTCAGATAACGCAAGGCAGCTGGCAAAATACAAATGCTCAGTGACCAAAGTTTGGAGATTTCCAAGATGAAAATATTTTCACGTTGTTAGTTTCATCTTTGTTAGTTGGGTCTATCTGAACGAGCTATTGACTTAAAAAAACTTTTTTTTAAAATTAATAGACTTTCTTTTTTAGAGCTGTTTTACATTTATAGAAAAATTGAGCAGAAGGTACAGAGCGTCTCTATTTATTCTCCTCTCACACCAACCTTCTTGCCAGATTCCTTTATTATTAATGTATCACAATGGCATAGTACATTTGTTACCATTGATAAACTAATATTGATACATGATTATTAACTAAAGTCCACTAGTGACTTAGTTTACATGAGGGTTCGCTTTTTTATTTTTGTGACGGAGTCTTGCTCTGTCGCCCAGGCTGGAGTGCAGTGGCGCGATCTTGGCTCACTGCAAGCTCCGCTTCCTGGGTTCACGCCATTCTCCTGCCTCAGCCTCCCGAGTAGCTGGGACTACAGGCGCCCGCCAGCAAGCCCAGCTAATTTTTTGTATTTTTAGTAGAGATGGGGTTTCACGTGTTAACCAGGAGAGGGTTCACTTTTTTTGCTGTATGGTTGTATGGGTTTTGAGAAATGCATAATGTCCTATCTCCATCATTACAGTATCATGCAGAATAATTTCACCACACTAAAAATACCCTATAAAAGACATTGAATTTTATAGCTATTTTAGAATTGTGTTACCAGTCTCATTCCCCTGAGGATACAGTCTAGCTCCACAAGGCTGTGTCATGTACCATCAGGTGCTCTGAAATAATGAGCAATGTGTGGCATGGTGGTGGCAGTTCCAGGAATTGGCTCTGCAGCAGGAATGCTCTGCCACCCCGAAGTCATTTAGCCTCTCTCATCTGTAAAATAAAGACAGGAGTATTACTTAATACATGAGATATTAAATGAGATACTACATAAAAGGGACTTAAAACAATGCCAGGCAGAGAGCAGATACTCAATACAGTTTAGCTGTAATTGTTATTAGCTGTAATTGTTATTACTCAAAATGAATATATAGATATAGAACTAAACACACATACACGCACACACAAGTGAAAGTGAAACTAGAAAAATCTGAATATGATGGGTCGGTTGTAGCAATCATCAACGTACTGCTTGTGATAGCATGCAAAAATGTTAACACTGGGGAAACTAAGTACATGTAGGATCTCTGTATTATTTTTTTATTTTTATTTTTTCAGAGATAGGATCTCACTCTGTTGCCTAGGCTGGAGAGCAGTAGTGCAATCATAGCCCACTGCAGCCTTGAACTCCTGGGTTTAAGTGATCCTGCTGTCTCAACCTCCCAAGTAGCTGGGACTACAGGCATGCGCCACCACACCCTCCTCACTTTTAAATTTTTATTTTCGTAGAGACAAGGTCTAACTATGTTGTCCAGGCTTCTCTGTATTATTTCTTCCAATTGCATGTGAATCTATATTATCTCAATAAACATTTCAATTTAAAATGATTAAAGTGGTCGTGTGGGCAAGGTGTTGGAGGAATTGCTTAAGATTTACAAGAATGCTAGTGATGAGCAACGATCACGTGGAATCATCCATCAATCCTAGCTAGGAACCAAAGCAGGCTGGGACAGCCTTTAGGAAAAGTTGGAGAAAATTGAATATGGAATGGGGATTGATAGGAAAGTTCTTAGGGAATTTTCTTCTTCATTTTTGTTGGGAGTGATCCAGGTATTATGGTTATAAAAGGGGGAAAGTGAGTTTAGTGCCTCAATTCTCCCTGCAACCCCATGACAAGCTGATTATTAGAAAATCTCCTTACACAACTCATCACTTTAAATTTACAACCACCCCTAGACTCTCAACGTCCACTCAAAATTTCTAGAAGTGACGCTCAATAACCCAAAGCAGGCCATTATTTTGCCCAAGATCTAAGCCTTTAGACACAGAAAAGAAAAAAAAAAACTCTCTATAAGAGGGTCACTAGCACCATGGGACACATTGTCAACAAGGAATTAATTAATCATACATAAGGTGCAGTCTTTCTCCCAAAATGGACTACCCAGATGTGAAATGGACTGACAGGCTCTACTGAGGATTTGGTTTCCTTGAATTTAAATGCCACAGATGTAGTTCCAGCAAGAAAAATGAATGGGTAATTATCACTATCACTTGGCCCAGTGATGGCCTGTATGTTTTAGATGCTTCCTTTCCATTTACTTTGACAGAGGCATTTAATGTCCTGGTTTGTTAAACACTTTGTTCACATAAACAGCTGTATCTTGGGAATTTCCTTATTGTCCAGTTTCTAGTTCTTGCAAATGATGACTGCATTTATTAGTAGGAACGTTTGCGGGTAATGCCTTTTCACCTACGAAGATATTCTGATTGCTTAGAAGTTTTATATAAGAACTGCTCTATCTCGGCTTCAAAGAGTTGTAATAACACATGCATTTTTTTTGTTTTGTTTTCTCTCAAGAGCTTTCGTCAACCCAGCTTCTCCCTCCTTGATCATTTCTGACAGAAATGTTACCAGCATGAACATGCTTGTAGTATTCCTGGAACTGTTCTGTTAAACCAAATTTTTAAAGGTATTTTGAATTCAAATTGTATGAGAATAAGCTCCTGTGGGGAATTTTCACCGAATATAAATATATGTTATTTCTAGTCCTATTCTTAAAATTATAAAATTTGTTTAAATATGTGTACTTCACAGATCAGATATTTATGACATATATTATCCACACCTCCCCACAGTAGTGGCTCTGAACTTTTGTGGAGTATTTCCAATAGGCTAAACAGTTAAAATCACATACAAGTTGCCAAGGCCATTGGATTTAGTTTTTTTCTGGCTTAGTATTATTTCTTTCAACAACTTTATTCATATATTCTGGATTACTTCTCATTTTTTCTCAAAGAAAATATTGTCTCACAAATCAAAGGGTTTTGTTGTTTGTTTGTTTGTTTTGCCTGAGAATGGGAAGATGTTTGTTTAGCTGATGATTTAGCCATCACAATATCCCCAGTTGTGAAGAAAAAAAATAGGGAGAGGCAGAAAAGTCTTGTTAACAAGTAATCTCTGGGTCTCCTTCAGATTCCATATTCTGTGGATCAACTCCTTGTTAGGTCAGAAGAACACCCAGGGGACTAATGGCATCTAAACATCTAACATTTGTTTTTAAATGATAATTTCTATCTCTCCAGCTACTCTCCCCAACTTGAAATGTCCCATTTGGTTTAGCTTTCCCCAGATTTAATTTTTCCCTGGCACAAAATTAAAGCTCTTTTGGTAAATATTAGCTTGCTTGAAACCCACTGAAGCTTGAAGGCAGTTATTTTCAGATAAGAAAAATTTATCATTTTATCTATGAGTAAACAGACATGAAATATTACTCTGAGAGATGAAAAAGGAGGACCTTATAAGTACATTAAGTCAAGTCTTTTTGATACATTTTCAAACAATTGCACCAGCAGTAGTTATGCCAAGAAAAATATGGCTCTTTAAGGTAGATCTCCTATCTTTGAAAGTTGAAACTAAGGAGGATAACTCTAACTTTCATTTAGGGCATTCAATTTGAATGCCTCCTCTACACACACACACACACACACACACACACACACACACACGCACACACACACACACACACGCACCTTCTGAGTATTAATTTGAAACTAAATACCTGGATTAAAATGTATTTCTAGATAGACAGATAAAACCTAGTAGAGTGTCATTTATAGTTTTTAACATGTGGAACAGTTTTTCTCTCTGTGTTCAGTGTTGACCCTTCTATGGCTTTAGTTGAACTGTTTGGTCTCATTTAGCCCTTGTTTAACTATATGACAGTCATAGATGAGTGTTATTAGGTAAGTCCCCCTGTCCCCATTAAGTGTCACTCGTGCTAGATTAGTTTAGTTTGATTTTGGATGTAAGCGCCTAAAAGCTGAAGTCCCTGTTTAGTACTACTGTAGTTTATCTCACAGCTCAATATTTTGGAGTTTTTAAAGGTGAAAGAGTATTTTGATCTCTTCAAAGAGCAAAACCTGTTCTCAGACGAAATCAGTCTTTAGTGGAGAACTGCCTCCTTTAATGTCTGATGAACACTTTTCTGGAATATAATTTTTGTACCTTCCTCCGTAAGAGTTTAAGTTAATGTTTTATTCTGCAGCCTTTCCAAGCAACTCCTGTTATTTTCACTTTGATCTTGTCCTTATTTTAGCTTTTCTAAAATAATCGAATTTTCATTGCTTGAGTTGAGTAGCAGGAGCATACATTCCCAGATAATGTGCGCTTTCCAACCCTTCCTCATTTATACTAAACATCTCAAACTTGTCTTGTCTTCAGTAATTAGAGATGTCTTCATTGATTTTGGCTGCCAGAATCAATCCAGGCTATTTTTTACATCAGACTTTGCTTGGGTTTTGTTTCTTGAGGTAGACACAATTACTTTTTACCTTTAAAAAGCCATGTAGGCCTTTCCTTCCGATCTTAAATTAGCTTTGAGTCTGACTTGTTTCCACTCAATACAAAGGAGCGTTGTTCCTTCTGTGTTTTCATGCCTTCTGGTCGGCGACTTCCCTCAATGTCCTTTCTATCTTTACAGTTCTAGTGCTTGACAGCAAGTCCCTAGGAATCCTTACAGTCTACTAAACACAAAATGGTGTTCTTTCCTCAAGGAAGTTATAATTTTGTGCAGGAAAGAAGGGTAGGATAAAGTCATATATTGCCATAGTTTATTATGAATGGCTAGGATTAATTTGGAAGTGCTTCCTAGATTATGTGGATTTACAGCCAACTGTATGGAAAATCTTCAGAGATTTCTGACTTCCTCTGTAACACTAGAAGACTTGTTGAGTAGATTTCTTGTATTTATCAATACTCACTTTACAACCCTAATAGAGGACTGCAGGTGGCAGATATGATGGTATTCGGTGGGTTGAATGTGGGTAACTTCTAGTTTAAAGTAAATGCACACTTTTTTCCTCCTTTGGGAAATGCAGATAAGTTCAGAAGACCCTCTAGTTTTTATTAATGGGATTATGAAAGGTCGTGTTAGTTGAAATTAATTCCATTCATTCTGGATTTGAATGAGAGGCAGTTAAGACAGGAAGGAATGGAACATCTGACTAACAGGTGTTGTTCCACGTGAAATTCTCAGCAGTAAACCAGGGAGCACAGGAAGCTGCCACATGCAACCCATGTAGGTGATGTGAAGGAAATGGGTGTTGGTGTGGGCAGAGGAAAAAATGAAAGCCTTGGCAATGAAGAGGTGGGTCAAGAGTGTGAAAGAACAGTCCAGAAAAGGGGTTGATGGGTTTTGAAGAGAAGAGACTTTTATTTCTTCTTAGTTCAGGCTATGTTTAGGTGTTAACCTAATTACTATTTACTTCCCTGCAAAATGAGAGAGTAAGTCCTTGCACAGAATGTTTGGCTAATGCCTGTGGCCAAAAGTTTTATAAAGTTTTGTAGTAATACTTCAAAAAGAAAGTATTTTCTCTAGCTCTAAGACAGTGTTTGAGATATATGGGAATCTACTTTTAGAAATTAAAATATTCTCTTTTTGGCATTCTTCTCTCTCTGCATCTTCTAAGGCTCATACTATTTTCTTAACTCACTTTTGAGTAGCCCTTGCATACCAGGTATTGAACAAGCTCCAGGCTCAGAAATACATGATCTCTGTCCTCAAACAAACTTACTTTTGCTTAATGTTTAAAAATGAGTAATTAGGTCATGAAAGGGTTTTACAAATATTTCAACTAAAACCCAGTAGCATTGATTAATTTCTAGAGGCAGCTAAATAAGACCCATTTGATTTTTGTTAAGGAAAAATCAGGGATTCTTCTTTGGTTATACCTGGAAGTGTTCATTTTTTTCATTGCTATATAATAGCTATTGCCCCAATTAATATGGAAACAAATGGAGATTTGCTTAGAATTGAAATGCTGTGTTGTGTAAGCGATTCTACTGATGAGTCAATATTTGATTGTTTTTGAACTGAATTTTTAATAATTTTTGAATTTTTTCAAAATTTTTATTATTTCAATAATTTTATTGTTTTTGAACTGAATGATATAGATACTAACTTCTATGACATCTACTTCACTTGTAGAAAAAGAAGGGGGAAGAAAGCAAGTTCTAAAAGTGTCTGATCATACCTCTCAACTGATTTAATAATGCTTAACCTTTTAGGATGGAAACAGGCACAACTTAACCAAAGAAAATGCCATTACTAAAATGCATTATCAATCTCCTGTGAAGCAGTGATGAAATGCAAAGGAGCAGTATTTTTTATGTTTGATGGAAAGATGTTGCAATGTTTCTTGTTGTAAGAAGCCAAATATTTAAAAATGAACATACACTCTCTGTTGCTCAATAGGTAAGAATTATATACTTTGAATGCCCCTCACTGCAGCTGGTTTACCAGACAGGTGTGTTCTCTTCCATTGTTTAGCCATGCAGCATGTAAGACATTTTAAAGTTGTTATTGGCCGGGCACGGTGGCTCATGCCTGTAATCCCAGCACTTTGGGAGGCCGAGGTGGGCGGATCACCAGAGATTAGGAGTTCGAGACCAGCCTGGCCAACATGGTGAAACCCCATCTCTACTAAAAAAATACAAAAATTAGCCAGGCATGGTGGCAGGCGCCTGTAATCCCAGCTACTCAGGAGGCTGAGGCAGGAGAATCTCTCGAACCCGGGAGGCAGAGGTTGCAGTGATCCGAGATCGCGCCATTGCAATCCAGCCTGGACAACAAGAGTGAAACTCTGTCTCAAAAAACAAACAAAAAAAGTTGTTATTAACGCTTTTTAATTAGATGTAGTAATTTGAAACATTGCATAGAACATTACAGTTTTTGGTGGTGGTTTTAGTTTCCATGCTTCATGTGTACATGTTTTTAGAAGTGCCTTCTATTTTTGAAGTATTTAGGGAAAAAAGTTGAGAAAGTAATACATCTTGGAAATTTTTTATATAGACACTGTATATTTAGGTTCATAAGTATATTTAAAATTGTTTTAAATACTAAAATTGTTTACTTTAGTACTGAAAATGATTTACTGTCTTTTACGGTTTCATTATTTATGTTTATACTGTAAAATATCTGCAGGAAATCTGACATTTCCTAAGAGGATTTTTTGGCCAAGTACCCACCTAAGTAGAAATTTATCTTGGCTTTGTGAAGTCCTGGATATATTTCTAAAATGAGCATAGTACTATGTGTCAGTTAGTACAGAAGTCTTCTTCCAGAAGGATATGGGATATCAGCTTGATCCTAACTCATTTTGTTTTAGAAAATGAAGCCAAAGGATGGATAAAGTTCTAGACTTGCTTTAAAAACCTTAAAGTAGCTGGACATGGTGGCACCTGTCTATAGTCCCAGCTACTCTGGAGGCTGAGCTAGGAGGATCAATTAAGGCCAAGAGTTCCAGGCTGTAGTGTGATATGATAGCTGCTGTGAATAGCCCCTGCACTTCATTCAGCCAGGGCAACATAGCGAGACCCTGTCCCACAAACAAACAAACAAACACATATGGAATAATAACGTCTCTCTCATTTCCAAAAATGACTGTGTTGGTGCATATTTGTGCAATGATGGGAAGGATGGGTAGGGAATAGAGTGAGTTATGTTAGTAGGAATTACACGTGGTCAAGGAACCATCAACTCATATCTCCAAGGGCCCAAGGCAATGTTGCTACAACATTTTCTCAAATGGACTTCTCTTTACCTGAGAAGAGTAAAATAATGTAGTATACGTTAGCTGAGGAAATTATTATTTGCCTATGAGCCCTGAGAGTAATCAGGTAATTATCACAGAAATCAGATAGTAAGCCCTTACGAAACTTAACATATTTTTTGCTTTCCTGTTGTATTCTTGCCAGACTTTTGTGGCATTCATATTTGTGGTAGGCAAAGTCCAAACATTTGGCTGTGGCAAAATGTTGGATTCTTAACAGCCGGGCAAGAACCAGTAGCAGGAGAGAATACAGTGAGTGAGGGAGCAGAGTCAGAAGATGTGGGCAACAGATACTGGTACCCTGGATTGTCTGTTAGCAGCCCAGCATCCCTCCTGCCCCTGCTACATTTACCTCCTGCAGGGGAAAACTCTGGAAATACAATTCTCAAAATCTCTTTTCAATATGTTTGTGGGCTACAGCCTGCCCAGTGACAGACCTTTGATTGATGCCCAGTGCAGAATGGAAGAGCCATTACTCTCCAGTGGCCACTGAGATCATTGATAGTGACTTCCTTTGGCTTCTGGGGTCCTCCTGGGAGTTGCCCACTGTGGTGCCACAGGTGGCTGATGATTATTGGAGCATCCTTTCCTGTAATCTTTGTCCTTCCTTGTGTGCTGAAAGCTGGGGTCCTGACCTTTACTTCTCTGCCCTTCCAGGGGTTTTTGTAAGCCTCTAATGGACTGTATCAGATATCTTTCTGTTTGAAACAACAGGGAGTGGCTTCCATTTTCTTAACTAAATCCTGACTTACCTCAACTGATAGACCAACTTTTGTATCTACATAATGTGTTCCTTCCACCGTCATGTGGCTATTTGTGTAGGTTCAAGGAAGCTGCTGATATTCATGACCAAATCCATCCCCAGATAATTTATATGAATCAGTGGTTGAAATGGAGAGATGGACCTTGCTACCATAAATTTTACTTTGTATCTACAGACACAAACTGGGCATCTCCTATCCTGAATTTACAACAGATTTCAGAGCACTGATTTATGTGCCAATTGTAGAATCTGAGAAGTAAGAAATGATCTGTAAGGCAATCACTTACATTCAAACATCGAGGAAGGTAAATGATCACATTGAATTTGTTTATTTCACTTATAAGTGCCCAATTTGATCAGTAGCTCCGGTCCTAATTTCTGTCTGTTAATAAAGAAGACTGCAAAATGATATACATGGGTCTTCCAGGGAACAGATGCTGAGATGGATTTAGGAATATGAGTAGTTTATGGAGAATAGTGCCTGTGAAAAGAGGAGGGATAGAAATCGGACGAGCAGAGCTTCAGAGCATTATGTCGTCTAACAGAGCCTTGGCCAGCCCAGTGGGGTGCGCTGGCGCTAAGATCTCCCATGAGAAGAGCCTTACATTGGGCAGAAATGGTCAAGCCCTAGTACCCCAGCTGTGCTCAGTCTTTTCTTGGGGGTTGTCCAGGAAGGGAATGGCTTGGACTCAAAAGCTGAATGCGATCCTGAAGGTGCTGGAGCTGAAGGCGGTCAGCCAAATGTGCTCTTTGTAGCTGAATGGCAAATTCTTGAATGGAGATCCAAGCAGTGCACCTTCATGGCTCTCATGGTTCTTAAAAGCATTTTAAGCCTTCAGCTATGCAGCAGTTTTTCCCTCTTTATTCCCATACTTTATTTTAATTTATTATAGGTTCTTAAAGATTTGGGGTGAGAGCCCCTACTCCCTTAGCATCTGCAGCAACATGGAACTGAAATGATAAAATTTTCAACCAGAACATTCCCTGTCACCTTACCATGACCCATGTTGTTTTTGATTGACAACACCAACAGCTACTCAAATGTAACACAATGAAGACAAATCTCAACTTCTAGAATCATGATACTACTCCCTATCTACTTCTTAAGCAAGACGCTGAGAATCATCTTTAGTTTCCCACAATTTATATTCTGCAAAAATAAGCAGAGTAGATATCAGACATTTACTGAGAGCAGATCGTGTGCTAGGTACTTTTGGGGGTACTCTTATAGTTTATTATGTATCCTTATTTTACAGATGAAGAAACTGAAACACTGAAACATTACAACTTAGTCACAGTTTTTACAGCCTGTAAGTAAATTTGCTGAGATTCAAATTCAGACATTTTGACTCTGACCATGTAGGAATAGTCAGTTGAGAGTTTGTTGAGAGCTATTTATCTGCCTGGTAACAATTTAACTCAAAACAATCTAACAAGACAAGTACTATTATTTACCTCTTTTTATAGAGGAGGAAAGTACACTAAATGATTAAAGAACTTAGCCAAGGTCAAACAGCTACATAGAAGAGCATGAATTCAAGCTTAGGACTGTAACTTGGGAGCCCGTGCTCTTTTAGGCATTTTTTTGTAGTGACGGCTGTGCAGTGGAGAGCTGATGCCAGCCTGCTGTCTTCAGGTACACTTGTATATATATATATATATTTTTTTTAGCGCCAAATTCTCAGGCTAAGCTTCGGTCATCTTTTCATTGTATAACTTGAATGTTTTCCACTGCCTCCATTACTCTGTTAAGGCTAGAACAATAAATCCATCTTTTTTGTTACCCACATCAACCTGTAACATGGCTGTGCCTTGTTAAATACCCGGAGAGGCACATTATCTGTAGGATTTATTCAACTGCCTTAGCTTAACAGGTTGTACTAGGTTGTCTTATGAGCACTCCCCAAACCTCATTGTACATCCCGATCTCTAGGAGGGCATTTCAGTAATAAACATCTCCATACCCCACATCAGAGCTACTGAACTGAAATATTTGGGGTTGGAACCCAGGCATCTACATTTTTATCACACATCTCCTGTTGGTTATTTTGTATTCAAGTAGGCACTGATCTCCAAACTGTGTTCTGAAGAGGCTCAGATGTCAGCAGAAAGGAGGTTTATTAGAGGAGATCTGACATACCTTACCTCAAGCAGAATAGCTCCACTTTCAGCTTATTTATACATTGGGGTTCCACTAGATATTATTTGATAAAAGTGTTCCATTCCTTTTTTTAACCACTACCATTCTCTAATCTGAAAGATTAGAGAAATATGTAGAGATCAACTCTATGTATTGTCTTGTCTAATACCTCAGCAGCATCACAAAGTTCCTAATGCTTTTCTTTCCCAGTCCGCCAGGATACTTCTTTTCATTGTGAAAATATTTATTGCATCCTGTCTCTTCTTGATTGTCATAGACAACTGGAATTGAGCTGGAAATACCCCCAGTGTACCATTTTTTAATTTTTTTCTCAGCACTGAAATCATTGCATGTATATAATTACAAAATGGAAACACTGAAAAAAAAACCTTAGTTTTTCTTTCTTTTTCTTTTTTTTTGAGACAAGGTCTGGTTCTGTCACCCAAGCTGGAGTGCAGTGGCACGATCAGGGCTCACCGCAACCTCTGCCTCCTGAGCTCAAGCGATCCTCCCACCTCAGTCTCCTCAAGTAGCTGAGACTACAGGCACCCACCACCACCATCATACCCAGCTAACATTTGTATTAAAAAAAAACTTAGTTTTTCATTGAATAGATTTTTACATATCTATATGACCTTGTTTATATATGCCCTTTTATATATTAACATGTTTTGGGGAAAAGGAGTACTTAATTTGCTTACTATAATATTCAAAATCTGAGTCAGGTGTATTTGGAAGCTGCAATCACTATGCTAAAGTGATGTTTCTGCCGCTTAATGGAATACCAGGTATTTTCTTCCTGTGTTGTAATGATTATAGACTATACCCCTAAGACTTCATGTTGTTAGTCTAGGGAACTTAGTAGGGAGCGTTGTTCAGGGAATGTGAGTGGACAATATTAAGCACAAATTTCTGATGACGCCTAGAGGTATAATGCAGAGTGTACCCATAATATTATGTTCACACAGAAAGTTTCAGAATTTTTGCCTGGTGAAAGTGATATGAACATGAAATAAAACACATACTATTTTAAAAACTATACTTTATTGTGTATTTATATCACTTTCATATCTGCTAATATATATCTGAGAAAATTACAAGCACCCTGAAGTTTTAACTTCTCAACTAGGGGCAACCATTGCCACACTTCTTTGTACACAAAACCTTATGGCTTTCACCAGCTCTCTGCAAAGCCGTGTGCGAAATAGTTCATGTGCATCATCGCAAACCATCTTTGATATGACTGTATAAAATAGCTATCATTTATTATCCCATTGACAGATAAGGAAGCCGAGGTCTAGAGAGGTTAGGAAACTTTCAAAGGATATATGTTAGGGAATAGAGGCAGTTGGATATAAACCTCAGCAGTTTAATTTTAGAAGCCAAGTCCTACTATAATGCTATTTTCCCCAGTCTTCCAGTGAAATGAACTGCAAATGTCAGCTCACCAATCATTAGCCAAATGCTTTTAATCCTCTCTGTCTTTTCCTATTGCCTTCTTTCAAGGATCTGCCATGCTCTTGTAGAGTAAACACTGCCTTTATCACTTTAGAAGATGGAAGATATAACAACTTGGCAGATACATGAATTATTTCAACTCTCTAAGGTTCAGGTCTTCTGAAAAATGGGCACATCAACCCTATAGCATTGTTGCAAAAATTAAATGAAATAATATGTACAGATGTGCTATACACAGGTCCTAGCCAAATGACATTTGGTAAATGTTAGCTTGTCTGCTTACCTGCTTTCCTCCTTTTATCTTTGTTACTAGCTCTGCAAAACAAACGAGCAGAGAGACACAAAAACCCTAAGCTGCTTTTTATTCTTTCATCAAGTATGCATAATTGAAGGTGTTCAAGGAAAGAATGGATGACTCTTTGATTGAATGGTGTGGCTGGAATTCAAGCCATTTTGGTGATTGGCTCAACCAGCCCTTCATTCACCTTAAATCTTCAATTCTATGATCCCATGGCAAATCACCAATCAGAATGTGTCATTTTATCTTTAAAGGATTTAATTACAGGTAAATTTTTTTTTCTCCTTGTTTCCTACCTCTTCCTATAGTGTCAAAAACAGAGATACGAGGCAGAATGACTTCCAACTCAGCCGCACAAAGGTTGCAGAGAATAAGTAGTAGTGCATTTATTTAATAGCCTGGAATTAAAATTGATGATAATAAAGCAGAATGGAAATACGTGCTTTTATCTCTATGGTAGTTTGGCTGTTGCCCAGATTGTGATCAATAACTCATTCAAAGGAAGTCTATGTTGCAAGAAATTCACTTAAGTTTATTTGGGTAATTTCTCTATCATTGGACATTTAAATTTTGTATTAGGGTTTACTTTACTTGCTGTACTTGGTAAAGACTACAATCTCAGTGTTTTAAACCAGTGTAAGTTTCTTTCTTGTTCACACAAAGCATAATGTGTATGTTCCTCGTCAGAGATTATCTTCCACCTGGTCATTCCAGGGAAGGACCCAGGGTCCTTTGATCTAGTTTTGTCATCATCTAGAGCTCTAGGTTTCTTTACTGTATTCTCTGTATTTCACCAACTTGAAGAGAGCATAGAGGATCACTCAGGAGATATTTAGGGACTAGTACTTGAAGTTGTATCATCACTTCTGCCCACATTCTGTCACCCAGAATACAGCCCCATGATCATCTCTAACAGGGGAAATGTAGCCCAGTGGTGTGTCCATGAGGGAGGGGAAACAGACTTTGCTGAATATCAGCAGTTTCTGTCGTAGGTTATTTTTTGCTATTATAAACAATGCTGAGATGAACACCATTTTTAAAATTTATTTCTTTTTTTAATTTAAATTCTGGAATACATGTGCAGAACGTGCAGGTTTGTTACACAGGTATACGTGTGCCATGGTGGTTTGCTGCACCTATTGACCAGTCCTCTAGGTTCCCTCCCCTCACCACCCCCACCCCCCAACAGGCCTTGGCGTGTGATGTTCCCCTCTCTGTGTCCATGTGTTCTCTATGTTCAGCTCCCACTTATGAATGATAACATGCAGTGTTTGGCTTTCTGTTCCTGTGTTAGTTTGCTGAGGATGATGGCTTCCAGCTTCATCCATAGTTCCTGCAAAGGACATTATCTCATTTCTTTTTATGGCTGTGTAGTATTCCATGGAACACCACTTTATTTCAATCTTTGTTCACATCATTAAACTTTTACTTATTTAAAGCGAAAAATTTGGGTCCAAGACTTGCTTTAAGACATATGTTAGCATTTTAATACTGCCCTTCTGAAAACTTGGATTAATTTTTTTCTGCCACCAACATTATGTAATAGTGACTACTTCCACATATCCTTATCGACAAGCATGTTCTTGCAGAATCCTAGTCAATTAGATATGAACATTAGTTTCTTCAACTGCAAAATAATATCTATGATACAGGGATAGTGTTGCTATCAAGTTATGTGGTTGTGAACGTGACTTATACATTATATTTGTATACATTTTTGTTTTGATTTTGAGAGGGAAGTTTGGATAGACCAGGAAGAGCTGATATTCATCTTCAAGTCCTTTCAAAAACTCAGTACCTTTATTTTGTTACCAAATTTGAAAAATTATAAAAACAGGCTTCTATTTTCCAAAATGTCCTCTCTTCTCATTCCTCAGTGAGAAACATCAAACACATCACAAAGTGACAAACTATTCTCTACAGATTTCTTCTCCTCCAGAAAATTTAAGGTGATGGGCATAGGTTACAGATAATTGAAGACTAAGAGCAATGTTGTCAACCAAGAGCTGCCTCTATTTTTAGTTGTCACAAGCATCTCCTGGTCAGGAGAGGAAATGATTTTAACATGGAGCAAGTTGTTGGGTATTTCTTTAACAACTGTCCTTTTCCTCTTCTAGATTAATCATGAAGCGCTAATGGCATCCTGAGAGCCCAGCAGCTCATGTATCTGTGTTACTGTTACAAATGCAATAAAACTGGATGCTGAGATGAGGACTTAGCCTCAAAATTATCTATCACTGACATACAAATGGCATGACTGTAGAAAAAAAATAGGAATAATCACAGAGTATTTCAGTGTTGAAAGGAAGGTGAGAAAGTTATCTATATGTTCCCAAAGACATTCAAAGCTGAACCCTTCAGTAAAACAGACATTAAAGGTTAGAAAATAATAACATTTATTGAATGCATGAATATGTATAGATGTGTGTATGGGCACGTGTGTGTGTGTGTGTGAACATGCACACTGCTGACCAGGTTGAAGGGTGGGGCAGGGCGAGGGGCAGAGGTTGAGTGTTGGAAGAAATAAGGACTGACTCATCACCTAAAGAATATTGAATTTAGTAGGGAGATTCTTAAGAAATGGTCATTTTAAGAATACTTACCTAATATGTATTAGTGAGAGAAAATTAACAAATTGTAGTATAAGTTCATAAGCACTAAAATAGCAAATCTTCTCTGTCTCCAACATAATGATAATCTACCACAGCCAACATACTGACTCCACCAAAAGTCAAGAGATTAAATTTTGTATATTTAGATATGGTTTTTAATTAGTGCTCTCTCGTATCCTGTGGTAGGCAGAATAATGGCCTCCCAAAAGATGTCTGTGTCTTAATTTCTGGAACCTGTGAATATGTCACATGATGTGGACAAAGGAACTTTGCAGATATCATTAAGATTAAGGACCTTGAGATGAGGAGATTAACCTGGATAGGTTGTATGGATGGACTCAACCTAATCACCTGAATCTTCTCCTTAAGAGCAGAGAAACATTCCCAGCTGAGGTTAGAATCAGTGGGCAATGTGACTATGGATGAATGGTTCAAGAGATGCAATATGGCTGGCTTTGAAGATGAAGGAAGATGGCTATAAGCCAAGGAATATTGGTGGCCTCTCAAAGCTGTGTCTTCCGTAGACTAAAAATGGCAAGGAAACAGATTCTCCCCTAAGTGCCCTGCTGACACCTTAATTTTAGCGCAGTGAGACCCATTGCAGACTTCTAACCTATAAGCAATATTGAGAACCCAAAGATAATACATTTGCATTGTTTAAGTTCGTGATACTTCGTTACAGCAGCAGTAGAAAACTAATGCAAACCCTCTCTGAAAGTCCTACCTGGGGAAGGACTTTCCCCTTTATTTACCATACAGTTGTTTTGTTCATGAACAATAGATGGTGCTAGGCATCCATGTTTCTAGTGTTGTCAGCCAGATCCTCTAATTTAACATAATTAAGACCATATGACAACAGTTGAAACATTTATTCATGAGTCTATAAATCACATTGTTACAGATTCTGAAAAACTGCATCAGAATAGTGATGAATGCAAGATGTTGGAGATTTGCTTGCTATAACTTAACAGTAACTACTTATTTAAAACCCAAAGAACAATGAAACCTATTTTCTCTTTGCTACATTGAATCATTTACCTCTCTTAAAAATGTTAAAATATAAACATCAACTCTCCTTCAAAACACTGAATGCCCCGAAGCAGCACAGAGTATGAAAGTGAATTGGAGGTCAGAAACTACAGGGAAAAAAATGTCTGCAATAGAAGTAATGCTGCTGTTGTTTGTTTTTTCATCTGTTGTGCGGTGCAACACTTAAGCAGCAAAAGATGACATTCTTTTTTTCTTGCAAATTATTCATTATATGTTTTCTTTAATTAATGTCGACTTTCAACAAATGCAACTTTGTGTTTTGTTCCTAGTGGACAAGGTTATATCTATTTGACTATTTTTTGAATAGTATAAAACATGTGTATATGTAGATTTTTATATTTGGTTGTTATAACTCTTAAAAGCATGATCTGTGCTGTGGTATTATGATGATTATTTAGAGACAGGGTCTTGCTCTGTCACCCAGGCTGGAGTACAGAGGTGCAATCAATCATAGCTCACTGAAACCCCAAACTCCTGGGCTCAAGTCATCTTCCAGCCTCAGCCTCCTGAGTAGCTGAGGTGTATACCAACATAATGGGTTAATTTAATTTTTTTTTTTTTTTTTTTTGTAGAGACAGGGTTTCACTATATTGCCTGGGCCTGTGATGAACACCTGGCCTCAAGAGATCCTCCTGCCTCAGCCTCCAAAAGCTCTGTGATTACAGGTGTGAGCCACCATGCCCAGCAATAATTTTTTTTTTTTGCCTCTGTTCTGTACTAAATTCTCTTACTCTAATTTAATAAAACAAGTGATTGATATCTTCAGTGTGATGATTCGTGTTGTATAATGCAGCATTTTGATACTCAAGCAAACCCATTATATTAAGAGGAAAAGATGGTGCCTTCTGGGCATGTAGGGAGCAATGTGTTTGGAGAGATTTAGAAACACTTGATGATCTCAATATCAGCTCAATCACTGTTTTCATTCCTTTTTCAAAAACAGTACATTAAATATACTTATTTTCTGAATAAAAGCAAACACAGCCCTGAAGGATGAATATCTTTCAACTGAAAGTGAAGGCACGCAAATACATACCCACTCAGAAAAACCACAAACTCATGGGAACTGAACATTTAATGCTCTGAAATTCTAAGACCACAGACTAGAAATATAGATAATGACAGGACTATCAAGGGGACGAAACATAATGTCAAGAAGACATCTCACTTCCGTCTAGGTAAGTGACTTCTTAATCTCTTCTAAGCACAGTTCAAGACTTTTCCTGAAAGCCTCCTCCACCACTCAAGGGCCAGTCCAGGAAGACATCGCTCCTCTACAGGTAAAAAGAAGGAATCACGGGAAAGACAATATATTTGCACAGTGACTACCCCAAATCACTGTTTATTCTGAGCACAACTGTTTTCTACTTGGGCTCTTAATTTAGTGAAATTAATGTTCAAAGAGACTAAATCATGTGACTAAAAAGAAATACAAGTCATTAAGGGCCACACACACATGAAGAAAGATATGCTTTAAAAATTACAATTAATTTGTAAAATCTACTTAAGGAAAGGAGAAACCAAAGCTGTGATTTCCTATTGAAGAATCAGGGAACTGGCAACAGTTTTAATTTTCAGCAGCGTCATAAAACAGGAGAGCATTTTATTGTAAATCCAATGTTGTGGGCAAAATGTTTCCACAAGCAAATATTAGAAATTTATAGAAATTATTTACGTTGTATTTGTGCGCTTCATAGGAGCAGCGTGAGGAATTATGTGTGATGAGTGGTAAAAGTGAAGTAGGGTGGGAGGGGGTAGGGGTGCAGAGATAAGATGGCCAATGGATGAGGCTGGTATCTAAGGGCTTATAAGAGATCAGTTTCATTTAAAACTGACTCAAATGACCACCAGAGGGACTCCAAAGTTCACTCATTGATTCTATACTTCAGGCAAGAACTGTTTTAGAAGATTCATACATGGTGTACTCATACACCATGCTAAATAGTTAAAATATAGATAAAACACAGCAATAGGTGTTAACCATTAATTCAGGGAAAGAAACTCAGTTGCTTAAAATTGAGAGCTTTCAAAGATCAATAGTGAGGGTAAGAAAAAACCCCAATAATCATCAATGAGAGATTTGTTAAATAGCTAAATTTGGTCTGTGTTCCCTGCTAACGATCTAAGACACTGTTAGGCAGGCAGGGTTTTATTTCTCTGGATTTTCAGTGTCTCTGTTCTGCCAGAAGATGTTGCTCCAATATAGCTAGGCTTTGGAGGACAAAGTAATGTGGCATGAAATGTGGGCAGACTGGGTAAAAATGTAAACTGTGCAAGTGTGTAGAATTAAGGCACAAAGATATCCATTATATGGGGAAAAGAGGGCCTTACTGTAGTATGTGTCCTCACTATAAATAGTTTAGCAAAATGTAAACATGAAATATTTCCCCAGTGATATTTGCAGCCACATAAACAGTAGCCCTACTTTTCTTTTCATTAAATCTCATTTCTTAATAAAGGGACTTCTGTAGGGTAAAATCTGGGCAAAACTGAATGATCTGTAACTTTTTTATAACCAAGTATAGTATACATAGAATAAAAACTGGAATTTAAAATCAGCAGTTTTCTTTTTTCTTTTCTTTCTTTCCTTTTTTACAAACACAGCTTTGCTTTAATGTATAAAATCCCATATGTTATAGAAACAACCACAGTGGGTACATTAAGGAAGACAAACTAACAAAGGATTAAGGAAAATGGAATACAGTTCTCTTTTCCATAGAAGTAGGGTTTCTTCTGATATTAGCAAGCAAAATTCAAACTGAATACTTCTTTTAAAAATCTTATGTATAGTCATTCAAAATTTTAAACCTGATTATTAAAAAGAATGTCTTTTAACTGAGTTAAAATGCGATTTCACTCACACTTAATCCAGAATATATTAATTTTACTTTCAAAATTCAGACCAGGGCAACTATTTTTTTAATGAAGATGTTTACACCACAGCAAGCAAAATAAATCAAGCATTTTCAATATAGGACTGCAGCTTACCCCGAGTGAGCTCAGCAAAGGTAAACAAACCAAGATATACTAAGACTTAGAGATAATCCAGTCTCCTTTTAGATACTAGGTCTCAACCTTCCTCCTCTTCATTTTTTTAGAAAAATAAAATTGGTAAAAATGAATCAATGGAATTTGTGAATGCCCTTTCCAGTTAGTTTTGCCAAGTTTACACTTACTTTGAAATTTTGGCCCAGGCATGATTTTGTCTAGAAAGTTTTCTCTGACTCCTAGGAAAAGAGACACTGAAAACAGAACAGAAACCCTGAAAATCTATAGAAATAAAACACTGCCTGCCTAACAGTGCGACACCCCATTGGTATTATAGAGTACTCTGTACCTGTTTCCGCCGTAGCATTTATTCTACGATAAACAGGGCCATGTCTTATTTGTCTAATGCTTGGCACCAGGCCTGCAAGGTAGACAGATGTTGACTAAATGTTCGTATGACTGAGCTAAAATGAAATTAATGAAGACTCAAAAAATAGGTCAATTAGTTCTTTGGCAATCAGTTTTCGGTTTCCTTCAATCGCCGATTGTAACAACCTTTGCAGAGCTTTGTAGAAAATCAAGACTCCTGCTTGTTAAAACAAAGCAAACCAAACTCTGCAGGGACAGACCTGATTAAGGAAGGCTGCCCCTAGTTGTGTTTGAATATTGTGTTGGGAATCAAATAGCTGCAGAAGAGGTCAGCGGGATTGTGCCTAGGGTTTGGAAGATGAAAAGGGAGAAAGTATCAGGGCTAATAACCAGATTTAAAAGCTCTGTGAGTTCCATGGGAAAAAAAAAAAAAAAACTTTGGAAGAGTGTGAAACACAGTCTGAGAATACATTTATTTTATTCTGTCTTAGATATGTGACTGACAGGACATATGGCGAAATACTTAATACTTGAACTCAGTTCAAGAATGTTAGGCAAAACAAAAAAAAAAAGGAAGAAAAAAGAAAAACCACATAAAATTGCCCTAATAGGTTTTGATTGTAGAACTGAAAAAAGTAATTACAAGACTTCAGTACAGTAACCTTTCAGGTCCAACTCAGAGATGTAATTTATTGTTTTAAACGTTTTACTTTCTCATTTTTTTCATTTTTCTAAGGAGAATTATTTTTTCCTCTATTGAAGCTCTATACAATCAGCCTTATTTCTGTCATCAACTCTGATATGTAAAGAAAAATTCTTGATCGATCCAGAGAAAATTCTGGTCCAATGATTAAGTCACAAAGCATTTTAAAAAGAAATGTTTGTGTTTATTTCATAAGTAACCATTTTCTATTTTATATGAAGGAGTTAAAAACTAGTGTATAATCTCATGACAGCTTTCATTGATCCAAAAAGAAACTCAATAACAGATTTGATTCTGTTTGGGAAGGAGTAAATTGCTTATTTTAAGGTTATTTCCTAACTATTTCTAGGCCCTTAAATTGTAGTGAACCAATAATCTGAACGATAAGCAAGCAATATTTCCTCAACATGGAGACTGGATCCTTAAACTAAGATAGCAGCCAGTGGAGTTGCCTTTTCCGTAGGGGAGAGATGTTAATAAATGGCTAAGTCTATGCAATACGTCGTGAAAGGGAGTTTTACACTTCGTATCTTTATTTAAGGGAAAACTTTTTCGTAATTAAGATTGTGATGTGATCTGGTAGAAAATTTTACACACTAATTAGATTAAGTGAAAAGCATGCAAATCTGTGTTAACTTTATGTTAAATATGCACAGACTATTCATTCAACAAATACATATTGAATGCCTGCTATGCGCCATGCATGTTCCAGGTACACTTGTCCCTCGGTGATATGGTTTGGCTGTGTCCTCACCCAAATCTCATGTTGAATTGTAGCCCCCATAATTCCCACGTGTTGTGGGAGGGACCCAGTGGGAGATAATTGAATCATGGAGCTGGTTTGCCCCATACTGTTCTCATGATAGTGAATCAGTCTCATGAGATCTGATGTTTTTATAAGGGGTTTTTCCCCATTCCCTTGGGTCTCATTCTCTCTCTTACCTGCCACCATGTAAGACGTGCCTTTCGTCTTCTGCCATGATTGTGAGGCCTCCCCAGCCATGTGGAACTGTGAGTCAGTTAAACCTCTTTTTCTTTATAAATCACCCAGTCTTGGGTGTGTCTTTATCAGCGGCATGAAAACGGACTAATACGCTTGGTATCTGTTGATTAGTTCCAGAACCTCCTTTGGATACCAACATTCAAAGATGTTCAAGTCCCTGACATAAAATGTGGTAGTATTTGCACATAACTTACATACATCCTCTCGTTTACTTTACATCATTGCTCTATTACTTATAATACCTAACCGAATGCAATGCTTTGTAAATAATGGTTATAACGTATTGTTAAGGGAGTAAGGACAAGAAAAGTCTGTATATATTCAGTACAGATGCAATATAAATTTTTTATTTTTAAATTTTATTTTTAATTTAAATTCAGATGGTACATGTGCAGGTTTGTTATATGGGTATATTCTGTGATGCTGAGATTTGGGCTTCTAATGAGCCCATTGCTCAAATAGTAAACATGGTACCCAATAGGTAGTTATTCAACCCTTGCCCTCCTTCTCAGATGCATTTTTTTTTTCCAAATATTTTCAGTCCACCGTTCCATCTCCACGGATGTGGAACCATGGATACGGAGGACTAACTGTACTTGGGATACATGAGTGAACCAGACAGACAAAGATCCCTGCCTTGTGAAGCTTGCATTCCAGCAAAGGGGTCACAGGATAAAAGCCATGTAGCTAGAGCCGAGTGAGCGAGGGGGAGGGAAGTAGAAAATAGGTCAAAGGAGTCTGAGGGGTCAGGATATGTGGGCTTCACAGGACACTGCTAAGGACTTTGATTAAACTCTCAGCAAGATGAGGGCTGCAACCTGGCTTACTTTGGAAAAGAATCCTTCCGGCTGCTGTTTTGAGCACAGACTGTACCAGCAGACAGGCCTGTTAGTTGGTAATTGAGTTATCCAGATGAGAGATGATGGTAGCTTGGACCAGGGTGGTAGACACGGAGATGGTAAGAAGTATTGAACTCTGGCTATATTTTGAAGGTAGAGTCAACAGGATTTTCTGCCAGATTAGATAGGGGCTGTGTGGGAGAGAGGTAAGGATAACTGGAAATACCGACAATATGGAGAATTGGAAGAAATGGGTTGGTGCAATAGGTATAGACAACTCTTCTGGGAAGAACTCATAGAGAGAAGAAGAAAGAAATGGCATTTTAATCATAGGAAATATGGGATCAGGAGAAAGTAATTTTATTTTTAATTAATTATTTATTTATTTTGAGACAGTGTCTTGCTCTGTCGCCCAAGCTGGAGTGCAGCACACCCTGCTAATTTTTGTATTTTTAGTAGAGATGGGGTTTTGTCATGTTGGCCAGGCTGGTCTCAAACTCCTAGCCTCAAGTGATCTGCCAGCCTTGGCCTCCCAAAGTGCTAGGATTATAGACATGAGCCACAGTGCCTGGTCAGTTTTAGATGGGAGAAATAACAGCATATGAATATGTGAATGGGATGATCCAGGAGAGAGGCAAAATTTAATGATGCTGTAGAAAGGGGAGAATTATTGCACTGATGTCCCTGTGTGGGCTAGAGGGGTCTAAGTGTCAAAAGTCCAAGTGGAGGGTCCAGCTCTAATAGGAAATGGAGTCTGGATGATTCATCTGTGAAAACTGTCAGGGAGAGAGCATATGTAACTGTGGGGGGACTGGAATTCTAATAAAGATCTGCTGGACACAGAGCTCAAGCTTTATGCACTTTGCTATGCTGCAGGAAGAGAAAATGGAGCTAATCATGCCATTAAACCACCCACTTCGACGACTGATATACTTGTCATAGTCCATGGAATGTAGAGAAGCATCATATTGTCTTGGAAAGCAGGGGCATCAGAAGACTTCCCGGATCTTCCATGGGGTGTGTGAGTTATCATTTGTAAAGTGAGAATGTGGTTACCCGTAGTGCCCTGATTCCAGGATTGCTGTGAGGATCAAAAGAAACAATATACATGGAAGTGCTTTAAGTTATGAAAAGATGTACGAAACATACTCTAATACTCAAGGGTAAACTGCCCCAAGTCCTTTGTACTTATTTCCTCTGTGTAGAATACTTCTCCCCTAGTTCTTTACACATCTCCCTCCTTTTTATCATTCCTGTCTCAGCTCAGTGAGGTCCTCTTTGACCATGCTGAAGCGATCCCCACTCCCCACTGCCTCAATCATTCTCTATCCCATTACTGTATCTTATTATCTTCTTAGCACTAATACATATTTAAAATGATCTTGCATAATTATTTTCCTGTTTATACATTGACTGTCTGTCTTCCCCTGCTGAAATGTACACATATAGGAGGGCAGGAACTTTGTTTTTTCTTCCCAGAGCCTAGAATAGTGCCTCACACATAATGAGTCTTCAAGAAATATCTATTGAAAGAATGACTGAATACTATTATTATCCAAATTAGAGATTACATTCCAAAATAAAATAACAATTTAAGGAAAATACTAAGAAACTGTTAGTTTTATTACTTAACTCTGCACAGCAATAATGAATGACTTTAATTCAGTGTAAGCTTCCAAAATAGTTCACCAACCATTCTCCTCTTCTGTGATTTCCCTCCAGGAGAAAAATCTTATTTGATGTGCTTAACAACTGTATTAATTCATCACCGTCACAAACATGAGAGAGTTGTAGCAAATTGCATATGTTTAGAAACATTCAATAAATATTAAGTAAAGAAAGGAGACCTCTCTCTTATTTTAATAGAGTTAGTGTCTCCCTTCTTAGAAAATGTTAATGTTCTTTTCTTATTTTACTTGATTACAATAAAGAAATACTATGACTTAAGAGAATGTCTAGGAAGGGAAGTGTACTCACAGTCTGGGCCCAAGGCCCAGTAGGCTGTTCTCCCTTCTAAAAAGGCTTTCAAGAGACAGTCTTTGCACCTCTTTAATCCTCACCAAGAGTTCATGTGATTGTGTATGACTCCTTTCATGTCATATGGACTGAGCTCTCAAAAATGTGAACTCATAAGTAGTGGTCATTAGGCCTTTGCTTCCAAAAATCCAGTTATTTTCCAGTGAGGTTACCAGGCTTCACACACCAGAACTTGTCACAGAAAAATTAACACACAGCTTTTGCTAATGGGTAGACAGGGAAGCAAAGTGAGAATTGACCCACTATGTTTAATAATAGGTGACTATAAAGCGATAAAATAGATTTATGGAAGGACTGTGGGCTAACTTTCCCCCTATGCCCCCATAACATTTCTTTACTTCCTATGTTAATAGATGTGGTGTGACTTGCAGGATTTTTTTGCAGCAGAAAATAAAATTTCTCTTATTTCAAATATTATAGCTATCTTGCATTCCTTCTTTCTTTTCTTCCTTTTCCCTTCCTTTCTCATTTCCTTCCTTCTTTCCTTTCTTCATCTTTCTGTCCTTCATTCCCTTCCTTCTATTCTTTCTCAGATGCTGCCTTTCTACATAATGAGACCTCTCAAGGAGACAGTAGTCCATCCTTCTTAGAACTTGCCAAGAAAGTAGAATAATTCTAAAGTAATAGAAAGTCTATCTTCGTTGCATTTCTGTTAGAAAGAGATTTCCATCATCTGTTTGCTTCCCTGTGTGAGCATTCAGAGCCCTGTTTGCAGCTGCAGAGATAAGAACTGTGAGTTTTGCTGTAGACTTGAGTCTGACCATGGTGATGGCCCACCAAGCAACAAAGGGAAAGAAAGTCTATAATTTTCCTTTCCTTCCCTACACTGGGGCACCAAAGTCTAAAAAGGTAGAAATTCTTATTGAATTCTCTTAATTACTGAGAAGATGTTTCCAAGGAAGACCATGTGGATTCGAAGCAATGAAAATCAAGTTCATTTTCTCGTGGAACTATAAAATGCAACTGCCTCATCATTTATTATCCATATTTCTAGCCTTTTGCAGAGCCTATATCAGCCCTTATCTCTTTGATTATAACTGTTTACCTGCCTTCCTCACTAGACTATGAGTCCTACAGAGTAAGTTATCTTAGTTACTTTGAATTCCCAGGGCTTGCATAGTATGGATCACATAATAGACAGTGAGTAAATGTTTTGGCAATGAATGAATCAATAAACGAGTTACATTCAAGTATACTTCTTACTGAATTCTGTGTTAAATTTGTGCCACACAATCTGTCACAGTGCCCCAGGACTGCCCATCCTCGGTCCTCCCTCTGTGGATTGGCCTGGAAAACTCTGTACTGCCTTTAGCAGATGGTGATATGTGAAAGGTACAAACTACAGACTAATTCACATCAAGTAGGTTTGCAAGAAACTTCAGTGCATGACCACCAGCAGGCAGAGAAAAATTCCAGAAACAAAATTGCAGATACATTTATGTAGAACATTACCGTTTTCAAACTGCTTTCACTCCCAAAGAAGTGATTCTGTCCAGATGTTTTTCAATATGAATGACACATTTCTGCAGAAGTATCAATATTTCGATCTCTTCTCCTTCATTAAAAAAAAGTAAAGCCAAAATTATTTATATAATTCTTCTTGGACCAGTCAGTTGTAGTTGATACCAAGGACACATAGTTTCTGATGATGGAGTTAAACTAGTAGAATATAGGACAGGTGTGGTTCAGTAGAACTTGCCCTGTCACCATTTCAATTCCATCCTCCAGGTTGGAAAAGAGTCATTATTTGGACACCTTATGAAATCAGGGCATGATGGAAGAAACGGATGGATGATTAACAATAGTACAGCTGTGCTTTTTCTTGTCATCAAATAGCAGTGTTTGGGTCCAGACTCTATTTTAAAAAAAGGAGGGGACAAAAACAATCTAGCAGTAATTTACAACAAACTCACAGAGCACACACGATATGCTCATAAACTGGCCCATAGTTTGTTGCCTGACCTCAGCAAAAGGAGGTCAATGTGATTTCATCACCCAGACCTCCACATTCAGAAGATCCGGGGGTGGATACGTTGCTGGCCATATACGGAATAAAAGTAATGATGTTAAGTTTTTAAAAGAGAATATATTGTAAACTGTTATTTCCTCATTGCTTTTGATAGAGGTTTTTGTTTATTTGTCACCCCTCTCCAAACAAAACAAAATCCAAGCCATTGAGGATGAGGATGGAAATCTTGTACAAACAGTACAGCTTTTCTTGAACTTCAATAGGGCCGAAGCAACGGAGATCTGCATGCCAAAATCAGTGCTCATATCTGTCTCATAAAATTTAGAGAAGACTGTAACTTATGCAATGTAGATTATAAGATGAATTGAAGAATGATAAATCAGATCAATCTGGCACAGGGCATCCTGAAGAATAGGTTAATAGGTATACATTGAAATTCTATCACATGACTGAAAGCTAAAAATTAGTTAGATAGGAGAAATAAGGTCAAGAAATCTATTGCACAACATGGCGACTATAGTGAGTAATATACTGTGTTCTTGAAAAATGCTAAGAGAGTGGATGTAATGTTCTCACCACACAAATGATAACTACATGAAGTAGCGCATATGTTAATTGGATAGATTTAGTCATTCCACAATTTATATATATTTCAGAGCACCATGTTGCACACGGTAAATACATATTATTTTATCTGTCAATTCTTTTTTTAAGAAAGTTAAAAATCAGCCATTAATTTCCTTTGATTTACCTCTTTTCTTCAGTTTCAGTTTGAAATAGCAGCAACAATATATAGACTTTGGGTATAAACTCATCTTTCCCAAGGACAAATGGTCAGTAAGGGAGGGTCCACATACATACATTTATCCAATTTTGAGGGCAATTCATTTTTTTTTTTATTGTTAGGAAGAATCTTGATTGTGAAGGTGGTTTTTAAAGCAATGGCTCCTGAAATCCTCCAGAATAAAGCAGTAACATACTGTTGCATATATAGATTTTTAAAAATCAGATTTGCAGGGTCAAATGATCCTTTGAAAGAAAGTTAATTTTATGTTAATATGATTCATGTAGTCACAATTATCCAGGTTACTGAATCAGACTTCCGTTTTCCTTTGCCTGAGAAGTAGCGTGGCCTCTTTTTATGATACAGTTCCCCTTGAGCGTCCCAGTAGGTTATCAAAGTGAACAAACACTTAAACCTTCTCCAAGCCCCACCTGCTGAAATGGAGTTTTGTAGAACTTGGCATTGGCATTCAGTTATAGTCAACTCCTGATTGGTTATGTGGGTGGATAATATTGATTATTAAGATTAAGCTGGGCTGGGTGTGGTGGCTCACACTTGTAATCCCAGTACTTTGGGAGGCTGAGGCTGGAGGATCACTTGAGCCCAGGAGTTTGAGATCAGCCTGGACAACACAGTGAGACCCCTGACCCCCATCCCTACACACATAAAAAAAAAATTAGCCAGGCATGGTGATGCACACCTGTAGTACCAGCTACTTAGGAGGCTGAGGTGGGAGGATCACTTGAGCCCAGGAGGTTGAGGCTGCCGTGAGCTGTAATTGCACCACTGCACTCCAGCCTGGGTAACAGAGTGAAATCCTGTCAAAAAAAAAAAAAAAAAAAAAAGAAGAAAAGAAAAAAAGAAAAAGAAGAAAAAGAAATAAAAAGAAAAAAAGATTAGAGTGATTTTTTTTCACTCAGGAACCTTAATCACAGAGAATAGACTGGAGGTTAGACGTATTGGCCAACGTAGCACCAAGAGAGAAGTTTCTTGATATCTTTTTATTCTTAATATAGGGGAATTGTGCTTTCAAGTTTGTCATGTATCTGTGGGCAGTTTGGTGTGTCTTTAAACAGACAATTGGATTTCTTTAATCTTTTTTTGTTTTTTTTGACGGAGTGTTGCTCTGTACCCCCGGCTGGAGTGCAGTGGCATGATCTCGGCTCACTGCACCCTCTGCCTCCCAGATCCAAGTGATTCTCCTGCCTCAGCCTCCCGATAGCTGGGATTACAGGTGCATGCCACCATGCCTGGCTAATTTTTGTATTTTTAGTAGGGACAGGGTTTCACCATGGATTTCTTTAATCTCATGTAAAGTGCTGTGCAAATGCAGCTCAAGTCCATTTTTCTAGCCAAATAGCTCCTTCTGATTCCAAAAGCAGAGCCTGAGACAAGGACTTGGGTACAGGTAGCATTTTGGAAGGTGAGAGATTCGGGAGAGTGAGACAAGAAAGACAGAAATTCAATAAAGTATGTGTCTCTGAGCTGCTTGCTGTTGTGGACAATAGGGGCTTCAGCTTTTCAAGAACCATGTACATTGCTTCTCAGAATTGTTCCTCTGAAGGACATGGAGGTGAGGCACTTAGCTCTCATTACTGTGAATTCTCCCCAGGGTCATTCTCTCCTGCACTTCTGGGTTTGCCCTCTGGGCAGCTTGAGCAAGCTCTAGAGGCCTTGGGAAAGAGCTTGAGACTAGAAAGCT
The DNA here is from genome assembly GCF_000001405.40 of Homo sapiens. NCBI lineage: Eukaryota > Metazoa > Chordata > Mammalia > Primates > Hominidae > Homo > Homo sapiens. The sequence continues at coordinate 24,768,559 of NC_000012.12, read as the reverse complement.
GAGAGACCATGGGCACTCAGGCTGGGAGGCTCTTGGTTTACATGAGAACTGCACTGCCCTCCCTGTTGCAGGTACAACCCAAGGTGAATTGAGAGGAGACACTGTGGAACACCAAAAGCATGCACTTCATCCTTCTATGTAGACTTTTTGAGCCATAGCTGAATAAATTTTATTTTAGTATATGTTTTCCTTAATGAACATTCTAGTAAAACGGATACTCCAGGAAACATGTTGATCCTGGGGTGTTGAGTAGGCCTGGCATACCCATTTAGAAGGCCAGAAATAAACTTGGATTTGGAAATCATAGTGGGATATGCAACTTGCCTAGGAGTTCTCCAGGGATGGTGGGCACAAGCAGTACTCAATGGTGCCAGGAGGGAAGGTAGCTTCAAACTTGTTTTTCGTCTGTCCCCTTAAGCCTTCCCTTAGCTTCTCCAGATTATATTCATCTCTCTCTTTTAGTTTTTAACCATAGAACTTGGAGTTTTATTACATTTTATTTTATTGCTGAGAACTTCTCGTGGCTTGAGATATGACTGTGGATCACACAACTCATAAGATCAGAAGCCTGACCCAGGCTCTCTAATTCCAAGCCCAGTGCAATTTCTGTTAACCAAGGTTACCCCAGAGAAACAAAAACTGGCTGAAAGATGGAAAATATGTCCAGATGAAGGTCTGTTTGATCAAATAGTGTGTTACGCACATTACAATGTATTCACAGGCTGGGGAGCTTTCTCAAGAACAAAGAGTCCAGAAAATTAGTCTGCAGAAGGCAGTTTGGGGTTTGGTCTCTGTCACCGAAGGGAAGAGGTAAAAACATTTGTTGAGTGCTTGCTCTAAGGATGGTGTTAGCCTAAGCCATTTCTGTACAGTTGATTATTGTTACTCACAGTAGTTAAATTTTATAAAGTCGCTGTAAACTCTGAAATAGCAAATACTGAACCACTGCTCCTAAGGGAAATACAGGGTTAGGTTCCTGCAAGCCTCTGGTCACAGTATTGTTGTTAATTGGTCAATACATAACCATGTTTTATGTATGTTTCTGTTTAAGGACAGAAATCAACATATATTGTTGATTCATTACATTGAACTCTTGGCCAACAGCACTACAGCTTCATGCCTGAACATAGCTTATCTAACACATTTTCTCTAGAAGGCATGTCACAACCTTCTTGCACTTAGGAACACTAGATAGCACTTCAGCACTATGTTTGTGGAGGCATTATGAACAAAGAAATTACAACAAAACCCACAAAATGCAAAAAATGTGGCACTAAAGAGACCATGAAAAAGACACTTGTTTACAGTATGAGAGCTGAAACAAGAGGCATACCTGGTTCAACCTCAGCTGAACGTGGATTCCAGGTGACTCAATGTTTTTCCCCACTCTGTGCATGTCTGAGAATGACCACAAAGGCTCCACAAGCATTGCTTTTGAGATTACAAATAAATGTTAGCAAGTAGGGGAATTTGCAAATAGGGAATACACAAATCATGTAGATTGACTATATGTATCTCATTTAATCTCCATAAAAACCTCTGAGCAATATATTGCATTTCCCTCCACTTATAGGAGAAAAAAGTGACATAACTGGCCCAAAGTCACAAAGCTAATGTGAGGGCAACAGGAATTTCATAGTTATTGTTGTTTTCCTTTTTCAATTTAACTGTAAATAACTCAATATGTATCTTAAAGATAATGACTCTTCTAAAGACATTAACACAATGCCATTATCGCACCTAAAATAGCAGTTTCTTAATATGAAAAAGTCACCGTTAGTTCTCCAATTTCTTCCTAAGTCATTCTTTTACAGTTGGTTTGGGGGATATGTCTCTTAATTATCTTTTAACTGGTAAGTTCTACTTTTTTCTCCCTCCCCCCACCCCTTGTAATTTATTCATTGAAAGACAAGGCACATTGGGAGGCCAAGGTAGGAGGATTGCTTGGCCTGAGGAGTCTGAGACCAGCTTAGGCAACATAGCAAGACCCCATCTCTACAAAAAAATTTTAAAATGAAAAATTAGCCGGGCATGGTGGTGAGCACTTGTAGTCCCAGCTACTCAGGAGGCTGAGGTGGGAGGATCACTGGAGCCCAGGCTGCAGTGGGCTATCATTGTGCCACTGCACTACAGCCTGGGTGGGAAGGAAGGAAGGAAGGAAGGAAGGAAAGAAGGAAAGAAGGAAGGGAGAAAGAGAGAGAAAGGAAGGAAGGAAGGAAAACACAATCATTATCTTTTCTGTGTTTCCATTTTCTCCCCAACAGCAACAAAGCTCATAAAAAACTTGAGGCTCAACTTTAGTAATCATGAAAGATCTTGTTAACATAGCTAGCACAATACCTGTTTTCTTATTTGCTGCCTGTTCTCATCTTTCCATTCTATTCCTATTGTCTCTTCATTAAGTTTCTTTCAATCCATTTATATTTTTTCCATGACTGTATTGCATGCATTATTATAAACCATCTCAAAACATTTTTCTTTGCATATGCAAGAATATTCCTATAGACACATATATGGAAACAAACTTGAGTCCACTTGGCTCTAAAGCCGAGGTTTTTCTATTCTCCTTGTTGTCAACCTCTGGGCTTTATTTTCTCACCAACCTCTTCTGGTAAATGGGTATGCTAACAATATTTACTCTCTTGCTAGAGTTGCATTTGGAAGAAAGAAGATGGTCTATGAGTCTGACACACATACTTAAATACTAAATGTTTGCTGAATGAGAGATTAAATGAATGATTAAATGGAAATGCATCCTAAACCACAATAATGCTATGTAAGTGTTGTTAAAAATTACAAATGATTGAATAAAACAGTCTGAACAGAGAAAACAGAATTCCCTCTCAGGATAAAGTTGTTATTGCTCACTTGTAAAGCTAACTTCATTAAGGAAGCAGATGATTTAAGGCTGTGGGTTTTTCCTTTTCTTCTCTTTCTCTGGTCATTTTCTTGCCCATGAACACTACCAGGATAGAGGAGTAGAGAAAGGAGGTAAAAGGTCAGCTGATCTTGCCTTTCTGTTGAGGATCTGGAAGGCAGTTTTTGCCAGGGAAAATGTATAAAGTTATTGAGATTGTTGTTGTTTTCTTTGAATTTCAATTATCTATATTTTTTTCTGTCCTTCACACTAAAATGTAAACTTCATGAGGGTAAGAGTTTGTCATTTTTTTTATTGTCTATTTCCTTTCCTAAAATGGATCCTGATTAATAGGTGCTCAATAAATATTTGTGGAACTGATTCCTAGATGTCGCTGATGCCTTGATTATAGTTAGATCTGGTTTATGAATGCAATGGACAGGCTAGTCACAGTGCTGGCCAAAGTTCACCCTTCCTTCTAACAGAAGTTGTCATGCTCCTAGTTTTCTCTACAAGGAAGATGTCTTAAGCTTTTTCCTAAGCAGGGGTGGCCATGTTTTATAAATCTCCTCCATCTTCCATCTAAATATATGCACCTGAACCAAAATTAGTCAAATTCATAGTACTGCAAGTGACATATAAGCAGTACTCAAAACCTCACCTGAAGAAGCTCGATGATGGGAAAACCATGAAGGGCCAAGAGAAAACTAAAGCTGTGAGTAAGCCAAAGTTATGTGTATGCAGAAGCTATAAAAATAGAAACCAGGAGATAGTAAAGAAAAGGCATTTGGTCAAGGGTGACAAATTTGGTTGGTAATGACAAGAATGGGTAAAACAAAGACAGAGATGGGTTGAGTGACTTAATGGCAAAGCTTTGATAAGTTTCTATGCCTTAGGAGGTGTCTTAGGTCAGGTTTTCTGGAAACAGATTTGAGGTGGGAGATTTGTGTGCAGGAAGAGAAAGGGAAACAGAATTAGGCAAAAGGAGAGAATGAGTTCTGATGCAACAGAGCTACACCTGATCTAATGGGAGTTCTGGAGTTGGGATGGCCATCAAAGTTGTGTCTGAGTGAAGCAAGGGGCATAGACCAGTCCTTGTACATGGGCTGCTTCCTATGGAGGTTCATAACCTTGGGAACTGGTGGCTCGCTTTGGCCAAGGGCGATTCGTGCAGAGAGTCTCCATGATTAGGCATCACTCACAGTAGTGGGGAGGGGAGGTAGGAACCTTAGTCTTGAAAGGGAGATCCGAGCATTGAACCCTGGTATCCACAACATGAAAGTGTCAAAATAACTCCATTTCCAGCACTGTCTTAGATCCCTCTTGTTTTTTTCTTTTTTTTTCCATGGAGTCTCACTCTGTCACCCAGGCTGGAGTGCAATGGCCCAATCTCGGCTCACTGCAACCTCCATCTCCCAGGTTCAAGTGATTCTCCTGCCTCAGCCTCCTGAGTAGCTGGGATTACAGGGGCCCGCCATCACATCCAGCTAATTTTTGTATTTTTAGTAGAGATGAGGTTTCACCATGTTGGTCAGGCTGGTCTCGAACTCCTGATCTCAGGTGATCCACCCGCCTTGGCCTCCCAAAGTGCTGGGGTTACGGGCATGAGCCACCACGCTCGGCCCCCTCTTGGTTTTAAACTATACTTTTATCTCTGTGAAGCCCCGACGCATGGCTGTTCTTAGCTCCCCCAAATATTCCTGTCTCGGTGTTGTATATATACATACCTGCATATAATTACCTCTCCTCCCATTTCTTCAAGTTGCTTACCTAACATAAGAAGTGCATCCTTTCTATCAAGCACTAAGGAGACGGGCACGAACATTAAAGGATGAATGCTGGCTGGAAGAATACAATTAATATAATCAGCTTTAATATTAATAGACCCACTAACATTAAATCAATACTGAACCTTCCTATTTATGAATGAATTCACTGAAATCTATGAATCCTGTACCTACATAATGGATATTGATTCTTTCTTTATGAGAAGTTCAGACTGTGGAAAAGCCATAAGGGCAAGGTTTGGATTGATTTCTGTAAGTAAGAGAGATAATCCTAAGAAAGTTGCAAAGGCCCTGAAGATACACAGGCTGAAGTGACAGAACAATTTTAGGGAAAGTCTGTCTGCATGGCCTATTGGTTTCAGGATGACCTTTGGAGCTAGAAAGGCCCAGACATGATACCACCACTGTATTACCTTGGGCAAGTCCCTAAACCACTCTGAATTTCTGCCCTTCATTTCTAAAATCAAGATTGCAATACGTTACCCAAAGGGTTGTTGTGAGAACTAAGTGAAACAATATATGTCTCCCATGATAGTGCTTGGTATGTAGTAGCCATCCTTTTACCATTATCGCAGCCAGTTCTATTGACTGCCTGGACTCCTGATTCGTCTTGCCATGCAATTGAATGTAATGAATACTCTTGGGTATGGTTCTTCCTTATCCTTCAGCCAGATTCCAGTGGCTCTAGAGCTGCTCTGGGAATATACAGTGGGAAAAGTATCCAAGGACCTAAATAGAACCCTTAACTTAGCCAAGCCTTCCCAGTAAATTAAAATGGGCCCAAGAATTTCCTTGCCTGCCTCAGCCCCTTACAAATGGCTCAGACTGAGGGCCTCTGCCAATGGCTCAGCTCTGCGAAGATCTGGTTAATTCAGCAACACTCCTGGGTTATAGTATGCTGGGTCTCCTTTTCCTCCTTTGGTCTAGGTGCATCTCTTGAACTCTTCAGAATACCAGGAAGATTCCTTGAACTGTTACTGAACTCGCCAGGAGTTTGTCAAATCACTGTATCCATGATGGGTGGAAGTTCCATAAATTGTCGGCTTCTAGTTTCCTTGCTGGGCCCTTCAGGTGCTAAACTGTTACAGTTCCATAGCCAGAGCTGGATCTCTAGGATGGTGAACTTCGGTCAGAACATTAGCTCCAGGGAATAATATTTCTGGTTTTAGGCCAGTCCTGTGACAAAAACTGTAAAACCCCCAGGAGAACGAGGTGGTGAACACCGACACTCTGGGGGACCATTCCAATGGCCTGCATTCAGGTCTGTGGTCTCCAGGCACAAAAAGTAATCCTGATATGATGTGTTCTTGTAATCTAGGGAAGGCCTTTAAAAAATGTTGGAACAAATAGTGTCCCAAATTGGTTCCGTAATTAAGGTATGCAGAGCTCGGCTTCAAAGATCCCTTCTGCCTGTTTTAAGGGATGCTGTTAGTGAGCACATAATTGTATATAGTAGCTGTAGAGCCATTACAGGAGCTTAGTCTATACAGAAAGCTTTGGATATTAGGTGCTTCTGGGACATTGCTTCTACGGTAATGTCTCATCTGCAGATATTACCCCAAATGTGCACTTTTCCCCATTATATTTTATTTTTTAAAGCCAGAGAGTTTGCATTTGGGTACAGTTTTGTAACAGGATGAATAGGTACCCAAAAGATACTTCGATAGCTATGAAAGGTAAAAACATAATGAGAAAACTAATAAAGATTTCAAGGATACAATTCTCATGACCTGTTACAGTTGCGTGTGGGGTAGAGAAGCAGCACTAGGATGGCCCCAGAGAGGGAACATTCTATTTTGTTTAGAGTCAGCCCTATGCCAGACACTGTTTTAGGCACTTTATCTTATCCTGACTAGGTCAGGATAGTAGGAGATTGGAAATTCAAAACAAGCTGGGGAGTTTTGTTTTCCCTAAAGGTTTTGGTGGAAAACAGATTAAACATGGGACCATGATTAAGAGAAAACCATTGAGGACAATGATTCGATTCCTTCTGGACAGTCGGTGTCCAGCCCGTATTAGTTGAAAATCTTTCTTCCTGTTTTGTAATGAATATGCCCTTAATATGTAAAAATTATCAAACAGTTGAAGAGTAAAACCAAATAACCCGAAGCAGTGGCAGGGTTAATGAGAAAAATAATCCAAATTCCTTGCTTAAAATGGCTAATTTTAAGTAGTAAAGGAATTATTATTATTATTATTATTTTAGTAGACACTAAATCATGTTCGAGTCCCGCACCCCCCAGCCCCCAACACACACACTTTTAACTTTTATAGTCTAATCTGTTGCATAACGGACCACATACAAAGACTTGGTTAAGAAAACCTCCTCCCAGCCTGTTGCAATATTTATAAAGCCCTTGCTTTTTAACACACTGTGAGAAGGGCTTAATAAAACAAAGGGCATCATAATTTATTGTTTTAAGATTATTGATTCAATAAATTAACAATAATTTCCATGAAGGGTAGGAACCCTGGTGCCATAAAAGTTTATTTATTCCTCCTTTAACTAGCATTGATTAGAGTATTCAAATTGTCCCAGTACTCTGTAATCACTCTTTATAGGTGAAATGCCCTCCGCTGTGCAGGAGACAGTAAAATAAACATTCAACCAGAAGTGACAATGGTGCCTTTAAAAACAAGAAACACTTGATTTTTTTTTTCCTTCAAAAGGAAAGGAATAGTTCAGATAGTGCTTTTAATACAGGCTGTGTGCCTATTGGACGCTGCTCCCTGATATGCTGCAATCACAAATTGTAAGAGGCTATTGCAATTGTTAGCAAACAGGTAGGATCTAAATGGTGATATTTATATCCCATAACTCCAACTAAGAGATCTTTTTGCTGTTGTTGTTTGGGTTTAAAGTATCACTCCACATTGCATTTAAGAACTAGGTGGATTTTTTTCCCCACAAATATATTGTTTCAGTGCTTTTGTTTCTCAAGTGGTGACTGAACCTTCAAGGTGAGGTGGTGAGGGCATTGTAAAACTGTTAATAACTTGAACAAACAGGTACTGCTTTTTATTTCACAGCCACAGTGCAGATTCGTTGGAAGTAACTATCTGAAGGAATGAGAACAATGGACATCGAAGGCCTGCACCTGGGTTTCCCCTGTCCTCAGGACCAATACTTACTTCATTAGCATACTAATATGATAGGGTCATCTTTTGCTTTCATATATTCACCCATGCTGTGTCTCTTCTCTCTTTGGCGTCTGGATAACATGTTTTTATTTTTGAGCTTCAGTGCTGTATTTTTCAGTGTGATTTCTTTTCTTTTCCAACCAACAAGAAGTCTGTGTCCTGAAATATGACTTAGAACCAGGCATTTGCGGTAATTAATAAAGTGAAATGAAATAAAATACAATAAACCTCTTAAGTAACTAAAGGCTTATGATTTACATAGGCTTTAAATGATTGTTGGTGTTAAATTGTTTCTCAGAATGCAACTCAGGAATTTGAAGTTGTCAGATTAACTGCTGTATTTACTGGTCTGTTTGATTAGGTGAGCATAGTTTATATTCCCTCTTGGAGACCTAAATAGCAACCATTTCCTACCAAAACAGCACTGAGAACAAAGGCCCCATTCACAGGGCAGTGGGCATTGCTCTGTAGGCCTTTGTATCTGAAACAGCATGGTTACTAAGTACCTCTAAAAGGAAAAGGTGCAACTAATTTTTAAAATGTACACGTTAACAGGCAGAAAAAGAATCACATTGCATACCAAACAAATGTATTCCATGGAAAATGAATGGAGTGTTTTTTCTACTGCAGGCCTTCTTTCCAAGGCTGTAATAATAAAAAAAAATGATGGTGGTCATTTTTGAAGGACATCGGACAACAGAAAACCAACATTGGCAGGCATACTCTGGTCTCCTCATTTTCACTATTTGCAAACACCCTCAGGATGGATTCACATATTTTTGGTCAATAACCATCCTTTTGAGAACTTCCTTAGGCTGGGCTCTGTACTAGGCATTGGAGGCATACAGTCCAATAAGCCCTCTCCTTCCTTTTCTCCTTAGTCTTATTACTTACGTTTCAGAGTTCGAATGATGTCATGGCATTGGTTGTTTCAATGACAAAGATAGAGTACAGGGGAGGGATAGCTTCTTGGAGAAGATGACCGCTAAGCTGAGTCCTAGAGGCAAAGGCTGGGGCAGGAAATCCTGGTAGAGGGAATCACACCAGCAAAAGTTGGGAAATACCAGGGTCTGTACAGGAAGCGACAAAAAGCTTCTTCTTCTCCTTCTTTTTATTTTTTTTTTGATATGGAGTCTTGTTCTGTCACCCAGGCTGGAGTGCAGGGGCACGATCTCAGCTCACTGCAACCTCTGCCATCCGGGTTTAAGAGATTCTCTTGCCTCAGCCTCCTGAGAAGCTGGAAGTACAGGAACACACCAACCTGCTGGGCTAATTTTTATATTTTTAGTAGAGACTGGGTTTTGCCATGTTGGCCAGACTGGTATGGAACTCCTGACCTCAAGTGATCCTCCCACCTTGTCCTCCCAAAGTGCTGGGATTACAGGCATGAGTCACCACGCCCAGCCGAGGAAGCTACAAGAGGCTTCTGTTGCTGAGTCATGAAGTGGACTGCAAGAAGATAAAGAGAAAGGAGATAGCTGGATCCAGAGTCCCTCTTGTACCATGGTAAGTAATTTGGACTTGATCCTGTAGGAGACTCTGTGATCCTTGGAAGGGTTTTGAGGGATACAGAGACAGATAAAGCCGGCCAGTCTGCACAATCCAAACTCCCAAGAGATGAATTGGTCAGCTGTTCGTTTAGGGTCCCAAAGCAAATCTCATCACACTGGTCAAATGTATTTTCTGGACCTTTCTTTTCTCACTTCACTGTCTACACTGTTTGAATTCACCAGATAGCCACTCAATATTTCACTTTTCTTGGAAAGTTACTGCATCAATCATTAAGAGAAGTCATTTGTTACCTACGAAGACTCACAGCCATCATATTATTGGGGATTTCTGAAAGGATAATATGGGATAACTCCAGATCCTTAGTGTCCTTAGAGCCTTAGGAGTTTAAAGGAAACTCAAAAGCATTCTCCAGAGGAATAGGGGTAATGAAAAATTATGCACGAAAAGTTTTTGAAACTAAATAAACACAACCTGGCCTCTCTCACCTCAGCTGCCATATTCTGATAGTTATTTTCCCTTTACAATGCAATAAGAGTAAGGGGATATTTCAGTGAATCACATGCTCTTTCAGTTACATATATTGGAAAAACACACTCTCTTAACATAACTGGTATGTCATTCAGAAGTAAAATATTTAATTTCTGATCCCAAACTGATCACTTCAGCTAGCCATGTGGGTTGGCAGGACAGTTGTGTACATTTGCCAAGATTCCAACTTTTTAACCTCTGCAGTGGAATCATCATTCTACAATGGGAGAACTACATATAGGGTAGAACAGGAAATTGGCATATCAGTTGAGTCTGGACTCGATTTTCCTCTACCCTGTTGTTTTCACCACTTCTATGAGGATAAATATCATCTTGTGTGCTTGCTAGGTATGCAGATTACCAGACTTGTTCCCTGTAAATTTTGGTGCAGAGAGTCTGTTTCACGGCCCAGGAATCCATTTTTACTAAGCACTCCAGGTGTTCATGATCTTTAGGGGACTTTGGGAAACATTGCAAAAATGATTAAGTAAATTGAGTAAAACAGCATTCTTCGACTTACTGTATATTATTAAGCTTTAAATGGAACACTGTAATATAGGGCTTACTGAGCATCAAAATAATGAGGAGATGGTTGGGGTTATACATTTTATAATTTTGCAAGCCATTTTAGTAGAAGGAATGATGGCAATATAAAAGCAACTGTGCCAAATTTTTTTATTGGGTCTCCAGATCATTTTACTAAAGTAAGTACTGCCGATTAGGTTGGGGTAAAAAAATGTGGATCGGGCTATAATATTTTCCTTTCATTACAAAGTGAAACAGATTTATTGGCACTTTGGTTAAGAAAAATAAATTATTTGTTTATTCCAAAGACACCTACTGCCTGCTTATGACAATAAAAGTCATCGTTTGGGTCTATGGCAACTGCTATGTAATCTTTCTCATTGACACTATGTCTCAATATAAGCCATTAAAAATTGAAACTCATTTAAGGTACAAAAATATGCTTTCCAGCAATGGTTTTTAAGCTATTTTTTGTGGCAGCTGAACACTTTTTTTCCAAAACCCGATATAGTTTCCAATATAGAAACAAGTTAGGAGCAGCTATGTTTTCAGCAGCGGCTGCGGAGTAGGGGGAGGGTTGTCTACCGGGTTTTCCCAGCTCTGACCAGATTCGTCAGCTAAATCAGCACCTTCCTAATTTATCAGCCTCTCTGTGGTAGACGAGGAGAGTTCAAGTCTTTAGGATAACAAAAAAGTTGATGTTATATGACAAACGATGTTATGGTAACTCCTGCAACACCTCCAGTAAATGAGCAGGACAGAGTTTGAAAACCTTTGCTTGAGTTTTTCTTCAGAGATGATAGCCTTGGTTCATTCAGCCAACACAGTGCCTACCACATACTAGATACCAATGAAAGTTTTACTGCGAGTATTTTAATAGTATGTTAACACAGTGTCATAGATTTTTCAGAGTTTCTATTCTTTCACAGAGAATTATTATGATCTTAATAAAGCACAGAGGACCTGTGGAGGAAATGGAAGAAAATGTTTCTGCCCAACTGATAAACATGTGCATGCACTTTCAGAATAACGTCCCACCAGTAACAGTGATATCCTAACTTTGTGTGTGGGCAGCCTCTGGTGTGCAGCAAGATGGACTGGGATTAGAAGGCAAGACTGTTTCTGTTTAACTTGCTTTGCGCAGTGCCGTCTGCAGGTGGGCACTCAACAAAAGCTGCCAGTCTTAGCATCCAGAGATGTGGTTGTGATCAGTCATCATATTATTAAATTATTCATCTCATATTAAGTGACCACAATTTCAACATTGGCTTCTCTTGACAGATGTACAATTCATATAGACGATTGGAACTATATTCGGTGCGTGCTGTGATTTCATTTGCAATGCCACTCATAGTGGAAGAAATATGCCACACTTTTTTAAGCAAACAGGCTTCTTTTCACAGTGGACAGAGAATACTGTTAAACAGAGGAAACACAATATCCCTTTTCATAGCAAGAGATCAAATGTCTGCAGAAGAGTTTAATTTATACTTCTCCATGTGCCAGAGCCCAGTCTGAGACATAGCAGCATTTAAGTCCTTTCAATCAGGGCATAGTTTCCACCCTGGATGACTTCATCTCTTTAAAAATAGAATAAATGGAATTCAACATTATACTATGGGTAGGGATTATAGGAAATTAAAAGACATATAGTGCTCAACACACTAAATAATTGTGACATTGAGCTGGGAAAATAGTACTTCTGCAGAAAGTCTTTTCTGGGTATTATTTGTTAAAAAGGTTTTCTCTAGCTTTCTGGGAGAGTAGGAGAAAAGTATTGCAGTGTGGACCAGGAAGTAACTTTTATACTATGTGTGCTCAAAGTTTTTCCTCTTGAAAATATATGTAAGCATTAAGTTAGATCAGAGGTGCAACTTGAGTTCACGGTCCACCAGTCCTGCTGTCCGAGTCTTTCTGGATTCTCTGGTTTTGAAAGATTCTATTGGAGAATCTTTGGTTTTGCTGTGTTGATGATGATATGCTGAAAGTCAGCAATCTGCAGACTGTGCTCATCTGAAGTTTGTTTAGATACAGGTAGAGAGGTTAGGAGGAATCCCGTTTGGCTCAAAGAAGGCTCTGAGGTTAAAATATGATAGCATACTCTACGAACATCCTAAAATGTAAGCATGCAACATGCCCTGAGTTGTTTTTATAAAAACCAGAGTTTGTTTGTTGGTTTATATAGAAATTACCAAGAAGAGGCAAAGCTATGATGTTGAAAAGTAAAAGGGAAGCAAATTGTTCTCTGGAGGATCTTTTCATCACAGCTTACTTGCTGGCTGACTTTTGACATGACTTAAATGGTTATGTACGTGAGGTAATGTGATGTGTGATCCTAATAAATGAATATACACACCAGACCCGCCTGCAAGGGGTATATTACAAATAAGTCTTCTGTTGATGAATGATGAAAATACAATACCTTCATTTTGTTGTGCTCTCTTTACAATCATGTCTGTGGCATTAAATGGTTGCAGTGTTGAGATTTGCTCGCCTTTTAAAAAGAGCTCAGTGAGTAGGCTTTCCCTTTAGGAAGATTACTGTGGGAAAAATGGGGGCTCTGAGAGAGAGCAAGTACAAATCCATTGCAGGTGAGCCAGCACAATTTAATCACATAGTATATATTATAATACATCCCTAGGAATTCATGTTTGGTTTGAATTTGCCTGCCCAATCGGCCATAAGGAGATAGAAATGGCTTACAGTGGTTTCTGGTGCCTTGAGCTGAGTGTATGCTACTTTTCTGTTCACACATACTCAACAAAGGAGGCGGCAGCAGCTGCACAAAAGAGTTCTAGGGAGAGAGATGTACAGGTAGGAGTTTTTAAATCTTGACATCCTGATAAGATTTCAGCATGGCTTCAAAGCTTGTTCAAAAAAAAATGACCTATATTGCCAGTTTTTCTTTTGAAAATCCTAATCTGTTGCTAAAACAGAGCAAACCAAGTTCTCTTTTGTGAACTTGAGTAAACACATTCTTCATCACCATCAAAGATTGTGGCAAGACGAGGGAAGGACTTGCCTTTGTGATTCAAGAGTCCTTGATGAGTATTCTGTGCATATTTGTGGGTACAGTCATATCTTTCAAAGAACAACCCAAACCAAATACTTCTGGTAATCTCCAGGCTTTTAATGTGTGACAAAGCAGGGTAACGGGTTCAGGCATGTGAACTGGAGCCTTCCTGCGCATGTAGCACCAGATCAATAGCCCCACTTGCTCTTCTGGGGCACCTGCTTATGGAAGGAGTTCAAAATATCAGAGAAATAAGCATTACACAAACAGATGGGGAAACTAAAGCAATGAAAAGCTCTTGACCTGGCCAAAGTCAATAAGACTGGTCAATAAAGGAGTGGAGAGCAGAGAACTTAAATTGCTGAGCTCTTTGTTACAATATCATTTACAGAATCTGATGCCTTTGAGTTGGTGCGAAGGGTGACTAGGGTGAGTCTTGAGGTCATAGAGACTAATGTGTTCCACCACAGAGAACGGAGTGCTTCCATTTACCCAAATTACAGTTATTCTTATTCTTTGTGAATGTTTCAAGGAGGAAAAATGAGACTCCGTCTTGTTGGTGGCTTCTATGGTACTCTTAAAATGGGAAGTAAATTGAAAATGGGTTGGTGATGGAAACTGTATTAGTCAGAGTTCCCCAGAGAAACAGAACCAATAGGATACATACACACACACACACACACACACACACACACACACACATACATATATATATATATATATATATATATATATATATATATATATATATATATATATATATAGAGAGAGAGAGAGAGAGAGAGAGAGAGAGAGAGAGAGAGAGAGAAACGTATTTTAAGACTTTGGCTCACACTATTGTGGAGGCTTGGCAAGTCCAAAATCTGCAGTGTAGATCGTCAAGCTGGAGACCCAGGGAAGAAATGATGCAGTTTAAGTGATGAAGGGAGGCAGCTGGCTGAATTTCCTCTTCTTTAGGGGAGGCCAGTCTTTTTCTATTAAGGCCCCCAATGGATTGAATGAGGCCAACTCACATTATGGAGGGTGATCTGCTTTACTGAAAGTCTACTGATTTAAATATTAATCTCATGTAAACAACACTTTCACAGAAACATGTAGAATAATGTTTGGCCAAATACCTGAGTACCATGATTCAGTCAAATTGATACATAAAATTAACCATCATAGAACTCTAACAGGATAAGTATTGAGATGGGAGACCCTCTGCGGATGCTGGGTGCTAGAGACCTGGCCATGCAGGATATAAGCAAATATGTTTTCTGGTGGCAACAGATAATTTTCCTTTTCATTGGTTATGGTGAGAAGTGGCCTGAAAGTCATTTAGAATAAATTTCATACTCACAAGAAACTAATATCATGGAGAAAAAGATGCGCTGGGAAATTTTATCATCAGAGAAGATCACGTACTCTCATATAGCACACAAATAGATATGTAAACCTCTAAGCACTGGCCCAAAACTTGAAGTAAGTCATTTTCAAATGAAAAAAGAAAATTCAAATGAACATTCAAAACATGATCTATAAAGATCTATTAACAAATATATAATTTGCTTCTACTATAATATGGCACATTATCAGGTCCTGATTAATTATTCCCTTTGATAAGGTTGGCAAGGTTTTAAACACTTCTTCAGTCTTATAGATAGAAAGGTCAGCTTTGGAAATCATCCCTTAACAAATCCCATAGGTAGATAAGTGAGAGTATCTCTGTATATATGTTATCTCTGTATTATTTTTATATGAAAAGTACTTCTGCCAAGCCACTAACTCATTGGGTGTGAGTGTAGATAATTACGTGTTAATGTACTTTTCTCTTTTGCCCTTACAGGCGCATATACATATACATGTACAAAGGCATGAGGATAAGAACTCTACTTCTACTGTGATAATATCAGTCAATCAATATTTACTTTTGGGTACCTACTATGCACTAGGCCCTGTGCTAAACTCCAGGAATACAATGAGAAACATGATGTTCACAATTTATCTTCTATACGACTTGGAACTTATATTCTGGTGAAAGAGAGAGATACCAAAAATTAACAGACAAATAAATAAAATAGTTATAATCAGTGCAAATGTTATAAAGTTAAGGGATAGGAGCTTAATGAAGAAAATAAAGAGACCTACTTTAAATAGAGAGATAGGCAAGGAAATTGCTAAGTAGTTAATATTTAGCCTGAAGCTCAGAGGATGACAGCATTCTAGGCAGAGGAAGCAGTCATTTGACAAATTTGCAGGAAGAGGAAAAAACTCGGATACTAGAGTGGTTGGTGCAGAGCCCAGGGGTCATATGAGTTGAAACTGGGAAGGTGAACAGGACCTCACAAATCATTATAAGGGCTTTAGATTTTATTCTGAGAGCTACAGGAAGACACTAAAGTGGTAGAGTGACATTAGACAAAATTTATATTTTAACAAGATAATTATTGCTGCTATATTGAGCGTGGCTTGGTGAGAGGTAAAAATGGAAGATGTGAGATCAACTGAACTTAAAATAGTCCGTGCAATGAGATGAAGGTGAACTAGTGTAAGGTAGTAATGGAAGAAGAGATGAAGGAAAACAATCTCATTCAGATATATTTGGAGGCCAGTCATGGTGCCTCATGCCTGTAATCCCAGCACTTTGGGAAGCCGAGGCAGACAGATCGCTTGTACTCAGGAGTCTGAGACCAGTCTGGGCAAGATGTCAAAACCATGTCTCCACAAAAAAAAAAAAAAAAAAAAAGAAAAAGAAAAATTAGCTGGACATGGTGGCACACACCTGTGGTCCCTGCTACTCAGGAGTCTGAGGTGAGAGGATTATTCGAACCCAGGAGGTTGAGGCTGCAGTGAGCCAAGATCACGCCACTGCACTCTAACCTGGGTGACAAGAGTGAGACCGTGTTCTCAAAAACAAGACAAAACAAAACAAACAAAAGCTATATTTGGAGCTAGATTTGACAATACTTTCTATCGTATGGATATGGGGCAGGAGGAAACAAAAAAACCAGAATGACACTTCTATTTCTCATTTGAGCAACTGAGTGGTTGGTGGTGCCTTTTACTGAGAAGAAGTCTGAGCTTCTGATGGGGAAACAGTTTTGAGGAAAAAAATCAAGAATTTCATGTTGAATTTGTTAAGTTGCAAATGTCTGCAAGATGTCTGATTTAAATAAGCAATATTGTGTATGAGTATGGGGCTTGGAAGTAAGGTCTAAATGGGAAGAAACTTTTTGGGTTATCAGAATTCACATGGTATTTAAACCCATGGGAATGGTGAGATATCTGAGTAAGTGATGCAGAGAAGATAAGAGCCTTTTCATTTCAGCCCTGAGTTAGATTTCAGCTCTAATCCAAATAGATTTGGAGATTCATTACAGGAGAAGCAACTGGCCAAAGAGAATGGGAAGGAACAGCTAGTAAATTTCAAGGAAAATCAAAGTGATGTCTCAAATGCCAAGAAAAGAGGTAATGCCAAGATAATACACAACAAATACTGAGGATAGAGAAATGTCCATTGAATTGACACGGACATCATCACAGGAATAGTGCCCTTCCATTGAAAGTGCTTAGAGCAGAAATCAGATTGCAGAAAATTAAAGTATAAATGGGAGGTGAGCAAATGGAGAGAAATGTACGTAAATCATTCTTTTGAGAGATATAGGGATGGAGGAGAGTAGAAAAATGGAGTGATTGCAGAAAAGAAATGTGATTTCATTTTTAACGGTAAGTCTCAAGTATGTATGTTTTCTGATAACATTGACTTGTGATGCATAAGAAAGTACAACCGAAGGAACCAAGAAGCTACTCTGGAGGTTGAAGTGGAGATAGAATAAGAGCACACATGGATAAACTGAATGGCAGTTTTAGTATGACTCATATGGAAAATATCTATAATAAACATTCTAATATACTTTTCCCTTTCTAACTCAAATCTATTCTAAGCAGATTCTTCAAGGTTTAACAGAATACCTCAACCTGTGAAATAACTTGCTGTCATTGTGGCATAACCTTTCAGAGAAGGAGAGATCATTATTGAGAAGGTAATTCAAGCTATAGTATTTCTTTAAAAGAAAATGTAAATGTCTCTTTAATTTCCTGATTCTTTGCTTCTAAATCTGCAATGTCC
Source organism: Homo sapiens (assembly GCF_000001405.40). NCBI lineage: Eukaryota > Metazoa > Chordata > Mammalia > Primates > Hominidae > Homo > Homo sapiens. The sequence goes on along the minus strand of NC_000012.12, from coordinate 24,751,085 downwards.
AGTTGATCTGCCTCAAGAGGCTTAGATGGCAGCAAAATCTCTCTCACCCTTTGTAAAAATCAGCCCAGTAAAGCTTGTGGCATTCAGGATCTGAGGTTCTCATGATTTCCTGTGCTGATTTTAAAATAACTCTATATTAGACAAAATTTCAATCTCTAAACTCAGCCTCAATTAATGTAACTTTCTTCATTTATATAAAATTGAATTTGAGTCCTCATTTGGACAAAAGGCAAAAGCATATTTTCAGTCAATTCAGGGTCACTTTTACTTGCCTTGGACAGTTGTTATGATCTGGATGAATCGTGTAGTGCCAGGATGTTTGGATGAAAGTGGCACGTGCTCCTCTTCTTTGCAATTTATCCATGTCGTCATCTGCTGAGGTGCCCTTATTATCTGGTCTTCAGTCATAGGTCCACATAGATTTCTCTATCAGTTTCTCATCCCTTCCAGTCCCTGGGCTTTTGTGTCATGCCTGACCTCCTCTTGGATACCCAGGAAACACTCCACGGATAGCCTACAACTCTGGGCTGCAACAAACTCTGTGAGGCTGCTTCAGGGACAGCTGCCTGGACACCTGCATGGGCCCTTTGTGCTCGGGACTCTTGAGCTATAGAAAAGCAGAAGGCAGATTTCTCTCTGTTCTCACATTCCACAAATCTATCCAGGAATTTCTACCCACCCCCTCCTAAGAGTTGGCCTGTGGTCAGGAAGATGTACAAACCAGGGATCCCGTTTCTTTAGCTCTCTACCATCAAAAGCCCTCAACCTTGAACTCCTCTCTTTCCTGAATCAGAATAATATTTATTTAGTTTGAGAGCAGGGTCACCTGGTACTATATATTCCAAATCTGCAATCTGTGGCCTGACCTAAACTTTATAACTTTTAAAAAACAACTTTATTGAGATATAATTCTGATATCATACAGCTCACCCATTTTCATTGTACAATTCAAAGGTTTTTGTGATTCATAGAGTTATACAGTCATTACCACAATTTCTAACCTAAACTTTTTTGAAACTTTACAAAGCCAAGGGTTTGATTTTTTTTTTTGCATTACGTTTCCAGGAGCACTGAAAAGGTACCTGAAGGGAAGGAATGGACAAGCATAAAGGAAAATACATATAGGGAAATCTTGACGAGATATGAAAACATTAGCCTGCCACAATGCACGGTTCCCAGTGGCCCCCAGCCTGACCTTGTGGCGCTCTTGAGTGCGGTGTAAATACCTGTGCAATATGGATCTGGTCTACTGCATAAAGCATGGTTGAGTTTGTTTGCAGAAGGTCTTCATCTTTCTCTACTGTTCCTCATTTCATCTCGTTTAAACTTATAAACTTCTGTTTTACATGATTCATCTAACTTCTGAGAACGAAGCTGCCCAGGGAGCCTGCTATTAGGTTGTTTATTCCATCCGCATATTTATGTCATGTTAGCCTGAGCTTTGTTTCATATGGAACTTGTTCCAAATTCAACCTGTGTCTTCTTGTACATCCAGGTATTGCCATCATACTGGAAAAGCATTCTGGCTTAGGACATGCTTCATTTCTGTGGTCAGGATTTGTGGGGGCTCCACTGGATCAAGGCACTCCCCATAGGCCTGTGATAGCAATGGTCACTGCCATTTGTTGGGAGCTTACAAACTGTCAGGCACTGTCAAGTTCCTAACATACGTTATCTTGCTCACAGTGAGATTGCAGAAGCCCATGAGCCACAAACTCATCACTTGCGTATAAAAGGTATGCCTGAAGATGCAACATTGTGTTGTTCAGCTAAGTAATTGTATGCGATGGCTCAATTATGTTGAGTCATAACAGGAAATCTTGACCCTTCCCCTACAATTTGATAATTTTCACAGATCTGGGCAAATCTGAGTATAGATCCAAATTATCTTAATTTCTTAATGACCTAAAGCCAATGAATCAAAACCTTGTCACAACACCTCGCTTACCTGGTCTCACGTTTCTCTAATTTCCATCAATATGTGGCAAAAAAAAGAAGAAAATAAAAAGAAACAAAGAAAAAAATTTCTTTTTATAGAGTTCTGGCATTTATGTTTTTTATTTTGCTTGAGAAAGGGAAATGGACAAAGAAGTAAAAAGAGCTATCGGAAAAACTGCCAGCCTAGCAATTAGCATTTTCTTGGATCCTAAGGAAACTCCTGGCCATATTCAGTGTTTTGTTTTTGTTTGTTTTGCTTTTGCCAAAGGTGAAGGCCAGTGTTGCAGGTAAAATATTTTACTTTTTGTGTTGCCAACATTTATTCCTTATGGCTGTTGTGCCTCTCTGTCATATCTCAGGGCAGAAATTCCCTTATGAGCTACATGATTAGGAATGCAATGAGGACTATTAAATATATTTGAATACAGGCAGCAAAATTGCCACGCAGCCCATCTCAGGAGACCATCCAAAAGTATTATGTGTGCGCACGAATGAATCCTGCCGATACACAGTCCCCTCATTTAGTCCTCGATTTCATTCTTCCTTTCACGACGATCCCCTTTAGTTTAAGTTCAGCCTCTTAGTCCCCCAGCAACCTGACTCCCAAACTTATGCTAATGTCAGGAAGCAAGCACAGATGTGAAAAACGAAGGGGTGAGGGGGGAGAGTGGAAGAGACCAAAAGGAGCAAAATTACAAACAAACGGAGAGCTGAGGTTTGCAAGGCTTCTTTCCTGTGATCTTTTTGGAGACAGGCCTTCTACACACGTCGCTGTTCTATCACAATGGTTCTGTGCCTGGGTGTTCAACTTTCAGCCATGAAAATAATTGCCAGAGTACCTGTGGTTATTTGAAGATTAGACATAACGTTTGGTGACTTTCAAATAGGGGCAGCCAGGATTCCATTTATATAAGCCCCATGCAATGGAAAAATCCAGATACGAAGTTGAAAACATTTCAAGAGCAATAATATAATAGCAATAATAGCTAATGTTTATTGCGTGTTTGGTGTGCTTTGTGCCAGAAGATAATGACCTGCGGACTCTACTATTATCTCATTTATTCCTTATACCAGTCATATGAGGAATGCCCCCAGCTAAGAAGCTAAGGTTCTTGGAGATGCAGGATGATGCCTGAGGTCACACAGTCACTTAGGGAAAGAGGCTTTAGTGATGCCACTCTTTATCACTATTTCCTCACTGCCTTGTCCTCATAGCTAGCTCTTCTTCTGAAAAATTTTTTAAAATAATGAAAATAAAAAGATAGGTTCTCTCAGTCAAAAGCCTTGCAGAATGAGCAGTACAAAGTCCAGGAATGGAATGTTGTTAAAAGTTCCCACTTAATTTTTTTACTTATCTGACACTTGAGTGCCACATGGAAACCCCAGAAAATGACAGACCAAAGCCTTCTGCCGGGGGATTCAGGGTACCCATTGTCCTGCCTCCACCTGGCAATGTCTCAGAGCCCCAGCCCGGTCCCATTAGTGCCTGTGGGCGCCGCAGGCAGCCTTTTGGAAATGGAAGCACTCTCCCCTGCCTGCCCTCCACTCTCTTGTGAGGTGTTAACACAAACACCACACAGTCCAGGATCGGTTCAATATTTATTTTAAAATTGCTTTTTTTTTTTCCAGCAAGGTCCCAGATTTTGGAGGCTTTGGGGTGGCTGAACAACTGAATATGTGCCTCCAAAGATGTCATAAAAATGTGGGTAACTGAGGGTGAAGTGTGCATACATACACACATGCATTTGCCTTATGAAAGTGATCTCTTAGGAGTGTCAAATGTTCACTGGCCAAGAGAAACAAAAATGAGGAGGTATTTAGGACAGATAAAGCTGAGCTGATTACAATGGAAACATTTATATATATTTATTGAAAAACACTCAGACCACCTCAACGTTGTGTTTTTTCCTTTTTATTAAAGTATGATATACATGCAAAAAAGTGCATAAATCATGAAGGCACAGTTTGACAAGTTTTTGCAAAGTGAACACATTACTGTAACCAGTACCCAGATTAAAAAAGAAAATATGGGCCCCAGAAACCTCTGTTGTTCCCCTCCCAGCTGCTGCCTTCCCTCCAGGCAATCACTTGACTTCTAACCCATAGATTAGTTTTGTGCATTTTTGAGTTCTACGTAAATAGAATCATATACTAAGTTCTCCTCCATGTGCCTGCTTTCTTTGGTTCTATACTATGTCTGTGTATCTGCATATAGCAATAGTTTATTCATGCTTGTTTTATAGTATTTCATTTCATAAATAGACTGCAAAATATCTAATCTGTTGGTAAACTTTCAATAGTTTCCAGTTTGAGGCTATTATGAATAGGACTGCTACAAACATTCCTTGTGCATGTTTTTTAGTGAAGATATGTTTCTATATCTGTTAGGATAGTCATAAATGTTAAAAACAGAATTCTTACCAGTTTTATACTGTCTTACGTGTAACATTTATTTCATGAATTTTTGACTCTATTATTAAAGCATTAGTGTTGTATTCTTTTCTTTTTAATCTTGCCTCCTTCTGAACTTTGTTTTCTTTCTTCCTGAACTTTCTTGCTTCCTAAAACAAAACTGACCTCAGACACTGGGAAAAATCTAAAATGCATAGCTCCAAGCTCATCATCTGAGGATGTAATAATGAGTGTGTTGTTGTAAATTACTTTTCATCATGGTCCGTGCTGCCTTCAAAGGTCAGGCCTTCATCCCTTGTGTGTTCTGTGGGAGTACACGGTGCATGTGACCAAAAGCAGAGCTGTTTCCAACAAAATTCAGTAAGGTTTTTGCCCTTCTCACAAAAGTTGTGCTTTTTTAAGGTAAAAGAATCTACATTTGATTCTCTGAATCTAGCTCATTTTAATATGAGCCATTTTTGTATGCAAAGGAGTGCTGACACCAGCAAGTTTTATAGTACTGATTACTATGGAAACATTTATCTATAAATATAAAATCCTTTAAAGCTTAGCCTTTTATCTTTATAGAAAAAGGCCTGTTTATGTCATTTCTAAGATTCCAGCTTTAATGTAGACATGAGCTATTCTAATGCCAAACAAGATAACCTTAGTGTTGGAGCCGTGTGAGTTTTGAAAAGTGGAATTTGTGCTAAAACTATTATTTTTTGATAAAATATTAATAATGAAACGAATTTTATTTTATTTTATTTTATTTTGAGACAGAGTTTTGCTCTTCTTGCCCAGGTTGGAGTGCAATGGCACGATCTCGGCTCACCGCAACCTCTGTCTCCCGGGTTCAAGAGATTCTCCTGAAACAAAAATATTTTTAAAAGCACACTTAAGCCAAAAGCTCTGGTTTGTTGAATTCCTTTTGTAGAATTTATATTGTGAATATGTCTCACATTTTTTTCCTTTCTAACTCATTGTTCCCTCCATTCTTTGTGCATGTGTATGTGGGTTTGTGTGTGTGTTTGTAAGCTGTGATGATGGCCAAAATGGAGATGATTGGTTTGTTAACATTTTCTGTTGGCACATTTATGGATTTTTCTTCTTTAAAGTTCATGTAAAATCAGAAATGATGATGTAATATGTATGTTATTATCACTTCTTTTTCCTCTTTTATTAAAACATAGCACTTTAGTTATTTTTTAGGCTATTTATTTTTTATATAAAAATTAGATGTATTTATTTTGGGGGTACATGTGATAATTTGATACATTCATATAATCAGATCAGAGTAATTGGGATGCCCATCACTTTAAATATTTATCTTTTCTTTATGCTACAGACATTTGAATTATTCTCTTCCAGCTATTTTGAAATGTATGATCGACTGATGTTAACTATAGTCACCCTACTGATCTGTCAAACACCAGGTCTTAAATAACTAGAGGTTTATAAGAGAAAAATACTGCAAAATAAAAGGGGAGAGGATGCCAGTCGGCTCACAGCAGAGCATCTGATGCTTCCTGCTTCTCAGTGGTGATGGGCGAATACATTTAGATTAAATGATGGGAATTTAATCCTGACTTCAAAGGTCAGGCCTTCATCCCTTGTGTGTTCTGTGGGAGTACACGGAGCATGTGACCAAAAGCAGAGCAGTTTCCAACAAAATTCATGGGAAAGGCTCTCTTTCCTTCCAGGCACATCTTCACCTGAACAAGGTAACTTTTGTCCTCATATTTTTCCATCCAAATTGGAGTTGTATGTTGCCCAAAGAGAACATCTCTCTCTACTTTCACTCAAACATAAAAGTTTACCATTATTTTTCTTCAAATGTCTTCATACCTCAACTCTATCTCTCACCGAACAACTGCAAGTTACACCAAAATAACTACAGTCCCCTTAGTCAAAACCCTCTGAGACTCTTCTAAACATCAAGAAGAGGATAACTAGCAGCATCCTTTTCTTAAAAAATTACACTACAACAAAATAGATAATTGGCACCTTTAAAGCAGCACCTTATCAATGCAGTTTTACAGAACCCGACAAATGACTAACAAGGAGAAAGGGAGGAGAGTGATGCCTTGGCACGGGAGGAAGGCATATTCTGCAATCTTCTGTGCATACCAGTTGTCGTGGAAGAGCTGAAGTGCTACGTGACAAATTCCAGAGGAGCTGCTTCCCACCATTGCTTCAAGAATGGGAATGAAACGTTAAAAAACAGTGGCTGTCACAATGGTGGAAATCAACTTTCTGATTGCCGAATTCCTGCATATTTGTCTTGACGGTATATAAATAGGGGTTAGAAAAATCTTAGAGACACCATCAGTTTAGGCATTTTAAGATGTTGTCAGGACCAACTTCAGTTGCCAGATAAATCCTGTCTGAAGGGAAGTGAGAGCACATTGACAGAATATAGTGGAAATTATTATGGCAACATAGAATTGTAGAATCATAGGATTGGAAGAGGGCCAGAGGCTTATCTATTCTGGCCACCCATGTCTTAGCTCCAGTGTTATAGACACAGAAGAAAAAAACAAATTTAAAAGGTGTTAAACAATAAGGGCCAGAGAGTCAAATATCTTTTCAGCATTCTCCTTTGATCTGTTATTTTCTCTTTCCTTTGAGCACCAGGAAAAGGGATTCAACTATGGAATATATGTTTAATGCTGCAGACAGCAGCAACACATATGGTATATGCATTGCTCTTAAGTGGTATAGACGGGGCTGACTGGGGGATTATGACATAAGGAATGTTCGCTGGCACACTCCTACCTTCACTGTCTCCATGCTCCTCACCAACCCTTCTTTCTCTCTTCCATGCCAAGCGGTACTTCCCCTCTAGGCTTAATCCAACCTTGATTTCTTCACTTGTAACACAGCAATAATTTTACACACTTCACAGTGTTGAGAAAATTCCATGAAATAATGTCAATGATGTCTTTTTTTTTTTTTTTTTTTTTTTTTTTTTGAGACGGAATCTTTCTCTGTCACCCAGGCTGGAGTGTAGTGGCATGATCTTGGCTCTCTGCAACCTTCCCCTCCAGGTTCAAGCATTTCTCCTGTCTCAGCCTCCCAAGTAGTTGGGATTACAGGCACCCACCACCATACCTGACTAAGTTTTGTATTTTTAGAAGAGTCAGGGTTTCACTGTGTTGGCCAGGCTGGTCTTGAACTCCTGGTCTCATGTGATCCGCCCACCTCAGCCTCCCAGAGTGCTGGGATTACAGGTCAATGATGTGTTGAGTTCCATGTTCAGCACATGTTAAGGCCTCAGTAAGTGATATTTTTAATTATTTCTGCTAATTGCTAAAGGTGTAATACATCCAAGGGTATTTAGAATATAAAATGGGACTTGAATATGGGAAAAACAATCAAAAGATGAGGTTGATATTTGAGAGCAGAGAGCTACCTATTCCACAATTATTTAATGGACATCTACTATATACCAAACCCTCTGCTTGGGGGCTGGGAATAGAAGTTTAAAAAATACTTATTTTTCTTAGCCTCATAGAATGAATAGTCTAGTGAAGGAAACCAACCATGAGCCATAACCACACAAGAGTCTGTGTAGCTATAATTTTTTTTTTTAAAGACAGGGTCTCCCTCTATCACCCAGGCTGGAGTGTAGTGGCAGGATCACCACTCACTGCAGCCCCAACCTCCCAGGCTTAGGCAATCCTCCCACCTCAGCCAACCGAGTAGCCAGGACTACCCGCTCAGGCTACTGCACCCGGCTAATTTTTGTATTTTTTGTAGAGACGAGGTTTTGCCATGTTGCCCAGGCTGGTCTTGAACTCCTGGACTCAAGTGATCTGCCCATCTTGGCCACCCAAAGTGGTGGGATTGCAGGTGTGAGCCACCAAGCCTGGTTCCTACAATTGTTAATAAGAGCAATAAAGGAAAAATACAGGAAGACGTGAACCTGTATTATGTGAACATCAAATTTCAAAAGAGATGGTCAAAGAAGCCTATCTGAGACGTGACATTTAAGTTGAGTTAGGTGAGGAAGAGGTGGGAGACACCTCTTCCTGACAGCACAGATGGGTGTATGGGTGCACGTCTTGGGAGACTGGCCTTGAGTAAAGTGGGAGGAGTTGTAAAGAGAAGAAATTGGCTTACATGAGGAGACTGACTGTCTTTGCTCTTCCCCTACCCAACCCCCACGGTCTATTGGTTCCACTGCCAGGAACTCAAGTTTCGGGGGAAGCCACACTGCAGTGACTTCTCAGATTGAATTGCAGGGGACTGGGGCACTTCCTTCATTTCTCACAAAGCAGATGGCTGCTTCCCTTTTCATTCCTTACTTAAAAGGTACTGCATAAAACTCAGCCTGTTGTCTCAGTATTTGTCCACCCAAGTGAACCTCCCGGGTCTCTGAAGCCAAGATTGGGCCTGAAAGCACCTTTCAGTCCCAAACCTTAAGAACTGTAGGATTTGATAAACCTAATATGACCCTGACTTTCTTGTTACTTTTTAACTCAACTGTGAACTGAGCTTAAAATCTTTCAAAGAAAACCTAGGGAACTTGTTTCAGCTAGACCTAAACTCATGGGTTTTTTTTGTTTTTTTAAACTAATAAACCAGAATTAAATCAGAACATTGAACAGGCTGAACCTAAATAGTTATTTCATTTTGTTTGAGTATCTGTCCTGAAGAAAGAAGATTAATTGTGGGGCCATTGAAAGATTTTTATGTTTGGTTTCATTGCAATCAGAAATTGCAATCAATATTAATAGATATTTGGGAAATTTCAGAATGTTGGTTTTCATTTTTCTGAAGACATTTTTGGCAAGAAATATGTATTTCTTGTTGTCAGCCTAGGACTTCTACATTCCCCCTACAATTTTCAAGTGCCTCTAATTCCTGTAAGAACCAGAAAATTGAGATTTATGTCAAAATTAAAAAATAAAAATTAAAGATTTGGTTCTTTCTTGGTGCTCCCTCTTGCTTTCCATTATAATTGTGTTTTATGTTAGTCCTGGTAAAGGAAAAAGCAATTTGGGAGTGTTTTATTTCTAGTCAAAAGTTTCTTTTTTGTGAAGAGACGTGGAAAAGCCAGATGAGATGGGGCAGTGTAGTGACATGCAAAAACAATTTTGACTCAAGAGATAGAGTCCATTTGAGAAAACCCTTTTGGGTCTGGATACTGCAGCGAGTTGCATTTTGTCCCTTGGTACCAACAAGAGCAGGTTCTACCGAGGCAGTGAGTTCCTCTTAATGCTTCATTGTTTGCAAAGCATTTCATAAGTTGACTTTGGGTTCTAGACACCGAGTCCTGGGTAATTGCTCAAAATTTCCCCTTTGTTTGAGCTCCAGTTGAACCGAGCCATGGTGCTTAATGATAACCTCTCAATTAGTAGCAATGCTAACAAAGAAAGTTTCAAGTTGAGTTGCTAATGACCTAGTTTTTGACTTTCGAAAATAACCGGAGCTCTAGTAGGATCTTTCAGATAAATTTGAATTCGGTTGCAAACAACGTATCTATACAAACACAAACCTTCAACTCCTACCCACCCTACCCCCGCCACCCTACCCACAGAAAGATCCATTTTGGAAAGAAAAACATTTCTGAGTCCATTAAGTTCTAAACCACTTTTATATTTTACCATTTAATTCTCATAATAATGCAGTGACATAGGTTTTATTATCTCGATTCTTCAGATAAAAGAATTGAACCTGCTTTATGTGCAGTGACTACGTATCACACAGTTAGTAGGGGGCAGAGCCAAGATTTGGCGTTTTTTTTTTTTTTTTTTTTTGACTCTGCAGTTTATTTTTCATGATGCACAAATAACTGTAGTGCAAAAACAAATAATATAGAAAGTCTTTTTACAAAAGCTGGCCATCATTACAATTGGGTCCTCTGTCTCTGCAGGATGGGTGGTTCCACAGCACTGTGTCGGATTGGCTGAGAGTGCTGGTAAGATTGGAATGGGATTTCCTCTGTTATCTTCTGTGTTAGAAAGGACCAGAACTGTTAAGACTAGTTCTCCTCTCTATACTCTTACTCCAGAATGAACTCTTGAACCTGTGGGGACAGGAAACTCTGTGGCTTCTCTCCCTTTGGTCCCAAGCATCTTTAAAATATGCCATCTGCTTATTGTTGGACCTGATGACTCATCACTTCCTGGTTTTCTTTTTCTGCTTTGTTTTTTTTTTTTTTTGAGACGGAATCTTGCTCTGTCGCCCAGGCTGGAGTGCAGTGGCGCGCTCTCAGCTCACAGCAACTTCCGGGTTCAAGCGATTCTCCTGCCTCAGCTTCCTGATTAGCTGGGATTACAGGCACACACCACCATGCCCTGTAATTTTTGTAGTTTTAGTAGAGACGGGGTTTTACCACGTTGGCCAGGATGGTCTCGAACCCCCGAACTCAAGCGATCGGCCCGCCTCGGCCTCCCAAAGTGCTGGGATTACAGGCGTGAGCCACCTCGCCTGGCCCTCTGCATCTTTTAATTGTGGACTATACTTCCTAGGGCTTCTTGCATTTCAGTAATGGGCTGAGTTTTAATTAGCTAATATCTGTAAAGTCTTTGAATGTCTTAGGGGGAACAAAATGCTAAGTAAATTTAACACTTTACACAAATATTAATATTTAGGGAGTTAACAATTACATGCAAAACTGTAATACAATAACTCATGGAAATCTTTTCTCACCTATGTTAATAAATACAAAATTTCTATAGACTGTTAGCATCAATTTTGCAAACTCAGAACTAAAAGAAATTTAATATTTGCATTTCTGGTCTTTTTGTTTATATTTGTAAATCCAAATTTACAGTGACTGGAATGTAAAGTTCTCAGCTGTAGTAATGTCTGGGTTAAAACTTCAGACTTTGAAGTTACCACTTGCTTGAGAGGAGTAAACTGGGAAGACAGTTGATGTTTCTGCTATTATAAAGGTGGGGCCCTTTTCAATAAAACCTCTGGAAGGATTGCTCTGGATAGATTAATATGAAGTTATTGTAGTATTTCTTGTTTAAATACTTTGGATGTAGCTTTGGAACTATAGTTCTGAGGCAACCAAGAGAATGGGGCACCCCTTACCCCCACCCACACGTATACATAATCCCACTGGAATATTGAGTACGTGGGGCTCATTAACTAAGTAAAGTGTGAGTAATGTAATGTAAGTAATAACACTGACTTACATTTGGTGTTGCCAAATATTTCTCCAATGTGACATCCCCATTAGAATCTAGCCAGTCAGGAAAGTGGAGTTTAGTTTTTAAGGGCCAAATATTATCCTAAACTGTAATCTACACACCCTGCCACCTCTCATTTGACTAACTTCTGAAGTTCAGAGATACACAGTCATGAGACAGGAAAATACAAAAGATAGTGCATTACACATATCACATACTCAATAAAACTTTGTTGAGTTAAATTAAATTGAATTAAACAGTGACTAAACTAATCCAGATTAAGACATTCCATCCTTAACAGTTCCATTTTTGTTGTTGTTGATTTTGGACTCACTTCAGAGAAAAAGAACAAAGTATCCTTTTAGAAACTTATTTTTTTAAAAGTCCATTTTGGTTTCTTCCAAATCAAATGTGAAGCCTAGGGGAGTCTGAAATTATCCTTCTATTGCCTACAGCTCAACAAATGACAAATCACCTGATGAAAAATTTATCAAAATCACCAAAAAAAAAAAAAAATCCCCTCTTTTTATTATGTTTCCTCTTTCCACATCTTTTTTCCTCACTGCAACATATTATTTCTAGTCTTTATGGAAAAGATGTTTTTCTTTTGAGAAAATGTTGGTAGTTTTGGCTCCAATCTTAAGTAGCACTTAATATTTCCAGCATGGGGCACTTAATATTTTCTAAGAAAATTAATTATCTTAAAGGGATCAAAATGTAGTAGCCAACATTGCTGGAATTCATGCTATACTGCAGGATAAGAAATGAGGCTATGAGCCTCAGTTTCCCCATCTGTAAAAAGAAACACTTAGACTAAGATCAGTTTAAGCCTTAGCATTCAATGAGGTTCATTCAACATCATGAAACCTCAAAATGTTGATGTTCAAAGGCCTCCCCCAGGAAAAGAATCCACAGGAAATGCCACTTGGTATCCAGGGCCACTGCGCTCCTAGAAGGGAATTTGTTGGGGTATTGTTTATTATTGGAAAGAAGACTGTGGGACTTGAGAAAACTCAGAAATCTTAGGTCATATCTACATACATAGTTTTTTTTGTGTTGGTCTTTTTAAAAATTGCAGAATAGTGCATTTTGTTAGTATGGTTCTCATGTACTGCCGTTGGTCCACTATGTAATAACAAATCTATGGTTTGGCTGAAATACTCACTTTTCAACTGATTAGGTGACATTATGTGGACATAACCTTAGACCTGGCTAATTTAGATTTGCTTTATACAAACAACTGAACTTTTTAGCTTATCCTTTCACTTTATCATGTAAAAATCTTAGACTGCAGGAGTTGGAATGTACCATAGAGATTTACACCAATCTCATCATTTCCTAGTTGAGGAAACTGTCAAGAAAGAGAAATAGAACTTAGGTTTTCTTTCGCTCTAGTTTTATACTTGATTTTGTAGATGATTCTGGCAACATGCCTTAGGTTTATGTGGCTATAATAGTGGGAAATTCTTATATCCTCAAAACTGTCATTTAAAAAAAATAAACATCCTGGCTTTGAAAAAAATTAAACCCACTACAGTGAGCTATTTTAGTTGAAACTCACTAACATTTAATTCTAATAATTGAGTCTATCTATCCATCTGTCTGTCCATCTATTGATCTAACTATCTAAACCACACTTTGAAGATTAAATGAGATCACATATGTAAGGCATCTAGCTGGTAAATAGTAGGTACTCAATACATGTGGGTTTCCTCTTTCCTGCAGCCCACCCCTGCTTGCCCTGCCGTGCACAAATGAGTGTGTTCCTTCACAACCCCCAGTTGAAAACAGAGATCTTCTAGATCTGAGCATTATCACAAAGACAGCAGAAAATGTTTAGAAGAACGCTTCAATGGCAGCAGGCAGAGAAATGCACTTGTAAATGGATCCTATTTCTCAGATATCTCGGGCCTTCTTTTTATCTTTTGTTAATGTGCAGTGATTGTGGTTGGAACAAAATTTAGCATATGATTTTTGATTCATGTGAAGCATAATAGTTAGAGTCTTAAAATTATTGAGGTATATTATGTAAAATAATTTTATCTGCTGAAACACTGACTTTTACTATACTATAGCAATTCCTGCTTTCTTATTCCTAATAGCATCTTGGGCATATTTTATCATTTACCAATCACCAGTAGTTAAACCGTAGTCCAGACCTGTTTAAAATTTCAATCTTATATCCAGTTTAAAACTTTTTTCCTTCCTCATTATAGGGTAGATTTGTGAATTAAGGAGTTTGAAGCGGGGAAGGAGGCAAGCTGCGGCACTGTGTAACATCTTCCTCTCCCTCTTCAAAGTTTAGCTCCTTCAATTTACATACAGGAAGGAGGAAGCAAGAAGGGAAGGAAATAACTACATTATAGTGTTCTATGAGGTTGACTGTCCATATCCTCCCATCATCTTCAGTCATTTTTTAAATACTGACTGTGGGGTAGGAGTTACGGTAGTGGTTGTTGGTAACAGGGTCAGTTATGTATTTTCTAATACAGCCGATTACAATTGTCAGAAGCTCATTGGTGGCCATCTCTGGACTGGGCACTTTGCACTATTACCCTGAGCTTTGAATCATAACTGCAATTTTGGAGAACAGAAAAGTCCCTCCTACTCAACATCTATTATAGCAGCCTAGTAATTCCTGAGTCAAATTTATATTTATAAGTATACCTTGTGTGTTTGTAGTGAATTGTCTGTAGGATAAAACGATGTAACTGAGAACCTTTGATGAGACTGTCACTGAGGACCACACTGCATAAGGAGGTAAAGTACAAGATTTGGATGTACGTTAGGTTTCCTCAACAGAGCATTTCTTACAATTCTTAACCTTTGATTCTCAATCTCTCTCTCTCTCTCTCTCTCTCTCTCTCTCTCTCTCTCTCTCACACACACACACACACACACACACACACACACACACTCCAATACTGTTCTTTCCTAGCTTTTCCCTTCTCAGGAAATGATGCCACTATGCATTGTGAACTGCCACAGCCACAGGCTTTCAGAGACATAGGATAACAACACGGTCATGGAACTGAAAGATTCTTGGGACCTTATTTGACAACTGCCCACTCTTTCCCCAATTTTGGTTGCTTAAACTAAGTCACTTTACTATCATAGACAAGAAAGTCCTAACATATGGAATAATTTATGCCATCTCTTATCTTTGAATACATATTTGCACAATAAAGTCCTAATATATGGAATCATATATGACATCTCTTATCTTTGAATAGGTATTTACATTTTACAGTCAAAAAAATAGAGTAGAGGCATCAAATCCAGAACAGTGCTAAGTGATCCTGTGATGGCAAAATGTTACATATAGGCTCAAAGCAGCTACTGATTAAGGAAATTTTATGTTGATTTATTTTGGTAGAGCAAAACATTAAAAGAAAGTATGTACTTAAGCGAGTTTGAACCTAGAACTCAAACTAATGTATCCTTCTCTCTAGAATCAGCATTGAATTCAATTCGAATCAGCATATATTTACTAATTCCTACTACGTGCAGAGCATTGTTCTTATATCTAGGGGAAAAAGTTAATGGATTTAAGGGATCACTTTGTAGACTGTCTTTTTTGATTATCTGAAGGAAATATATTTTTGTTACAACTCAGTTACAGAAAGATAAGATTTGTATGACAGATCTATAAACCTATTTCTTCTAGCAATATTTTCCAAAGTCTCAAGGCAATAATGTTTTATTTCTACCCAGCTGGAAAAATGTTAAATTACTCACTTAGCAATTGTAATAATAAACTTAATTTCACACAGTTTGAGCTATCTTAACTTTGTCAAGGCTTGGATTCTCAATATTAGTCTTTCAAATGAAAGCAACAAATGTTTTTGTCATTTTTCTTAAAATTAGACCTCTAGATTATGTCAATTCTTAAAAAGTGGAGTTGAAGGTGATAAAAGATGTTTGAACTGTCCAAACTTACTATACAACTTGTCTTTAAAACCTGGTCCAGAGTGCACAGTTGAGATGTGGCAGATCAGTCTCAATGACTCTTCCAGTCACTTTATATCCATGGTCACTGGATGATCTCTAGGGATGTGGAAACAGTTTGTCTTTGGTGACTACCCACTATCGTCTTTGTTATGCCTTTTCTGGATACGTGTCTCTGGGATGTCTTACAGTTGTACTGCATTCTGACTGCTAAAATCAGGTGCGATAATGCAGGCTAAATATTATCTCAGTGTTACTCTTTTTTCCCCTTTTTGTTCTACCTCCCCTCACTTATCCCTCTACAAGCACATCAAACATCTTATTCTTTCTTGTTGATGATTCCAATTAGATAGAGGGAGGGGCTTGGTTCAATTATCTTGAGTTTTGAATGACCACTAGCTGGCCTAGTGTATTCTAGTCCCAGGAGCATGTATATTTACAAGTCAATTTTTCTTTAATCTAGGAAGTGAAAGCTCAATGGTGGGGTCTCAGGCAATAGAACAAGAAAAGCTTTAAACTTAGCTCTGAGGGAAGAGCTATATTTCGTTGTCATTTACCCCTTGCCATTTTACTTACCTTTGTGAAGTGTTTCTATCTTATACATTTTCCTAAACAACAACTTTAGAACACACACACACAGTATGCATGTATTCAAATTCTTAAATTCTTACAGAAGTCATAAATTTGTCTGGTGTCAAGAACTGTTAAGGGGCTGAAATTTTACCCTACTTGCAAGCTAAGTTAGCCTGCCACCATTTCATAAATGTGAACAGAGGACACAAGACTCTTGGATAAGAGACAGAGGACAGTTTATTACCAACAGCAGCAACACAGCCCTCAGCCCCCTGAGCCCTAATTCCCACAGGATGAGCCAAAGAGGGCTAGATGGCACCCAAATATGTAGTAGGTTGTGTTTCAGGAGAAGAACCTGTACATAGAACACCTGGATCTTTCATAGTAAGAAGTCTACATAAATGCCCTTTGCTCTGGAAGGAAACATTGTCTTTTACACTAAGCTCACAGCTCAACCAAACAAATTCCCCTCTCCCATCTTTTTCTTTTTTCTCCACCAAAAGCTCTCTATCAAGTGGCAGGGGCATCATTACTTCTATTTCAAACTTCAGGGACCCCTTGACTCTGCAGCCACAGATATATTGCATTCTTGCCATGGCTGCAAAGTTTGCACTCTCTGGATGATTCAGACATTAACCTTCTTTGAGGATCCAGCTTACTCAGGGGAACCTGGTGGTCATTATCAAGAAAATGTCTTAAGGTTTTGCCCAGTTTGTTACCTTCAACAGCACTGTAAGTCCAACCAGGGCAATAAGAACCCAGGTACTCATCAACACCTCATCTATGGTTTCACCTGGGAGTTTGTCCTGGAGAAATCTCTCTGAGAATGCTAAAGTTTCCTTGTTTCGTTCAGTACCTATTACAAGAAACTGTAAGACCTTTTCTGTCATCTCCAAGTAGATTTAGAATGGGTGTGATAGGTGGGTGTGAGCCATAAGATGGGTTGACTCTTACCATTCTTCCTTAAGAAGTATTATGAAGCCTGCTCTTCATCTCCTAAGCATATCAGGTCAAAGTTTTATTGATGTACCTGGTTTCTACCTATATGGTCAAAATTTCATTCCTGTTATACTCAATGTAAGTTGTGTCTCTGTAACTCTTGTCTGAAAGGGGATATACCCAGGATGAATCTTGATGCCATTTGTTCCCACTTGGAGGGCCTGATGCTGATTGGCAGAATGGAAAGTAAGTCTCCTCCACCTCAGGGAGTGCTAGCAAAAACAGGACAGCATTTGGGCAGCTTTCTTTGAATCTAATTTCTGGTATTTAGCCTTCAACCACCTTCCAAATGCCTCCTCATTAGTAGGCAATAAAGAGGAGAAACATTTATTGCCTGGCACACTATACTATGTGGACAAAATGTTCACCACTGATTTTTATGAACTTCCTTTATATCCCTTTAACTGGCCTGTGAGGCCTCCATTCTTTCTCTCCCATAAAGCCATGTGTCTGTCAGCATCATCTCATCCTCATCTATAAAACTGTCAAACACTGTGAATAGTCTGAGATTTTACCTTACTTGCAAACTAACAAGTTAGGCCACTACAGTTTCATAGATGCTGGTAGAAGACACAAGACTCCTAAATCAGAGACAAAGAACAATTTATTATTTGCAGCAAGAAGTAGACAGAGAGTCCACATTTTTGTGTCAGTTATTTCAGATTCAATTTGCATAGGGTGATATGAAAAGGGCCAGATGATACCTGCACACATAGTGGTTTGTGTTATAGGAGAGATATTCTGAGCTTACTGGAATAGAATATTTTATAATGGTCAGTAAGCATACCTGTTCTTTCATCCAGGGGGATATGCCATTTTCAGCTTCCAAAGCTATAAGCAAACCTACTTTTTGCTCTGGAGAGAGATACTATCTCTATATTCAAAGGCTGTTTCTGATAGAAACTTCCTTGAAAAGATGATCTAGAACAAAGGTCAACAATTCTCTTTCAAGATGTGCAGAAATATAATACACCCGTGGAGAACTGTTTCCCTACATCTGGGATTACAGGCAGCCCTTATTTCATGATTATAAGGGACCCATTGAAAACAATAACACAAGAAAGCCAGCTTGGGAAATATTAATGAGAGTTTTGGTTTCTTTTCTGAGAGTTGGAAAGTACATTTCAATGAACAATATATTTAGCAGTGTATCAAATGTTATATGAAGATATGTCAAATGTTATATTAAGATCACATGTTTATAGAAGATACACACTGAGATTTCTTCTGCAAGTTTTCACATGACACATTCTCATGACCTGTCACTCTTCCTAATGAGGGAGACAAGATCATAGTATTTTAGTCAATGAGCCTGGACTCAACTCATTTCATTGTATTCCTTAGATTGCAAAAAACCATTGAACTTTATAGCAAAAGTGGATTCAGCAGATATTTTGCATTGCAAGTATTGAACTGTGTCTGCAAGGCAGTGGTGCCAATCTGAAAACTTTATTTTTCTGTTTAGGAACATGATAGGATTTTATCTTACTAATAAAAAGAAGCATCACTTTTCTCTTCATCCTGTGACCTCTAATATGTACATGTTTTCATTCAAATGCATCTTTCCAATAGCTAAAATAATTGCACAAGATTTGTATAATTTGTTTGACAAATAGGTAGATTTCATGTCCACTGTAGTTACATTGATTATAGGGAATTTTCCACCACTGGGGTAAACTGAGTTAGTCTTAAGTACTAATTAGCTTTGGATCGTTCATATTTGGCACTCCTAGTTACTGTGTAAATTTAGGCAGAGTAAGTAACCCCTGAACCTTAGTTTTTTACTCTATAGAATCGGGGGATAGAAAATTCTCTTATCAGCAAACTTATAAGGACTACTGGGACAAAATCAAAGCATCTAAAAAAACTTTGTACAATGCATAGTACATGATAAGGTCTCAATAAATGTCTGTCCCTTCCGTCTTATGTGGTTTGACTATATACGGATAGAAAGCCCTCATTCCTTATTGTCATGTTTTTCATTGGTGCACAGATTCCTCACTAATTCAGGAACAGAAATTAATCCTCCCTGAAGGACTTTGCCTTCTTACACCAGAGAACCAACTCCTCTGCCCACTTATTTGATATTGCATTGTTTATCATGACCTCTAGGATTGCAGCCATGTTGAATAATGAAGACTCACTATATAAACACAGACAAGTCCTGAGATGTGATTCCATGTGAGAGCTTCTGACAGAGGGGAGTGTGTTAAAAAGCTAAAGAACAGATTTGCAAAGCCTAAAATCCTTAGAATCTCAGCTTCAAATCCTGGCAGGATTGAATTAGCTTTTTTTTTTCCTCTGGAGTAGTTAAACTTAGTTTCATGTGTTTTGTCTGAGTACTGCGTGTGGGAGTGGGAATCTATATCATTCAGATGGAAGCTTTCATCTGTTTCAAGCCTGTATGTATATTAAAACAGCCATGAAATTTTATATGTGCTAAAATCCTAAAAATATCAGCAGAGACCTTAAGAGAATCAGACAGTGGGTTGAAGAAAGATTTAATATTCAGTATTTCTCTTTTCTATTTTTTTGTTGCATTCTTTTTATAAAAAGTTGAGTTGACAGGGGCTTGAAAAATGTACTTTGAAAGCCAAGCAATTGTCTAGTTAATGCATTCTATTAAGATGACAATTGCAAACAGTTTAAAATAAAACAAAACCACCACCTATTTTTCAACAGCAGGGTTTTAGGACCCAGGTTGTTCAAATGAGAGTCTTAAATTTTCTTTTTATTTAGCTTAAAAAAAAAAAAACAAAACAGCTCCAGTAGTGTTGCCAACATAATCTTAAATTCCCTTCGTTTGAGCATACAGAGAACAAGAGGAGGAAGTACAGATGCCTCAGAGGGACAAATTGCATCAGTGGATGGGAGTCTATCCTGAAAAATGGGTATTCCTAGCTCTTAAATTGAGGTCATAGTTTCTTGTTCTCAGAGTTCTGTATCATTTCTTTTTAAAATAATTTGTCAAGTTCAGCATGCCTTGTTTGCTAGACAGCAATGTGACTGTCCATCTCCTAAAACAATCAAGATTGCTTTATTAAGTAGAACCTAATGCATATCTGCACCAGAACAGGATTCCAGGAGGCTGGAGAATACATTCTGGAGCCATCTGCAGACTAGCCTTGGGCTTCCAAGCCAATGTCCCAATGGCTAAGGAACTGTAGATATGTTACTGAGTTCACTTACACCTTCATTCCGTGACCCTGAGGACAACACACCTTCATTGCACTCAACCCTAGACCCCATATCTTCTCCTTCTACCCACTCCTCCACATGAAAGTCAGAGGTAGACATATGAGTGCCTATTTTTGGTAAATGTCATGGTTTTTCACATCACTGAGTAAGCATGAAAATTTCTCTCTAAATATTTGAATCACTTCATTTATAGTCAAAA
Organism: Homo sapiens; assembly: GCF_000001405.40. Taxonomy (NCBI): domain Eukaryota; kingdom Metazoa; phylum Chordata; class Mammalia; order Primates; family Hominidae; genus Homo; species Homo sapiens. The sequence goes on along the minus strand of NC_000012.12, from coordinate 24,730,691 downwards.
ACACTTTCTCAAAATGAACATTGTGAAGCCAACCAATTTGACTACACATCTGGGTTTGAACCCCAAAGAGGCAGAAACACTATAGTTAATCAAACTAATTTGTATTGCTATTCTTATCTGGTGGTCTCACTTTGAGGAAACCACAAAGATGTCATTTGGGAAGTGTCAGCTTTAGGGGTGGGGCTGAGTTGGGGATGTTGGTCCTTTGATGGTAATGGTTGTATAAAACACAACATAAAATTGTGAAAAAACATTTGTAGTGAACTTTTTTAAAAACACATTTACTTTTTAGAGCAGTAGTTTTGAATTATGACAATTTGGAAAGAATGATGCAGTATGACATGATGCAAAGAACAAATCCCTGACTTTAAGGAAAACTGACCCCCAGTCCTGCCTCTGCTATTATTCAGTTTTGTTGGGTTGGGCAAGTCACATACCAACATGGTGTCAATCCCTTCTTTATAAAATAAGAAATTGGTTTAGCTCAGAGTTCCCCAAATTTGTACTTCAGACCTGTGAAGTTGTCTGCAAAAGTAAAAGTAATTTTGTGATAAAATAAATTGAGAATTACTGCATACTATGCTGTTCAAATGTACACTGACATATTGATATCTGTGAAATGTTCTGCAGTTGGACACATGGTTTAACTTTCTTTTCTTTTCCCTTTTCTTTTCTTGTTTTTGTAGGGACATGGTCTCACCTGTGTTGCTGTGTTGCTCAGGCTGGTGTCAAACTCCTGAGCTCAAGCGATCTTCCTGCCTCTGCCTCCAAAAGTGCTGGGATTACAGGTGTGAGCCACTATGCCTGACTTTAGTACAGTATTTTCCAAAATTTTTTTTGTCTGGTGACATACCTTAATATCTCTTAAGAATAGAGTATCACAGATATCTTTTGGAAACCCTGGGTTCAATGATCTCTAAGACCCTTTCCAGTTAGCATTCAATTATACTAGTAACTCTGTTTTTGTTATTTATTGTATTTTGTCAATAAGGAAGTTTTTTTGTTGATTTCCGGTAATTTCTCAGTTGAAATAATTTAGCTGCCTAGGGATTCATTAGAATGAGTCATTGGTCCTCCTGCCCCATGTAAGGTACTTTCCAGTTTTAAAGTTTATGATTCTAAGATTCTAATTTGAGATCAGCGACAAGTCTTCTTATAAGAAAAATTAATTGTATTCTTTTTTTTTTTTTTAGACATAGTCTCACTCTGTCACCCAGCCTGGAGTGCAGTGGTGCGATCTCGGCTCACTGCAAGCTCCGCCTCCTGAGTTCAAGTGATTGTCCTGCCTCAGCCTCCCGAGTAGCTGGGACTACAGGCACCCGCCACCGTGCCCGACTGATTTTTTGTATTTTTAGTGGAGACGGGGTTTCACCGAGTTAGCCAGGATGGTCTCGATCTCCTGACCCGTGATCCGCCCGCCTCGGCCTCCCAAAGTGCTGGGATTACAGGCGTGAGCCACTGTGCCCGGCCAATTAATTGTATTTTTTGCCTTCTAGAAAACCTTATGTTGCTTCATATTCTTGTTAACCTGCAAAATTTTTTTTCCAAATTCTCATTTTAAAAGAATAATAGATTTATCTATAAGCAACAGAGACATTTTGTACCCTCATGGTTAGTAGTTTTAATTTTTCGGAAAAATCATGTTACTCATTACGTAATATCTGTAACTAAATTTTAAACTATGGATTGGTACAAGTTTACACAGGCATTAAAATTTCCGATTATTCCTTAGGACATTACATAGGAGTATATGTGTTGTTGATTTTGTTATTAAAACACTTTCTTTCATTAACAATGTACCTCTTCTGTTCAGAAAAATGAAAAGGAAAGAGTACATGACCACATCTTTAAATAGATGTTCAAGTTCATTTAAAAAGATTATTTTTTATTTAAAACATTACAACCTCATCACCTGCAGACTATTTCTTTCATCAAAGTGGCTTAAGATGTATTGCATTTTGATAAAAAACTGCTTCCAATGGCTACAGCATCAAAAAGTAAATACTATGTATTTTATTTACCATGAAAAAGGTAGTGAAAGTTTCCCCAGTTTCTTAATCTGTAATTGGTCACTCTTTCTGTAGAGAGATATTGAGGATGGTAAAATACTCCCAGTACCCACAAGGTGGCATGGCCTTCTTGTTCAATCCAGTTTCATTTATTATTTCTGCTTTATCTGCTACTATATTTTAGATTCTGCTCTTTTATTAAAGTTTTGAATTTCACTTTATGGTTTTATTTTTCTTCACTTGCAGCCAATGGACAGTACTGGAATTTCTAGACAGAAATATATTTTTTAAAGAAATATTAAAGTAAAACTCTTCTACATCTTCTATTGTTTCAGTCCACTTTGGAGCTGACTTTAAATTATTTGACTGTGTATGAAGCCTAGTGATTATAAACTGCCTAATAAACACTAGATACTCAATAAATATTTGCTGTGGAATTTCATGAGTTGTCTTACTGAAAAAAAGGTATTAAAATACTCATTTTTTACCAGAACAATTTATGGATACTTTATATCTTTCCACTTGCTGGTGAAAAAGCTCTGCCTCTTTTGCTCAGGAAGTACTGTTATTTTACGGTATTATAAAAATATGTCATAAATTAGGGTGAAATCTCCATCCTATCTCAATTATAAAAAAGGCACGGTGAATTCACTTCAGTCCTTTACTCAGTAAACATTTGTGGACCCTCTCTCTGTACCCAGCACTGTGCCAAGGGCTGAAGAAAACATAAGGATGAGTAGAACATGGATAAGGGAATAAGCATGTAATTGCAAGAGCAGAATCATCACTCACCCATTCATTCATTCATTCAACAAATATTTATTGAGTTTACTGTGTTTCAGGTGTTATAAGAAGGTAAATAATAAATAAAATGGCCAAAAATCTTACACTAGAGTAGACAGACAATAATCTAGATAAATAAAATAAACACATAAAATGAGTGAACTCTATAGTATGTTCAATAACGATACATGCTAAGGAGAAAACATAAAGCAGAGAGAGGAGAGAAGCCTCTTGGGCCAGGAGAGGATTAGGTTGGCTATATTTTTATTTTGGGTCATGAGATAAGGTCTCTGTCTCTCTCTGCAAAACGACCTGAAGAAGGTACAGAAGTGAACTGTGTGGTTGTCTGGAGGGAAGAACACTCTAGGCAGCAGAGACACTAAGTACAAAGGCTCCCAGTGGGACTGGGTCACTGTCGCGTACTCTGTTGGGGTTGCTAAAACAAAATGCCATCAAATGGGTGGCTTATAAACAACAGAAATGGATTTCTCATAGTTGTAGAGGCTGGGAAGTCCAAGATCAAGGTAGAGTCTCTCTCTGGTGAGGGCCCCCTTTCTGGGTCACAGACTGTACCTTCTCACTGTGTCCTCACATGGTGGAAGGGATGAGAGTCTCTCTGGGGTCTCTTTTATAAGGCACTAATTTCACTTACGAAGGCTCTGCCCTCACGGCCTAATCACCTCCCAAGGGCCCCATCTCTGAATACCATCACTTTAGGGGTTGGAATTTTGGCATATGAGTTATGAGGTGGGTACAAACATTCAGACCACAGCACTCATTTAATGTGTGCTACCCCAGAGTCCTACATAAAATGAGATGGGAGCAAAGGAGACTGAGGGGCTCCTTGAGGAAAGTGAAAGAGGATTTAGCTGAGGAAGAGAAATCTACCCCACACCCAGTGGACAAAGGTGCTCCTGGTTGAGCAAAGCCATAGAGGCATGAAAGCCAAAGATGTGGTTGTGTGGGAAGTAAGAAGAAAAATGAGGCTGTAAATAGGACGAACATATAATAGTCCTGTATGCACAACCCTATTTTATATCCACTTGGGGGGAAAAGCAGTGATTTCACCAGATTAATTTTGAGGGAAAAAAATTTAGGTAAATCATAAAATACAATGAACAGACAATATATGTGCAGGATAATATTAACTTACTCGAATCTGTTTTCCTCTCCAAAAAAAATTTATATTCCTTCTCATTGGGATTACAAAATTTTGACTTCAGGATGCATAAACAGACAGATAGTAAAAGTTTTGAGCATTCTGTATTTTCTAGATATCAGTTCTGCTTTTGTGATAAGGCCCCGGATGCAGTGTCTACCTGGCAATGCACTAAATTTTAGATATCTGAGATCTCTACAATGGATAGCATAAGTCTCTTTTATGAGAGGTTTCGTCAGAGGAAGAGCTCAAGTGATTCTATCTGACGGCTTCTTTTTCTAGGCTTTAAACCTTTAGTGGGGGTCAGATAAGGGGATGGGAAAATATCCCTTGATTGTTTTGGAGAAAACTTAATCTGACACTTTAAATGTTAACTACTTAGGGGCTAAATGAATGTATACATCTGCTGCTGCAGTTATGGTTCTTAGTTTTCGGGTTTTGTTTTTTTAAGGCAATACGGTGGATTTAAATTTCAGGCTCCCACTTCAGGTGTGCAAACTACCATTCATTCTTCTAAAATTCAACTTAATTTCTATTTTCAGATATCATTCCACTGGCATGTGAGGAAACTTAGTTCCAGGACTATTATTGGAACCCTTCCTTCACTGAGGTTGTGGCACTTGATAGTTGTAATTAAGGCCGAGATGTTAGGTGAGGTGGGGTCTGCTCCACACAGACTGACACAGGGAAACTGTCAACCCTCTGTCCACAGGGCACCTCCAGGCCTGTGGGCCCCCTGCTAGTACTTTGACAACTTTGGGAGCAGGAACTTGCTGTTTCCTGGCATGCTAGGGCCAAGGGAATCCTTGCAAGGCCATGCTTCGTCACATACAAATGAATGCTAATTCCCTAACTGGGTTCATGTTCTCACTCCTGGGATTAGCCATTATTTCTTCAGGATCCACTTGTCTTCTTTGCTCTCCTCCCCAGAAGCCAGAAGAAAGTGTTTTGAGGTCTTGAAGGGAAATCCCTCTGCCTTTGTGACTTCCCTACTAGCTGACCTGTAACCTAATTATCATCATTCTCCTAAGTGTTGGGCTGTTGAAAACCAAGTGTATGAAGATCAGAGGATATTTTCTGGCCCCACATAGACCTGTTCTGATTTTCTGTTCTAAGCAGGAAAGGGAAGAAGAGAAACACTAAAAAGAAGGAAAAAAGTATTATTTTACAAATATCATCCTACCCTATTTATATAATTTCGTACACATACAGGCTGTGTACATATATATATATATATATTCATATGTGTGTGCCACTGTAACTAAGGCATTTATTCATATGTGTGTTCCCGTGTTTTTGTGGGAAGGCAAAGTTACTGATCTCTGCTGGGCAATCTTAGGCAACTCCTTTAACATCTTACAGTGTTAATTTTCTAATATATAAATGGTGAACATTAAGGCCTTCAACTCCTAACTGGAAGCTTGTTGTAAGGATTAAATGAGGTAATTGTGGGGACGTGGTCGATCACTAGGCATTTTATATGGTTTGGCTGTGTCCCCACCCAAATCTCATCTTGAATTGTAGTTCCCGTAATCCCCATGTGTCATGGGAGGGACGTGGTACGAGGTAATTTAATCATGGAGGCAGTTACCCTCATGTTGTTTTCGTGATAGTGAGTGAGATCTGATGGTTTTATAAAGGGTTTTTCCCTCTTTTGCTCAGCACTTTTCATTCCTGCCATCATCTGAAGAAGGACGTGTTTGCTTCCCCTTCAGCCATGATTCTAAGTTTCCTGTGGCCTCCCCAGCCCTGTGGAACTGTGAGTCAATTAAATCTCTTTCCTTTATAAATTACCCAGTCTTAGTCAGTCCTTTATAACAGCATGAGAAGGGACTAATACAGCATGTATACACACACATACAGCTCCAAGAACACACTTCTGTTTTTAGTTCAAACACTGTGTTTTGAATTTCAAGTGACCCTATGTTTTCAAGAGCACTAAATTTAGTGACAAAACAAAATTAGTAGACTTCTTAGATAGAATATTAGTTTATATTTTCTTTCCTAGGATGGGTAGGAAATTTCACTATCCTTGCAGATCCTCCTGTTTGTCCCAAACTGTAAATCTCTTCCATTCTGTCTGTTTCCTTCTTAACACGAGTAGCAACTTCACAAAGACATTATGTTGTCCACATCTCTCAGAATGCTGTGGCATGTTCAGGGCTGAAGTATGGGATGATGTATGGAGTAGAGGAGAAGTAGAAGCCAGAGGTTTGCATCTGCCTTTGGACAGCATAGCCCTAAGTTCCAAGCCAGCTTCCATTTCTGTTCCTCAAATGATGGGACTGTGGGAGGCAAAGCCCAGGACATCTGAATGGATGAACTTGCATGGGGCAACAGGAGAGGATCTGGCATTCCAGGCATGCCAGCTGCTTCTCCCCTTCCTGGCCCTTCCCCTGTCTACACTGCATTCACCCCCCAACAGGTTTGCACATACACACACATCAGCAGAGTCCTGTGACCTGGAACAAACAGATGAGGGTTTTCAGATTGTATTATCCCCCACACTTATGAACGTGGCACATTTTAATTCCTGTCTTTTCTTTCTTTTTTTTTTTTCTTTCTGATTCTACTTAGCTATTTTTTCCTCACCCCATTGCTCTAAGAAAGATGAGTGTCAGGTATGGTTTGGGGTTTGTTTGGGTTCTTTGTTCCATAGAAAAATAATAGCTATCACTTACTGAACACTTACTATTTGCCTGGCATTATGCTGAGCACCTTACATTCATTATGTAACTTAATCCCTCAACAAACCTATGAAGTAAGAAGTACTATTTCCTTATTACACTCACAGACAAGCAAACTGAAGTTTAGCAAGGCTAAGTGGCTTGCCCCTGGGTCACATAGTAAGTGGCAAAACCAAGATATGAACCCAGGCAGTCTGGCTCTAGAGCTTATGCCTTAAGCATGACATATGGATAAGGAAACTGAGGTACAGAAGGATTCCAGGTACTCATTCTAAGTTCCAAAGTGAAAAAATGTTTTCGTCCTGATAGTCAATCCAGTATTCCATTCCATTGTCTTTGATCAAGTTCAGATGCCAAGTGGAAGAAAGAGCTTCATTTGGGAGCATTGCTTGCACAAGCCCTGTGCATCAGATTTCAGAGCCCTGGTTTCTTGAGGATGAAGCAGAACCTGTTGCAAGCTTTCCCTGATCGGGTGCCTCAACTCCTTTTCTACATATTGGCAGAGGTGGCTCCAGGACCCCAAACTGAAGCATTTGGGAGGAATAACTTTAAGAAATATATAGTTATAAATACAAAATTAGATGTATTTATTTATTTAGAATGAGACATGAAATCATATCAAGTGACAAATGTCAGAAAGCTAACAAGTACACAAACATCCTGAAATCTATAGGAATCATATTTTTTAATGAGTATAACCTTGTTAATACTTTTTTCCTCAGTTTTTTTTCCTATTTAATTTTCAATGCTTTTTTCTATAACAATAAAAAAGTCAGCCCTTTCCTTAGGATGGTTGATAGATTTTTATTTAATTGCTAGTTGAGATGTACAAAACATTGGCAACTTTATACACAGACACGCTTGCTTTGGGCAGCGTTACTACAGGTTTTTGCCATATCAACACCAGAATTCTGACAATTTCTATTTCACAAACTTTATATTCAAAAAAAAAAAATGTGTAGTGTATTTGTAGTTGTATATACAACATTATCAAGTATTGTATTAGTCTGTTTTCATGCTGCTGATAAAGGCATACCTGAGACTGGGAAGAAAAAGAGGTTTAATGGACTTACAGTTCCACATGGCTGGGGAGGCCTCACAATCATGGTGGAAGACAAGGAGGGGCAAGTCACGTATTACATGGAAGGCAGCAGGCAAAGAGAGAGAGAACTTGTGCAGGGAAACTCCACCTTGTAAAGCCATCAGATCTTGTGAAACGTATTCACTATCATAAGAACGGCACAGAAAAGACCTGCCCCCATGATTCAATTACCTCCCACTGGGTTCCTCCTACAACACATGGGAATTCAAGATGGGATTTGGATGGGGACACAGCCAAACCACATCAAGGATATTCCTGACAGAATAGAACTTCTATTATGACTAAGAATTAAGAAAAACTCAATTCTTTACTTATACATTTACATGTTACAGAAGATTTATTCTCAGACTAACTTGTGATTCCATCAATTTCAAACCTGGGCTGCTCTCTCTTACCCACACGCTTTCAGTGCTGGGTGTCATGGCACCTGTTCCTATCACAATAGAACCTCTGACCTGTACCTCATGGCACAACACCAGGAGAGTCGGCACAGTGGGCAGGAAATAAAACTCAACACTACACTAAAATGGCTAGCAATGTGCCAACTACACATGAATATTGCTTCAAACCACATCAACATGTCCCACTGAACCAAAAAAATGTGCACCTCCACCCAACCTCCCCTTGGAAGATTCAAGAAACAACCATGGCCACACCAACATCATTGGAATGGGGAAAAGTGGAACAGAAAGTTGGAGTAAAGAGGGATAACTTTCTTTTTTTCTTTCTTTTCTTTCTTTTCTTTTTTTTTTTTTTTTTTGACAAGATGTGACTCCATTGCCTGGGCTGGAGTGCAGTGGCACAATCTCTGCTCACTGCAACTCCATGCTCAAGCAATTCTACAATTTCAGCCTCCCAAGTAGCTGGGACTACAGGCATTCACCATCACGCCCAGCTAGTTTTTGTATTTTTGTATTTTTGTATTTATTTATTTATTTTTTTGGTAGAGGCGGGATTTTGCCATATTGCTCAGGCTGGTCTCAAACTCCCAGACTCCAGCAATCCTCCTGCCTTGGTCTCCCAAAATGTTGGGATTACAGGTGTGAGCTACCATGCCCTGCCAAGATAGCTTTCTAAACCAAAATATATATACTTAATATCTTATTTAAAAAAAACCCTCATGGCACATATTTCTTTACCCACTCTCAGATTTTTGGATAGAAAGAAACTATGTGAAGGAAGGACCCTGGAGCTTAAACTTCATGAGCTTTATTGGGCAAAGGAAGTCTTTCTAACCATTATGATATTTTTTTCTTCATATGAAAAGAGAATGAGTATTCTTCCCTTTTGGACCATATTTAAGGAGCGTTTTTCTCAAACTTCTTTGTAATAAAACCTTGACTGCTTAAGATGTATTTGTACTTGGTTCATCATTAGCTGTTGAGGCATTTTTTGCATACCCATCTTTTTTGGACATAGGGTCATGAGAATTCAATTTAAAAAATCACAAGTCCTTGAATATTCTCAATTTATCTCTGTGACACTAGGCTTTAAAGAAAGCAGGGGCAGAGTTGGAACTTGACTAGCAAATGACCACAGTTATGGTTGTAATACTAGTCAATTATGACATAAAAATACAGTGAGTCACAGTGGGACACCAACCTAACTTATTGGAAGCAAAAAAAAAAAAAAAGTTAACCAGTTGTTTTGTTTTCCTATATAAACAGCTGGTTTAATTTTCACATTAGATAAATTCATAAATTTCCTCATATGTATAATGAACAAAGTCCTGCCTCCTCCTAAACTGAACAGAAACCATGTTTATTTTGCTTACTCTCATGTCCCCAGTTTCCAGAATGTTAGCAACTACAGGGTAGTTAATATATAAATATTTGGTGAAGGAATGAAATCAGAAGACATCAATTATTCAGCTTGAGTTATTTCTATGCCACATACAAATACACATGTCCTATGGCTGCCATAGCAAATTATCACAATTTAGTGACTTAAAACATTATACATTTATTATCTACAATTCTGAAGGTCAGAAGTCTGAAATGAGTTTTATGAAGCTAAAACAAAGCCATCAGCAGGGTTTATTCCTTGTGGAGGCTCCAAGGGAAAATCTATTTCCTTGACTTTTCCAGCTTTTAGAGGCTTCCTGCTTGTCTTGGCTCATGGCCCCCTCCTCTATCTTCAAAGCACATGGTTCCAACCTCAGATTCTTTTATCCCATCTCCTTTCTGATGTTTGATAGGGAGATGGGACAAGAGATCTTGCCTCCCTCTTATAATAAGGACCCTTGTGATGACACTGGGCCCACCTCGATAATCCAGAGTATTCTCCCCATCTCAAAACATTTAGCTTAATTCCATCTGCAGAGTCTCTTTAGCTACATAAAGTAAGATTTTCACAGGTTCTGGAGATGTGGATGTAGACATCTCTGGGGGCCATTATTCTGTCCACACAGTTTGAGAAATCACTCCCAGAATATTTGTTTTTAGGGACAGTTACTGGAATTCATTGAATTTAGACCTGGTTTCTGGGCTAGTATTTTGTCATTGAGACAATACTTTTACTAAAGCAGAAATTTTTAAAAAGCACTTTAATGTCAAGAGAGATTTACTGGACACAAAGACCACAAAGAGGTCTATATTAATACTGAGAAGCAATATAGACTTGGGGGAAATTTGCTCTCTTTATTGTAGCAATTTATAATCTGGATGAATGGATATATCACAGATATTTGATTCTCACCACCCCTCCCGTATCAGTTTTTTCCTTATTGCCTCTACAGTTCTGGGAGATACTCAATATGCTGTATGAGTAAGGACTTGCTCTTCTCTGTTGCCTCTCTTCTCCTCTGTATGAGTTACACTAAAACTAACTTGGCTCAAGTGACAAGATGAAGATACTTGTTTAATGGTGTTTCTCAGAGAGCAGACAACAACTTAATTAAAGAGGGCATATGATAAATGAAAATATTTTCAGGAGAATATGAGTTACAAATTACCTCAATACAAATTAATAAGCAACGGAACTCCTGACACAGTCTAGGTGCTCAATAAATATTTGTTGAACTAATTACACATTTATATGTAGTATGAGGATTACTTCACCTCCATACAGCAGCTCACTTCTATAGACACCTTGGCTGGGATGTAACAGTGACTCTAAAGGCACAAACTCCACAGTTAAATGATGAAAAGACAAAAACAAGAAGGAAGAGGTCCTGGGATCTAATGAGGACCTTGTGGACAATGAGCATGAAGAAATTCTTTTGAGAGCTGGGGTCTCCCATTGCACATTGGAACATCATAGTGCCAGTGCCTAGGTCTGACTCAACAAAGCACCACCACTGAGTCATCTGACCACTTCCTGGGTTTTCCCCCTTGAAGCCTTCACACCCAGGGTCTGCATGCACCCCACCCTGCAGGGGATGATCTCAACTGGGTTCATTAACTAAAGCCTTGACAGACCCTTCTGATGTAATGGTCCCTGTGAAACCCAGAGTCCCATCTCTGGAGACTGTGAGGGAAGAGGGTTTAAGCAATGACAATTAGTTGGGAATTTTTTCCTTCATGTCATCTGTGAGAACCATCTGACCTCACAAGCAAGACTCTCTGTGGTGAGAAAGGGTGGTGTGTGCCTTACAGGAAATTCGAAAATGACTTCAGGGCATTACATACATGATTAGCAAGAGGGTAAAATATAGGATTGGAATCTTGCTTCTGATTTTTAGAGTAGAAAGAAAATTGGGCTAGGGCGGGGGAAGAGAGGTCACTGAGGAAGGGTGTATTTGATGATACAGCCTGAAGGAAAAAGAGCTCTCCATAGCCTTCCTCATTTCTTCCGCAAATATTTATTGAGCACTTGGGATGGAGCAAGTCACTGTTCTAGCCCTTCCTCCTCCTCATCCCTGTTTTCTCCTCCTGCCAACTTTCTTTTTGTTGTTCCGAGTTTGAATATTTTTCACACTCAGAGCTGTATAAACTTCTCTTCATCACCAGATTCTTTGATCTATGAACAATAGCAGCTCTTTGAATAGCAGAATAGGAATATCTGTTTCATAATTTCACTTTTTCTACAGACTTTGAACATCACCATGTCAGGAAAACGTAAAGTTAAAGGGTTCCCATGGTTTGACCACACCCTGACCTCCTTTTGGTTTTCTTATTCCCTTTTCATAGTGTTTTTATTTTTTACCCAATTTGGTCACACTCTTTTGAGGCTAATTATATACTGGCCTTGCAATCTTCACAAGATTTGCACATGACAAGTTCTGATTTGCTTGTTAGTCAGTGAAGGCAATCTTCAAAATGAAGCTTCATAAATAACCAAAAGGAAGATTTCATACTCAACAGTAAAGCTAATTTATACTTACAAGGATTTTTCCATGATGCATTATACAGTGTTAGGCATAATATTTTAATCTCCTACACTTTAACACACATTTCAGCCATCCTGACTTTGATTGACCTATGGCGTCTGGATGCTTCATAATGTATTGTGGAACATACAGCACTACATCATATTATGGGCTGTAATGTGTTATTATGCAATTTCTTCAGACTCTCTCTCCTTCACTTTCTTTTTTTTCTTTTTCTTTTTTTTTTTTGAGACAGAGTCTCACTCTGTTGCCCAGGCTGGAGTGCAGTGGCAAGATCATGGCTCACGGCAGCCTCAACCTCCTGAGCCCAAGCAATCCTCCCACCTCAGCCTCCTGAGTAGCTGGAACTACAGGCACGCACCACCACACCTGGCTATTTTTTTTTTTTTTGTATGTTTTGTAAAGATAGGGTTTCACTATGTTGCCCAGGCTGAACTCCTGGGATCCGCCCATCTCGGCCTCCCAAAGTGTTGGGATTACAGGCATGAGCCACCGCGCAGGGCTTCTCCTTCACTTTCTTACTCATATGTACACACACACACGCACGCATGCACAAGCATCTATGCACACACACACAGTTAGATGCTTATATTAAGTGGTCCCCAAACTTAAGTGATATTTCTCCCTCTTCTATGACATTGCCCACTAGTTATTTTCTGTTAGCTGAACAAAAGCAATTCCATTCATTTCTGAGAGACTCTAAAGACGTGTTTACATAGATAGCAACTCATGCCAACAACCTAAATGTGGAATCATTCTTCCTAGGTTTCCCTCAGCACTCACCATATAGTACCATCAATGATCTAACCAAAAAATAACCTGTTCAGAGAAAATGTGTTGTCATAAACAAGGTGCACAGAGATCTGGGTTCTAGAAATTGCTCAACTGTTAATTAGCATTGTGACCTTCAGGAACTCATTTAACCTTTCAGAACCTTTTAAACCTCTCCTATCTACTTCCTGGGTTAGGAGGATACAATAGGGTAATGTCTGTGAAAGGAGCCTAAACGACTGAATCGTTCACATGAGCAACTTTTAAAGTCAACCCTATCCAACTTTGCAGAGCTGTTTTAGAATAAAAAATTATTTCTTTGTGCTCAACCATATCAGTTGTAAAACTATTTTAGAAGTGGGGATTGATTAACTTTTAAGGCAACCAACCACATTTATTCAAAGAAACTGTATGAGCACACTATATTAGGCACTACAAAATCCTAATTTGTTTACATTCCAAGATTCAAATTCAGGCCCCTTCTGTGACACTCAAATTCCGCACCTCTATACCTAATCAGACTCAGACACTTTACAAAATACTGACAACTTGTGACAGCTGTAAGTATAGCTATCCTTCAAAAATCCAGGTGGACAGAGACTTCGCTTTTCATAGGATTTCCCACATACACAACCAATTAAGAGATTAAAAGGACATACCAGTTTTAAAATGTGTTATTCACTGACACAGGCAGTGTTCTGGCACTGTGTTTTGACTGCACTGACAGGAGCATATTTATAGGGAAGAATTCCACCTAGATTCTTTTGTTCAGCTCATTACAATTGATTTGTTACTGGTGTAAACTCAGGATTATTATAATAATTAGTGCAGACATTAATGTAATGAAATAGTGTTTTCCAGCTAAAGTAATATTCAAACGCAAGCCTGGTTTTCCTCCACTGTTAACTGGAGTCCTCCGAACACTCCGAGACTGAGGCGGTTCTTGATGCTCCATATTAAGCCGAGGTTCCTTTACTTTTATTCTTTTTTTGGTTTCACTGTTGAACCTTTCTAGGTCGCAATTACACTTAGTTTCTATAATGCAGTGCCAATGAAGTGACAAACGCTATCGCATAAGTCAAAGGCAGGATTTGGAGAGTGCAGGTGTTCAGAAGTTTGCACACCATGCAGTGTTTGACTGTGGGATTCATTATGGCTTACGGGAAGATAGCAGCCCTTGAAGGGCTCCAGTGACAGAAACACATTTGCAGCTTGCTGCCAAGCCATACAGATGTGGAGGCAATGTTTAAAATCATCTAATAGAGATGTGTTCAAGATCACCTGAGCCACCTTTGTGGCTCTAGGGCCAGGTTTGTTAGAGCCACAGGCTCACACACCTGCCAAGAAGTGTGAACACCCCTCCAGGTCTTTGTAAAATGCATCTGTGTGTAACTTTTGATAGCTTTTACAAAACATGCAATTACTGTTCAGAGTGACTTTCCTTCAGCTGCTTTCTAGTCATGGGAAGTAGGTGGAAACATTTCTCAGTGGGCTGGAATTCCAAATGCCACTTGGATCCTGGGCTATGGGCCTTTTTATATTGTTTGTGCATGTATTTCAGGCATGTTCGAGCTGAGGGGCTTAGCGTTCAAAGGGCACGTAGTCTGGAAAAATCACAGGTTTCTGTTAAAAATTCACCTTTGTAATAAATGTGGGAATGGCGATTTGAAGTAAATAATAAGAAATCATTAAGTTGTGGTGAACAAAATGTGCCAATTTGCTCTGACATTTCACAGTATCAATTGCCTTCTTATGTGTCAAAATCATGAATAAGATTTTTTTGGGAGGGGGGTGTTGGAATGATATGTTGAGTTGCAAACTCGTTAACAGTAGTCATTGGAAATGGAAGAAAATGGTGTTGAAGTAGTTGCTGCAGCCTTGGTGGTAAAGGGAATGAGGAGGCTTACCACAGCTTTCTCCTGTTGCCTGAAGCCTGAGACCCTGTAACAATCTCCAGGACAGTCACCTGAGAGGGAGACCCACCTGCATCTGAGCTGGGGGACTCTGGGCTTTCATAGCTTTAGAGATTTGGGAGTTGCAAATCAAATTCTTCATATTTGGCCATATGAAAAACATTCACCCTCAGAAAACTTGAGTGGAGGCAATGGTGACCATTTTACATTAATTTATTTTGGTCTGCGGTTAATTCTCTAGCAGCTTCAGTTAGCACTGGAGTCTTTCAGCACCACGGATCCTTTCTTCTATCACATGAACCTTCTTTTCTCCTTCACCCTTCAGGTCCAGCTCTGTACCTTTCCTCAGAAGTCCCCTTGCGGGCACTTCTTTCCATTGGAACTGCTCCGTTGTGGCACAAGAATTATATTTGCTCTCAGGCCAGAGGGTGTGAAATTCTTTCCTAAGGTTATGACCTTCCAGAGGAGACCCTGGCCCTCATTCTAGGAAGTCACGGCTTGCAACATCCTCTCAGGGAAGTTTTTGACAAATCACACTGTCAGCGATGATAAAGAATAGTAAAAGTTCAAGTCAACCCAGTGCTCTTGCTGAAGGCCTGGCCTTGTCAAGGCTTCTGGTGCAACCTGCAACCTGCTGCCTCAACCCCACCCCCATGCCTCCACAGACTCTTCCTTGCTAGCAATGAATCACGTGCCTCTGCTTTCCCAATTGAACCCTACTGAGTCTCTTCGGCCTCTGGGCTTCTCAGCCTGGATCTTTGCTGTGGAGAGCCTTGGCAGGACTGACGCTGTTTCTCCAGGTATGTTTTACGCTATTAACAACACTGTTTTTAACAGCTGTATAGAAGCTTCGCACAAGAGAGCACCGATTCCATTTGTATGAAATTCAAGAATAGGCCAACTAATCTATGGTGACACAGATCAGATCCCCTGTGAGGGTCAGAGTGTTTTTCAAAGAGGGCAATTTCTGGGTGATAGAAATATTTTATATGTTGGCTGGGCTGTTGGTTATACAAGAAAATACATTTGTCAAAACTCATTGAACTGAATACTTAATATCTGTGCATCTCACGGTTTATAAATTTTACCGCAGTAAAAATAAAAACTGTATCATGGGGGGAAAAAGAATAATGAAAGTTCCAGTTACACACAGTTAATAATGACAAGAATCAAAATGTGTAGCGAGTCTAGCTCAGGAAATACCTTACTTAGAGATATTATTCTTTTCTCTCCTTTCCTTTCCTTTCTTTTCCTTTCCTTTCCTTTCCATTCCCTCCCTTCTTTCCTTCCATCCGCCCTTCCTTCCTTCCTTCTTTCCTTCCTTCTTATTACATTACTTCTGTGTGCTTGTATATCAAAAAACAAATGGTACGTTTCAATGAAGTGATTTGCATGGAGTTTAATAAACGGGCTATTGGCAAGCATTTGCATGGACTGGAGTAAGGAAATGAACAAGGTGTAGTGCACAACTGTGGGTCTTAGTAACAGCGGGGAGCCACTGCCACCCCTAGGCCTGAAGGGATAACAGTCAGAAGAGTTCCTGCAACCCAGAAAGGAATGCTCTATGGAGCAGGCCTCCTGAGAGGAGCCACGGCCTTAAAGAAAGGGACACAGCCGGCCGGGTACGGTGGCTCACGCCTGTAATCTCAGCACTTTCGGAGGCCGAGGCGGGTGGATCACGAGGTCAGGAGTTTGAGACGAGCCTGGCCAAGATGGTGAAACCTCGTCTCTACTAAAAATACAAAAATTAGACAGGTGTGGTGGTGCACGCCTGTAGTCCCAGCTACTTGGGAGGCTGAGGCAGGAGAATCGTTTGAACCCAGGAGGCGGAGGTTGCAGTGAGTCGAGATCATGCCATTGCACTCCAGCCT
The DNA here is from genome assembly GCF_000001405.40 of Homo sapiens. Taxonomy (NCBI): domain Eukaryota; kingdom Metazoa; phylum Chordata; class Mammalia; order Primates; family Hominidae; genus Homo; species Homo sapiens. Next base: position 24,714,066 of record NC_000012.12, on the reverse strand, counting down.
GGGCAACAAGAGCGAAACTCTGTCTAAAAAAACAAAAAAACAAAAAACAAAAACAAAAAAAAAAAAAGAAAGGGACACAGCCAATTCCCAGCTACTTGGCTCATTTCCAGACCTTATTGTCTTCTTACCTCTCAGTGCCCAGCCGGGGCCTCCCAAAGACCTACACAACCAGAAGCTAACTAGAAGGGAGCTTGCAGTCCGGGCTCCCAAGATACAGAGCTAGGAGAGGGGTGAAAAGTGGATGTGGGGGACAAGCCAAGGATGTACAGCCCCACTGGTCACTGGAGTACCCCCGGTGTTATGAATACAGCAAAGGCAAAAAACCCTGCTACTCAGGAATCATACATCCTTGATGGAGGCACTAGAAAAAAAAAAGGAGGACTAAAATATGTAATCAATACGTGGGCACAGAGAAGACAGAGCGTCTAAACCAGATGGAAAACTGAGACAGAGCGGGTGTTGGAGACAAGGCTGGGGAGCACTGTCATCAAAGGCTTCCTCCAAGAGGCATGGCCTCTGCTCAGTCTTCAATAGGGTGCAGGTAGAGATGGAAGAGAGCACATGAGAGTGGGTGGGACAGCTCGTACAAAGGCCAAGCAGTGAGAGGCTGGTTCCATGTTGCAAAGACTGGACCATATGGTAAAAGGACAAGAGGCTGGAGGTGAAGCTGGAAGAGAAGACGAGGGCCAGGTCACAGACAGTGGTGGTTGGGTGCAAACTTCATTCTGTGGACAATAGATAGCCACTGAGATAGTCTCAGTAGGCAAGCAACACAGCCAAATGTCACTTTCAAAGATTGTGCAGTAATGAGGCAGTGTCTGTGCTGGTTTGAGGTGAGGTGAGATTGGAGTCTGGAGACGAGTTAGGAGCTAAGAGTGAGAGAGTCAGTGGGAGGCAAAGAGAGAGACACACAGAGCACTCCTCTCCAAAGCCTGGAACACCCATACCTGGCTTTCCCTCTCTGTATCCACACAACGTACACATTCCCTGCCCATGTAAGCTGCTCCTACTCCTGAGCCATGCCAAGAAGGAATGTGTCTTTCCATCAGTGGACTCCTCAAACTAAATTTTGTTTGAGCTCCCCTCCCTGGTGTCTCTTCTCTGCTAGGGCTGGGCTGAATGTTCTTCTCCAGGCCCCCAAAGGACTCCCAGGTTCAAGCTGTTCTCCAGGCTCCCAAAGGACTCCCAGGTTCAAGCGATTCTCCTTGAGAATAAACCCCTATGTCCTAACATTTACAGCATTACAGTGAAAGGAACTGCTCATGTCTCTATTCCACCCACTGAGAAGTGAGGTTCTTGGAGGCTGGGGCCTCATCTTTTGTACCCCTGTATCTGCAGATCTTGGTCCACAGTAGGTTTTTTATAAGTTCCCTGCCTTAAATTGAACTGAACTTCTGACCTTTTCTCTGCCTAAGCTCCCAGCTTTTGGAAAGATGGAGTTGGAGAGAGAAAGAGCATCCTCTTGACTGGCCAGATTCACTGAATTGACCCTGAGGCTCCAAAGGGTGACAGATAGTACAGTCAGATCACATCACATGTGAATTCCCACCCAGATGTCTTGGTTCTCTAAAGTTCCCTTTACCCCAGAGTTATTTCTTACCTTCTGAAGATCCAAGAGCAACATCAAGTGAAATAGTATTTTGGAGAAATTTGTGAACTATAAAGAGACACATAGCATTGACTTATTGTATATCAGGTATATTAATTAATAATTAATTTCTTTCTTTTCTTTCTTTTTTTTTTTTTTTTTTTTGAGATGGAGCCTCACTCTGTTGCCCAGGCTAGTGCAGGGGCATGACCTCAGCTCACTGCAACCTTCACCTCCCAGGTTCAAGCAATTCTTTTGCCTCAGCCTCCTGAGTAGCTGAGACTACAGGTGCCTGCCACCATGCCGAGCTAATTTTTGTATTTTTAGTAGAAACTGGGTTTCACCATGTTGACCTGGCTGGTCTCAAACTCCTGACCTCAAGTGATCCACCCACCTCGGCCTCCCAAGGTGCTGGGATTACAGGCGTGAGCCACGGTGCCTGGCCAATAATTAATTTCTTAGATACCTGGATATAGTCAGTTTACATATGAACACAGGAAACACTGAAAAATATACCAATCAGATCAGGCAGTCTCCAATAAAGCCTGAAGCATAAGGGTTCAAATCTGCTATATGTGCTCTTCTATCCTAAATTTCCTCAAGAAAAGATGAAATAATCCAAACAGTGAGGCAATGCTGCTGGCCTGGCTATCCCAAAGGACGTAGTGGTGGAAGGATGTATTACAAGGAGACAGTTGCTAGGAGGGTAAAGGCAAATTAGAAAGTTACAATTTACTGGCATGTACTTTTGGGGCCAGACAGCTTATCTTTAATGCTCATTACAGTCAGGTAGCGTAGATGTAATTTTTATCCTCATTTTACAGATAGGTTCTCTGAAGTTAAAAATTAGTTTTTTCATTCACCAGACACTTATTGGGCCCCTATTAGATGGCAGGCACTGTGTTAGTTCAGCACCTTTTCGAAAGCCACTCAGCAGAGCTGGGTTCTGAACTCTCATCGGTCTATATGTCGAAAGACTGTGATCTTTTCACTACACAGTTTTCCTTTTCCAGCCCACTCAGTGGTAGCTTTGGAGCAAGATTTCCATTGTATTAGTAAAACAGTGACTTTTTGGGACACTGTGTTAGTGCAATATTTTCAAACTTACAGGGTTCAGATAGCATCTCACCTAAAGCTCCCAGCATTTTAACACCAAGTCTGCTGAAGCTGCAGGCAGTCTAATTCAGTCTTGTGCACAGTTCTCTATGTGGGCAGCATGCATCTGTAGAAGCTTTCAGTGGGCGGGATTTAATTCCCCATACTTTTAGTTATGTTGTTACTGGGACTTTAATATGTCCTGAGTTTTGACAGAGCAATTATAAAACACATGTTAGTTATTTCTGTGACAAATATAGGCTCCATGGATGCCTTGAATAAACTTTTCTTTCCTTCATACTGTACTACACCCAACCCTCCCCTTCACGGCTCCCTGTGGCCTACTTCAGGGCAATTAATAAGAAAAATATCTTCCCTTCTCACACCTCTCAGATATTTTAACTTGAATGGGACTCTTATGGCTGGTGGCCACCAGCTTCAACATCGCTCCATGCTATTTTCAAAGATTGTTGTGAAATGTGTGGGAACAAAGTCACAAGGCCCACCACTGTGTGCTCAATAGTATAATGGCCATGCCAGTTGCAAGCCATACTGCAAAGACCAGTTTAAAAGCAAGCTCCCAGAGAGTGAAACACTGGGTTTGATGACATCAAAGGTAGATGCTTCTCCTTCCATGGGTCTCTGTTCTCCTCTACGGATTTTCCACCATCAAAGTACCTCTCTATGAGCGAAGTCAAATCTTTCTTGAAGCCACAAGTGAATAATTCAATTAATAATTAATTTTTGTTTATTTAGAAAGCTATGGGAGATTAAGGGAAAAAATCTAATTATAAAAATAAGAGCTAAAATTTATTTAGTTCCTATTATTTTTGAATACTTACTATGAGCTAGACAGTATGCTAAGGAATTTACGTACATCTAATTTTACCCTTACAAAAACTCCTATACCATAACAAAATTCAGCCATTCATTCATCCACTCAATCAGTCATTCAGTCATTCAACAAACATGCCCTTAGCATTTACTACATGTGAGGTACTATTCTAGGTCTTGGGAATACAGTTTTGAATAAGATACAGGTCTGGGCCGGGTGTGGTGGCTCATGCCTGTAATCCCAGCACTTCGGAAGGTTAAGGCAGGCAGATCACAAGGCCAGGAGTTCAAGACCAGCCTGACCACCCCATCTCTACTAAAAATACAAAAATTAGCTGGGAGTGGTGGCACATGCCTGTAGTCCCAGCTACTCGAGAGGTTGAGGCAGGAAAATTGCTTGAACCTGGGAGGTGGAGGTTACAGTGAGCTGAGATTGTGTCACTGCACTCCAGCCTGGGTGATAGAGCAAGACTCCATCTCAAAAAAAAAAAAGAAGACTCAGGTCTGATTGAGTTAAAATCTAGCCATGAAAGCAGATAGCAAACAAGAAGGTAAAGATAATTTCAGATAGTAATGAGTGGCATAAAGAAAATAAAATGGGATGGTGCAATAAAGATTGACATTACATAGAGTAATCAGGAAAGAACTCTTTGAGGCTGTGCCAGACCTAAGTGATAGGACAAAGTCAGATGTACTTTTATCTAAGAGAAGAACACTCTTAAAAAAAGCATAAGCACAGAGATCCTGGAATTGTAAATAAATTAAGAGAAACAGGAAGAAACCTAGTCTGGCCGGACCATAGTTAGCAAATGAGAGAATATTAGATTAGGGATAAGATCATAGATTAGTGCCGGTACTTACAAGGCTTTGTAGGCTATGGAAGGAATTAGATTGTATTCTGAGGATCAGAACAGGAGAGTGGTGTGGTCTGATTTATAATTTTAAAAGATCACTACGGAAAATGACGTGTAGGCATCTGAGATTATAAACAGAGAGATAAGTTACAGGACTATTGAATAGTTCAGGAGAAAGATCAGGGTGGTTTAGACTCTGGTGGTAGACATGAAAATGATTGCATATTCAGGACAGAGGCAGGAGAAGTTTTGGAGGTGGAGCTGTTAGGCATTAAGATAAATGTGGGTGAAGATGATGGGAAGAAAATGAAGGATGACTCATAGTTTTCAGCTTGAGCAGTTAAAGTGTGTCATAATTGAGAGGGGAATGAGTGGGGGAAGAGTGGGGTTTTTTGTGTGTTCTTTTTGGTGGGGATGGGTTGAGGAAAATCCAGTTTTGTTTGACATGGATTTTAGGCATTCAATAAAGATGCCAAGTTGGACAGATGGGTCTAGCACCTGGCAGAGCAGTCAGGGCTGGACATATAAATTTGGGAGTTATTAGCATTTTAACTTTCAGGTAAAGACTTGGGACTGAATGTGATATCCTAGCAATAATGCAGAAAAGGAAGAAAAGAGTTCAGGCCTGAGTTCTAAGTCACTTCAAGACTTAAAAGTTAGGTAGAGAGAGAGGATCTGGCAGAGGAGTTTAAAAGGGAGAGGCCAGTAAAGTAGGTAGAAAACCAGGAGAGAGTGGAGTCACCAGATGCCAAGAGATGACAGTGAAGGAAAGTGATCTCTCATGTTAGTTGATGTTGACAGGTTGAACAAGATAACAGCAGAGAGTGACGATGGAATGACATGGAAGCCAAGGAAAGTGAAGCTTGAACAGAGAGAAATGAGAATTGTGGAAGTAGGACTAGACAGAGGCATAGACAGATAGAGTCGCTTGCTCAGAGTTTGAACCAAATTCAAGATTTGAACCCAGGGAGTCTGATTTCAAAGCTAGACTAATAAACTTATCTCTGTGTCTGGGAAAAGGATAAAGTCATCCCTATCCCTTCTTTTATGAGTAACCACTGCTCAGTGACATTAGAAAGACAATGAACTGTGGATGTTCTCTGATCTAGAGAAGGGCTGTGTAACTCTGACCAGATAGGCACTGTGGGGCAGATTGTGCCAGGAAAGGCAATATGGTAGGAGATATTTTGAGAGAGCATCTTTCAAATTACATAGTTTAATTATTTACATATGTATAGCTCTTTACATTTCATAAAGCATTATATTATACATTCTCTCATTTGATTTCCACAGCAACCCAGTAAGTTAGAAATAGTTCCAACAAGAAGGCATATACCTGAAGGGCAATTCATGAGAAAAGCAGGGCCAAGATTCCAGTTACATGTGAATCATTTGAGAGATTAAATCATTTTTGTTTGGTTTTCTGTCAGCATAGCTAGTTTGACCTCTGTCTTGATATGAATGCTGAAAACCCTCTACTATTATACTATGCACTCATCAATTCATCCACTCATTCATCCACCTGTCCACCTATCCATCCATTTGTGAGAACTGCACTGCACACCTGGCTTTAGCTTTGTCATAAGGTCTTCATCATCAAATCCTGGTTCTTATCCTTGAGCAGTGTATGCTCGTTGAGAAGAAAAAGTAACAAAAGTACATAAAGACAGCATTGGCTATGATCAACATACAGACATGTATGGTGCCTTATGTGCCAGGCACTTAACTCTCTTTTCTTCCTTTCCTGCATTATTGCTAGAATATCACATTCAGTCCCAAGTCTTTACCACCTATAAGTTAACATGCTAATAACTCCCAAATTTATATGTCCAGCCCTGACTGCTCTCCCGGGTGCTAGACCTATCTGTTAATCTGTTATCTGCCAGGGTTAATACAGATCAAAATTTGCTGGTCAGAAGAAGCATGATAAAACCCAAAGAAGAAATTGGTCAGTTTGCTCTGAATGAGGTAAAATGACTTCATAGAAGTGTTGCCAGATTGGATTGATGGATTTTAAGGTACAGGGGTAGATGCAAGGAAGGGAAGGTGTTGCAAAAGATTTACCACCAATTCTTCAGGCAGAAGGAGTAACATGAGTGAGGGCATGGAGGGGTGAAACAATGTCGGTGTGTTTGTGCAATTGCAGTTAGCTTAGCATGTCTAAGCACAGGCTAGAGATAGAGGGTGGGTAAAGTGATAAATAAGATTACATCAGTGTTAGTAATAGCTAATGACAACACAATAATTATTTCACTGAAACTTCAGACAAACCCAATGAGATGAATACTACAATTTCTCCCATTTTACATATATGAAAACTGAGGCATTAAGAATTTAAGTAATTTGCTCTAGATCACAAAGCTAGGCAGCTGAAATGAGATTTGAACCTAGGCAAACTGGTTCCAGAGTTCCATTCCTCAAGCACCACATTGAAGACCTATTTTGCAATTCTAAAATTTGTTTTTTTCTCTACAGGAAATGGGAATCCAGTGAAATTTCATATGCAGTCACTTTAGTAGAATCTCATGGTTCCTTGGGTAGAATTCAGGCTTTTCTGGATAGAATTCAGGGTATCTATGAACTTGGATAGAAAAAATATGTATATATATTTTAACAATAGGGTCTTGCTATGTTGCCCAGGCTGGAGTGCAGTGGCTATTCACAGGCGATCCAACTACTGATCAGCACCGGAGTTATGACCTGCTCTGCTTCCGACCTGGGTCCATTCACCCCTCCTTTGCCAGCCCCGTAGGCCCCGCTAACAGGAGGTTACCATACTGATGCTGAACTTAGTGCAGACACTCAACTGGCATAGCTCACTACAGCCCAGAACTTTTGGGCTCAAGGGTTCCTCCTGCTTCAGCCTCCCAAGTAACTGGGACTACAGGCACATGCCACCATGCCCAGCTACATCTTTATACAAATGTCTAACTGTACCATAGTGTTTTCTTAAACTATTAATTTAGGTAAAAAATGTCAGTAGTATTCATGGCACCTGTGACTGAAATATTTTCACATCTCATCAAATTTGTTTTTGGTATCTTGAAATGATATTTACACTCTGTGCTACTCAAAATTACAATAGTTATTAGACCTGATACTAGATCTTATTATTTAATGCATTAATGAGGATATGCATACATTATTATATCACGAATTTATTTTTAAAATTTAGATAGCTGTATTTCAATGTAACTTTTTTGTAATTCTCTACATTTAAAATCATTATTAAGAGAAGAGATCCACAGGCTTCTCCAGTCTGCCAGAAGAATCAAGGTACACATACATTTGATATAGTTCAAATTCCCATGCTATATAAAAATCCCCTTGATTCCATTATTTAGAGGCAACTGTGTGGAATTAGTTTGTTTCCAGTGACTGGGGAGTTCACTAATAAATAAATACCTATTGTTTCTTTAAAGCTCAAAAATTTTAAAGAATTCTTTTTTATATTGGAAGTTATAACTGCTTTGTTAGACTTTCTCTTCTCTCCTCACTTTTAGAATTGCCCTTCCCTCTTGAGCTACATTCCTTTTAAAAAATGTGAAAAATTTCTGTCTGGTTTCTTTGAAATCTGTTTTCCTGAAGGCCGAAGTGGCTTTCTGACTCTTCCCAGAATTCCCACTGCTCACTCTTACAAATCTCCAAAATATAGGGGTAAATATCTCACAAATTTCCTGTCCCTGACGCATCATCATCTAGCCCTTCCCTGAAATTCATAGTTAAGTTGCAGTTCCCCTTATCACTTCCTCAAACATCTGAGAGATGAAACTATTAGTAAAGCGAGTCAAGAATTTACCAGATACATGCTTTTAGCAGAATGAAACTTTCAGCAGCTGTGTAGATAAAGCCTCGGCCCTACCCCCATCACTTCTGGATCCTGTTCTGTGTCAGTATTATTGGCTATATTCAGAAAACACTATGCATCTCCTCTCTGGCCATTTAGTGTAAAGCTGACTTCCATGACAATATCAATTCTATTTCTCTCTCCTTTTATCATCACCCAACTCATCATCGCATTTCTACACATTGCTTCATGAATTTTCATACAGGTGCATGCTTTCCTGACAAGTTAGATCTATTTCTTTTGTAAAAGTTTATCTTTCCACTGCCATCTTCCAGTTGGCAATCATCTCCTTCTTCCCATCAAGTCACATTGATTTCTGTTTTCCTTGGCTGCCACTGTAAATTTGCTGCAAGGAAAGGATTAACAGTTCCTGGAGACTATCTGTGCTGCACCGGGTATAACCACAGAGTTAGAAAGGACTGCTACCGGCACCCCTCAAAGGAAACTTGGCAAAAGAAATCCACTTCCCATCACCTTGCCACAGCTGCAAATGCCATTGTCAGGTAATTTATATTGAACTTTTAAAAAGTGTTTCAAGACAGAAAAATAGTGGGAGTTGGTAGAGGCAGTGCTGTTTTTACACTTCTCATTTGTTCCTTGGTGTCTGAGATATAAGTTCACTCAAAAAAGAATGTTAGGAACTAGTTTTACTCCAAATGCCAAAAGAACAGTACTCTTAGCTATTTTCTGACTAAAGGGGGCTAGAATAATATATAGAAGAAATTAATCAATACTACTTCTTTCTTTTCCCAAGGTGTTTTGTTTCCATTTATAAGTCTGAGATGAAATCTTTCAGAAAAAAGAAAAATGAAGGGTGAAAAAGCAAAGTACCCAGTTCTGGAATTCCTGAACCTAAATACATATACTTTTTTCATAGTATTTTTGAAGTTATATTTACAGAGAACAAATCTATTCATAACACATGAGCCAGTTTCTTTGGCTCATGCATTTATTTTGGTAGAGATTGGGATAAAACCAGTACAACCTTTAGAAGGTAGTGACTCAAAACAGTAAGAGGCTCTATGGCTGAGAATGCCCAGATGGCTGGTTTGTTTGAGCATGGAAGATAAGTAAAGATGCCGCAATGCTTACCGTTACTACTGGACAAAATCTTGCGATGGCCTATTTGAAAGGCAGTAGGAAGCCGAAGTCCAATAACGATCATAAAATGAATATTGAATAAGCTATTTACTCTGGTGTAGTGAAAGACATCTACGTTTAAACCTGAAGATTTAGAGATCTCATGTATCTTCTCGTCTAACCTAAGAATTCAAAGGATGAGAACTGGTAGGCCACAGAACTAGATGGCTATGAAGTGAGCCAAGAGCACGAGGCTCCTAACTGCCAGTCTCTTGCGCAGCCTATTGCCTTGAAGAAATTGCTGGGCACATTGATCCCTCTCCTTTTCTCCTCTAGCTTCCACGACATCATCTCTTGGTTTTTCTCTTGTCATCTGACCATTTCCTCTAAATTTAAAGTTCTTCAATCATAGGCTCCTGCTTTTTAAAATGTTCACTTCACCTAAGTTTTCACCTTTGGGCTTCTTCTCTTTTCAATCGACATTCTCCTTGGGCAAACTTTTCCCCTGCTGTTACCTCAGTTACCAAGGGAGAAGGGAAGAGGGGGCAACAAGCATCAAGCACAGCACAATGATTCACTAAGGATAGGAAATATCCAAAAAGACTGTAAGAAGGGGAGTTATTTATGGCCAAATTTTCAGCAAAGTGGTGGGTCAGAAGATCCAGAGATTAAAGAGAGTCGTTTGGGGGAGAAACACAGACTACTTTTAATTTACAGAAATTTGGAAGAGAGAATATGGCAGCCAACTGAAAGAGACTTTTGGTTTTATTTTTAGGATGGGAGATAATTTGAGCGTATTGATTAGCTGAATGCAGGGCCAATAATGAGGTGGGCTGAAAATGAGAGGGTGAGAGAACTGATGGAGTGAAATCCCAGATAAGTTATGGGAAGCCAGGGTCAAGGGGACAGATGGAGGGACAGGCCTTGAACAGCAGAGCACCTCATCCTCTGAGAGTGGACAGAAGAGGTAAGGATGGGTGAATGTAGATCTGTTGATATGTTGGGGGGACATTTGGGCCAATTTATGACAGATTCTTTCCCTTTTATAAGTAAGTAACAAAGCAAGATGTTCTTCAGAAAGTGAGAGAAATCTCACAAATATCAGCCCTCATATTTGAAATGAGAGGAATGAAAGCAAATGCTTTCATTCACTCAATAAGTGAGGTGAAGAGACCATAGCTAAGAACACATCAAGAATTCATGCACAGCACTGAGGAACCAGTTGAAGCTGGAAAAATATATTTGTAGTGGTTCACATCTGCATGGTAATTTTTTCTTCAGTTATGCTTATTTGACTAGATATAGGAGAATAAAATTCACATTATTGATCCAGCATTTTCCTGAGAAGAATTTGGTGCATGGAAGGTACACTAAAAGAGACAGAAATTTAAAAGATTGTGCTAGACCGTTTTTGTATTGCTATAAAGAAACAGTAGAGATTAGGTATTTCAATTAAGAAAAGAGGCTTTATTGGCTCACAGTTCTGCAGGCTACATAGCCATGGTGCCGGCATCTGCTCAGTTTCTCGGGAGGCTCCAGGAAGCTTTTACTCATGGTGGAAGGCAAGGTAGGAGCAGGTACATTACATGGCAAGAGCAGGAGCAAGAGAAGGGGGAAGATGCCACAGAATTTTAAACAACCAGATCCCTCAAGAACTCACTATTGCATTGTGAGGACAGAACCAAGCCATGAAGGATCTACTCCTATGACCCAAACACCTCCTAACAGGCCCACCTCCAACACTGGGGATTCCATTTTAGCATGAGATTTGGGCAGGACAAATATCAAATCCATATCAATGATCAATCACACATCCAAGGAGTAACGACACTAGAGGATTTGAAAAGCACTTACATCCAATGGAATACAGGCATTTAAGCACCTACTTGACAGTTTGGTGAGTTTTACCAATTTTTTTTTTTTTTTTGAGGTAGATTCTTGCTCTGTCACCCAGGCTGGAGTGCAGTGGCACGATCTCTGCTCACTGCAAGCTGCGCCCCTCGGGGTTCACGCCATTCTCCTGCCTCAGCCTCCTGAGTAGCTGGGACTACAGGCACCCGCCACCACGCCCGCCTAATGTTTTTGTATTTTCAATAGAGACAGGGTTCCACAGTGTTTACCAGGATGGTCTCGATCTCCTGACCTCATGATCCACCTGCCTCGGCCTCCCAAAGTGCTGGGATTACAGGCGTGAGCCACCACGCCCAGCCCCAAATATTTATACTAATATAACCTTCACCACAATCAAGGTATGGAACAATTCTATTACTACAAAAAGGTTTTTTTCTTTACATTTAAACACCTATTCATTACTGATAGCCCTCTTCATTCCTTTGTGTAGATTTGTTTCCACATGGTATTATTTTCCTTACACTTAAAAAACTATCTTCAACACTTATGTTTATTTTTATTTATTTTTTTTTTATTTTTGAGATGGAGTCCCACTCTGTCACCCAGGCTGGAGTGCAGTGGTGCGATCTCACCTCACTGCAACCTCCACCTCCCGGGCTCAAGCAATTCTCCTGCCTCAGACTCCCAAGTAGCTGGGATTACAGGCACGTGCCACCATGCCCAGCAAAGTTTTGTATTTTTAGTAGAGACGGGGTTTCGCTATGTTGGCCAGGCTAGTCTTGAACTCCCGACCTCAGTTGATCTGCCCACCTTGGCCTCCCAAAGTGCTGGAATTACAGGCGTGAGCCACTGTGCCTGGCTGAAGAAGCTATTTCGACACAGCTCTTTCAACATGATAAAAAAAAATCATCAAAGTTATAGATTATGATCATTATTTTTTAAATTACCAACAAGAAGAAATAGACATCCTTTCCTCATCCTAAACCTCTTCCTCCCATAATCCTTTTCTGCTGAAGAGTAAGATGCCAGTGGCTTGAAAAACAGGATGGAGATCACAGGCAATGAGGACAACGGTGTAGGACTTAAGAAACATCTGACTGACAAGACAAGTGATATTTGCAAAAAAATTAGTTATTTGTCAATTTTTCTCATTTAAGAAAAGGTCATCAGTTTCTCTAAGCATTTTTTGTTAATTGAGGTATAATTAATATATGATAAAATTCACATTTTTAAAGTGTACAACTAGGTAGTTTTTAGTATTTTCACAAAGTTGTGTAACCACCACCTATAGTTTCTTAATTACAGACAATTTTTATCACTCCAAAAGGAAACACCAAACTCATTAGTATTCATGTCTCATTTCCCCTCCCCGTCCTGGCCCCTGGAAACTACCAATCTACTTTCTATTTCTATGGGTTTGTCTAGTCCGGATTCCTCAGTTAAATAGAATCATATGACATGTGGCCTTTTGCGTCTGTCTTCTTTCATTTGGCATAATGTTTTCAAGGTTCATCCATGTTATAATACATATCAGTACTTCATTCCTTTTTATGGCTGAAAAATATTCTATTGTAGGGATAAACCACATTTTGTTTATTCACTCAATTGATAGACATTTGGGCTGTTTTTACTTTTAAAATTATGAATAATGGTGCTATAAACCTTAATGTACAACTTTCTGTGTGGACATATTTTTATTTATCTTGGGTAGATACCTAGGAGTGGAATTACTGAGTTATATGGTAACTATGTTTAACTTTTTTGAGAAACTGCCAAACTGTTTTCCAAAGTGGCTACATCATTTTATATTCCCACCAGCAATGTATGAGAATTCCAGTTTCTCCACATCCTTGTCAACACTTGTCATTGTCTGTCTCTCTGATTATAGCCATGCTAATGGGTATGAACCTCATTGAGGTTTTCATTTGCATTTCACTAATGAATAATGATGTTGAGCATCTTTTTATTTATTGGTTATTTGTACAACTTCTTTGGAGAAATGTCCATTGAAATCCTTTGTTCCTTTTTAAATTTTTTTTAAATTGTTGAGTTGTGTAAGTACTTTATGTATTCTGGATACCAGTTTCTTATCAGATACATGATTTATAAATACTTTCCCCCATTCTGTGGGTTGTTTTTTCACTTTCTTGATGGTTTACTTTGAAGCACAGAAGTTTTTAATTTTGATGAAGTCTAATTCATCTTTTTTTTCCCTTGTTACCTGTGTTTTTGGTCTTATGTCTAAGAAACAATTGCCTAATCCAAGGTCATAAAGATTTATGCCTATGCTTTCTTCTAAAAGTTGTGTACTTTTAGCTCTTACATTTTGGCCTTTGATTCATTTTGAGTTCATTTTTGTATATGGTGTGATGTATTCTCAAACCATTTTGATTGATCTACATTGCTGTATTTTGAATGATCTTCATCTTAAACACTGATTTCTCTCATAAAATTGTGAAGGTTATATTATTTTACTGTCAGTTAACACATGTGTTTTTCTATCTAATAATCAATATATTTTCCTCTGTCCTTAAAAATATAGAGGACAGCAACTCCGTATTTTTTAAGCTTTCTCTTTTTCCATTTTTCTTTTAGGGCTATGTACTAGATAGTAAGCCTGACCTTGCTATGTTTCTTAGTTCAATTAGGGGAAATGCTCATTTAAATTTTAAATAGCTCTCTTAGTACTCGATTGTAAGACAGATGTGATAATATTTTTAGAACCCAGCTTCAGAAGACAGTTATACACATTTTATTTTCCGGATACAGAGGTTATTTGTATACCTATACAAGTCAAATAATTAAAGTCAAACCTCCTTTAATCGTGGTAGATGAGAAGGATGAATAGACAGGGTCATTAGTGTCTGATTCAGGAAATCCTTGAAGATGTTTAAATGAGTGATTTTAAATTAACTGTTTTACCATAGCTACATAAAAATGGCTTTGTGGAAATAATTTCCTTTAGCAAAAATACTTTTTTCCAAATTTTTTAATAAAGATCTTTTTAAATGACTATTATATTCAATCAAGTGGATGGATATACCATACTGTATTAATTTTTTTTGTTTCAAAATCCTATCCTTTAAGTGGATTCTAAATGGATTTATCATATCCTGTACAATATACCTAACATTTGGGTTAGCTCTAGCCAAGCTTATTGACTAGAGCTATGAAAGTGTTAGTTTTTCTCTTTCTCTTGTGGCCAACTTTTAATGCTCCTTATAATAAGTAACTATTAAATACCCAAAAGATATTCAGTTGTGTTAAAAGAGCCATTTATAAACATTTATTTCTCTAAATGTAAGTTTCTATATAGTTTCATTTAAGTCATTTATATTCTTACTTTCCAGAGTGAATTAACCAAATGAAAAAATTCTATTAAAATTGGCCTTTTAGCCTAAAAGAACAAAAAATGACTTGTGTACTTGGCAAAAGGACAGAGATATTGTTTATCTGGACAAGGCAGCAACCAGTGAATGTAAAATAATGATTTTTTTGAAAACTGCCTCAACATACCATTGAGTATTCTCACACACTTTCTGGTGGGCTCTTCTGTGGCTCTGGTCTTCACACTGGCCTTTGGTCCACAATGCAAATCATAGGTGTTGGGACAGGTCGCTATGTGAAACTATTCCCGTAGAAAGAAAGCAATGCAGCTTCCTAATACAAGGGAAAAAAAGAGCAAAGAAATACTTAAGCTCTCAACTTAAAATATGCAAGACATTTGCTTATTTGCTTTGTCAATATTAGAGAATTTCTTGTTACAGGATATTAGCTGAGGTTGAGAGGCCTTAAAAGTCCCAAGTAAGATATTAAAAACAGTTAACATTTAAGAATCATTGAGAGTCCTTTTCCCTATTTTTTAAGGCATATGCTAATCATCAGTTGAAATCAGGTATTTCCTCTCATGGAGTACTATTCCATAGTTAAGTAAAAGATAGGGTTTCCTTTGAAGTATCTGATCACTGCTTGTTGTAGGGGAACTGACAAGGAAGGGCATTCATTATGTTTTTTTAACCATATAGAAACTTGATTTAACAGTTTATAAGGATGACATTTATTTTAAGCTATTGCATTGAATATAATATTTCCCTAGGACTGTATTTTCATTTACTCTTAGTATATTACCCATTATTTTATTTAGTCATGAAACTCACTTATTTAATTCAAATGCTTTCATTTGCTCAATAAGTTTGCTCAGTAAGAATTAATTGAGTAGTAACCAGCACCAGGCACTGGGATCCATAACACTCTCCAGGAGAGAGACCAGTGGGTTATTTTTGGGCTTAATATGCTAATGGGTTGGGGGTACAAGGAGCCACTGTATTCAAAACAGAATTGTGTGTTGCTTCTTGAGGCAGGGAGGATACTGTATGTATCTTTGTATCTCCAGTTATATTTTAGGCACCCAAGTACATTTTTTTGAATTGAATTGAGTAGAATCATATAGTGTTTGTCTTGGAAATGTATATCAAAGATCATTTAGTGTCTAGTCTAAGAGGTTCGTAGAAGTGTCCAGAGATTGCCAAAAGGCGGGATGAGAAGGCAGATTTCTAAGAGTCCCCAACTTATATTTTAATTAGTATAGCCTCCATTTTATTTACTAGGCACCTGTATAACATTTTGGTTTTTATTAAGATGTATCTACTACTAAAGAAATTTAGAAAACCACTGATAATTCAATTGCCTCATTTTACATTAAAATTTCTGTAATTTTACAAATAAGGCAAATCTATTTTTCAGCATACTGTATCAGTTACACATTATTTAATCTTTTAAACAACAGATATAGTTCAGATCACGTCCTCTGCCCTTAATTCCTTTTTTTTTTTTTTTGGTAGCTGTTTAAAAAAGAAATGGGGGAGTGTGACAGCCTAAAAATAATTTTCTCAAGAAATGATGAAGCAATAGAGTACAAAAGCCTTTGAAGATCTCTAGCAAGCTATGTCAGTGTCTGTAATGTGAAACTGCTTGAGGTCTCTTCAATGCTGTGTGCCCTCACACTGTGAATGAATTCATTAAAACAATGCAGAATTCATCTGGGGCAAAAAAATAAGGAAACTAATTTTTACATGGCTACGGAGTGAGGATAAGATTCTCTCTTAATTTCCTTGGCCTAATGGAGAACACATACATATGCTATCAGCTCATCTCTATCATTAAAAATAAGTTAGAAATGAGAACATGCACAATCATATCAAGGCTTGTCGATTTAAAAAATCCACCCAAGAAAGATGTTTTGGAGATTACTGAGACTCTCAGCTCCCATCAAAGGTGAAAGGAGATTCAGAGAGCAAAGCATCAGTTAATGTTGAGATCTTTATTATAAAGCAAAGCAAAATTGCCTCCTGCAGGTAACTTGGTGTTGATACCTGCAGAAAGAGAGTGCTTCCAGATGACTGATCTGATCGTGTGTCATACACTTAAACCTAGGTAGTCCAGGCTTAAGTCAACAAGACTGATTGAAAACTTTGAGGGCCATGAAATGACGACACTGTCATGAAAGATGTGTCTCTTTGCAAGCAGAAAATTACAGAAAGCACTAAAAATAAGCATTTTTTTTTCCTACAACTGAGATTGTGGAACTTTTTTAACTCCAGAGAATGGAATGCAACTCTCTGGTGGACTTTTGTCTTCTATTTTCAAAAGCGTTTCTTACAGCTGAAAATTTCAAAGGCACAGTTGAGACTAAATGTTATTTACAAATTCCAGAAGTCTACGAACTTCCTTTTCTTCATAAAATGGTCATATCAACCCCAGCTGAATATTTTGAGTTCATGTGTCTATCAAAAATGTAGTGAACTAAATGCCTACGAAGTCAGCTGAGGCCACATGATTACTGAAAAACACGATACAAAAAGTGAAGAAATGAAGGCAGTCCTCATGGTCCCTTGCGCAGTGGCAGGCCTATCACACCATTTTAGTGTTTAAATGCCAACATGATGAAGCAGCTAAAAGCAAAGGTCATTAGTCTTCCGTGGATATGAGAAAAATGGCTATAAAAGTAGCAAGGAAGGAGTAGACAGGCAGTGAGCGAAAGCACAGCAGGTTGCAAAAGTAGAGTTAGAGAGTAGTTAAGGCAAGATGGGGAGAGGTTGAGAGGGTGGAGAATGGATGCCTGGCCAACGACAGAGAAGTAGAGTCACAAAAATAAGGGATCAGCATATAGAAGCCACCAAACATTTACTGAAATGGAATTGAGTAACATTAGTAATAGGTAGTAGGAGACAGAGATGAGTTGGTGTAGACCCTTTCTTTCCTTTTTCTGCATTCCATCACAGTAAAAAGTAAAATGATATGATTAAATTGTTTTTCTAATGAAAAAGAAATGACCACTCATGACAGCTCTTTGCTGAGTGTCTAAAATGCGTGCTATACGTATCTTGGTAACAAAGTATATTTTGTCCTTATCCCTTAAATATGTTATAATTCTAGTTGTACTTATTACATAAATTCCCTAAGGGACAATTCACCTTTGGTTGCAGAGATGTAATCTTTGTATTTCTTATAACAATTTTTCTGAGTTTTATTTTGTGACCTTTTCTCAGATGACCATTTTGAAAAATAAATTTTTGATTTTTTGTCAATGTGAAATACTTGGTGTACTCTAAAAAGACACATAGGCTTATAACAAAGCTTAAATAAAACCAAGCAAAATGTTACTACTATGCTCTTTCAAACTCTGCTTTCTACAACGGCAACCACTTTCAACAGAGGCTTTATCTCTCTATTTCCAGATACTGTGTCTGTATGACAGTGCACTTCTCTTACACACCCCCCCCCCACACACATTTCCCTAGAATGGTAACGGGCAGTTTTTCTAATATGAACTATAGACTTTAAAGCTCTTGCTAAGTGTGTTCTGCTGAACAACTAGAACACTTTTCTCATTTCTGCAAGAGTGCCCATGATTTGTGGCACTGGCCCAAGCAAATCCAAAAATCAGCTTTAGCAGAATATAAAGCTCACAAACCTGGACCTAGACTCAGTCTCCAGCTTTTCTGGGAGAAATTTTACATACTCCTTGGTAATTTGGATGGCGTTATTGTTATTCAGAGTTCATTCTTCTAATTTGAGTCACATCTGTGACTGCTTAGCTGAACTGGGAGCCTCAGCATTAAGCTCTATCTTCATTTGCTCAGGGGACACATGGTGTGTGTGGGAGCCATCATGCTTTGTTTTTACAAATCAAACTCTTAATTAATTACTGAACATACTGCAATTCACTAATCAAGCTGTATTTTTTTTCAGACATTTCTGACTGGTAAATATCTAGTCATCTGGCTTTGCAATATATCCTCTTGTCCTTGCTTTAGACAAAAATGGTGGGAGTCATTGGAAATGTTTCTTTGTATATGTGATTTGTTCATTGTCATGCATGAACTTGGAAGAAAACAATTTCTCATTGAACTTTGTATTTGTTTAGGCTACATTGAGAGACAGTGTTTTTGAGTCAGAAGAAGTATTAATTGCAAAATTGTAAAGACTTGGGTTCAAATTCTGGCTTTGTCATTTCTAATTGATTGAACTTTAAAGTTTCCTATTTGTAAAACGTGTTTTGAAAATTAAATGAGAAAAAACACATACAGCACTCACTACTGTGCTTGGCATCTAGCCAGGAGTGAAGTTGCTAATCATTCATTCCTTTACTCCAACGAATACTTACGGAACACCAACAATTTCCTAGGCCCTTGGGCATGGAGGAAATAATGGCGGGCCAGGTAGACATAGCATCTCATCACATGAGGCTTACACTCTGGAGGGGAAGGGTCCTAATAAACCAGAAATAAATAAATAAGCTAAATATTTGCATGTATATTATAATCTCTCTCTATTTTGTTTTCTGGATCATTGTGTACCTATCTCATTTTGCCTGTAGATGGAAAGATGAGCAGTATCTTACACCCTCTTCTGTGTCAATATCACCATTGCGTATATTAGGAAACATATATCTATTGAATAAATAAAGGAACAAATGTAAGAAAATCTCTAGGCTGTCTATATATTTAGAATGGTTTATGCCTATAAAATTGTTTTATAGGAATATTTTATTAAGCATATGATTTACAAAATTTAAAAACTTCTTGAGATGTAAAGAGGCAGTGTAGTGCAAAGGTTAAGAATAATGAGTGCCCTGCACCCAGATGTCCCGAGTTCAAATTGAAGTAAAACTGGTTACTAGCAGTATGACTTACCCTCTCTGTGCCTCAGTTCCCCCACAAGTAAATATGAATAACAAATATCTATGTAACATAGTTCTCATGCAGATCAAAGCAGTTATTTCACGCAGAGCACTTGGAACAATGTCTGGTTCATGGCAAGCACTTAATATGTAAACATTAGTTATTTTTCTTTAACTGAGAACTATTTTTCAAATAGGGATCTATAACCAAATGGGAGTTCTTGGGAATATACCCAGGAATCTTCAATTCTGTATACAAAGTTTATATTTTGCATTTTCATTTTGATGAAAAATTTCTAAATATTAAAATTAGCTTATTTTGGAATATCTACTAAGCAATTTCAGTGACCATATTTGTACTTGCACTTAAAGTTGCTTTAGGTGATCACCTGACATGACCATGTTTAACTTTTAGTTTCTCAATCTGGGATTCCATATATTCTTGGGAGTTTACAAATTTTCAAGACAGAAAAATATTATTTTAGAACATTCAGCATATATGTGTTATAGGTCATAATAGAAATGTTCATGATGCAAAATTATCTGTTATTCAACACATATTTACTGTGGTCATCATTAGTGCTGTCTGCCAATTGTTTTGAACTCTCTGTCTTCAGGTCACATGGTAGGATGTCACTTCTTAGCCTTGTTTGAGTTTAGATGGTAAGGATATCAGGGGGCTGGCCAATGAGTGGTGAGCAAAATGGACACGTTATTTCTGTACTAAAGTGTTTCAATGCTGATGTAAGACCTCCTAGAACCTATGTTTTAAGTTTTAGCTGTTCATTGGCTGCAACCTTGAGCCTCCCTGCCAACTTAAGTTGGGTATGCAGCATTTGTGAGAAGTAATCCCTCCGCTGACTTAACCTATCATGGTTTACATGTTGTTTTTCACCATTACACCCTGACTGGTATGTACCTTTATTTCACCTACTGTGTTCAAAACATGTTGATGTGTTGTATAAATCAGAAGTAATCCAGTTTCCTAGTGCAGCCTTCTCCTCTCAGTGTATGCCCTGCCAAATAATATTTTAAGGACTAAGTTAATGTGAGCCCTCTTGTCTGAAACTACCACTAGTAATTCCATCAAGTTCATGTTATTCTCTCTGATAAATGAGAAGAATAATAAAACACCTACAATCTCTACACTTCTCACCAGATGGTAAGTAAACAATAAGAATTTATACCTTTATTCCTACAAGAGAAATGGAGAGCTGACCCAGAAAAAAATAAATATTACTTGGCAAGATGTTCAAACTCCACCCAACCCTCGATATGCTTAATCCCAGCTTGGATCTCTATTAGGTTGCCCAGCAGTGGTTCCTGGAGGCAGCTTGAGGCAGGTGCAGAGGGCAGTGGTTACTGTTAACAGTGGTTCCTTGATGCCCCGTTTCCTGGTCATGATTCTCAGCAAAGCCTCAGCAGCAATCCTTTAGAAATGATATTGCCTTTTTTACTCTCGGTCAGTCACAAGACCCAGCTGAGCCCACTGGAGGCAATGTGACAGTCTTTAAAAGAATATATCTTTTAGACAACTGCATGTAAGTGTCACTCTGGCTGCAAGTTTAGGTCTAGTTGAGCTAATGGAAAAAGGAAATTGTCTTCTTGCGTTTATTACCATGCAATCTAATAATATCTCTGCTCTGCCCCAAAGTGAAACACGGGCCCAATGTCCTACAGGTTCTTTCTCATCCCCGAGCTCACTGTCCAAATCTTTCTGAGATATTCTTCCAGGGGACTGGAGTTTATATCCCAACATTTTCTCATGGCAGGACCTGAACTCAAAGAAAGAGGCCCGATCTCAACCAGAAAATCTACTTCATAAACCACCCATCCCATATGTTCAGTCTGGATTAGGTGCTTGGAAAAATTACCCCCAAGACACAAAAAGACATCCCAGCTCACATCTAAAGCTCTAAAGCAGGAATATGGAAGTGAGATACTTTGTCTTTTAGCAACATTTAGACCTCATGAAACATTAATGAGTACATTGGAGAAATTTTTTCTCTGGAAGCACCAGAAAAGAAATTAATAAGTGCTTAATATAAGCGATTAAGCTACCATATTGCACAAAAGAGGGAAAGAGGGAAGAAATAAGGCCAGAAAGTTTTATGGGGACATGACCACGAAGGATTTTTAAGACATATTAGAAAGTTTGGCTTTATCATTAGGACAATGGAAAGTCATTAAAAGATCTAGGTAACATGGTAAGATTTGCATTTTACATGATCACTCCGCTTTTAGTGCAAGATGTTGGGGTCAAGACTTGGAGTAAAGACAGAAGTAAGGAAGTTGCTTCAGACATTCAGGTGAGAGAGTGGAGGCTTTGACCTGATCGGGTGGGAGATTTAGTATGCAGTCACAAACTTGGGAGTCAACATAGAAGTGAGTGTTTCACAGCGACCTGAGGAATTGAGAGAGCACAGGGAATGTATGGAGAGAACAGGCTCAAGGATAGACCCAAGAGGAGCATCAGTCTTCAGAAGCCTGCCCGAAAAAAGAGTTGCTGAAGGAAACTGAGGAGTATCAGGAAATAGGTATACCAGGAAAGAGTAGTCTCACAAAGCCTAGAGGCGACATTATTTTTAATAGTGTTGTTGTCTGGGTGCGGTGGCTCACGCCAGTAATCCCAGCACTTCAGAGGCCGAGGCAGGTGGATCACAAGGTCAGGAGATCAAGACCATCCTGGCTAACACGATGAAACCCCGTCTCTACTAAAAATATAAAAAATTAGCTGGGTGTGGTGGCAGGCCCCAGTAGTCCCAGCTACTCAGGAGGCTGAGGCAGGAGAATCGCTTGAACCCAGGAGGCGGAGGTTGCAGTGAGCCAAGATTGTGCCACTGTACTCCAGCATGGGCAACAGAGTGAAACTCTATCTCAATTAAAAAAAAAAAAGCAGTGTAAAAAAAAATGTAGTATTGTTAAGAGTTACATACATTAGGAACCGAAACCTTTTTGTTTTCATTCAAAATTTTTTAAATTTTTAATTTAATTTAATTTTTTCCTTACACATAATTTTCTTTAGTAATCTTTAACTGAATTTTATTTTATTTTTTATAATGTCAATTTTTATTATAGATATGGTTTGAATGTTTTGTCTCCTCCATATGTCATGTTGAGATGTAATCTCCAATGTTCAAGGTAGGGCCTGGTGAGAGGTATGGGGCCATGGCAGCAGATCCCTTATGAATGGCTTTGTGCCCTCCCCACAGTAATGAATGGTAATGAGCTCATGTGAGATCTGGTTGTTTAAAAGTGTGTGGCACTTCCCCCTCTTCCTTGCTCTCTCTTTTGCCATGTGATATGCTGGCACCCCCTTCACTTTCGACCGTGATTGTAAGCTTCCTGAAGCCCTCACCAGAAGCAGATGCCAATATCATGCTTCCTGTACAGCCCATAGGACCATAAGCCAAATAAACCTCTTGTCGTAAATTACCTAGCCTCGGGTATTCCCTGACAGCAATACAAAATGGACTGATACAAAGAGGTACACATGCCGGTTTGTTACACGGGTGTATTGCATGATGCTGAGGTTTGGGGCACAAATGATCCTGTCACCTAGGTAGTAAGCATTGTACCCAATAGGTAGTTTTTCTGCCCTCCCCTTTCTCCCCCCAAGTAGTTCCCAGGGTCTATTGTTTCTATCCTTATGTCCACGTGTACCCAGTGCTTAGCTTCTGCTTACAAGTGAGAACAAGCAGTATTTAGTAACCAAAACCTTTCTATTGAATTTAATAACCAAGAGATTCCCGTTGGAGCAAGTGGTGTCAATGGACCACAGCAGGAAAAATTATACTGTGGTAAGTTGATGAGTAGAAGAAAAGTGAAGAAGTGAAGAGAACAAATATAAGTAGCTCTTTCAAGAAACTAGGCTTTGAAAGGAAGGAGAGAAAGGAGAAAAGCTGCAAAGAGACACAGGGCTCAAGGAAAGTTTCTTTGGTTTTACTGATAGTTTTAAGGAGAAAGGGAGAAGACCTGGAGAAATGGAAAGAAGGACTTGCTCCAAGGAACAAGCCAGAATGGAATTCAATGTATAGGTGGGGAGATTAACTTTACACTTTAAGGACAATACCTCTCCCATTGCACCTGGAGGGAAGCAGAGAGGATGGCTGTGGCTACAATTACATTTCCAAGTTTGGTCACAGTCAGTTAAGGGAGTTCTTATCTCCTGGCTATTTTCCTTTTGGAGTAGGAGGTGAGAGCATCTGTTGAGATTGAGGTTGAGGTTGGAAGTTTGAGGAGAGTGGAGATTCTTTGAAAGGACTGCTATAACGAATTGGAGACAGAGCTGAAGATGGAAACACGAAAGTCTTCCTTCCAATCTGGGGAAGATTATATCTTGCTCACAAATGAGATGTTAAATGAGATGACATATGGTAAGTCATACATGGTTGGTACAAAATAACTCAGTAAATAGTAGTTATTATTATTATCAACATCCTTTTCTTTTCCTTCTCCTATTTTGTACCACAACACTAATTCTAGCTTTTATCTATAGCTCCACCTCTTTCCTTCAGTTTGATCTGTTTGGTGTCTTTTAGTTTCTTTCCAGCCTCCCTCTGCAGTTTGGTGGTTTTACATAACACCTTCTTGATACTGTCCAAACTAATATGGCCTGGATCCCAGGGTATCTCCTGATTCTCCCAGAAGGACAGTTTCTCATCTCTCTCTAGAGCTCATCTTCAGACCCCAAAAAATATTGAGTTCAGGAGACTCTGTGAGCTTTCTGTAGCTCCCCAGAGCTTATTTGCAAGTTTAATATAATAATGGTCCCAGTTTCCAATAACACGATTCCATGAAAATAAATAGGTTAGAGGATCATATTTCATTGTTTATAATATGATAAAGCTGAAAGTATGACTTGAGGTTCTTGCATGCAAAAGGAGGCAGCTATTGTGTCTTTTATATTTGCAATTGCCAACCCACATACCATAGGTTAATGTATCTTAAAAAAAAAAACCCTCACTTTTATAATAAAACAAAACTGATATCCACAATGTTGCTTCTTCCACTGTTTGAGCTGCTGTCAAAGACACTTTGGCCCGTTTATCCAGTGCTTTCTCCCCTCCTGGAGCTCTCAGCTTCAGCTTCAGCTTAGGACCTTCTCTCCACACTGCATGACTGGAGTCTTGCAGGGATCTTGGCTCTGACGATCTGTCTACATTTCAGAGTCGGAGAACATAGGACAGCCATCCTGCCTTTTCCCAACTCCTTGTCCTCATTTATTATCCTAGGCAGGCTTTTCCCACCTCCCACTCCCTGGACCCAGCCATGTCCTGCTCCTCTCACCCATTGCCACTTCCAGGTGGATAATACCAAACTGAATGCTTTATAAGTGGATGAAAGAGTTAAAGGCTCACAATAGATGATTACTGAACACTATGGAGAAATTAAGCCTCCTTTTTAATAAATGATAAGCCCTTCTCATGTCTGGTGATCCAAAACTGTATTTCATGAGGCTGACCATGCATATATCAAATCATAAAACTCTTACAACTCATACCCTGACTGCATTTTCAGGGGTATCTACTATATATTTCAATCTTATTATTAAGGCAGTGGAGCTTCATCAGTGCTCACTACATAAGAAATCATATGAAAGTCTATTATAACTTTAAAAGTACACAAGAAATGTGGCTTTTGATGCCTGGTAGAGGGGGCATGTAGACATACCGGAAACATCATCAGCTCTCTATCCCATTGAAGTTTGTTTGAAAGAAACTGAGGATGCAGGTACAAAATGGCTGAGTGATTTTTTTTTCTGACCAACGGAGCCGCTCGTTAGCAACTTGAAAGGATGCCTAGATCCAAAATAGTATTAAACAAGTGTTTCTTCAATATGAGATCATTATGTTTCTCTTCTAAATCCAAATACTAATTGCAACCTTGCTGTGAGCATACAATATTAAGGCCATCATAGCCATGGCAACAGAATGCAACATGAAGTGGAATCCTATCATCTGCACAGTGTTGTTAGTGGTTTGGGTGGCAGACGAGCACTTTCTTACAACATCGCTATACAACATCGCTAATGTCCAATTCCACAGAGGGGATTGCATTGCATACCTTTAGGCAATTTTGCCACACAGGTTCTGTTATCTTTGAACATTCTGTGTATCTCTATAATTAATTTCAATACAGGATGGCTTGTTAATCCACAGACAAAAATACAAGCACAAATTAAAATTTCAACAGGCACTTTACAATGGTCATTTACATTTCAAAATTAAACCCATAATAAAAACTTTTGTGTACTTATAATTGGACTGATTTTTAACACCCAATGATAAACATCTATGTAAATAGCCTCCCAAAGATTTTACACTTAAGAAAAAAAAGCACTTTAAATGAGCTGCTTAAAGTCACCTTCTCTGCTTTGCATGATAATTGTAATGCAAAATAATAAACAGCACAGGGCACCGAGTACAACACTTTTAGGATGATAGGGTGCCATTTATATGAAGATAATTAGGTATTTAAAACCTACCAATACCAATTTAAAAACCTACCAATTAAAAAAAAAACAGTGTGCTTACAGTAAACTCATTGAAATAAATTTCCATTCGCCTTTGCTGTGCTTTCATTGCAAATATGTCCACAGCTTGTACAGACCCAAGGACTCTGTTTTTGTGTGTAGGAAGTGAGGTGTAGATTAAGAGTTCGTAACCCAACCTCTCTTTCTCTAAAAAGAAAAAGTATTTTGTGGAAATTTGCTGTAAACATATGAACCATATGCCATTGTTAAAAAGAAAAGAAACACTTGTGTTGGCGGAAAGACTTGTTACTATTAGGAAGATTGAGGCGTGAACAGAACTCCAAGCTCATTTTCTCCTAGATTTTGTTGGAAAGAGCAAAAGAGACAATGGGATCTGCCATCAACATTCAGAGGCAAATGCATTGGGCTTTGCTTTCAGAGTTATTGAAACAAAATTCACCTTCTCAAGAATTTACCTGAGAACAGACCATGAAATTCATGCAAAAGCAAGAAATAAAAAGGCCATGCAGTTTTCTCAGATATGTAAAACATGCCATGTCATTTAGAGTGCAAGAAATGGGTAACACTTGAGCAGTAAATTTCTAGCAGATCAGCTGATTTTTTCAAACCATTATTAGTGTTATCTTTATTCGTTAATTCACTCATTCATTTATCAAACATTTAATAGTCTCTTGCTTTGTGTTAGACAGTATACTAGAAGCTGGCAATTCAAATATGAATTCAACTCAAAGAGATGAAACATACATGTAAACATACAAGTAATTTTGGTAAAATAGGGGAAACTTATTAATGAGTTCTATACAAAGTGCAATGGAGGCAGAAAGAACAAAATGACTTAATTTCCTGTCAGAAAAGATTTCATGACAACAGGTAACATTTGAAGTAAGTGTTGAAGGGTAATCAGGTGTTTGATGGAGGATGAAGAAAGGAGAAAATTAGGTAGAGAAGTCTGGAAGGGACTTTAGAAGCTGCAGACATCAAAGCAAGGGGCTTTGGTACCTGCAGGTACATAGTTCTAGATCACAGGATGTTTGTCTGCAGTATATTCAGTGCTTCCCTATTTACCATTCTATTAAATCTTATTTCTTCAGCCTGATCTACAAAGCATTTCGTACAAGTTTAGGGGGAATATTGTTGACATAAATAATTGTAAAGCCCAGGAAATTATTATAGGCAGAGCTGAATTTAAGTGTTCAGAAGAATCTTTCTCTGTCTCTAGAATTTGCTTTCCTTAGTATTGGCTCCATCCTTAGAGCTACACCATATAAGTCTAGCAAACCCAGCAGAAATTTTGATTTGTATAAGGAAGGATTTTTTTCCAAAGGAAAAACTGGATTGTTCTTCCTGAATTGTTCACCAACTTCCCAGAACCATTTATTGACTAATCAGAGTTATTTTATGTATACAAAAAAACTGGGACAGCCAGTATTCTTCACTATATATTTAGTTAAATCGTGAGTTAATTCATTCAGTAAACGTCTATTGGATGCTTACTATATGTCAGGTACTGTTTCAGTGATCCGTGTATATATCTTTGACATATTTTTATTTTTAAAATCTTTGCAATTTGTTTTATTGTCTGTTGAGTCAATGTTTTAAAAAATGTGGACTACATAGTTCTGAAGATACTGAGGCTATTTTAGACCCAGAAATAAAAGATGTGGAATCAAGCAGTGTGAATGTTATATCCCTTTCAGTTCTCTTTCATATTTCTAATTATGTCAGCAAAAAGTCTGTCTGGTTCCTGCTTGTCTCTAATATCCTTTTAACGAAAAAGAACGAGACTTTGGTTTAGAAATTTTGATAGGCTCGTAGATAGACAAAATTTAATGACAATGTTTTATTTGAAAAATTTTATAACTTTTATATAATTTTAACATGATTAAGGTTCTAAAAATTTTTAATATAAAAATTTTATTTTAATTTATATAATTATATCCTATTAAAGACAAAAAGTGCTGGTTTTCTAGTTATGCTGCTTCTTCTTATGTAAAGTTATTTATGTAATATATAGAAACTGTTTTAAACAAAGATTTGAAGTAATTAATTTGTTGGTAATATGTGAATGGAGTAAAAATTGTGAGGACAATATGCAAACAACTGAAATGTGCAATATCCCATAATAAGGAATGACTCTCCTGCCATTCTAAAATTTTTAAAGGGAGCAACTCTTCTTTCTCACTACTAAGTACCATATTCGATATTGGTTTAAGAGTTACTGTTTTTGTCACTTGGGGACGTGTCTTTCCATTTCTTTATAGAAACATAACTTTCTCCTTTTATACGCAACTTAATTTTAGGCTTTACTATATGTTTGAAGTGTTGTATTTGTGCAGAATACTGGCCAGAACTCCAGGGCACTCAGGCAGGAGAAAGAAATAAAGCATATTCAAATAGGAAGAGAGGAAGTCAAATTGTCTCTATTTGCAGATGACATGATTGTATATTTAGAAAACCCCAGCGTCTTGGCACAAAATCTTCTTAAGCTGATGAACAACTTCCGCAAAGTCTCAGGATACAAAATCAATGTGCAAAAATCACAAGCATTCCTATACACCAATAACAGACAAACAGAGAGCCAAATCATGAGTGAACTCCCATTCACAATTGCTATAAAGAGAATAAAATATCTAGGAATACAACTGACAAGGGATGTTAAGGACCTCTTCAAGGAGAACTGCAAACCACTGCTCAAGGAAATAAGAAAGGACACAAACAAATGGAAAAACATTCCATGTTCATGGATAGGAAGAATCAATATTGTGATAATGGCCATACTGCCCAAGGTAATTTATAGATTCAATGCTATCCCCATCAAGCTACCATTGACTTTCTTCACAGAATTAGAGAAATTATTTAAATTTCATATGGAACCAAAAGAGAGCCCGTATAGCCAAGACAATCCTTAGCAAAAAGAACAAAGCTGGAGGCATCATGCTACCTGATTTCAAACTATACTACAAGGCTACGGGAACCAAAACAGCATGGTACTGGTGCTAAAACAGATATAGAGACCAATGGAACAGAACAGAGGCCTCAGAAATAACGCCACACATCTACAACCACCTGATCTTTAACCAACCTGACAAAAACAAGCGATGGAGAAAGGATTCCCTATTTAATAAATGGTGTTGGGAAAACTGGCTAACCATATGCAGAAAACTGAAAGTGGACCCCTTCCTTACACCTTATACAAAAATTAACTCAAGATGGATTAAAGACTTAAACGTAAGACTTAAAACCATAAAAAACCTAGAAGAAAATCCAGACAATACCATTCAGGACATAGGCATGGGCAAAGACTTCATGACTAAAACACCAAAAGCAATGGCAACAGAAGCCAAAATTGACAAATGGGACCTAATTAAACTAAAGAGCTTCTGCACAGCAAAAGAAACTATCATCAGAGTGAACAGGCAACCTACAGAATGGCAGAAAAATTTTGCAATCTATCCATCTGACAAAGGGCTAATATCCAGAATCTACATGGAACTTAAACAAATTTACAAGAAAAAAGCAAACAACCCCATCAAAAAGTGGGCAAAGGATATGAACAGACATTTCTCGAGAGAAGACATTTATGCAGCCAACAAACATGAAAAAAAGCTCATCATCACTGGTCGTTAGAGAAATGGAAATCAAAACCACAATGAGATACTATCTCATGCCAGTTAGAATGGTGATCATTAAAAAGTCAGGAAACAACAGATGCTGCAGAAGATGTGGAGAAATAGGAATGCTTTTACACTGTTGGTGGGAGTGTAAATTAGTTCAACCATTGTGGAAGACAGTGTGGCAATTCCTCAAGAATCTAGAACCAGAAATACCATTTGACCCATCAATCCCATTCCTGGGTATATACCCAAAGGATTATAAATCATTCTACTATAAAGACACATGCACACATACATTTATTGCAGCACTACACACAATAGCAAAGACTTGGAACTAACCCAAATGCCCATCAATGATAGACTGGACAGAGAAAATGTGGCACATATACACCATGGGATACTATGCAGCCATAAAAAAGGATGAGTTCATGTCCTTTGTAGGGACATGGATGAAGCTGGAAACTATCATTCTCAGCAAACTAACACAGGAACAGAAAACCAAACATGGCATGTTCTCACTTACAAGTGGGAGTTGAACAATGAGAACACATGGACACAGGGAGGGCAACATCACACACCAGGGCCTGTTGAGGGCTGGCGGGCTAGGGGAGGGATAGCTTTAGGAGAAATACCGAATGTAGATGATGGGTTGATGAGTGCAGCAAACCACCATGGCACATGGATACCTATGTAACAAACCTGCACATTCTGCACATGTATCCCAGAACCTAAAGTATAATTTAAAAAATATATGTTTAAGGCAAAATAAATAAATAAAATACTGGCCAGAACCAAGACTCTGATAGAACTTAAATTGGTGGTAGTAATCGTTGTTTTCAAAGTAGCCAATTTGTTTGCATTCAGCTGTCTTCTTCTTGACCACCCCAAGCTAGACTTTATATATGGCAAAGCCAAACTTACCTGACCAATATTTGTGAAATAGAATTTTTGCCAGATGGCCACTCTGAAAGATTCTATAGCAAGAAGGTAAAGTTCTTCCGTTCTGAAAGATCAGAATTTTGAAAACTAGACTAGAATTTGTACATAATCTAATGCATTTATGTTTTATAGATAACCAAGAGTCCCTTTTCTAAGGGACTACTAAATAACTTTGAAAAATATTGTACGGTTGGCTGATTTTAAATATTCATTTGCATAAATTATCAATGTTTATTCATATTAAGGCAGGGCAAATTTCTTATTCTTCATTATATTTAAATTAATGTATATAAGGTTCAATCAGAATTTATGTTTCCTAATTTTTATTTTTCTGTTCAGTTATTAATAGTGGAATAAAGCAAGGCATTTTGTCCTTGTTATACCAGCTTAAGATATTTGTAGGCTATTTGCTTACAGATAATATGAGTTTATCAGAAGTTCATGGGCTTGAATAATAAAAAAATTTGAAGTTTGGAAGAATAAATAGGAAACAGAAGAAACAGGAAAAGTTAATGAGTTCCCTCAAAATAAGAGGGAGATGGAAAACAGCTTCAAAGAGTATATCAGAATCAAATAAATGGCTAGAAATTAATTGGGAAACTTATATAATGTAAATAAATAGAAAAATATAGAAAGTCATCATAAACAGGAAAGTGACCATTTATTTTCTTATTTTTTTTTCACTTTAAAATACAAAAACATGTAGGCCTTTAACTGACTGTAAAGAAGTCACTGTAAGGCATGAAGGTGAGAGAAATTCACTTTTCTTTCATTGTGCATCTCAATGTCACATGCTTTGCTTTGTCCCCTTTTGTTATCTCCAAAACACATGCATATCAAGTGAAAAATAATATATCAGAAATATGGAGAAATAAATCTTTACATACCAAAAAAACTGAACTATTTCTACTCCCCAAAATATTTGCATATTAACAGTGCTGTAAATACTAAATTAGCAGAAATAATAAATTAAATTGATTCTACCATGATTTGCTTAAATTATTTTGCATATCTTCATAATTATACCTCAAAAGAAGAAAATAAAGGATAAATTATAAGTGGAAGTTTTATTACAATGTTAATAATAGTTGATATTTAATTGTGATCACAACTTTAATCTTATCTTTTTCCCACGAATAGCTCATCTTTCTTCTTATTATCTTGTTTTCAGTACAGAATTATCACCCACTGGTTTTCAATTACAGAGATGCCCGTATTGATTCTACTCTTGATTTTAGCTCACAACTGAAAAATTACTCATTTAAGCCTATAAAGCTGTATTCTGTAGCTAGTTTAAGCTCTTTTAAAAAATTATGTCGACTCAAAATACAGAAAGATAAAACTCATAAACAGTACTGTTCAGTTATATGAAGCTATTGGGAAACAGACTTTAAATTATTTTAACTCAATTCACTATTAAAATGTAAGAAGACAAATAGTAATCAAAAATGTCATCACCATATGGAGGAAAACTTGATGTCAGTCACAGCATTTATAAAGAACAGGTGGCGCTTAAGCAATCAAAAACCCCTTATGGAATTATACAAATGTAACCTAAATTCCATAGATCTGTGGTAAAGTGATGTACATAAATTAGACAAAAGATCTTTTATTAACACATACATTCTAAATTGTTTGACTATAATTTCCAAAGTTTCAGAAGGAATGAAAATATTCTCCCATACATCACATTGTTTACTTCTACATTTTCTAAGGAAATAATTGCATTCTTTGTTTCTTGTCAAAGACTGTGCACATTATTTATTTTAAGAGGGAGCTCTGTCTCTGAAACTACTGTAGGTGTTCTAATATACTTCATCTCAGGGAGCTGGCAGTGGGAGTGAGGGGAGAGGCAGATCCTGGGGGTGGCCTGGTCTTGAAGACCGTCAGCCGGGCCATTAGTGTGTGACTGGTCCCAGCTCCACAAAGGGGACTCACTATTCAGCCACAGCACCTGCTGTCCAGAGAAGCTGTTTGGAATCCTCTCAGTCTGAGAGCAGTGCTGGTTCTCCACAGTGTGCAAATCTTAAACCAAAGCCAAATTTTCTGAACTTAAATTTTACACAGTTCGGAGGAAGCCATTTGGGGGATAAAGAAAGCTGGCTGGAGCAAGTGAAAATACTGAAGCAAAACCCTAACTTCAAAATGTTTTGAGGAAGAGCAGATTAGTATTTTGACCTATGCTTTTGTAGCAATTTTTAAATTCTCACAATAAAAATCTCCTTATACTTTGATATTTCCAAATAATGTTAATAGTTATGCCCATTGATAATTGGAATAGAACTCTCATTTTGAAAACACATTCTGGGCTTGTATTTCATTTGAGGTCTTCTATGTGACTTGAGGAGAGCAATTAGTGGCCGCAGATTTTCCACTGTTAATAGGTGAGCCTTGTAATTACCTCCGAAAGGAAATTCCCCTTTCTGAGTTCTTCCATATTAATCTAATTTCTGGAATTCACTGCGTAGTGTGAAATCCCAGATGGCGGACTGGAGTGCTACTGACTCAGTTTGTTTCACATTTTTATTCAGAATTCACATAAATGTCAACTTTCCGCTGATTTTTTTCTTTAACAGGAGAAGAAAATTCAAGGTTAAATTTTTGAAGAAAATAAATTGAGTTCCTCTCAACTGCACAGATCTACTAAGCAGAAGTCAGTCATTAAGATCAGGACTAAGTTGTTTCCATCATTTTATGTATTTTAGTGCTTTTATGTTCACTTTCTTTTTAGAGTATGTTAAAAATGCACAAGTTGCTTTTGACCTACCTAATATCTTGATAATTCCTCTGTGCTTAAATTATGATATACCCAATCGTTGATTACAAGGCAGCTGGTAGCAGTAAAAGTTGCAGATTCAAATTTACTTCTCACGTACGAAACTACCTTAATCTTAAGGCATAATTAAACTCATATTAACATTTCCATATACTGACTCTTACAGCACTTATTGTGTGCTTCTCTTAGAGCACTTGTCACTTTCTACCTGGCCCAGTATACATATACATACCTCCCCTGAACTTCTGTAAGAAGGAATGGAAACTTGCTTATGTATCTATCACTGATCCTGTGTCTCAAAACACCTGACATGAAATAAAATCAATAAATATCTGCAGAATGAATAAAACAAAAGATAAATGAATGCATGTTATATTAGCCTCTTGATATTTTCTTTAGGGTGCTATTTTAAAAATGTATCAAATCAGATCACAACTATTCCCCCAATAATGAATGGATTTGTTATACGGCTTCTGATTTGGGGATAGCATTGGATATCAGTATTTATGCTGACAAATCTTATGTCAGAAATATTTTCATTCATATTTTTAGATTTATTTAGGTGGATTCAGTGTTAGTGTCATTTTTGGTCTAAAAAAATGAGTATACCACCTTCTACCTAGTATAGCCTGAGTATGTGAGGCGGTAAGGGGCTGTTTCTAAATTATATTAAGCATCTTTAAATACCACTTAGGGTGAAGGGAAGAATTGCTTAACTTTTTTTTTTTTTTTCAGAATATTCTAGGGCACACTGTGAGTTGCTAAATTATAAGTAAATAAATAACATACAAACATATATATACACACATACACATGCACACACACAAACAGGGAACATAGAAGACAGGAGTATGCATTTTCCTGTTGAGCATATAATAGCAAAAATAGTAATAATAGTTGTTAATATTTATTTAGAACTGCCAATTGTTGACAATGCACTGTGCTAAGTGCTTTATATGCAATTTCCAACTTAATTCCAACAATCATCCTACACTATAGGTACTACTGTTACCCTCTTTTTTCAGAGAAAAACACTGAAGTTTATGGAAATTCAGTAACATGACCAAGGTGATGGGTGATAAGTAGCAGGATGAGGATTCACACCTAAGTATATCTCACCCTATGCCTTTATTCTTCATTTTGCTATGTGGTCCCCGTGTTTGTGTGTGAAGTTGCTGGTCATTAGCATGACCAGCGGGGGTCCCATATCCAATCAAAGATACCCATGTTTGCTTCTTATGTTAAATCTTTACCTCCTTCTTCACCCATAAACATAGGGCAGTCAATGCAATCCAATTGCCAGTGAAATTTCGAATAAAATTTCTTCTCTGGAAATGTGCACTGAGGTTAGAGATTTAAGTGTCACCCCCTCATCTAGAGGGTGTAGAGCTGGTGCCCTCTTGTAAGAAGCAGAAAGAATTTGAATCCATCTGCGAAGTCACCTCTTTCTGGTAATCAGGGGATCTTCCCCCACTGGGTTCAAAGGGCTTCCCTCTTCTTTGTTGTGCAATTTCTAAAGCATTGTGCAATACATAAAGAAAAGACCAAGAACATATCATTGCCTTGGAAACTGCTATGGAATTTGACAGACTGTAGGTTGTTCAGAGCAAATGTTCTGTTGCTGCACGGAGTCCATGCAGTAGCAATGACTGGCAAAGTGGCTGAATGCTCATCTGTTAATCTTGATGTCAACTTAACTTGTCATCCCTGCCCTAAGGATAGGGCGGGAAGTTTGTCTTGTTTGGCTTTCTTTAAATAAGGACATTTGAATTATTTCATTCCCAACTGTCAATGATGAAATACAAAGACAAGGGCTATAGACAAAACAGCAGCTTTCTGGGGGTAGCTATCCATAGCTGATGGAGATGACAGCATTTGAAACCTCTATATTTTTATTAAATGAATTCTAACAGCATAATCTTGGGAAGCTATACTGCTTCTTTTAAAAATAATTGCAACTCTTATGCCACATTTATAACAGCAAAAGGTAAAGAAAAACCTTCTGGCTGCAGACAATACTACTTACTGTGGTCCTTTCTAATGAAATGTAAAAACAAATAAAACTCAGTAAAAAATAGGAGGAAAAAAATTAAGAAATGAAGGTAAGGAGTCAGTCCTTGGGAGCTGTTTTCCAAGAACCAAATGTGACTCTGGCTAGTTGTAGCATTTTATTTATTTGTTTGTTGGTGGAAACACTGAGAATAAAAATAAAAGTGATCCTTTTGTGATCCTGTTTGGCCGTGACAGATTCCTTCAGCATTGCCATAGTAACTGAGAGAAGTGCATTTATGAATAGACTTAGATTTCTAAGGCTTGAGTTTCCTGCCAAGAAGAGAACACAGGGTGGGGAAAACAGGGGAAAGTCAAGGCAAAGGAAAAGAAAACAGATTAAGGTGTTGATTTCCAAATTCTCTCATTTGGAGGTGCAGGAATACAATGGTCCGAGACAATCTCACCTTCTTGGGCCACCTAAGATTTTTAGACATTAAAATTCTTCCTTTTTCAGCAACTTTAGGCAATTTCTTCAGTTCATTTCAATACCAAGAAGGGGAAAACAGCCCTCTGGATCATCAACATTTATGCATAGGACGAAGGAGAAAGCCCTCTGATATGGCTAGATAAGAACACAGAGCAGAGTTAGCAAAGGTGAATGTAAACTGGGCAAGGGAAGTAACAGTCACACTTCAGGCAAATGACCTCCAGTAAAGAAAAATCACTCAGCCACCTTGTCCTACTTTTCTTTTTGCTGAGTGTCTTGATAAATGTTTCTCTAAATAATAATAGAAAGAACAATGAAAGAGAGGTGATAAATGGTGACCCACACAGTTCTGTCAGAGAACACAGAGATGCACCATGGTGAGCAGGTGCATAAGATGGGCAACTACTGCACAATCCCAGCTAGTTTCTGGCAAGAAGGAACATGAGCTCACTGGTGCCTGATCTTCCTATTTTTCAAGAGAAGCTGAAAGTCAGGGTTTATACATGAAATCTTTTGATGTTTTAGGCATGCTCAAAGATTTTAAAATAACATTAGGTCAAACCTAAAAATGGCTGGGCGCAGTGGGTCACACCAGTAATCTCAACACTTTGGGAGGCCGAGGCAGGTGAATCACTTGAGGTCAGGAGTTCGAGACCAACCTGGCCAACATGGTGAAACCCCGTCTCTACTAAAAACACTAAAATTAGCCAGGCGCGGTTGTGGGCGCCTGTAATCCCAGCTACTCGGGAGTCTGAGGCAGGAGAATCACTTGAACCTGGGGGGCAGAAGTTGCAGTGAGTCGAGATAGTACTACTGCACTCCAGCCTGGATGACAGAGTGAAACTCTGTCTCAAAAAAAAAAAAAAAAAAAAATTAAAAATTATCTTTAGGTCATAGATCACCAGTTCCTGACTTCCAGAGTGTGAGGCTAAACTCATACTTGTATCTCTGGAGCAAGAGCCAATAGTAACAAGGAAGTGACCAGAGATGAGAGATTCTAGAGATGGAGATGGGCAGCAGAGGGGATGTAGTATGAAACCTGGAAGAACTATGATCACCAGTCTCCAGGGCTTGAGGTAGAAAACAGATGCTTTGGGTTTCATATTTTAATATTCAATAAATATTTGTTGAGTGCCTGTTCTACGTCAGAAAATATGCCAAACAAACTTTCCTAGGCCACTTCGTTCTCTAATTTTTTGGTTTTGTGATATAATTGTTTTAACAAATAACAAACAGATGTAGGATTATACATATTCACACATATAGGGCTATATGTAGTATGAACATAAAATTTAAACAACAATAATAAAATGAACACCCATCTATCTACCTCCCACTTTAAGAGACAGCCTATTATGTGGACTTTTGGGCTTGTTGTATGTTGTTTCCAAATTGCATCCTTCTTTCATGCCCAGATGCTGTGATTTGAATGTGTCTTCTCCAAAATTCAGGTATTGAAACTTAATTGCCAATGTGATGGTATGAAGAGGTGGGGCCTTTAAGAGGTGATTAGGTCATGAAGGCTTCTCCCATCATGAATGGGATTAAGGCTCTTACAAAAGAGGCTTCACACAGCCTTGAGTTCACTTGCCCTTCTTCCTTTCTCCATGTAAGGACACAGCATTTCATCTCTTTGGAGGATGTAGCGACCCGGTACCATCTTGGAAGCAGAAAGCAGCCGTTACTGGACTATTGAACCAGCTTGAGCCTTGATCTTGGACTTCCCAGCCTTTAGAACACTGGGAAATACATTTTTGTTTTGTGTAAGTTACCTAGTCTCAGGTATTCTGCTATAGCAGCACAAAATGGACTGACTATAATCACTATTTTCAATTTTGTATATATAGCTTCCTTGTTTTTTTTTTTAGTTTTTGTAGTTTAATCTAGTTGTTTTCATTTGTTTATACATGATTAATTCTACCATAGTTGTATATATGTATAAACTAGAATATATAAATACCTATTATAAAGTATTCATATTTCAGGGTTGAGAATCCCTTGAGCAGAAATGTTTTGAATTTTTTTTTAATTTTTGAGTATTTGCACATACATAATGCGATATCCTAGGTATAGGACTGAAGTCTAAACATGAAAGTCATTTATGTTTTTATACATCTTATACACATAGCTTGAAAGTAATTTTATCCAATAGTCTAAATAATTTTGTGCACCTGCACATGTAATCAGGTGTGAAATTTTCTACTTACAGTTCATGTTTTGGATTTTGGATTCCAGATTTTTGAATGAGAGATGCTCAACGTGTGCATAGTATAGTATTCTATGTATATGGTATATTCGTTAACATTGCATTTTATAGGTGTTTAGTTTTTTCCATATTTGAATTCTATACTCTATACAAAGGGAATTACACTCCATAAATTTTTCTAACTTGCTGTTCTTTTGGTTCAACAATATTTTTAAGTTCATCCATATTGATATTTATAGATATACTTAACATATTCTCATTGCTATGTACTTATTTATTCCATTGTATTATGGAATGTGTATATCCATATTTATTCCATTGTATTATGGAATGTGTATATCCATATTTATTCCATTGTATTATGGAAAGTGTATATCCATTCTACTATTAAATATTATTTGGGGTGTTTCTGGTTTTTTTGCTGTCTTGAACTATGTTGCTATCCACATTTTTATCCATGCTTCCTGGATTAATGAGGATTCTCTAGAGAAACAGAATCAATAGGCTACATATTCATCTGACATATACCAAGAGGCTATATATATCTATTATAAAGAATTGGCTCATGTAATTATGGAGGCTGAGAAGCCACCAGATTACAGCCAGTAAACTGGAGACCCAGAAGAACCAATGTTTAGTTCCAGTGAAGAAAAGTCAATATTTTAGTTCGAGTCCAAAGGTTATGAGACTTATGTCTCAGCTCAAAGCAGTCAAGCAGGAGGAGTTCCCTTCTACTCAAAGGAGGGTCATTCTTTTGTTCTATTTAGTGTTGATTAGATGAGCGCTACCCTCCTTAGGTAGGCCAATCTTTTTACACAGTCTACCATTTCAGATGTTAATCTGATCCAAATACACCCTCACAGACACATCCATAATAACGTTTAACCAAATATCTGGTCACCCTGTGGCCTAGTCAAGTTGACATGAAATTAGTCATCAGACATCTTGATGCATTTGTGCAAAAATTCCTTAGGAAATATTTTTTAAGGGCAATTGCAGATCATAGAGTATGTACATGTTCAACATCAGTTTGTTTTTCAAAGTGGTTGTACCAATGTACATTTTTTTTTTTTTTTTTGAGTCAGAGTCTCGCTCTGTCACCCATGCTGGAGTGCAGTGGCTCGATCTCGGCTCACTGCAACCTCTGCCTCCCAGGTTCAAGCAATTCTCCTGTCTCAATCTCCTGAGTAGCTGGGGCTACAGGCGCCTGCCACTATGCCCGGCTAGTTTTTGGTATTTTTAGTAGAGACGGGGTTTCACCATGTTGGTCAGACTGGACTCAAACTCCTGACCTTGTGATCCACCCTCCTCAGCCTCCCAAAGTGCTGGGATTACAGGTGTGAGCCACCACACCCGGCAGCAATGTACATTTCTACTAGCAATCTATGAGAGTTGCCAATGCTCCACATGCTTGGCAAAATTTTTGTCAGAATTTTTGACAATGTAATGACTATAAAGTAGAGTCTTATTTTGGTTTGAATATGTATGTCTCTGATTAATAATGAAGTTGGATGTCATTATATGTTTATGGCTCAGGCATGTTTACTTTCCTGTGAAATTCTTCAGCTCATTGACAATTTTTCAAAGACTGCACATCTTTTTCTGATTGAGTTATAAGAGTTCTTTACATATTCTGGATACTAATCATTTGTCAGTTGCATGTGTTGCAAATATCTTTTCCTGGTCCACAGTTTGTCTTTTCACTTTCTTTATGGTGTCTTTTGATGAATGTAAATTCTGATTCTTAATATTTGCATTTATATTCATCAATCTTTTCTCTTATAGTTTTTGGTTTTCCCATCTTATTAAGAATTCCTTCTCAATCTTGAGATATTTTCTTTAAATTTTCTTCTAAACATTTAAAAAATGTTCCCTTTTTGGTGAGAGCGGTGGCTCATGCCTGTAATCCCAGCACTTTGAGAGGCCAAGGCAGGCAGATTGCTTGAGCCCTGGGAGTTGGAGACTAGCCTGGGCAACGTGGCAAACCCCATCTCAACAAAAAAAATATGAAAATCAGCTGGGTGTGGTGGTGCATGCCTGTGGTCCCAGCTACTCAGGAGGCTGAGGTGGGAGGATCGCTTGAGTGTAGGAGATGGGAGTTGCAGTGAGCCAAGATTGCCGTGCTGCACCCAGCCTGGACAATAGAGTGAAGGAGTGAGACCCTGTCTCAAAAACAAAAAAAAAAAGAAAAGAAAAAGAAATTCCCCTTTCAGGGCGCCTCTGCCCGGCCGCCCCTTCTGGGAAGTGAGGAGCCCCTCTGCCCGGCTGCCACCCCATCTGGGAGGTGTACCCAACAGCTCATTGAGAACGGGCCATGATGACGATGGCGGTTTTGTCGAATAGAAAAGGGGAAAATGTGGGGAAAAGATAGAGAAATCAGATTATTGCTGTGTCTGTGTAGAAAGAAGTAGACATGGGAAACTCCATTTTGTTCTGTACTAAGAAAAATTCTTCTGCCTTGGGATGCTGTTAATCTATAACCTTACCCCCAACCCCGTGCTCTCTGAAACATGTGCTGTGTCCACTCAGGGTTAAATGGATTAAGGGCGGTGCAAGATGTGCTTTGTTAAACAGATGCTTGAAGGCAGCATGCTCGTTAAGAGTCATCACCACTCCCTAATCTCAAGTACCCAGGGACACAAACACTGCGGAAGGCCGCAGGGTCCTCTGCCTAGGAAAGCCAGAGACCCTTGTTCACTTGTTTATCTGCTGACCTTCCCTCCACTATTGTCCTATGACCCTGCCAAATCCCTCTCTGAGAGAAACACCCAAGAATGATCAATAAATACTAAAAAAAAAAATTAAAAAAAAAAAAGAAATTCCCCTTTCATGAAAGATCTTAAATCACATGGACTTCATTTTTGCACATAATATAAGATAGGAATCATTTTGTTTCCTATAAGGATAGACAGTTCTTTCCACATTTTTTTTAGTCTATTCTTTCCTCACATGTCAACAATCCAGCTTTGTCATGTGTCAAATTTCCATGTATATGTAAGTCTGTTCTTCTGTTTTGTTTAGCTATCCTTTTGCTGATAATATGCTTTCTTCATGCTACAGATTTACAATAAGTTTTGATTTCTTATTAGTGGAGAAAGTCATTTCAAAAGTGTTTTAGCGATCCTTGGCCCTTTGCTTTTACATATCAATGTTAGAATCAGTTAATTAATGTTTATGAAAACAGGATGTTTGGAATACCATTGAACCCATAAAGCAATTAATATTAAAATACTAAATCTGGCTGGGCATGGTGGCTCACATCTGTGATCCCAGCACTCTGGGTGGCAGAGGTGGGAGCATCACTCGAGGCTAGGAGTTTGAGACCAGCCTGGGCAATGCAGTGAGACCCCCATCTCCACAAAAATTTTAAAGATTAGCCAGGTATGGTGGTGCATACCTGTAGCCCAGCTACTTGGGAAGCTGAAGTGGGAGGACTGCTTGAGCTGAGGAGTTTGAGATTATAGTAAGTGATGATGATGCCACTGTACTCCAGCCTGTGTGAATAATAAAGAAATAACATAAAAGAAAAGAAAATATTAAATCTCTCTATTAAAGAACATCATGCATCTCTGCATTTATTTAGATCTTCCTTAATGTCTTTAAATAAAATGTAAGTTTTATCTACTTAAAATTCTTAGACATTTTACTTAGATTTATTACTTGATTACTTACAATTTTGTTACTATTTTAAGTAGTCTCTTATATTGTTACATTTTCTAGGTATTTTTGAATAATTATAGCAAAGTAGTTGACTTCTGTATGTCAGTTTTACTTCTGGCAAATTTGTCAAGTTCTCTTATTAATTCTTATAAATTCTCCATGAAGTCTTTTAGGCTTTCCATGCAGACAATCAAATCATATGTGAATAATAGTTATTTTCCTTGATGATTTTTTTTCTTGTCTTATTTGCTAATCAGGGACTGTGGTATAACATTCGCTAGAAGATATTCTTAAACGTCTTTTCTAAGAATCAACTTTTGTCTTGTATTCTCTCCACTGTATTTTTAAAAATTATTTTATTGATTTCTGCTCCTCTACTATTTCCTTCATTTTGCTTTTCTTGGGCATATTCTGTTTTTGTTTTTCTACTTTCTTGGTAGGATGCTTAGCTTATTTATCATAGTGTTGCTCTTTTTG
This sequence comes from Homo sapiens, assembly GCF_000001405.40. NCBI lineage: Eukaryota > Metazoa > Chordata > Mammalia > Primates > Hominidae > Homo > Homo sapiens. Next base: position 24,672,088 of record NC_000012.12, on the reverse strand, counting down.
GATCTACACATCAAAGGCCATACACTTCTCTTTACTGCTTTTGCTACCTTTTACATTTTGATAAGTGGGTCTTTATTTGTGTTTCATTTTGATTTTTTCCATTTAAGCATACCTTAAATTCTTTTATTATTACGTCTTGTACCCATTGGTTGATTAGAAGTATGTATTTTTTTTCAAATTATGCCTTAGCCTTGTAATGTTCTGCATCACAAACAATCTCACTTCTGGGGTAGCCAGCGCTGTTATGATCAGACCTGAGAATAGTGGCAGCAAAATCTTTAGAGAAACAAAAGAGGAATGGAAATGCAAGTGGATGGAGTAAAATATAATTATTTTAAAATGTGTCTGTACAGATTTTGTTTCTTTAATAAGCAGGTTCTTTGTTATGTTGAATCTATGAAAAAGATCAGTCCCTAGTCACTCAATATTTTTGCGCTTCTTTACTCTTTTAGTTTTTTCTTGCTTATCCTGAGACTTGGACTATCTTTCTGAAGCTGAGATAATTTTGCTATTCCCCAAATGGGGGATTTAGAAGAAAATTCTTCATTTAATGTGTAATATTCGGTCTTACTGAGAAAAGAGCCTAAGTCAGGAGTTCTTTTATATGCTCTCATTACCCATCTAGAAACTAACCTCCGTCATTGTCATATACCCCATCTTGCCCCTAATTATTACACAGAGGATCTAAGGCCAACCCCTTCATTCATGCACTAAATCTCAGCCCCTCTAGTCTACCTACGTATATTGCTTCAGCAATTCTCTGCAGCTCTGTTACTTCATCAATACTTTCTTCGTTATTAGATTATTCCCAACAGCCTACAAATGTGCAATAATGTGTACAATCGTTAAAAATGAAAACCTCTGGGTCCCACATAGCTCTCCAGCTACAACTCTAGTTCTCCCTCTTTTTCAGAAAATGTCCTTAAAGGAGTTGTTTATAGGCCCTGACTCCAATCCCCCTGCCCATTCTCTACCCACTAGCCAACTTTAGTATTTCAGAAAATTTGTAAGCATGTACAAAAGTAAACAGAATAGTTTCCACTTTCAGTAATGGCCAAGTAGCTCTTATCAGACAAATGGCAGCTATACATTCTGAACAAAATATGAAAAACAACTACCTGAAAACTCTGAAGAGTGAAAAGAGTCATGCAGAGATTGAATGGGAGTTGATACATGTAAGAAAAGCGTGACACGAGGGAAGTTTTCTAATTTTTACAGCTTTTAACCTGCAAGTTGGCACCACATGGGGTAGCTAAAGCTCAGGCAGAAACCTGGCTGGATGTTTTACTGGCACAAGAAATTAGAGAACAGAGATCAGGATAATTGGTAAGGGAGGCAGGATGTAACAGAAAGAAGACAGCCACAGACAGGAACCTCAAATCTGCATAAAAACTTTGCCCAAATCTCTGGCTGAACTACACATGCATGGAATGGGCACCAAGCAAACCCAACTAAGGCTGAAAGAATTGAACTGATATTTCACTACTTGAAGTTTCTGTTCAGCCAAGTTAACTATCTGCCAAAGCAAAGCAAAGCAAAGCAAAGCAAAGCAAAGCAAAGCAAAGCAAAGCAAAGCAAAGCAAAACAAACCAAAAAAGACAAGTACACTTTGGAGGAACATTACAGAATACAGTCTCTTGATGTATTATTCACAATGTCCAGGATTAAAGAGAAAGGAGAAAATGTGACTCCTATCAAGAGAAAAAATCAATGGAGACCAACCCTGAGAAGACTTAGATGTGGGAGAAGCAGCTATTATAATAAAGCTCAAGGATAGAAATGAAAATATGCTCATAATTAATGAAAACATAGAAAACCTCAGTAGGGAAAAAGAAACCATTAAAAAGAACCTAATAGAAATTCAAGAACTGATAAATAGAAAAGTAAAATAAACCTCTATTACTGATCACCCAACTTTTACAATTATGAACTTATTGCCAAATGATGTTGTTTCCTCTTTATCCCCACCAAATTTCACTCCTATCACCACAATGTAACTTTGAAACAAAATCTGACACCACAGCATTTCATATATAAACATTTCAGATGTTTTACTCAGAGATAAGGAACCCTTTTCAAAAATCAGTCCACAATACCATAAAGAACCTAAAGCAATGTATCAATAATTTCTTGACGTCTAATATCTGGTCAGTGTTCAAATTTCCAATTATATGTAATTGGAAATATATACATACATACACTGTGATGAAATCACCTAATGATGCATTTCTCAGAACATGTCTCTTGTTAATTTACAGCCAGTTGTCACTTAATAACAGAGATATGTTCTGAGAAATGCATCATTGGGTGGTTTCATCACAGTGTGAATATCATAGAGTGTACTTACACAAACGTACATGGTACAGCCTACCACACACCTAGGTTATATGGTAGAGCCTTGCTCCTAGGCTACAAACCTGTACAGCGTGGTCCTGTACTGAATACTGTAGGCAATTATAATTGGTATGGTAACTGTGTATTCAAACATATCTAAACTTAGAATAGGTACTGTAAAAATACAATATAGAAGATGTAAAATGGCACACCTGTATAGGGTACTTACCGTGAATGAAGCTTGTGGCTTGCAGGACTGGAAGTTGCTCTCAGTGAGTCAGCAAGTGAGTGCAGAGTGAATGTGAAGGTCCAGCACATTGCTGTACACTACTGTAGATTTTATAAATACTGTGACTTTGTTTACATTAGTTTTATTAATTCTTTTCTTCAGTAGTAAATTAACAGCTTACTGTAACTTTTTTACTTGCTAAACTTTTAAATTTTTTTAACTGTTTGACTTTTTTATAATAACACTTAGCTTAAAACACACATTGTACAGCTGTTCAAAAATTTTTTATATCCTTATTCTATATGCTTTTTTCTGTTTTTAATTTTTAATATATTTTTGTTTACTTTTCAAACTTTTTTTTTAAAAAAACAAGACACAAACGCACACATTAGCCTAGGCCTACACAGGGTCAGGATCATCAATATCACTCCACATCTTGTCCCACTGAGAGATCTTCAGGAGCAATAACGCGCGTGGAGCTGTCACTTCCTATGATAACAATTCCTTCTTCTGGAATACCTCCTGAAAGATTTGCCTGAGGCTGTTTTCAAATTAGCTTCTTCGATAAGGAGAAAGAATACACACTAAACTAATGATAAAAAGTATACTACAGTAAATACGTAACCCAGTACCCTCATCATTTATTATCATTATCAAGTATTAGGTACTGTACATAATTGGTTGTGCTACCCTATTATACGACTAACAGTGCAGTAGGTTTGCTTACACTAGCATCACCACAAACATGTGAGTAATGCATTGTACTATGTTACAACAGCTATGACATCACTCTGTGATAAGAATGTTTCAGCTCCATTATAATCTATGAGACCACCACCATGTATATGGTCCATCATTGACTGAAAAGTCACCATGCAGTATCTGACTATATTTATCAATTTGGCTATTTGAATAAGAACTATATTCTGCAAGGTTCATGCATTGCAATTCATTCATGTGCCTCTTGTCATCTATAGGCTCCCCCTTTGTCTTTTTTTTCTTCAATATATCTGTGAAATAAATCAGATGTTTTGTTCTGCATTTTCTAAGAATCTGGGTATTTCCAATTGTATCCTTATGGTATCATTAATACGTTCTTCTTTCTTCTTCTGTATTTGTCATACATTGGTACTTGTATTTAGAAGATTAATCAGATTCAAGTTTATACATTTTGAGATTTTTGATAAAAATACTCATAGATGGTGATATATTCTTCCATCGGCAGGCACATAATGTCTGATGGCTTCCTCTTTGTGACATTAGGAGTCATTGATGCTCAAAGTCCAGATCTTTTAGTTTGTTACAGTTTGTAAAACAGCAGTATTCTTATTCCTTCATTTCCAGCTGGTGAGCTTTAGAAAGTGTAAATTTCTCAACATATACATTTTGGTACAGTTCGGATAGGAAATACCAGAAACATGCTAGATATTCTTTTATTTACCAGTTTTCTACTAACGTATGTCAGAAGTAGCATTTATTCTAGGATGAGATTTGTCCTATTTCTAAAGTATGGACATTTTGGGATCTGTACTGAATGGCTAGTATATTCTCCACTCTGGTTGATCAAAACTCCAATGTCTCCTAGATGTGTTCACACTGCCAACTCTCCAGGACTTGTTCATTTCCTTACATCTCAGAATTGACCTAGGCATCTGGACTTAATATTCAGTCATAGACTCAGACACCCCTAGCCATATTTCTGAAGCTCTCTGTTGGCTTAACTCCTTTCCAGTACTCTGCCTGTCAAATTCCAGATTTTTCCATCTGTCTAACTCCAATCTCTGTCTTTTGAATTGAGAGCCTGGGACACTAACTTTGTTTCTTTCCTCTCCAGGATCCTGTCCTGTATTGCAGGCTGTCCAGTGTTTAAAAATAGAGGTTCAAATATTTCACCCTGTTTTTTAGGTGTTTGTAGCAGGAAGTTTAGTGTGGAACCAGTTAGTTCATCCTGGTGAAACTCTCACAAGTCCTTCTGGCATGACCCTGGGAACCAGAAAGCTTCTCTGCTAGCTGATATGACACAATGTCTCCAGTTAATCTTGTACATTTTGGCTGCAGATTTTGCATCAGTGTTTTTCTCTAAGGATCCCTTGTACCTTTTATGGGAAATGGTATTTGAAGACTACGACCTGGGTGCTAGAGAAATGCATTGCTACTGAGTTATTTTTTGTTTCTAGGTTTTTTTTTTTGCCAGAGCTAGGATTTATCTAGGTTGATACCTGCACTGACAGCTATATGTAGATATACAAATCTTTTATATTATTTCTTCCTGAACCCACTCCATCAGGTTTTTACACTATCGCTATACTAGAACTTTTCTTATGAAGACCACCAATGTCCTTCTGTTTTCTAAATCCCTTGGTCAATTCTCAGTCTTTTATGTTTTCGACATATCAGTGGCCTTTGACACAGTTGATCCCTCTCCCTCTTCTGAATTACTTTATTCCTTTATCATCCAGGATATCATCATTTTCTACTCAGTATCTCCACTTGGATAGCCCAAAGGCATCTCACAGTTAACATGTCCACACATATACTCTTGATTTCCCTCCTGAAGTTTTCTTTTTACATAGTATTTTTCATCACAATGAATAGTAACTCTACCCTTCCAGTTTCTCAGGGACAAATCTTGGAATAAGTCTTGACTCCTCTCTTTTTTCCAGACCTCAGATTCTATCCATTGAATCTAATTCTCTTGGCTCCACCTTCAAACTATATCTAGGACTTGACTTCTCACCACTTCCATCATTACAATTCTGTAATTAGCCATCATTATTTCTTGACTGGATTATTGCAATAGTCTCCTATCTCATCACCCTATTTCCAGACTTACCTATAAAGCCTCAGCCAGAATAATCTCATTAAAATGTAAGTCATGTCATATTATAGCACCATCCCAAATCCTTTGAAATCTCCTAACTTTGGAGTGAAAAAAACAACATTATTAAAATGGCTCACAAGACTCTACGTGACTTATACTATCACCTCCTCTGACTTTACCTTCTTTTATTCTCCCCTCAACTCACTCCGTCTACACCAGCCAGACTGTCCTCCTTTTTATTTATTTATTTATTTATTTATTTTGATGGAGTCTAGCTCTCTCTCCCAGGCTGGAGTGCAGTGGCGAGATCTCGGCTCACTGCAAACTCTGCCTTCTGGGTTCACGCTATTCTCCTGCCTCAGCCTCCCAAGTAGCTGGGACTACAGGTGCCTGCCACCATGCCTGGCTAATTTTTGTATTTTTAGTAGAGACGGTGTTTCACTGTGTTAACTAGGATGGTCTCAATCTCCTGACCTCATGATCTGCCCGCCTTGGCCTCCCAAAGTGCTGGGATTACAGGCGTGAGCCACCACGCCCAGCCCCTTTTTATTTCTTGAGCATACCAAGGATGCTCCTCCCTTAGGAGTTTGTACTTGCTATGTCCAGGACCGGGAGTACTCTTCTTCCAGATATTTTCATGCCTCATTCTTCTCCTCCTTTCGGTCACCTTCTCTGTAGCATTTATCTTATCTATCATCCCATATAATTTCCTTATTTATTGGTTTAGTATATACTCTTTGTCACTAGACTCTTAGTTCCACGAGGACAAACAGAACATCTAGAACACATCAGAAATTTAATATGTTGTTTAAAGAATGAATGAACAAATATTTACTGAGCACTTACTATGCGCCAGGGACTGTGCTGCTTGCTGGTACATGTATATAACATATAATCCCTGCCCTCAAAGGAAGTGGGAGAGGCAAATGAGCAATTTGCTCATACAAAGCTTTTGACACTAGCCTTGCACTTCCATGCATCTAGTGTATTGTTATGATACATAGCCCTTTGACCTTTGTGAAAACCAGCCTCTAAAAATAGCCTAGGGAGCCAGCTCTGAGAAAGCCAAATTGGGAATTGATGCCACCACTTTTCGTAGCTTTAGGAAAATCCAAGAACCTTTCTGCTTCTGTTTCCCCAGCTGTAAAATAGGATTAATAGTTCCTGCTTCACAGGAGTCTTTTGAAGATTCTTTCATTCATGTAGTAATATTTATTGAAAATGGTAAGTGCTAAGTAGTATTATGCCTAATTAATTAGGTCCTCATCTCCCTGGTGTGGGCTATGGTGTCTGGCTGGTCATTAATAAAATATGCTGGAAGCTTTGCAGATTTTCCTTTCAGAGCTTTCCTGATGGTTGCATACTCAGTGCACGAATTGAGCATCCAACCTTGTAGTTAAATACATACAGCTGCTTGAGTTCTACCACGCTCACATTTGTTTAGTTCTCAGACAATACAAAATTGGAAGGTGCTAAAAACACCAGTTAAGAAAGAAATACTACAAAGGATCCCAGGGTGGTTAGTAATAAAACCTGGAAATAAAACTAAGTCTCAATTTGAAATTTGCCAGATAATACCAATGGGAATCCTAATACCTCTTCTGAAAAATTCAAGTGGGAGTGAGATAATAGTCAAATAATAAGCTATATTATAACTAGGTGCCATGGACTACATTGTAGGGGGAATTGTAAAAGGATGTAGGATAAGACACCAATAATGAATGATATTTATATTAATGTTATATCACAACACAGGAAAAGATTTTTTTTCTGAGAACATACTTACAATAAAACTATTTTAATCTGGGTTCCCCAGAAAGCAGACCCTATCTGCTATTATTTTACAATAACATGCAATCCAAAAGAGCAGGCATGAGGCATACACAAAGTGAAGCAGAGAAGGAGGTGTCTTCGTTCATTTTGTGCTGCTATAAGAGAATGACACAGACTGGATAATTTACAATGAACGAAAACGTATTGGCTCATGGTTCTGTAGGCTAGGAAGTCCAAGATCAAGGGACCAGCATCTGGTAAGAGTCATGTGCTGTGTCATCCCACAGTGGAAGGCAGAAGAGCAAGAGGGGGCAGAACTCATCCTTTAAAAAAAATCTGTTTCCATAGCATTAATCCATTCATGAGGTTGATGCCCCATGACCCAAACACATCCCATTAGGCCCCACTTCCCAATAACTCCAAATTGGGGATCAAGTTTTCAACACATGAACGATGAACTTTGAGGGACACATTCAAACAATTGCAGAGGGGAAGCCAATACTAGAATGTGTTACCAAGCTGGCCATTGCTACATACAAGTGATGACTCAATATGTGGGAACACATCCTTCTGTCCTTTCTCAGATGACATCGTAAAATTGTTGAATCTCAGGACTTACATCTTACGTATTCATTCAAAGATTCCTACCTTCCTGAGCCTTCCAACCCTTTCACACTATGCCAAGGAAATTCTGGTGTCTTGATGTCATTTACTGTTTGATCATCATCGTATTCAAGTTTCAAGGGGCCATTCCGATAAGCTACTACGACTGGTTCCAGGAATTCTTGACAAAAGTATGTGTTTCATGTCAATAACAGTTCCTGCTTTACTGGAGTCTTTTGAGGATTCTTTCATTCATGTAGTAATATTTATAGAAAATGGTAAGTGCTAAGTAGTATTATGCCTAATTAATTAGGTCCTCATCTCCCCGGTGTGGGTTATGGTGTTTTCATGTCAATAAGATCTCCCCTGTGTAGCCTTATACTGCACATCCTCTGTCCCCATCTGAGTCAGACATATATTTTAGAGTTGGAAGGGTGGAATATTTAATACTATCTCCTACCTAGTGGAAGAATTCTTCTTGAAATACTGTTCAGCAGCAGTCATTGTTTGCATAATTCAGTGACAAGGTGTTCACCATGTTATAAGGACACCTATTCCATATTCCCATTGTTCCTAATAGATAATTCTTTTTTCTATTGGTCAAAAAATCAATCCACCTATAATTTTCAAGTAACTTTAATTTGTCTTTACTATTCTTTGTTTATTTGACTTCTCTTCAACTTTGCATATTACGTCTGGAAGAGTTTTTTTTTTTTTCCTTAGAAGCCTATCTTCTCCCAGCTTTTGTGATTCTCTATTTTTACTTTTGTAGCTATAGGTATTTTCTATCAAGCCTCCTTTGTCAGGTTCTCCTGAATTTGTCCCTAAATGACCATATTTCCCAGGCTGCTTCTTTGGTCACCTGGTTTTCTCCACCAACACATACATCCTGTGTGTCCTCATACAAATATCTAACTTCAGCTTCCAACTCCTGGTTCTTCATGTCTGACGCAGAGCACTCAGAGAATCCAAGCTTTGTGTTTTCAATCTCTGCTGAATATCTTTACTTGGATGTTCCATAGACTCCAAAGTTGAAAGTGTTCCAAACAGGACTCAGATTCTTTTTGTGCCAAATCTGCTTCTTCTGCTGTTCCCCTATCCTGGTGAATGGGACTACCAGGCAATTATTTACTACTATGGTTTGAATGTGTTCTCCTCAAAATTCATGTTAAAATTTAATCCCCATTGTGATGGTTTTAAGAGGTGGAGGCTTTGGGAAGTGATTAAATCATGGGGGCTCTGCCTTCATGAATGGATCAGTGCCTTGTAAAAGGGCTGAAGGGAACTAGCTCAGACCCTGTTTGCTCTTCAGCCCTTCTGCCAGGTAAGAACAAAGCCTTCTCCCCTTCTGCAATAAGAAGATGCAGCAAGAAGACCCTCACCAGCTACTGAATGCAAGCACCTTGATCTTGGATGTCTCAGCCTCCAGAACCATACGTTTCCATTATTTATATTTATTTTATTTTTTATTTTTTTAAATTTTTTTGAGATGGAGTCTTGCTCTGTCACCCAGGCTGGAGTGCAGTGGCGCAATCTCGGCTCACTGCAAGCTCTGCCTCCCAGGTTCACACCATTCTCCTGCCTCAGCCTCCCAAGTAGCTGGGACTACAGGCGCCTGCCACCACACCCGGCTAATTTTTTGTATTTTTTAGTAGAGACGGGGTTTCACTGTGTTAGCCAGGATGGTCTCGATCTCCTGACCTCGTGATCCACCTGCCTTGGCCTCCCAAAGTGCTGGGATTATAGGCGTTAGCCACTGTGCCCGGCCTCCATTATTTATAAATTATTCATTCTGCAGTGTCTTGGTACAGCCACACAAATAAACTAAGACATTTACCCAAGCCAAAATTTTATAACAAAACCTAAATGACTTTCTTCCTTCACAAGTCTGCCCTCTGTGTACACCCTGAATGGATTCTAAATTCTTAAAAATATTTCTACTCAGTTAGGTAAGTGCTCAAACAGACTTTTAGTAGTAAATTTATTATGCCTCAAAACCCTGTTTTTGAGGAGTGGAGGTGGAACAAGATTGCCAAATAGAAGCCTCTACCGATTGTCCTCCCTGCAGGAATACTAAATTTAACAACTATCTACAGAAAAAAGCACCTTTATAAGAACAAAAAAACAGGTGAGTGATCACAGTACCTGGTTTTAACTTCATATCACTGAAAGAGGCACTGAAGGAGCAAAGAAAGACAGTCTTTTATTGCCAGTGCCACTCCTCTCCATCCCACAGCAGTGGCAGTGTGGTGCTGAGACAGAATCTGTGCATTTGAGGGAAGGAGAGCACAGTGATTGTGCAATTTTGCATTGGAACTCAGCACTAACGTGTCACAGCAGAAAGCAACACTGGGTAGAACTCAGCCAACGCCAATGGAGGGAGCATTTAGACCAGGTTTAGCCATAGGAAAATCACCCACCCCAGCAGTTGCAACTTGAGTTCTGGTAAACCTCACTACCACGAGCTAAAGGGCTCTGGGGTCCTAAATAAACTTGAAAGGCAGTCTAGGCCACAAGGATTGCAACACCTAGGCAAATTCTACTGCTGTTCTGGGCTCAGAGCCAGTGGACTTGCGGGGCATGACCTAGTGAGACACCAGCCTGGGCGGCCAAGGGAGTGCTTGCACCACCCTCCCTCAACCCCAGGCAGCACAGCTCATGGCTCTGAAAGGGATTCCTTCTTCCCACTTGAAGAGAGGAGAAGGGAGAGTTAAGAGGACTATGTCTTGCAACTTGGATACAAGCTCAGCCACAGTAGGATAGTACAACATTCAGACTCCTGAAGCCCCCATTCCAGACCCTCGCTCCTGGATGACATTTCTAGAAATACCCTGGGCCAGAAGGGAACCTGCTGCCTTAAAGGAAAGGAGCCAGTCCTCAAAGGATTCATTACCTGCTGACTAAAGAGCCGTTGGTCCCTGAATAATTAGCAGTAATAGCCAGGTCGTACACACTGGGGGACACACTGTCCCAGAGGGAAACTGTTGCCGTAAAGGAAAGGACCCAGTCCTCAAAGGATTCATCACCTGCTGACTAAAGAGCCCTTGGGCCCTGAATAATGAGCAGTAATAGCCAGGTGGTACACGCTGCGGGACTTGAGTGAGACTCTGAGACGTGCTGGCTTCAGGTGTGACCCAGAACATTGCCAGCTCTGGTGGCTATGGAGAGAGAATCCTTCTGCTTGAGAAAAGCAAAGAAGAGTAAAGGGCACCTTAGGTGCCAGCTCGGTCACAGTGGGGTAGAGAACTAAGTGGTCTCTTCGAGTCCCCAGTTCTAGGCCTAGGCTATTGGACAGCATTTCTGGACCTGCCCTGGGCCAGAGGAGAGCCCACTGCCCTGAAGGGTGAGTTCCAGGCCTGGAAGCATTCACCACAGCTGGCTGAAGAACCTTGGGCCTTAAGTGAACATTGGTGGTAGCCTGGCAGTACTCCCCATGGGCCTGTGGTGGTGGCCATGGGGAGAGACTCCTCTGCCTGTGGAAAGGAGAGGGAGGAATGGGAAGGACCTTGTCTTGTGCTTTGCATGCCAGCTCAGATGCAGTAGAATAGAGCACCAGGCAGACTTCTAAGGTTTCTGACTCCAGGCAGTGGCTCCCAGATGGCATCTTTGGACCTGCCCAGGGCCCAAGGGAACTCACCATCCTTAAGGGAAGGACACAATTCTGGCTGGCTTTGCCACCTGCTGATTGTAGGGCCCTAAAGGCTTTAAGCAAACATAGGTGGTGGCCAGGTAGTGGTTATAGTAGGCCTTAGGCAAGACTCAGTGCTGTGCTGGCTTCAAGTCTTACGCAGCATAATCCCAGTGGTGGTGGCCAAAGGGGTGCTTGTGTCATTCCTCCACCAGTTCTAGGCAGCTCAGCACAGAGAGAAACTCCATTGTTTTGTGCAAACAATGAACAAGACTCTCTGCCTGGTAATCCAGAGTATTCCAGATCTTATCCAAGATCACCGAAACAGTACTTCTACAAGTCTGCAAGAAGCACAGCATAATGGGCTTGGGGTACCCCCTAATACAGATACAATTGCAGTGACCAAAAACTCAGATCACAGCACCCAAGTCACTTTGAATATCTAAAAAGCCTTTTTCCAAGAAAGATGGGTATAGACAAGCCCGGACTGCAAAGATGACAATAAATACATAACTCTTCTATGCCCAGACACCAGTGAACATCCACAAGCATCAAGACTGTCCAGGAAAATATGATCTAACCAAATGAAGTAAATAAGGTACTCAGGACCAATCCCAGAAAGACAGAGATTTGTGAACTTTCAGACAGAATTCCAAATTGCTGTGTTGAGGAAACTCAAAGCCATGCAAGATAACACAGAGAAGGAATTCAGAATCTTATCAGATAAATTTAGCAAAGAGATTAAAATAATTAGAAAGAATCAAGCAGAAATTCAGGAGTTGAAAAAAATGCAATTGACATCCTGAAGAATGCCTCAGAGTCTCTTAAGAGCAGGAGAGATCAAGTAGAAGAAAGAATTAGTAAGCTTAAATGTAGGCTATTTGAAAATGCAGGGTCAAAGGAGACAAAAGAAACAAGAACTTTAAGAAATGAAGCATACCTAGAAAATCTAGAGAATAGCCTCGAAAGAGCAAATCTAAGAATTATTGACCTTAAGGAGGAGATAGAGTTAGGGGTAGAAAGTTTATCCAAAGGGATAATGACAAAGAACTTCTCAAACCTAGTGAAAGATATGAATATTCAAGTACAAGAAGATCATAGAAAACCAAGGAGATTTAACCCGAGAAGATTACCTCAAGATATTTAATAATCAAACTCCCAAAGGTCAAGGAGAAAGAAAGGATCCGAAAAGCAGCAAAAGGAAAGAAACAATGGAGCTTCAATACATCTGGTGGCAGACTTTTCAGTGGAACACTTACAGGCCAGGAGAGAGTAGTATGACATAATAAAGTGCCAAAGGAAAAAAAAATTAATCCCAGAATAGTATATCCAGTGAAACATCCTTCAAATATGAGAAAGAAATAAAGACTTTTCCAGACAAACAAAAACACCAGACATGTCCTACAAGAAATGCTAATGAGAGTTCTGCAATCTGAAAGAAAAGGATGTTAATGAGCAATAAGAAATCATCTGAAGGTACTTTTGTCACCAGTGACAGTAAGTACACAGAAAAACACAGAATGTTGTAACACTGTAACTGTGGTGCGTGAACTTGAATCTCAAGTAAAAATAAAAACTAAAAGATGAACCAATCAAAAATAATAACTACAACTTTTCAAGACATAGTACAGTAAGATATAAATAGAAGTAAGAAAATGTTAAAAGGTGGGGTGACAAAGTTAAAATGTACAGTGTTTGTTTTTTCTTTGTTTGTTTGTTACTTTGTTTGTGCCATCAGTGTCTTTAAGTTGTCCTTGGTTTAAAATAATGGATTATGAGATAGTATCTGCAAGCCTGTGGCAACCTTAATCAAAAAACATACAATGCATACACAACATATAAAAAGCAAGAAATTAAAATATACTGCCAGAGAAAATCACCTTCATTAATTGGAAGACAGGAAGAAAGAAAATATTTAAGAAAAGACCACAAAACAACCAAGAAACAAATAACAAAATGGCAGGAGTAAGTCATTACTTATCAGTATAACATCAAATGTAAATGGGCTAAACTTGCCAATCAAAAAACATAAAGTGACTGAATGAATAAAAAAAAAAGACCAAATGATATGCTGCGTAGAAGAAAAACACTTAACCCATAAAGACATACATAGACTGAAAATAAAGGGATGGAAAAAGATACCCCATGCAAGTAGAAACCAAAAAAGAGCAGAAGTAGCTATACTTACGTAAGACAAAAAAAGATTTCAAGACAGAAACTATAAAAAGAGACAAAGAAGTTCATTATATAATGATAAAGTAGTCAATTCAGCAAGAGGATATAACAACTTAAATGTATATGCACCCAACACTGGAGTACCCAGATGTATAAAGCATATATTATTAGAGCAAAAGAGAGAGATAGGTCCCAATACAATAATAGCTGGAGACTTCAACACCTCACTTTCAGCATTGGGCAGATTATCTAGACAGAAAATCAGCAAAGAAACATCAGGCTTAATCTGCACTATAGACCAAATGGACCTAATAGATATTTACCACATATTTCATCCAAGAGCTGCAGAAAACACATTCTCCCCAACACATGGATTATTTTCAAAGATAGATCATATATTAGGCCACAAACAAGCCTTAAAACATTTTAAAAATTTGAAATAATAACAAGTATCTTCTCTAAACACAAGGGAATAAAACTAGAAATCAATAACAAGAAAAGTTTTGTAAACTATACGAACACATGGAAATTAAACAATATGCTCCTAAGTGACCAGTGGGTCAATAAAGAAATTAAGCAGAAAATTTAAAAATTTCTTGAAACAGGCTGGGCTTGGTGGCTCATGCCTATAATCCCAGCACTTTGGGAGGCCGAGGCAGAGGAGGATCACCTGAGGTCAAGAGTTCAAGACCAGCCTGGCCAACATGGTGAAACCCCGTATCTACTAAAAATACAAAATTTGCCAGGCATGGCAGCAGGCACCTATAATCCCAGCTACTTGGGATTACTCAGGAAGCTACCACTTGGGAGGCTGAGGCAGGGGAATCACTTGAACTGAAAGGCGGAGGTTGCAGTGAGCCGAGATTGCGCCATTGCACTCCAGCCTGGGCAACAAGAGTGAAATAGCGTCTCCAAAAAAAAAAAAAAAAAGAAAAGAAAAGAAAAGAAAAAAGAAAAAAAATTTCTTGAAACAAATGATAATGGAAATACACATATCAAAACCTATGAGATGCAGCAAAACAGTACTGAGGCAAGTTTATAGCTCTAAGTGCCTACATTAAAAAAGTAGAAAAACTTCAAATAAATAACCATCTTAAATGACTAGAAAAGCAAGAGCAAAGCAAACTTAAAATTAGTAGAAGAAAAGAAATAATAAAGATCAGAGCAGAAATAAATGAAATTGGAACAAGGAAAACAATATAAAAGATCAACAAAATGAAAAGTAGGTTTTTTGAAAAGATAAACAAAATTGACAAACCTTAGAGAGACTTACAAAAGACAGAAGGCACAAATAAATAAAATAAGAGATGAAAAAGGACACATTACAACTGATAACACAGAAATTCAAAGGATAATTAAGGGCTACTATGAGCCATTATATGTAACAAATTGGAAAACCTGGAAGAAATTGATAAATTCCTAGAAAAATTCAACCTATCAAGATTGAACCATGAAGAAATCCAAAACCTGAGCAGACAAATAATAAGTAACAAAATTGAAGCCAAAATAATCTCTGAGCAATAAAAAGCCCAGGACCTGGTGGCTTCACTGCTGAATTCTACCAAACATTTAAAGAACGAATACCAGTTCTATTCAAACTATTCCAAAAATAGAGGAGAAGGGAAAATTTCCAAACTTATCCTATAAGGTCAATATTACCCTGATATAAAAACCAGACAAAGATATCTCAAAAAAAGAAAACTACAGCTCAGTATCACTGATGAACATTGATGCAAAAATCCTCAACAAAATACTAGCAAATCAAATTCAACCACTCATTAAAAAGATCATTCCTCATGACCAAGTGGGATTTATCCCAGGGATACAATGATGGTTCAACATATGCAAATCAATCAATATGATAGCTCATATCAACAGAATGAAGGACAAAAACCACATAATCATTTTAATTGATGCTGAAAAAGCATTTGATGAAATTCAACATCCCTTCATGATAAAGACTCTCAAAAAACTAGATATTAAAGAGCATACTTCAACATAATAAAAGCCATATGTGACAGATCCACAGTGAGTATAATACTGGGTGGGGAAAAACTGAAAGCCTTTCCTCTAAGATCTTTAAGAAGACAAGGATGCCCACTTTCACCACTGTTATTCAACATACTATTGGAAATCCTAGCTAGAACAATGAGACAACAGAAACAAATAAAGGGCATCCAAACTGAAAAGGAAGAGTCAAATTATCCTGTTTGCAGATAATATCTTATATTTAGAAAAACCTAAAAACTTCACCAAGAAACTATTAAAACTTAACAAATTCAGTAAAGTTGCAGGATACAAAATAAACATACAAAAATAGAATTTCTTTTTGCTAACAGCAAGTAATCTTCAAAAGAATCCCATTTATAATGGCTATAAATGAAATTAAATACATAGGAATGAACTTAACCAAAGAAGTGAAAGATCTCTACAATGAAAACTATAAAACATTGATGTAAAAAATTGAAAAGGACACAAAAAATGGAAACATATTCCATGTTCATGTATTAAAAGAATAAATATTGTTAAAATGGCCATACTTCCCAAAGCAATCTACAATTCAATGCAATATCCATCAAAATACCAATGACATCTTTCGCAGAAATAGAAAAAAAATTCTAAAATTTATATGGACCCCACCAGAAAAAACAGAATAGCTAAATTTATCCAAGCAAAAGAACAAAACTGGAGGAATCACACTAACTGACTTCATATTACACTACAGAGCTATAATAATAAAAATGCCATGGTACTGGCATAAAATCAGACACATACACAAATGAAACAGAATAGAGAACCCAGAAAAAAATCCATACATCTACAGTTAACTCATTTTTGACAAAGGTGCCAAGAATATACATTGAGGAAAGGACAGTGCCTTCAAATAATTGGTGCTGTGATCCATATGCAGAAGAATGAAACTAGACCCCCCTCTCTCTCTCACTGTATACAGAAATCAAACCAAAATAGATCAAAGGTTTAAATCTAAGACCTCACACTATGAAACTGCTACAAGAAAACATTGGAGAAATACTCTAGGACATTTGTCTAGGCAAAGATTTCTTGAGTAACATCCCACAAGCATAGGCAACCAAAGAAAAGATGGACACATGTGATCACATCAAATTAAAAAGATCCTGCACAGCAAAGGATACAATCAACACAGGGATGAGACAACCCACAGAATGGGAGAAAATATTTGCAAACTATCTATCTGACAAGGGACTAATAATCAGAATGTATAAGGAGTTCAAACAACTCTATAAAAAAATCTAATAATACAAGTTTTAAAATGGGCAAAAAATCTTAATAGACATTTCTCAAAAGAAGACATACAAATGGCAAACAGGTATATGAAAAGGTGCTTAACATCATTGATCCTCAGAGAAATGAAAATCAAAACTACAATGAGATAACATGACCTTAGTTAAAATGGCTTTTATCCAAAAGGCTTTTATCCAATAACGAATGCTGGCAAGGATGTGGAGAAAAGAGAACTCTCGAACACTCTTGTTGCTAATGTAAATTAGTACAACCACTATGGAGAACAGTTTGGAGGTTCCTCAAAAAGCTAAAAATAGAGCTACCATATGATAGTAACCCTACTGCTAAGAATATATCCAAAAGAAAGGAAATCAGTAAATCAAAGCTATATCTGCACTCCCATGTTTATTGTAGCACTATTCACAATAGCCAAGATTTGGAGGCCACCTAAGTGTTCACCAAACAAATGAATGGATAAAGAAAATGTGGTACGTATATGCAATGGAGTACTGTTCAGCCGTAAAAAGAATGAGATCCCAGCCCCAGTTAGGGGCTTATAGATGAAACTCCCATCTCCCTGGGACAGACCACTTGGAGGAAGGGATGGCTGTGGGGGCAGCTTCAGGAGATTTAAACGTTCCTGCCTACCGGCTCTGAAGAGAGCAGTGGATCTCCTAGCACAGCACTCGAGCTCTGCTAAGGGACAGACTGCCTCCTCAAGTGGGTCCCTGATCCCTGGGCCTCCTGACTGGGAGACACCTCTTGGCAGGGGTAGACAGACACCTCATACAGGAGAGCTCTGGCTGGCATCTGGCAGGTGCCCCTCTGGGATGAAGCTTCCTGAGGAAGGAACAGGGAGCAATCATTGCTGTTCTGCAGCCTTTGCTTGTGATACCCAGGCAAACAGGATCTGGTGATCCCCTAGCAAACTCTAGCAGACCTGCAGCAGAGAGGCCTGTCAGAAGGAAAACTAACAAACAGAAAGGAATAGCATCAACATCAACAAAAAGGACGTCCACTGAGAAACCCCATCCGAAGGTCACCAACATCAAAGACCAAAGGTAGATAAATCCACAAAGTTGAGGAAAAACCAGCGCAAAAAGGCTGAAAATTCCAAAAACAAGCACTCCTCTTCTTCTCCAAAGGATCACAGCTCTTCGCCAGGAAGGGAACAAAACTGGATGGTGGATGGTGAAGTAGGCTTCAGAAGATGGGTAATAACAAACTCCTCCGAGCTAAAGGAGCATGTTCTAACCCAATGCAAGGAAGCAAAGAACCTTGGGAAAAAGTTAGATGAATTGCTAACTAGAATAACCATAAATGACCTGATGGAACTGAAAAACCCAGCATGAGAACTCTGTGTAGCATACACAAGTATCAATAGCCGAATCAATCAAGTGGAAGAAAAGCTATCAGAGATTGAAGATCAACCTAATGAAATAAAGCATGAAGACAAGATTAGAGAAAAAAGCACGAAAAGGAATGAACAAAGCCTCCAAGAAATATGGGACTGTGAAAAAACTAAACCTACATTTGATTGGTGTACCTGAAATTGACGGGGAGAATGCAGCCAAGTTGGAAACACTCTTCAGGATATTATCCAGAAGAACTTCCCCAACCTTGCAAGACAGGACAACACTCAAATTCAGGAAATACAGAGAACACCACAAAGATACTCCTCAAGAATAGCAACCCCAAGACACATAATCGTCAGATTCACCAAGGTTGAAATGAAGGAAAAAATGTTAAGGGCAGCCAGAGAGAAAGGTCAGGTTACCCACAAAGGGAAGCCCATCAGACTAACAGTGGTTCTATTGGCAGAAACCCTACAAGCCAGAAGAGAGTGGGGGCCAATATTCAACGTTCTTGAAGAAAAGAATTTTCAACCCAGAATTTCATATCCAGCCAAACTAAGTTTCATAAGCGAAGGAGAAAAAAAATCCTTTACAGACAAGCAAATGCTGAGAGATTTTGTCACCACCAGGCCTGCCTTACAAGAGCTCCTGAAGGAAGTACTAAATATGGAAAGGAAAAACCAGTACCAGCCACAGCAAAAACATAGTAAATTGTAAAGGCCATCAACACTATGAAGAAACTGCATCAACTAACTGGCAAAATAGCCAGCTAGCAGCATAATGCCAGGATCAAATTCACACATAACAATATTAACCTTAAATGTAAATGAGCTAAATGCCCCAATTAAAAGACACAGACTGGCAAATTGGATAGAGTCAAGACCCATTGGTGTGCTGTATTCAGGAGACCCATCTCACATGCAAAGATGCGCATAGGTTCACAATAAAGGAATGGAGGAATATTTACCAAGCAAATGGAAAGCAAAAAAAAAAAAAAAAAAGAAAGAAAGAAAAAGAAAAAGAAAAGCAGGGGTTGCAATCCTAGTCTCTGATAAAACAGACTTTAAACCAACAAAGATCAAAAGAGACAAAGAAGGCCATTACATAATGATAAAGGGATCAATTCAAGAAGAAGAACCAACTATCCTAACTATATATACACACAATACAGGAGCACCCAGATTCATAAAGCAAGTCCTTAGTGACCTGCAAAGAGACTTAGACTCCCACACAATAATAGCTGGAGACTTTAACACCTCACTGTCAATATTAGACAGATCAATGAGACAGAAAATTAACAAGGATATTCAGGACTTGAACTCAGCTCTGGACCAAGTGGACGTAATAGACATCTACAGAACTCTCCACCCCAAGTCAACAGAATATACATTCTTCTCAGCACCACATCACACTTATTCTAAAATTGACCACGTAACTGGAAGTAAAACACTCCTTAACAAATGCAAAAGAAAGGAAATCATAACAAATAGTCTCTCAGACCACAGTGCAATCAAATTAGAACTCAGGATTAAGAAACTCACTCAAAACCACACAACTACATGGAAACTGAACAACCTGTTCCTGAATGACTACTGGGTAAATAACGAAATTAAGGCAGAAATAAATAAGTTCTTTGAAACCAATGAGAACAAAGACACAATGTACCAGAATCTCTGGGATACAGCTAAAGCAGTGTTTAGAGAGAAATTTATAGTACTAAATGCCCACAGGAGAAAGCAGGAAAGATCTAAAATCGATACCCTAACATCACAATGGAAAGAACTAGAGAAGCAAGAGCAAACAAATTCAAAAGCCAGCAGAAGACAAGAAATAACTAAGACAGAGCAGAATTGAAGGAGATAGACACACAGAAAACATTTATGCAGCCAACAAATATATGAAAAAAAGTTCATCATCATTGATCATTAGAGAAATGCAAATCAAAACCACAATGAGACACCATCTTATGCCAGTTAGAATGGCAATCATTAAAAAGTCAGGAAATAGCAGATGCTGGAGAGGATGTGGAGAAATAGGAACACTTTTACACTGTTGGTAGGAGTGTAAATTAGTTCAACCGTTGTGGAAGACAGTTGGAAATTCCTCAAGGATCTAGAACCAGAAATACCATTTGACCCAGCCATCCCATTACTGGGTATATATCCAAAGGATTATACATCATTCTACTATAAAGACACATGCACACGTATGTTTATTGAAGCACTGTTCACAATAGCAAAGACTTGGAACCAACCCAAATGCCCATCAATGATAGACTGGATAAAGAAAATGTGGCACATATACACCAAGGAATACTAAGCAGCCATAAAAAAGGATGAATTCATGTCCTTTGTAGGGACATGGATGAAGCTGGAAACCATCATTCTCAGCAAACTAACACAGAAACAGAACACCAAACACGGCATGTTCTCACTCATAAGTGGGAGCTGAACAGTGAGAATACATGGACACAAGGAGGGGAACATCACACACTGGGGCCTGTTGGCGGGTGGGGGGCTAGGGGGGGAAAACATTAGGAGAAATACGTAATGTAGATAATGGGTTGATGGGTGCAGCAAACTGCCATGGCACATTTATACATATGTAACAAACCTGCATGTTCTGCACGTGTATCCCAGAACTTAAAGTATAAAAAAAAGAATGAGATCATATCATTTGCAATAACATGGATGGAACTGGAGGTCATTCTGCTAAGTGAAATAAGCCAGGCATGGAAAGACAAACATCACATGTTCTCACTTATTTGTGGGATCTAAAAATCAAAGCAATTGAACTCATGGACATAGACAGTAGAAGGATGGTTACCAGAGGTTGGGAAGGGAAGTGGGTGGGGTGGTGAGGGGGAAGTGGGGATCATTAATAGGCATAAAAATATAGTTAGAAAGAATGAATAATATCGCGTATTTCATAGCACAACAGGGAGTGACCATAGTCAATAATAATTTATTTGTACATTTTAAAATATAATAACTTAAAAGAATATAACTGGATTGTTTGTAACACAAAGAATAAATGTTTGAGTGGATGGATACCCCATTTACCCAGAAGTGATTATTATGTATTGTATGCCTCTATCAAAATATCTCATGTACCCCATAAATATATACACCTACTGTGTACCCACAAAAATTAAAATAAAATATTTTTTAAAGTAAAAATAAAAACTAGAAAAAAACTGCATTTTTAAGGACTCAATGCAGGTATCTCTGGATTTTGGTCTTCTATCTTATCATCACTCACATTGTTTTATGCTTCCTTGTGCTAACCTAATTTTCCACCTATCCCTTATCTTCCGAACCCTCCCAGTATGCCCCTGGAACTGAGTGCCATGAATATCAAACTTCATGATATCACCAATCTCTTCTGGTAATATTTCTTATGCCGCTTTCGTCAATTCCCCACAATTCTCCACCCGCCCTGCAATTCTCTTCATCACCAACATACCTCAGGGTTGAGAGGCTCCACCGTATCTTTGACTCTTGACGCCAAACTTTGTACATTGTCAAAATTCAATATTTTTAATGAGTGGACCTGTCCCCTTCACTCTATCCCCATTGCTGCTGCCTTAATTCAGGTGTTCATCAACCATAACTTAGACTACTATAACTACAGTCAATTCCCATTGCTTGCGTATTCCATGCTTGCTCATTTGTCTACTCACTAAAATGCATTTGTAACCCTAAAGATCAATATTTGCCGTGCTTTCACAGTTATTCCTGGACATGAGCAGAAAGATGGTAAAAAATTTGTCACCCAACAGGCCCATTTTTAGCTGTGGTTGGACAAGGCAATGCCCTGCCTTCTTGTTTTAGCTCTCATACTGAAAAAAGTTTCCTTTCCAGGTCTACTTAATGCTAGTGCCACATATCTTGCATGTGTGTGTGTGTGTGTGTGTGTTTGGTGGTTCCACTGTTTAAAATGGCCCCAAGCATAGTGCCAAAGTGCTGCCTGGTGTTCCTAAGTACAAGAAGGCTGTGATGTGCCTTATAGTGAAAATGCATATGTGTAGTAGGCTATCCCGTCTAGGCTTGTGTATGTACACACTGCCATGTTTGCACAACGATGAAATCACCTAACAACACTTTTGTCAGAATGTATCTCTGTCATTAAGCAATACATGATTGCACTTGTATTTTTACCACTTATTTTATGCTCTTTTGCTTTTTCTGTATAGTCACACATTCGGTTTCCTCTTCTTGGAATGTTCTCTCTTCTTCCCTGTCCTTCAGCTAGTTAACGCCTCCTTATTGCCCTAATTGCCCTTATTGCCTACTATTGCCCTTATTGACTCAAATGTAGTTTTCTCTGTGGAACCTTCACTGACCCCAGTGTATGGTCTGAATACCCTTTCTCTGTGCCCTGGGAATACCTTTAACATAGCACATACTCTGATGCTTGGTTTTCCTTGTCTTTCTCTTTCACTATACTAAAAAATCTTTCAGATTAGGAATCATGTCTTTTTTTCCTCTTAGTACCAAGGACAGTGCCTGGCATATTTAGTACCTTGTAAAAGCTAAATATATTTTTATACTGTGAATCCAGAATGAATGAATGAATGAATGAATGAACGAGCGGTTTAATAAAATCTGCCCGCTTCAAATATTTGAAAAGTTTTCAGGCTAAACATCCTAAGTTTGTATACTCTTTCTCAAAGGGCATGTTATCCAGACCTTTCTTCATGTCTTGTCACCAAGACCCATTCCAATTATTAAAAAGTTAATTTTAAATCATACATCTGGAACACTGTGAGCCATGTATGAGATATGGTATTAAGAGTGCAGAGTATAATTGTCTTTTATTTCCTTTGATTAGTACACAATAAATAGAAATGAATGAATGAATGAGTATTCATGAAGCCTTAAGATTTTTCCCTTGCTTATTTTTGCCTACATGTCACTCTACTAACTCTATTTAGTTGCTGTTAATTAAAATCCTTATGTCTTATATACATATATATACATATGTACCTGAAAGCCACAATGACCTTATTTTTGATTTCATACCTGAAATTTATCAAAATTATTTTAGTATAATCGTTTATTTATTTAGAAATTCTCCTGACCATATTATCAGCTTTTCCAAATTTACACATATATTTCATGATGGAGATCATACAGTCTAGTGGAGGAGCATAGGTTTAGAGCAGGGTAACTTCAATTCAAATCCCATCTCCACTTCTTGAGAGCTGAAAACCTTGGCAAATCACTTAACTTTTCTGAGTCTCATTTTTCTCATCTGTGATTTGGAGATATCATATTTTTATAGGACTTTTATAAGTGTTGGAGATAACAGTCACAAAGAGGTTAGCCCAGTGTGTGACATGCAGAAGACTTAGAAAAATGACAATAATTTATAAACAGATAACTGAGATATTTTTAAAATGCCCCCCTAAAATCTAGATAAGGCTAAAACATCAGCTTAAACTTCAGCTAGTAAGCACATTTAAAAAAAAAGAAACTAAATGAGTTTTGGCTGGGTGTGGTGGCTCACTCCTGTAATCCAGCACTTTGGGAGGCCAATGCGGGTGGAGTCAGGAGTTAGAGACCAGTTTGGCCAACATGGTGTTTGTATTTGGCTAATCCAAAAATTAGCTGGGCCTGGTGGTACACACCAGTAATCCCAGCTACTTGGGAGGCTGAGACAGGAGAATCACTTGAACCTGAAAGGTGGAGGTTGCAGACAGCCAAGATCGCACCACTGCACTCTAGCCTGGGCGATGCAGTGAGACTCCATCTCAATAAATAAATAAATAAACAAACAAACTAAATGAGTTTAGCCCTCGGCCTGTGTGATCTTAACTGAAACTTGCCCCTGATCCGCTTCTGCTACTTCTTGTAGTACAAAGATCTCTTTTAGCACAAAAATTGTAGGTTAAGATAATTTACTACTCTGATCTAATTGATTATTATTTATTATCCCCACAAATAGTCCAGAGAAACATGAGGACTTCCCCCCACATTATTAACACATGATAATAGCCAGGGGTGGGGCATATGTATGAAATGATTCTCGGTTCTCAGGAATTACTGATAAATACGCTATCCACTCTGTTTCCAATCTGGCATTAGTATGCCTTTGCTTATTTTAGCATTTTCTGCTAGCACTCACCGAGACTCTTGCCTTTCCATCACTCAAGTTGGCTGCTTGCTTTGCAGTTCCTTTTTTCGACTCCTATCCCAACTTTGATTTTTGTTGATTTAAAAAAAAATTCTTATAGATTTAGTAAGTATAAGTGTAGATTTCTTACATGCATGTATTTCATAGTGGTGAAGTCTGGGCTTTTCGTGTAACCATCATCCAAATAGTGGACATTGTACTTGTTAGGTGATTTCTCATCTTTCATCCTCCTCCCACCCTCCTACCTTCCAAAGTCTCCAATATCTATTATTCCACCACATGGCCATATGTACACATGATTTAGCTCCTGCTTATAAGTGAGAACAACTTTGCCTTTAGCAAACAGAAGCGCACAACCTTGGAGCAGGTACAAATTTGATCTTCTCTTTTCTCCTCTACCTCTTCTTTTCTTTCACTTCTTTAAATCATCATAAATCTCACCACTCCCCTCTCCTCCTCATGTTCCAAACAACATCCAAGTGTCATTTTGGTATGCTCTGGTCTCAGTGAGTCCTTGCTGATCCCCCAAAATGGCTATGTACTTTCAAAAGAGCTTTTTAATAATATTCTCTATCACTTTTCTGACGATTGTTGTTGGGGGCAGTATTCTGTTGTTTTTGTAGTATACCATTTTCCACTTGTAGAAAATTAGGACATTTACCTATTTCCAGTCTTCTGCCATCACATCTCTTCTCCCTAAATACTCAACGACTGCTTCTGCCAGTGTTTCTGAGATCACACCTGTGCAGCCCCCAGTCCCCTGGGAATAATTTTTCTAATCTGGGGACTTGAATTTATTCAAAACACCCAGGAGCTCTCTCATCATCTCTTCACCTAATTTGAGCTTTATTTCCCTCTTAACCATGTTTATTCTACTCTTTTCTGTTTGAAGATCATTTTTCCTTGATAGAGAAAATAGAAGCAAATTAGGAGATGAGTAGTTCATCTTTCTTTGTGTAATTTGTTAGCATAATAAGATGAAAAATCAAACACTGAATCTCTTTTTCCTTGTTGTTTTTCATTCTAAGATAGCTTTAAAAGTTTTTTCCACCTGGTCTTTGGCCTTTTTGCATACCTAAGCTTATCCTCAGGTTCAGTTTGGATCAAATTCTCTAGCTTTATTTTTTATTCTGTTTTCATTCTTGGTTATGTATCACTCTCTATCTTTAGATGCATTCTTTTTAAACATAAACCCAACAAAACTCCCCAGCAGCCTAAGTAGTTTCCTTCAATCCCTCCCTCCCTTTTGTCATATGTTTATATAATTAAAAATTGAATTTGAGACCTTCATATTTGAGAGTACCCACATCCTCACCAACTTGAGCCATGGAGCTGATTTATTCATGGTGGGGCCTTCATCCTGAGCTTAAACTGCCACTGGAACAAATCTAGTAAGCTGGTGTGGCAGGACTGCTAGAAGTCTATTGAGCAAGGGACTGAGGAGCTTTATGGCACCAAATGTTACCTATGAAGAGATGAAGGCAGGCATGTCAGCTTGGCCCAAAGGTGAAAACGCTCTGTTCAGGAAAGGAGAATGAGCCTGAGTAAGTGTAAGGTGGTGGCTGTCACTTGAATTGATTCCTGTCCTTTGTCTAGCGCTCTCTCTCTCTCTCTTTCTGTGTGTGTGTGTGTGTGAGAGAGAGAGAGAGAGAGAGAGACAGAGTTCTTAGCTGAGGCTATCAGATATGTAGATAAACTTGCCTCAAACTCCCAATTCCATGATGTGAGAACATCCAAACCCAAATCCTCTTTTGATTTCCACAAATTCTTAGAATTGGGCCATTTCTGAACACTCCAAGAAGTAAGTGTGTGTGTGTGTGTGTGTGTGCATAAGTGTGTTTGGGGGGGATGGATTGCCCAGTCTGAAGTCTTCAGCAAGAAGCTTAGAGGCCAGATCCAGGGAAAATGTGAGTTATTATCATTAATGTGGTACCTTTGAATTAACAGCATGGTAAATTGGGTTGAGAGGGATCATCTGTTTTTTTCTTTGACCTTGTCAAAAGTTTTCAAGGATAAAGACTCATTATAAACATGCACACACACATCACTGGTAAATAGGCAAGTATAGCACATAGTAGGTGCTTAATAAATATTATTGAATTAGTAAAAAAATTCAACTGGTAGACATAAATATAAATAATATGCCACATTATTTGGTTGCCATGAGTTCTAAACGACATAATTATTTTCTCCTAAATTCCCTGTGATGCCCACCTGATCAAATAGTTCTCCCTTGTATTCAGAATTAATTTCAGAGATGCAGCTCCCTCTATCACTACCTCCTGCTTCTGTGAAATGACACTGTCAGCAGGCAAGTCAAGAATTTATCAGACATTCCACTTTTAGCAGAGTGATTTTCCTAGCAGCTCCCTTGATAATTGAAGTCTCTCAATGCCACTACATTTGATCTCCTTCCAGTTATCTCATGTGGGTTAGAATTACATTCAGAATCACATAAATAAATATAACATATTAGAATTAGAGAGATTTTTATTTGTTCCTGTTTTTCTTTTCATCCTATTATGTTCAAAACATCTTTATATCATCATATTTTGTATGAAACCATACAAAACCCTACAAAATTTCTGTTGCGAAGAAATGTCCCATTCTCTATCTTGTATATTTCTGCCATGTCCTTAGCCAGGAAAAAAAAATTTATATTGGAAGAAATTGATTATCTTCAAGATCTTTTATTGGTTCTTCTTAACTTACCCAAGTCCAAAGATTCATATAAATGAAATTTGTCCTTTCCCACAATGTATTATATTATCCCTCCTCACCTGCCTGAAAAACTTAAGACCCATCAGAACGTAAGCTTTCCTTGGCAAAGTCTCTCTTGTACTGCCTTTGGACTAGTACTCATCCTTGTACATATTTCTAATACAAGGCATTTCACACTATTTTATGATACCCTTGCATCAGACAATAGTAGCATGAAAATAATTCAGCCTTTTCTCTACTTCTGGTTGCTAAAGAGATTATCGGCCTGGCCAGATCTTTTTCTTCCCTTATTGCTAAGAATTTTTTTCTGGTAGATTTGATACTGAGGAGATAATCGGAGATAATCTCTGTGTGTGTGTGTGTGTGTGTGTGTGTGTGTGTGTGTGTGTGTGTGTGTGTGTGTTTTGAGACGGGGTCTCGCTCTGTCGCCAGGCTGGAGTGCAGTGGCGTGATCTCTGCTCACTGCAACCTCTGCCTCCCGGATTCAAGCGATTCTTCTGGCTCAGCCTCCCAAGTAGCTGGGATTATAGGTGTGTGCCACCACGTCCAGCTAATTTTTGTATTTTTAGTAGAGATGGGATTTCACCATGTTGGGCAGGATTGTCTTGATCTCTTGTCCTTTTGATCTGTGCGCCTCAGATCAAAGTGCTGGGATTACAGCGTGAGCCACTGTGCCTGGCCAGGGATAAATTTTTTGAAGCAAAAATTTAGTGAGGGTTATAGAGTGGAGGGAAGGAGAGAAAGAAATGTTCAGGGAGTTTGAGGAAAAGGCAAGAACAGCTGCAGTAAGAGTGAAATGGATGAGAAAGGGATTTTTTAAAGAAGGGTTATACTTCATTTCTTAGACCTTGAGATACACAAGTCGACTCACTTCAAATCTGTATTTTTCATTATGCTTCTGTAACTACTCTGAGACTGGACCACATGCGATTATGATTTTCATAGGGTTACATTTTGTTTATTCCTCTCTCTGATCTCTTCTGTAAGTTCCTCAGGCAGGAAAAATGCTGTTAATTTCTGTGTCTTCAGTTCTTAGCTCATAGTAGGTATTTAATACATATTTGTAGGACTAAAGACTAGAAGTGTTTTTAAAACAAATGGGGAAGTCATGAGTTTCCCAAAACTGTAGAGCTCTGCCCTTTACCAAGCCTGAAGTGTTTGAACTTTTAATGTCATCAACACTTCATTTGAAATTTCTCCTTGCCTAATGCCATTTAATTGCTGCTAATTTTAGTAGAAAATAAATCAAGGGATTTTCTTATATGATTTAACACTATGCATGCATGCCATAATAAACAATTACGGTAGGAGATTTAGGGAGAGATATATGAGTTTGTCTCCTCTTGGGCCAGTTAAATCTAACTGTTAAACATATCTGCTACATGACATCCTGCTCTCTCTCTCCAAGAAGTAGCTCTGTGACTGGGCTCTCTAGTCAAGTCAGTAGAGGCCTTAGGCACTAAAAAGTTTAAAGTGGCCCTTTCCACAGAAACATAGTTCAAAATTTTTTTAAAGGACTAAACTGAAAAACAAAAGGAAGCAAAGTTCTGCTTTTTCCCATTATGTATATTTGAATTTAAAAAGAACTATCAGGTATAAAAATCTTTTTAAAATGTATTTTCTTTCTTTGTTTTTTTCTTCCTTCCTTCCTTTCCTTCCTTCCTTCCTTTTTTCGTTTTCTTCCTTGCTCGCTCTTTCTCTTTCTTTCTTTCCTTCTTTCTTTCTTACCTTTTCTTTCTTGCCTGCTTGCTTGCTTTCTCCCTCCCTCCTTCCCTCTCTCTCTGTTTCTTTCTTTTTCTTTCCCTCCTTCTTTCTTTCTTTCTCTCCTCCCTCTCTTTCTTTCTTTCACAGCCCAGACGTTATTTATTCATTACCCTATTATGCCATGAATCCATAGGGAATAGGTTCCAGCAGGCTAGGCTCCATTCCACTAGCTCTCAAAGTGTGCTTCTCTAGGTGGAGCAGGCTGGTACTTCACTTGAACCCAGGTACCTTTCTCTTTGGCGTCCTTCTTTTTCTTATCATTTTCTTCACGCATTTCAGGAAGCTATCCCAGGTCTTACAGTGCTTAATGTGCTCAATACACACATTAATTCCCTTGGCAAGAATCTTGCCCTTAGCTTGTTTGTTTATAGCAATGCCAATGAATGGCATGCTGGGTAACATTGTAGACTCTTCCAGTTTTGCCATGGAAATACTTGCAGGACATTCCTTTTTAAACAGTATCCATTCCCTTGATGTCTGTAATATCACCTTTCTTATCGATTCCTATGCATGTGGCCAAAGAAACAGCTCTATGTTTTTAAAAGGCCTAGAGAACACACATCGGGTGCCTCTCTTCTTTCCCTCTGTGTTTGTCATTTTGGTGAATTACTGGAGGAGGATGGTTCTGGCCAAGATGTATTTTTTTATTTGATTTTTTAAATTAATTTCTGCTAGTGCCCTATAAACATGCACTTTTTCAGAATTAAAGGTGGCAAAATGTTGGTTATAAAACTAACACTCTAGCATCCTCTTATTAGTGAAGAAATGATGAAAGTTTGTAATGATGAGAAACTTATGCATTTAAGTTTGAGAGATTTAAACACTGTTTCAGGTGAGGAGTTATTGAAATCTAAAGAGCCCAAGGCAGGCTTTTTTAAAATGCCACCAAGTCTGTTATAAGAAAAATAATCCAGGCTTTTACAATCTCGTTCTAATGTTCTTCTGACCATATTCGATATTTCAATATAATTATAATTGTTAGGGCAAAAATGTAATAAAAGCCTTCTATTGCCTTCTTTGGTTTCCTCTTTTATGTATTAAAAGGAGAAAATATTAATCACTCAAGTATTTATTGAATCTTTACTATTTATTGAGAATTATATGAGGTGCCATGAGAGATTCAAAAAAGAAACAAAGAAATATAAAGCATAGTTCCTGCCAGCTAAGAATTTATAGTGTTGCTGCTATTGGTTAATGAAAACCTGTAACTGTTTAAAGGCTAGAAATGATAACAATTATGCTAATGGTCATTAATTATAGTAATCACAATGCAATTTCTCATTTGTATAGCACTTTAGAGTTTACAAAAACATAGTCTCATTAATCCTCATAGCCACATGTAAGCTTCTGTTTCTTCCATTTGTATAGTAGTAACGTCTGTTTCTTATTTATACAGTAGAGCTGATATAAGATAAATTTTTTTTAAATGAGAATGTTTGTAATAAATTAAACTTGGAAAATCTTTTGCAATTTAACATTGAAAGGTTGTACAAGAAGGGTGAATATCAACAAATACAGCAATATTAAGATGATAGAGCAGCCAATCAGAAGGAGAAACTCTCACTTTACTTTTTTAAACAATTTTATCATACTGATGACATACAATAAATTGCACATATTAAAGTGTATGATTCGATGAGTTTTCAGATATAGGAATGCCCATGTAACCATCACCATAATCAAGATAATAGGTGTACAATCATTGCCAAAATTTTCCCCCGCCTCTATAGTTTTCTTCTCCTGCCCCTCCCCACCCTGTCCCCTTTTTCTAGGCAATCATTGATGTGTTTTCTCTCATGAAAGATTAGCTTTCATTTCCTGTAATTGTATTGAAATTCAACCACACATTATGTGTCCTTTCACTCAATTATTTTGAGATTCATTCACGTCATATCAGTAGTTCATTCCTTTTTATTGCTGAGTAGTGTTTCATAGGATGAATATACCAGTTTGTTTATCCATTCACCTGTTGATGAATATTTAGGTTTTTTCCAGACTTTGACTATTACAAATAAAACTGCTATGAACATTTGTGTATTAGTCTTTATATGGACATATGCTTTTATTTCTCTTGGGTAAATATCTAGAAATAAAATGGAATGGCTGGATTAACTTTTTAAGACACTGCCCAATTGTTTTCCAAAGGGATTATGCCATTTTACATTTCCACCATTATAAGAATTACAATTCCTCCATATCCTCTCCAATACTTGGTATAGTCAGTCTTTTTAATTTTAGCCATTGTAATGGGTATATAATAGTACCTCATTGTGACTTTAGTTTATATTTCTTTAAGAACTAATCATATAAGCCTCCTTTCTACTGCTTATTTGCCATCTGTATATCTTCTTTGGTGAAATGCATGTTTAAATATTTTGTCTAACTTTACTTTTACTGTTTTCTTATTATTGATATATCAATTCTGAATACAAGTTCTTTATCAGATATATGTTTAGCAAATATTTTCACCAAGTCTCTGCCTTGTCTTTTCATTCTGTTAACAGCATTTTTTAATGAATAAAAGTTTTAAATTTTGATATAGTCCAATTTACCATTTGGTTTTCTTATGGATTGTGCTTTTGGTGTCACGTCTAAGAAACATTTGCCTAATCTAAGGTCACAAATGTTTTCTCCTATATTTCCTTCTCATCATTTTATAGGTTCCAATTTTATATTTTGGTCAATAATCTGCTCTGAGATAATTTTTGAATATGGTGCAGAAATTCTCGCTTTAATCTCAGATAAATTTTCAGATTCGACTGTGAAACAGTATGCCAAGAAGTGTTGCAAAAACTGTTTTGTTAGAATCATTTTCAGTTGGAAAAAGCATTAAGGAACTTACTAAGGAAATAGCCCTGCATATGCAGAAGATGGTACAAACTGAAAGTGCCATTTGTCTATTTTCTGATACTTGGCATAATTTTCTGAAATAATTTTGACAGTATCAAGGAAACTAAAATTCAAAAAACTCATGAGTTGATAATTTAAGGCTACTAGACAATCTTTTCATGCATGATCCAACTTCTACTCGCTTATCCCCTTGAAAATACAAAGTAGCACAATTTTCTCCCCAATCCACTAGAAAATTCCATATATTTCCTTTAAGTAACCTATTGCTTTGAGTTTTTTTTCACGTGTGTGACACTCTGATGTCTGGAATGATATTTTAGAGTAGTCATTGACTTCATGTACTGCATTTTTCAAGGAGAATATTCTCTTGAATACTGGCCTTTATATTGGGTTTTAGCTGGGAGATAGTATCTTCTCAAAAACTGTAACTTACTGTCATATCCATTGTTCCACATAGATTTATTCCTTGTAGTTTAATCTTTGTAATTAAATGTCTAACTAGGTGCAAGATAGGCTACCAGAGTTCTATTTAGAATAATGACTAATGTCGTCTTATTCAAAATTGAGGTCATGACCCTAGGAAGTCCTATAGTGGTTTTTTGGGAAATACAAAAATTTCCAAAAGTATCTCAGAAACCCAAGTTCTGTAGAGCACTTA
The DNA here is from genome assembly GCF_000001405.40 of Homo sapiens. NCBI lineage: Eukaryota > Metazoa > Chordata > Mammalia > Primates > Hominidae > Homo > Homo sapiens. The sequence goes on along the minus strand of NC_000012.12, from coordinate 24,639,775 downwards.
GCTAGCTTGCATGCAGCCATCAAGGTTATATGCAGTTAAGGAAAAGGTGACCTCTCCTATCTCTAGAGCCTTTCCCTGTCTTTTGTTGTTGTCTGACTTGCACATACCTTAAGATGCATATAGGGATTTTGGAATTGAAACATTCATTCCTATCCTGACTAATGCTGGTACCTGCAAAATAAACTGTATACTTTTCATGTAGGAAAGATAACATGAAAGGAAGTGCAGATTTCAAGGGAAACAGAGAAAAAAACTTCAGAGTAAATTTTTATGTATAAAAATTACATAGGTACATCTAGGATTACCAAATTTGCATCAACTAATAATTTGTTCAGCTGAATTAATTTGTCAAGTTAAGTAGAGGTCTTATTCATAAGCACAGTCATCCCCTCTCCATTACACTCCTGTACTTTCCTCCCTCCAGAGATAGTGTAAAAGCAGAAAGAGCACCTTAGCTCTTCATTATTTGTTTTTACCTTTCTTCGGGGTACTTTAGATAGAGATGGCTAGATGCTACCTGGTGTCTATCCTCCCTTTCTTAGTGACAGAGCTCAAGTGTTTCAAGGAGGACAAGGTATCCAGCTAGTGGACTACATTTTCCAACTTCTTTGTGGCTAAATGCAGGTACACGGTGAAATTCTGGCTAATGAGATGCAAGCAGAATTGTTTTGTGTGATTTCTAAGTGAAGAGTTTACTCATTATCTGCTTTTCTACTTCTCTTATATGAGAGGGCAATAAACCAATTTAATTAACTACTATTGGGGGGGTTTCTGTAATGTGCAGCTGAACCCAATTCTAACTGAACAATATGGCATTATTATAAGCAAATTGTAAGAAAAGGTGATAAAAGGGCAAAGCCAGCATCTCAGCATTTCTTGGGAAATAATTTACAATCTTCTTCTTTAGGCAGGGACTCCTTAGGCAGGGACTGAAAGATTCAAAATCTGAAGTTGTTGTTGAATCTCATTTTGAGACTTTCAGTCCCTGCCTAGAGACAACCAGGAGGAAGCATTGTTCTAGGGAGTGTTTGTGTAACTATTTTAGAAAAATCACATTTAAAAAAATCAAATTAGTACATACTCATTATAGAAAATGTAAGAAACTCAAAAATAAATATAAGAAGAAATGGAAGTGTAGAAAATAACCCATATTTCAAATATCTAAAGATAACTATATGTAATATTTTGATACTAACTGGGGTCTTTTTCTCTGCTAAGTTTCTATAACATATAAATAAATCTACTTATATGCACATATGATTTTATACCTTGCTTTTTTCCTCCTAAAATGTGATAAAAACTTATTTTAATGGCTTTATTATATTTTATTGAATAGGTTATAGCATTATCCACCTAATCATTCACACGCAGTTGGATGTTTTGTAGGTTTACCTGATGAAATGATGCACTTCTAGAAAGGTTTATGTGTATAACCCTGTTGAAGTTGTGACCACACAGTTTGGTCCCAGAGCTGTGCACATTTAAAGGGGCAGAGTATTAACATAAAAATATAATTGGAAAAGTGTTCTGTTCTTTATTCTTGTCTCAAAGCATTCCTTCTCAAACCTGAGTGTGCACAGGCTTGTGAAAATCCTGATTGCTGTCCCCTACTCCCTCACCAGATATTCTGATTCAGTAGACCTGTGGTGGAGCCTGGGAATTTGCTTTTCTAACACATGGCCAGTTGATGCTGATGCTTTAAGAATCACAGTCTTATCAACACATTAAAAAGTTTCATTCATCTTATTCCTCATACTTTCATATCTCTCTCCTTCCTAATTCTCAAATCCTAAAGTCTCCAGACTTCCTTTTGCTAATATCCCCCCAAAATTTTCAGTACTCCCCATCTCTGCTTTATCTAAAAGTCACATGGCTGTTACTCTCTGCCAGTCTCTTTGTCCCTCTCCACTTTCCTGCCAACCTTTAGTTCTTGACTTTTCTTGACATGCTCAGATTCTGCCTAACATTAGCATTCTGGCCAAAATAGACTCATCTCAGAGATTGGGGACAGGGATTGAGTTGTGATTGACAAAATTCTTTTTACAATGGAGGGGAATCTAAGAACTCTCCAAAATTTAAATTTCATTTTATCACAAGTACTGAAGGCTGTTTCATTAGAATAGAGTCCCAGAATCCGAATTTCTGAGGCAAGAGATGTGAGCTGCTTAAATCTGGATCTATATTGACAGATTAAGAACACAGATGTTAAAGCCTGACACATATGACTTCACATCCCATTTTTGCCACCTGCTCATTATGTGAATTTGGGAAAATCAAACCCACTGAGCCTCAGTTCCTTCATATGTAAAGTGCTTAAAAATTCTAGCATTAAACTAATAGGGTAGTTTTGAGGATTATATGTGACAATGAAGGTAATGTTTAGCAAATTTCCTAGCACTTGGTAAGAGTTCCATTGATGTTATTATTGTTGCTGTTGCAAAATTACTTCTGAAAGTTCATTCCAGATTCACACTCCCATCAATAGTGTAGCACAGTGGTAACTGGGAAGTTCTTAGTATCTAACTACAATACACAATCTTTCTCTCTAGGTTAGGGGTGTCTCCCTAATTAACTAAGAAAGTCTGCCTACTAGAACTTGAAGGGAACCATGGAACTAATGATTCACAACATAGGAGACTTACTGAGGCTTATCTATATTCTGACTTTGAGTTGGTGCAAAATGAAGTCAAATTAAATGGGTAATTTCCTATCCTCTAAGCTAAAATGTCTTTCTAATTAATTTTGCCATCCTTCTGGTAAGAAGAGTCTTAGTAGTTTTCAGCAATAGCTCGGACCATAGTAAAAATGGGTCCTGTGTGGTTATCAGCCTGTGACAAAAGCATGTCATGCTTTCTGTGTTTCTCAATCAAATAACTGCAATTCTATTAATTCCATCGTTCTTTCCTTGCAGCTTTTGTTTTTCAACGACTCACTTATTATGGTTGACTAAGTTATTAAAACTGAGTTTTACTTTCAAATTTCCTGTTGCTTTTATATGATATCAGGAAGTAAATTTCTAGTGCCTTGGTTTATGTCTATCAAATATTTTCATAATAAGAACTACTTCATGGGTGTAATAAACCGGAAGTCTCGGAACTCATGAAAATAAACTTTCTAACTCTGGGAGAAATGCATCATAAACCTCAAAATATATCCAACAATCTACTTATTACTGGTAAAATCAGAACAGCTTTAAAATCACAAACAGTAATTTGTTTCAGGAATAGCAAATGAGGCTTCCATTGCGTACATTAAACTCTATTATTCAAGAGAAACATAAAGTAAATCTTGTGTGAGCTGAGTCGATTTTTGTCTTACCACAAAAAGAGGCAGTTGGATAAAGAAGATGACCTTTGTTAAAAGGGAAAAAATCTTCAATACCCGGTGTTCACTGCCAGTGGGTGTTCTCGTGTTGGCTCTTAAAAGAAGCAGGAATCCTATTGTCATTTCTTCTAGCTTTAATGATGAAATTTACTTTCAAGTTTGTGTTTAGTCTCAGGCTATAAAAGTTCAGTACCTCCCCAGCACTTGATTCTGGGTCATGTCTTTGGGACCCTCAACATACTCTGGGACAAAATAAGTGGCTACAGATAAGAAAAAAAAGCTCTAAGCTTCAGCATGAAGTGCTGAAACTGGTACAAGAGCTAGGCTGTTAATAGCAACCAAATTGATTTTGAACTTCGGGAGATTTGCCTTCCCCCTGACTCTCAAGGCCTGGCTCTGACTTACATTAAAGCTCTTTCTGTTTAAATAGACAGAGGCTGTACTGTATGAAAGGAGAAGAGAGAGATATAAGCCATGAATTACAAAAGGACAAATATGTATGCAAAAGCAATTAGGGGCTTTGAGGGAAGAGTATACTTTATAAACCATCCCTAGATAGTAAGTCTATATTATTCTTGAGAATTTTAGCAAGACATCAGAATTAGGTTGACCAGGCTTATTAGTAGTGGAAAACAAATGAATACTCCTAGTTTGATAAAACATTCATGACTCCAGATAACTATATTTCAGGAAGAAGAATGAATTGTATAATTTGCAAAATTTTGCCCACTAAGGACATAAATGTTCTAGGAGCCCCCAAAAATACAACTGAAAAATCACTCATAAGACTTTTAGGATATCAATTATGGCGTTTCATCAGGAAAATATTGGTGAACCCAGTTTAACATTCTGCATCCTCCTCAGATCTTCTTTTTTGCCTTTGGCAAATCATGGAATTAACATAATAACAATTGATTCAACTATTTTGTGAGGCTTCAGAATATATTGGTTCTTTCATTTATTCATTTACATGAATGGTATAATGGTATTTCATTATCATTCAAAATCTTTGCCTTCAAGAAGTCTCCACTTCGTTGAATATGAGGCCAAATTTTTCTAGCTCGTTCACCTCAGCGGTCCCTTAAATGGTCAGTAATGCTCTGAGTTCACCTCCCAACATGGAGATCAGGAATTGACACTCAGGCTGGTTTCCATAGCATAAACACAGTTTTTGACTAGGCACTCACTTCTTTCACTTCGAAGGCCATCTTGCTGAGAGGAAAGAGGCCCTTCCTGTCACTCTATCTCTACCTCCACCCCTAGTGCTCCTTCCTTTGATAGATAGAGTTTATATTCTTATACTAGTTGTCACAAGAATTTAGAAAATGAAAGTTGATCTCTCTTTAGAAAATGATTGGAAATCTCTGTTCTAGATACTACCTATTCTACCTCCTCCCCAGTCTTGCTTTTTTTTTTTTTTTAACTTTGGTTAATATGCTATATATAATAAGGAGAGATTACACCTGTTCGATCTCAAACAATAGAAATAATTTTAAATTTATTAGGTGAAGACAGATTTAAAAAAAAGCTCCTTAAAATCCTAACAAGTATAATTTGTATAAGAAGTGAAAAGCACTTTTTGAATAAAGCAATGGAGTAATTCTTAAATGTATGGATAATAACAATTGGATATTAATGACATGATATAGCATCGTGTCTGAAACTAGAAAATAACATCAGGCATTGTGATTTCAAGACTTGGTGATGGCAACAAAATAAGACTTTTAATGCTCTAGGAGTTGCATGAATAAACCACAACTTGGACAGTCTTTTTGGTATTTAGTTCAGCTTCAGTGTGAGCATTAACTTTTCTACTACAGGTTGGAACATAAGCAGTTGGTAAAACATGACTGATAAGACTGTTCATGAGATTTTGAATTTTTGGCAACAAATGTATTGTTTTAAATTTAAGTAAGTAATGAAAATATATGCATATTGCAAAAAAAATTCACAGAAATACTTGGACTAAAAATGAAAGAACTCCATCACTTCCATCACTTCTGTCCCAAATCACCTCTTTCTCTCTCTACTCCCATTTCTCACTTTCCTTCCCAAGGAGCAATTGCTACTAACAGTGTGGAGTTTATCCTTTTAATGGAATTTATATATGTGTGTGTGTGCTTGTGTGTATGTGCATGTGCATGTACATACACACATGCATAAAAGTAAAAGTTGTTTTTCTCAGACTGTATTACTCTGCAATTTAATTTTTTTCACCAATATATCTAGGAGATTGCTAAATGTTCAGAATATATACATCCCCATTCTTTCTAACTGACACATTATACTTCCAATTCTGTGAATATACTGTAAACTATAATCTATTTAATCATTCCTCTTAATATAAATACTTGTGTGATTTGTTGGTTTTCACTATTATAAGCCATGTTGAAATGAATATCTTTGCACATTCATATCTGAGTACATATACATGTATTTTTGTAAGATAAATTTTAAAGTAGAGTAATTCAATTTTAAAAATACAACAAAAAATCTACCCAAAATGCTAACCACTTTACCTATACTGTATGAGTGTTAGTGTGTATATCTGTCTTTGTCAACACTAGATAGTATAACTTTTAAAATTTCTGACACTCTGGCAATATATGTGTATGTGCCTGTATTAGTTTACTTGAATTTCCGTGATTACTAATAATGATTTGTTTTTGTCATTATATGAATACATTACTTTGTTATTATACACATACATATGCTATGACTTGCTTATATCTGTCCTTTTCTCATATTTCTACTGTACTGCCTTTTTATTATTGCTTGTGAATTTTAACCCCTTGTTGGTTATATAATTTTATCATTTTTGCCTGGTCTGTTATTTCTCTTTTTCCTTGAATTATGGTGTTGGAGCATATAAACATTTAACATTTTTATGTACCCAAATCTGTGGTTAATTTCATTGCTTCTGAATTTGGGTCTTGCCTTATTAAACCTTCACCATACCAAGATTATAATAATATTTCCTCCACATTCTTCTAATATTTTCATTATTTATTATTTAGTTGTTTAATCCATTTCCATTTTTTTGTGTATTTTACGTAGGTGTCTAACAACTTTTTATCCAAATTTTCAGTTTCCAAACACTAGTTTATTGCCTAATTTCTCCTGATTGCAAATGCAGCCATTTCTAAATGTCTACGTATGTGTATCTCTTTCTGGTCTCTCTATTCTATCCCATAGGTATGAGTTTGTCTCTTTGCTCAAATTACACTACTTAAATGCCTATATTTAAAATTTTGCATTGGTATACAATAAGGCAAATGCCCAGTATTATTTTTTCTTAAAATTTTCTTGGCTATTCTTTTACATTGTCTCTTTTTTTGTGAATTTTTGGATCAGTTTGTCCTAAACTATAACAAATCCTGTTATATATTTTGCATTCTTTATTAATCAATATTTGTAGTGGTCACAGAGCTTTACCGTTTTTAAATCAACATTAAAATTTTTCTTTAAAAATCAATTTATACTTTCAAAGAACTGAAAATGTAGTTGAAGAAAATAATTTCTAGAAACTCTTTATGAACTGTCTCCTTACAAGGTCAAGAAAAATATTATCACTTGCCTCAAGATAACTTAAAATAAGAGCATCTCATGTACCCCATAAATATATATACCTACAATGTACCCACAAAAATTAAAATAAACTGTTTTTTTAAAAGATCACTTAAAATAGTAGAAACATTTTTAGTAGAAGTGATTCCTGAAAGCACAGCAGAATCATCTTCACATAGTTCCTCCCTTCTGGGGAGTTTTAAATATCTGGAGAAATGACATCACCGATGTAGCTTCCCAAATATTTATGATGTATCAAGTCAGTGAGAACATCTAAATGAATGATTCATTTCATAATGAATAGATTGTGTTTGATCACTGATCTTTTTCTTAAAGTTGTTGAATAGGAAGACTATATAGGAAGTCTTCCTACATGAAGCTGTGAATAACTATGGTCATAATGCTTCAACATTCTGCCAAAGTTTGGCACATAAAAAGATTCCTTACTCTGCACTTTAAAAGGCAATGGAAAGAGAGAAAATTCCAAGATGACTTGTTCCATCATGTCACACATTTTAAATCCATCAAGCATTCAGACAATAACTACAATTATTCCATTCCCCAAGTGTCCTTACAGAGCCTAATATCTACATACCATATCCCCAAACCAACCATACACATGCATACATATTTTTTAAATAGACAAAGATTTACAGATGCACATATACATATATGCATATATTAACACACACATATATATGCTTCGCCACATGCATATGGATACATTGGAAAGAGAAGAGCAAACAAACAAAACAAACAAGCAAAAACAAGGCAAAAAGATAAAAATGCATGCAGAAAAAATTGTGGGGGAACCATGGGTGCACAGTGAAAGAAAGCATAGAAGAGAACAGATATGCGGGGTAAAGGTGGGGAATGAAAACAAGAAAACTATTAAACAGTGGTAACATTTAAGGCAAAATGCAGCCACATCAGCAAGTATTTTATATGACCTAGATTTTCTTGACCTTCTCACCTTTCAAAATTAAAAGCAGACGTAAGATTTGAGAAGGGCCATGTGTTTTTCTAAAATTGCATCTGAGATGAGCTTATTAAGATTATGAAACTTCCTCATTTGACTAAGAATGAATTCACATGTTAGCTCTAAATGGGTACAATATACCTCCCAAATATAAAACAAAATTGTTTAGAACATTGTTCTATGCATATATGCTGGGATAAAAATACCTATTTCTTAAGGAGGGAACATAATGTACAGCATCTAATGTCAGAGAATCATATCTAAATTTTCGTACTTTCAAATGATTTTTTTGATTAAAAAAAAAGAAATGCTTTTATCAAGGTTGCCTGCAGTGCAGAAAAGGGCACTTAGTTGGGAAATATTGATATTACTTGAATAATGGGCTTTTACACATTTAGCTCACTATTTATCTACATGATAGAGCTTCATTTTGGATACCTGAGAGTAGAGTTCATTTCTGAGTTAATGCAGCCAGATCTATAGACAGTCATTCTGGAGGGCACCGAGCTTCTGGGATACCATGCTGTGGGAAATATGCCCCCAATGCACTCATGAAAGGTTAAGTATCATACAAGTGAGCACATCCAAATTAAGGGGCAGCCTTTGGCTAAATGCCAACTTTTATCTTCCTAAAAATAATTTCTATCGATATGGCAACTTGCATCCAAAGTTAATGAGGTAGTGAATGATCATCATTGTGCCATTCATGATTCTTTTTGCTTTTTTCCCAACACAAGGAAAGAGACCGGTCAATTGCATTTATTACAATGTTTCAGGAATTAACTACCATAGAAACTCCTGTTGGTTTTCCTCCCACCACCCACTTACCATTTCTCAGAAATGTGGAGTAACCCTAACATGCTATTTGCCAATGCATGGGGCATGCAGATTTACTTCAGTATTCTTCATTCGTCATTTGGGGATTGCTAGAATCTTCTCAGATCTTAACAGAATGGCAGGTGTTTGTGCACAGCCCCTGGTTAGTTTTGTGTGTGTGTGCATTTTAAATATATAACAGAAACATGCAAACATGGCTCTGCTGGACAGAAATCTCCTACTCCTACTGCCTCTTAGCATGGTATGAAGAGTTTCTCTCAGGGTAGCATGAAACATTTGCCATCATTTTCCATCAGAAGAATATAAAGTAAATATAAAACTCAGAATGCATTGTTTGCAGGGCACTCCCTGTCTCTGACAACTTCATTTTTCAGAATGCAATGCTGTACTGCCCTCCTTCCCCTCTGGGCTGAGCTGCAGTACTAGTAATTGTAGACTTCAAAAAAATGTAGGAAGAGGGCTGCTGATAGAATAGAGTGTGACCTTATCAGAAATCAGTCCCAGGAGATGGGTGGAGGGTGTTCTGGGAGAGATGGTTGTCATTCTCAAGCTCTATTTCATGGTAGGGTTGGGTGTGTAGGGGACCGAGTGAAATCTCTTTTCATCTTCTGGCTTAGCTCAGCTGTTTCAGAGATCAATGTGGTTAACGGTAATTTTACACAAGATCTTACTAGTTATTAATCATTACTTAGTTCAACAAATATTAATTTTGTTCTACTACATTAGTCATTAAAAAGTCAATAGTCTTGGTATTCAGAGTTGTCATGATCTTGTGTGGTTCTGTGTGCCTGCCTGAATACTTTTATATAAAATTAGAAGAGGGAGATGCAGTAACTATTGGCAATTTCCCATCCTAACATAAAGACTCCACACTTCGTTGTTTTAAAAGCCATTTCCCATATCATTTCATTAGATACTACAAACTGTCTGGTAAAAATGGCTTGAGGTAATGAAAAAAAAAAGAAAAGAATAAGAAAATAAGAAAAAAGATAAAAGGCATTCATATTGGGAAGGAAAACATTAAAAAGTATTTGAAGATGACATGATTGTCTATGTGGAAAATCTGAAAATATCAACAAAAAATCCAGGAACTAATAAGCAATTATATTAAGGTTGCAGGATACAAAGCTAATATACAAAAGTCAACTGCTTTCCTATATACTAGCAATAAGCAAGTAAACTTTGAAGTTAAAGGCATATTATAATTTACATTGGCACCCATAAAAACGAAACACTTAGGTGTAAATCTAACAAAATATTTGCAAGATCTACATAAGGAAAACTAGAAAACTCTGATGAAAGGTTTAAGAAGAGCTAAACAAATAGAGAGATATTCTATGGTCATGGATTGGAAAACTCAACATTTTCAAGATGTCAGTTTTTCCCAAATTTATCTGTAGATTCAACATAGTCTCAATCAAAATTCCTGCAAATTATTTTGTGGATATCAACAAACTGATTCTAAAGTTTATATAGAAAGGCAAAATACCCATAATAGTCAACACAATATTGAAAGAGAAGAACAGAGAACTAACACTACCTGACATCAAAGCTACTAAATAGGTACACTAATCCAGACAGTGTTGTATTGTCCAAAGAATAAACAAATAAATCAATTGAACAGAATAGAAAACTCAGAAATAGTCCTACATGAACATAGTCAACCGATCTTCCACAAAGGAGGAAACGCAATACAGTGGAGCCAAGATAGTATTTTCAGCAAATGCTGAAAAAGAAAAAAAATAATAATCTAAACACAGGACTTATAGCCTTTATAAAAACTTCACTCAAAATAGATCATATACCTAAATGTAAAATGTATATATGTATAAAACTCCTAGAAGATGACATTAGAAAAAATCTGGATGACCATTTGTATTGGGCGTGGCAATGACTTTTTAAATACAACACCAAAGGCACAATTCATGAAAGAAACAATTGGTAAGTACAATTGTATTAAAGTTAAAAACTTCTACTCTACAAAAGATATGTCGAGAGGATGAGAAGACAAACCACAAATATTTGCAAACGATATATCTGATAAATGATTCTTAACTAAAATATACAAGAATCCTTAAAATCCAACTGTAAGAAAACTAACAACTCCATTTAAAGATAGGCGGAAGACCTGGACAGCTCACCAAAGAAGATATATAGACGGTAAATAAACCTATAAAAAGATGTTTAACATAATATGTCATTAGGGACTTGCAAATTAAAACAAAAATGAAATACCACTACACACCTATTAGAATAGCCAAAATTCAAAACACTGACACCACCAACTGCTGGCAGGGATGTGGAGAAACAGGAACTCTCATTCACTGTGGGTGAGAGTGCAAAATGGTACAGCCACTTTGGAAGACAGTTTGGCAGTTTCGTACTAAACTAAACATACTCTTACCAATTGCACCCCTTGATACTTACCCACATGAGTTAAAAACGTATGTCCATGCAAAAACCTGCACAGGGATGTTTATAGCATCCAAATTCATAATTGCCAAAACTTGGAAGCAACCAAATTGTCCTTTAGTTGTTGAATGAATAAATAAACTGTGGTACATCCAGACAATGAAATCTTATTCAGTGCTAAAAAGAAATGAGCTATAAAGCCATGAAAAGCAGGGAGGAGCCCTAAATGCGTATTACTAAGCAGAAGAAGCCAATCTGAAAAGGCCACATACTGTATGGTTCCAACTATACAACATCTTGGAAAAGGCAAACTATGGAGATATTAAAAAGATCAGTATGTGTTAGGAGGAGGGAAGGATGAATAGAGAGAGCACAGATGATTTTTAGGGCAGGGAAATTATTCTGTATGATACTATAATGGTGGATACATGTCAGTATACATTTATGAAAACCCATAGAATGTACAACACCAACAATGAATCCCAATGTAAACTATGGACTCTGTGATAATGATGTGTCAATGGTGGGGTATGTTGATAATGGGGGAGTTGTGCATGTGTGGAGGCAAAGGGAAATCTCTGTACTTGTTGACCAATTTTGCTGTGACCTTAAAAGCGCTCTAAAAAATAGCCTTTAAAAAAAAGCCAACTTGAGATAAAAATTTTCTCTAGCAAATTAGCAATTTGTTAAAAAATGGAATAACTTATTGATATTCATAACACATAGTAAAATGGACAGTTGCATCAATCATCCGTCACTTGGATTTTTTTCTTCACAATTTTCTGTTTTGTAATTTTTTCAATAAGTAATGTGAATTTTTTTTTTTTTTTTTTGAGGTGGAGTCTTGCTCTGTCATCCAGGCTGGAGTGCAGTGGTGCGATCTTGGCTCACTGCAACCTCCACCTCCTGGGTTCAAGCGATTCTCCTGCCTCAGCCTCACCAGTAGCTGGGATTACAGGTGTGTGCCACCATGCCTGGCTAATTTTTGTGTTTTTAGTAGAGACAGGTTTCACCATGTTGGCCAGGCTGGTCTCAAACTCCTGACCTTGTGCTCTGCCTGCCTTGGCCTTGAAAAATTCTTACAATAAAATTTTTTAAAGAATGAGTTGAGGTAGAGCATTAAATAATTTGCTGAAGGTCACATAATTATTGGCTATGCAACTCAGACTGGAAACAAGCTTACCAAATGGTTTCCAGGAACTCAGACTAGAAACAAGCTTACCAGATGGTTTCTAGAGTACTATTCAGTTCTCAAATAATCCAAAACTGGAACAAAAAGAATTCTTAGCAAAGGGAACTTCCTTTCTCTACTAAATGGTGCAAATGTGAAAATACGTATTTCTGCCAGACGTGATCAATAGAAGCAAGAACATAAACATCAGTAACAGGTTCTTAAGGGCAGAAGAATGAATGATGTTCTCATGCACACAATTACACAGCCCCTAGAGGAGCCCCATGCTTTAGGTGACTTTGTTGAAAGCTAAAATCCTTACAGTAAAATCCAATCCAAAGTAGGTCATTCTGTTGAAGGCAGAGGTGACATGTTCCAAATACGTGGTCATCTGTTGGTAATAATAAACTCAGAGATTTTGGGAATTTTTATAGGAATGACTTCATAGATTGTCCTTCAAGTGAATGTCCCTACAAGCCATTTCTCCCACCAAGGCTTTTAATAGGCACAGAGTATGAGACAAGTAAGTTATTCTCACTAATGAAAGCCTGGAATGATAGTAACTTTATTGCTGATTTGCAGGCAGATCCTCTGGACACTAAATAAACAGGTAGGAAAATAAATATTCCATTATGAAAATTAGGAAGTCTAACAGAATTTACTCTTGTCTAAATAAGAGAAAACCCATTTGCACATGTAGCTACTGAAAGGTTTTTCCCCGTGAAACAGTTGAACAATGTTTGCCAGAGACCTTAGCACTCTGTTCTGGAACACACAACAAGGATTATCAAAGCCTGAAAAATGTTTAAAATGTTTGATGAGGTGTCCTAGGCATCCCTCTTGCCATAGGTTAACCTCAGGAGTCCCCATGGATGTTGCCTCAGTAACATGGGCCCCTGCTGTGCCGTCAGACAATAATTGTATCCTGCAAGCCTACATACATCACTAAATAAATTAGCCTGCTGCACAGATTTTTTTTTAATTTCTCTCCAAAATGTTGGAGACTAACTGCCAACATTGTGTTTCTTAGATAATACTTGTTATAACCCTCTTTTTGACGATAAGCCCATCTTAACATTCCTGGTTAAATTCTCTACCTAAAAATGGGATATTCATGCTATGTACTATGGCAAGTAACCAGTTCAACTACAATCCATTTACACAGAGAGAAAAACAGATGAGAGTAAAATGCATTTTAGGAGACTTCACACTTTTCCTTGTGTTCTTTTCTCTTTCCTCTTGTTTCCTTCCCTCCTTAGCTTCTCGGATCCCTCTATTTCTCTGCTTTCCTGTTTCCTACCTAGACCTGTCTCTTGTCTTATATGCTAAAATCAATTAGTTCTGCTTTAGCTCCTCACCCACTAAAATTTCTACTTCCACTATATCAGCTAGGCCTGACACATTAGGTCATTAGGTTAATTCATATGAAGATATAAATGCCTGATAAAACTAATTCTCCAAAGGTGTACTTGCATTTTAAAAGAGGTGTTTGTTCATTGAAATTAATTTTTAATTATTAAAATGCTTGAGAACTGCACTGTGTTGAAGAATAACCTTTGTCAAACTATACTCCCTCACCCTAGTAAACCACAAAGTCAGAAGAATAATATCTAGAAACCCAATTTTTGAAAAGTTATCATTAAGCATGTAAGAGAGATAGCCAGCCAGGGTCTTCCCTATGCCAGTCAGCAAAAGAAAAGCTGGTATTAAAACCATGCAATTGGAGTCACTTCCAAGATGGCCAAATAGGAACAGCTCTGGTCTGCAGCTCCCAGTGAGATCAATGCAGAAGACAGGTGATTTCTGCATTTCCAACTGTGGCACCTGGTTAATCTCACTGGGACTGGTTGGACAGTGGGTGCAGCCCATGAAGGGCAAGCCAAAGCAGGTGGGGGATGTCGCCTCACCCAGGAAGTGCAAGGGGTAGTGGTATTTCCCTTTCCTAGCCAAGGGAAGCCGTGACAGACTGTACCTGGAGAAATGGTACACTTCCACCCAAATACTGCATTTTTCTCATGGTCTTAGCAACCAGCAGACCAGGGCATTCCCTCCCATGCCTGGCTCTGTGGATCCCAGGCCAACAGAGCCTAGCTCACTGCTAGTGCAGCAGTCTGACATCAACCTGCTAGGCTGCAGCCTGGCGGGGGGAGGGGTGTCCACCATTGTTGAGGCTTGAGTAGGTAAACAAAGTGGCCAGGAAGCTTGAACTGAGTGGAGCCCACCACAATACCGCAAGGCCTAACACCTGTAGACTCCACCTCTGTGGGCAGGGCATAGCTGAACAAAAGGCAGCAGAAACTTCTGCAAACTTAAATGTCTCTGTCTGACAGCTCTGAAGACAGCAGTGGTTCTCCAAGCACAGCATTTGAGCTCTGAGAACAGACAGACTGCCTCTTCAAGTGAGTCCCTGACCCTCGTGCAGCCTGACTGGGAGATACCTCCTAGCAGGGGCTGATAGACACCTCATATAGGCTGGTGCCTTTCTGAAAAGAGACTTCCAGAGGAAGGATCAGGCAGCAATATTTGCTGTTCTGCAGCCTCCACTGGTGGTATCCAGGCAAACAGGGTCTGGAGTGGATCTCCAGCAAACTCCAACAGACCTGCAGCTGAGGGACCTGACTGTTAGAAGGAAAATGAACGAACAGAAAGGAATAGCATCAACATCAACAAAAAGAACATCCACACCAAAACCCCATCTCTAGGTCACCAACATCAAAGACCAAAGGTAGATAAAATCACAAAGATAGGGAGAAACCAGAACAGAAAAGCTGAAAATTCCAAAAGCCAGAGTGCCACTTCTCCTCCAAAGGATCACAGCTCCTCGCCAGCAACGGAACAAAACTGGGTGGAGAATGACTTTGACGAGTTGACAGAAGTAGGCTTCAGAAGGTTGGTAATAACAAACTTCTCCCAGCTAAAGGAGCATGTTCTAACCCGTCGCAAGGGAGATAAAAACCTTGAAAAAAGGTTACACGAATGGCTAACTAGAATAACCAGTGTAGAGAAGACCTTAATTGACCTGATGGAACTGAAAACCACAGCATGATAACTTTGTGACACATGCACAAGCTTCAGTAGCCAATTTGATCAAGTGGAAGAAAGGATATCAGTGATTGAAGATCAAATTAATGAAATAAAGCAAGAAGGTGAGATTAGAGAAAAAAGAATAAAAAGAAACCAACTAAGCCTCCAAGAAATATGGGACTATGTGAAAAGACCAAATCTATGTTTGATTGGTGTACCTGAAAGTGACGGGGAGAATGGAGCCAAGTTGGAAAATACTATTCAGCATATTATCCAGGAGAACTTCCCCAACCTAGCAAGGCAGGACAACATTCAAATTCAGGAAATACAGAGAACACCACAAAGATACTCCTCAAGATAGCAACCCCAAGACACATAACCATCAGATTCACCAAGGTTGAAATGAAGGAAAAAATGTTAAGGGCAGCCAGAGAGAAAGGTCGGGTTACCCACAAAGGGAAGCCCATCAGACTAACAGCAGTTCTCTCAGCAGAAACCCTACAAGCCAGAAGAGAGTGGGAGCCAATATTCAACATTCTTAAAGAAAAGAATTTTCAACCCGGAATTTCATATCCAGCCAAACTAAGCTTTGTAAGCGAAGGAGAAATAAAATCCTTTACAGACAAGCAAATGCTGAGAGATTTTGTTACCACCAGGTCTGCCTTACAAGAGCTCCTGAAGGAAGCACTAAACAAGGAAAGGAACATCCAGTACCAGCCACTGCAAAAACATCCCAAATTGTAAAGACCATTGAAGTAAAGGCCATGAAGAAACTGCATCAATTAATGGGCAAAATAACCAGCTAACATCATAATGCCAGGATCAAATTCACATGTAACAATATTAACCTTAAATGTAAATGGGCTAAATGCTCCAGTTAAAAGACACAGAATGGGAAATTGGATAAAGAGTCAAGACCCATCAGTGTGCTGTATTCAGGAGACCCATCTCACGTGTACAGGAGCACCCAGATTCATAAAGCAAGTCCTTAGAGACCTACAAAGAGACTTAGACTCCCACATAATAATAATGGGAGACTTTAACACCACACTGCCAATATAAGACAGATCAATGAGACAGAAGGTTAACAAGGATATCCAGGACCTGAACTCAGCTCTGCACCAAGCAGACCTAATAGACCTCTACAGAACTCTCCACCACAAATCAACAGAATATACATTCTTTTCAGCACGACATCACACTTATTCTAAAATTGACCACATAAGTGGAAGTAAAACACTCCTCAGCAAATGTAAAAGAACAGAAATCACAATAAATTGTCTCTCAGATCACAGTGTAATCAAATTAGAACTCAGGATTAAGAAACTCACTCAAAACTGCACAACTACATGGAAACTGAACAACCTGCCCCTGAATGACTATGGGTAAATAACAAAATGAAGGCAGAAATAAAGATGTTCTTTGAAACCAATGAGAAAAAAGACACAACATACCAGAATCTCTGGGACATATTCAAAGCAGTGTGTAGAGGGAAATTTATAGCACTAAATGCCCACAAGAGAAAGCAGGAAAGATCTAAAATCGACACCCTAACATCACAATTTAAAGAACTAGAGAAGCAAGAGCAAACACATTTAAAAGCTAGCAAAAGGCAAGAAACAACTGAGATCAGAGCAGAACTGAAGGAGATAGAGACATAAAAATCCCTTCAAAAAATCAATGAATCTAGGAGCTGGTTTTTTGAAAAGATCAACAAAATAGACTGCTAGCAAGACTAATAAGAAAAGAGAGAAGAATCGAATAGATACGATAAAAAATGATAAAGGGGATATCACCACTGATCCCACAGAAATACAAACTACCTTCAGAGGTTGCTATAAACACCTCTCAGCAAATAAACTAGAAAATCTAGAAGAAATGGATAAATTCCCAGACACATACACCCTCCCAAGACTAAACCAGGAAGAAGTTGAATCTCTGAATAGACCAATAACAGGTTCTGAAATTGAGGCAATAATTAATAGCCTACCAACCAAAAAAAGTCCGGGACTGGACAAATTCACAGCCAAATTCTACTAGAGGTACAAAGAGGAGCTGGTACCATTCCTTCTGAAATTATTCCAATCAATAGAAAAGAGGGAATCCTCCCTAACTCATTTTATGAGGCCAGCATCATCCTGACACCAAAGCCTGGCAGAGACACAACAAAAAAGAGAATTTTAGACCAATATCCCTGATGAACATCGATGCGAAAATCCTCAATAAAATACTGACAAACCAAATCTAGCAGCACATCAAAAACTTATCCACCATGATCAAGTCGGCTTCATCCCTGGGAGGCTAGGCTGGTTCAATATACGCAGATCAATAAACGTGACCCATCACAAAAACAGAACCAATGACAAAAACCACATGATTATCTCAATACATGCAGAAAAGGCCTTTGACAAAATTCAACAGCGCTTCATGCTAAAAACTCTCAATAAATTAGGTATTGATGGAACATATCTCAAAATAATAAGAGCTATTTATGACAAACCCACAGCCAATATCATACTGAATGGACAAAAACTGGAAGCATTCCCTTTGAAAACTGGCACAAGACAAGGACGCCCTCTCTCACCACTCCTATTCAACATAGTGTTGAAAGTTCTGGCTAGGGCAACCAGACAAGAGAGAGAAATAAAGGGTATTCAATTAGGAAAAGAGGAAGTCAAATTGTCCCTCTTTGCAGATGACATGATTGTGTATTTAGAAAACCCCATCGTCTCAGCCCAAAATCTCCTAAAGCTGATAAGCAACTTCAGCAAAGTCTCAGGACAGAAAATAAATGTGCAAAAATCACAAGCATTCCTATACACCAATAACAGACAAATAGAGAGCCAAATCATGAGTGAACTCCCATTCACAATTGCTACAAAGAGAATAAAATACCTAGGAATCCCACTTACAAGGGATGTGAATGACCTCTTCAAGGAGAACTACAAACCACTGCTCAACGAAATAAAAGAGGACACAAACAAATGGAGGAACATTCCATGCTCACGGATAGAAAGAATCAATATCGTGAAAATGGCCATATTGCCCAAGGTAATTTGTAGATTCAATGCCATCCCCATCAAGCTACCAATGACTTTCTTTACAGAATTGGAAAAAACTACTTAAAAGGTCATATGGAACCAAAAAAGAGCCTGTATAGCCAAGACAATCCTAAGCAAAAAGAACAAAGCTGGAGGCATCATGCTACCTGACTTCAAACTATACTACAAGGCTACAGTAACCAAAACAGCATGGTACTGGTACCAAAACAGACATATAGACCAATGGAACAGAACAGAGCCCTCAGAAATAACGCCACACATCTACAACCATCTGATCTTTGACAAACCTGACAAAAACAAGAAATGGGGAAAGGATTCCCTATTCAATAAATAAGTGGTGCTGGGAAAACTGACTAGCCATATATAGAAAGCTGAAACTGGATCCCTTCCTTACCCCTTATACAAAAATTAACTCAAGATGGATTAAAGACTTAAATATAAGACTTAAAACCATAAAAACCCTAGAAAAAAACCTAGGCAATACCATTGAGGACATAGGCCTGGGCAAAGAATTCATGTCTAAAACACCAAAAGTAATGGCAACAAAAGCCAAAATTGACAAATGGGATCTAATTAAACCAAAGAGCTTCTGCACAGCAAAAGAAACTATCATCAGCGTGAACAGGTAACCTACAGAATGGGAGAAAATTTTTGCAGTATACCCATCTGACAAAGGACTAATATCCAGAATCTACAAAGAACTTAAATAAATTTACAAGAAAAAAAACAACCCCATCAAAAAGTGGGCAAAGGATATGAACAGACACTTCGCAAAAGAAGACATTTATTCAGCCAACAGACACATGCAAAAATGCTCATCATCACTGGTCATCAGAGAAATGCAAATCAAAACCACAATGAGATACCATCTCATGCCAGTTAGAATGGCGATCATTAAAAAGTCAGGAAACAACAGATGCTGGAGAGGATGTGGAGAAATAGGAATGCTTTCACCCTGTTGGTGGGAGCATAAATTAGTTTAACCATTGTGGAAGACAGTGTGGTGATTCCGCAAGGATCTAAACTAGAAATACCATTTGATGCAGCGATCTCATTACTGGGTATATACCCAAAGGATTATAAATCATTCTACTATAAAGACACATGCACACGTATGTTTACTGCAGCACTATTCACAATAGCAAAGACTTGGAACCAACCCAAATGCCCATCAATGTTAGACTGGATTAAGAAAATGTGGCACATATACACCCTGGAATACTATGCAGCCATAAAAAAGGATGAGTTCATGTCCTTTGCAGGGACATGGATGAAGCTGGAAACCATCATTCTCAGCGAACTATCACAAGGACAGAAAACCAAACACGGCATGTTCTCACTCATAGGTGGGAACCGAACAATGAGAACACATGGACACAGGGTGGGGAACATCACACACCCATGCCTGTCGGGGAGTGGGAGGCTGGGGGATGGATAGCATTAGGAGCAATAGCTAATGTAAATGACGAGTTGATGGGTGCTGCAAACCAACATGACACATGCATACCTATGTAACAAACCTGGACGTTGTGCACGTGTACCCTAGAACTTAAAGTATAATAAAAAAGAAAAGAAAAGAAAAAAAAACATGAGATTTGCATTTTAGATCTCACACTGTATCTTAAGACAGAGCGCATCTGGGAGTGTTTCAAGTTAATAGTTGTTAAAATAAGCTATTTTTGTCATATATCCTAAAATAATCACGCTCACAATGACATGAAGGTAAAAAGGAAAAATTACAATTTCTTTCCATGACCTTGTGGTAAAGTTACAAAGCCAAATCCATAATTTTGATAAAAGCTTCATGTATGAAGTCAATCTATACTATCAATAGACTACCAATCACGAGAAGATTCATTAAAAAACCCATGTTGTGCAGCATTCAGGTTGCTTCATGCTGCTATATAATAACCTCTGATGGAATATTCAGATGGAAAACAAGATTCCTAAAGAAAACATATGTTTTATATGGAGAAAGTTTTACCTGATTCGCTTTACCCTTCTCCCCAGGCTCCAGACTCACTTTCACAACTGCTTGCTAAACCTCTCCTTTATTCTTGCCTCCCATGTCTACTAGCTGCAAACTTTTACCAATGTTACCTACACAAGATCATTTAGACCCACCTATTTTATCATCATCACCCTATTTCATGCCATTTTTTATCTTACTCCAAGGCTCTTCTAACAGCCCCCAAACTGGATGCCTCCATACCCAGTCTGGAATATTCTATGCACAGGAGATAATGGCTTTCCATGAGATTGCCTCAAACACAGGCTCTAGATGACCCACTGAGGTAGGCCAAACTCTGTGAAAAGATGTTCAAAGCCAGATTTGGTCCCAAATACCTTTACAGTTATTTCTCCACGCTTAATCTCTCTATCCTCTGGCAACCAAACTAGACTGACTCCGCCCTGTTTCTAAACAGAATTTTTCCCATTGGTCACTTGCTCATTCTCCCCTGATCCAGGCCCCGTTTGTTATTTTTGCATGTTGAAATCCCATGTATCCTGTAAATTACTGCTCAGTCTTTAGAGCTTTTTCTGATACACCCAATTAGATGGAAAAATCTCTCCTTTACATTCTTAAATACTTTTTTACATTTCTGTAAAATTAGCATTTTGATTTATTATTAGCATTTATATACTTCAATGAGATTATAAACTCTTTGAGAGAAGCTATTGTATTTTACTTGCCTTTCCACTAACATTGCTTTTTACAAAGTAAAGAGCTCAATATATATTAGAATTGAGATGAATTAAATTTGACATATTTCTCTGATTTGGCTTCTACTTGCATGTAACTTTTTTTGAGTTCCATGTGTTGTCTTGAGAAACAGTATTTTCATTATACAAATTTTAAAATAAATATAGAATGTGACATTTTCTCTCCTTTCTCTCTTTCAATGATGATATGTTTTCAAAGATGTTAATTCCTGTGGGGGTAAAATTTTCATGGTGTTCCTGGAAGCCAAAGTTTTTTGAAAGAAGTTCCAAACATGCAATTGTCTGTCTCTACAACTGGAAGTAGATTTGAGGCTCAGCAGGGTGTTATCACAATTTTTTAAGAGATGATATATTTGAAACAAAATATTTAAGTTATAATAGTCTGGTGCAAAAAACAATTCCTTTTTCTTTCCCTACAGCCATCATGTATAACACTCTTCTTATTTCTGATACCTTACAAATTTCCTGCATTGGCATTAAAGAAATGTGTCTTAATACACATCATCTTGCCCTCCTGGAGAAATAGACTGAATTTGTCTAGGTGTTCTAAGAAAGCATACTGTGTATTTGGCCTATTTGTGGCATAAGTAGAAAACTACCACGTACAGACGCTGCTATTGTTACCTTCGAAAAAAAGAAAAAAGAAAGACATAAAAGAAAGAAAAAAGACTGTTTTAAAATTTACTTGGACTGTGAATGCATGGGTTCCATTTCCTGAAGTGTAGAGTGAATATAGACAGTTAAATAAATAATGAAAGTTACAGTAAAACCTGTGTCCCGCTAATACTCTCTTGATATTAAACAAGGGCAGTTTTGTCTTTAAAATACTAACCCGTTTCTTCTTATAACATTCAATCTCTTCTAGGAATTTCAACTGCTTTTGAACTTATAGATTGTTTCAGATTATTCACAGTAAGTGGCCTGTTTCTCCTGGAGTTTCTTTGAATTGAGAAGCCCCCCAGGGATGCCAGAGGAGAAGGGAAAGGAAACAAACCTGACTCACCACCGTCTAGTTAGGTTACAGTTTAAAGTGAGTAACGAAGCTGTGTGACCAGCAGCGTGACCTTCAGCTGGTAAGTGCTCCTCGTGGATTTACAGTTAGGAGCCTTTTAATTCATGTTCTAGTCTTGTCCAATATAGGACTTAATTAATCCCTCTGTCTTTTTGCAGCCTAACTTGGAACAAT
The DNA here is from genome assembly GCF_000001405.40 of Homo sapiens. NCBI lineage: Eukaryota > Metazoa > Chordata > Mammalia > Primates > Hominidae > Homo > Homo sapiens. The sequence goes on along the minus strand of NC_000012.12, from coordinate 24,617,489 downwards.
AAAATGAAACAACTTCTGGAGATGCTATATGGCTTTAATTCCATAGATCCATGGTTTGCTAAATCTCAACATTCAAATATATTAATGTTAACCTCTCTGATTGATACTGTTTTTTGGGGTGGTGATTATTTTTATATATGTCTATACAAATCTGGTGTTATTGTCTGTATAACTTTTATTAATTCATGCTATTTTCACTCTGACATGGTCTCACTATTTTAAAAGGGAAAGTGCTGAAGAGTTTAGAATAATGTTTTTTTCCCCTTGGCTCACAATAAAACCAATGTGAAAGAAGGGATACAATCTTGCCCTAAATAATTATATTGGCTAAGGTCCAGTTAGGTGAAGAATATTAGTTCCTAATCATTCAAATGGCAAGAATTTCTTCTTCACTCAGCTGCACAGGCTGGAGTTCAGTTTCCTTGGAAGGGAATTTGTATTAGTATCATGTTTTAGGAGCATCCATTATTTTCAGATAGAATTACCTGAATGTAAATAATTCCAATGGAGAGACAGAAAAATAGCAATGTATGAATACTGAAGTTTAGGAATAGTCAATCTCCATTTTCTCTGGATTCGGTAACAATCTATGCTTATGATCAGTATACCTCAAGGGAGATTAGTAATATTTATTGAACTTTCAAAGTGCTTGGGAGTGATGGTCAGAGGAGAAGCTGAGAACATGATTCCTGCATTCGAGTGTCTTTCTTAAAAAAATATAAGATCTGTTGAGGTTGCTCCACGTATTTTCATTCGATATGATAGTGTCCTAGAAAGCTATATGTAAATTTATGGTTCTGCAGATTAAATCTGGTTTTCTTATTTTGTTTCAACAAAATCTTCTTACCTGCTTTACATTTTTATTTGTCGGTCCAAGCAGATTCATTAAGGTTTGAGAATCCAGTGATAGAAAATTGTTGCAAAGTACATGAAACAAGTACTTCATCACAGTTCTCCCAGTTCTGAGAGGTATGGTGGGCTTAAAAAGAAATACAGACCTGTTCTCAGTTTGCTTCAGAAAACAATCTTGCACTAAGTAAACCACCCATTTCACATTTCTCAAATCCAGTGTTTGCTCAGTTTGTTTTGTTGACACTAGGCATAATCCTCTCCATGGGTAAGCTGTTGAGAAGTCCCTCTAGGTGAGCGAGCTGCTCCCTGCCATCTTCTAAGTGATTGCTTCTTCTCTTACTGCAGCTCACTGTGGCTGTGATCATGGCTCTCACCTCACCAAGAGAAACTGCCTGAGCTGTAGCAACCAAAGTTGGGACAGGAGTACAGTTAGTACCACTTTCCCCAAAAGATGGGACACCCACTATGGATTCATGAACTCCTCCTTATGTCAGAACGCAGATTATAAAACTGAATATCTTGTAAGGGCACCACGCTGTGTGCTAGGATGTAGATTCCTTCTCACTGACTCAGGGAGGACATTCTCTCTCTTTTTACTTATGATAAGAAAGGTATGCCTGGCCTATATTGCAAAACTTCCATGCCTGTATAAAGGGCATTCCCACTTTTTTCAGTTTAGTCTTCCACTGAGGGACAAAAGATTCTGAACAAGATCAAGGGGATAAGGCTGCACGGAATTCTCAAAGCTTCAGCTTTCACAAGTAGCACCTAAGGTTGCTGAATTCTATGTTAGTTTTATTTTTAATTTTTAAGGAACCTCTGTATTGTTTTCCATAATAATTGTATCAATATAAAATCTTACCAAGAGTGTACAAGGGTTCCCTTTTCTCTACATCCTAGTCCATACTTGTTGTCTTTTGTCTTTTTGAGAATAGCCATTTTAACAGATGACATAAAATCTCATTATGGTTTTGATTTGCAGTTTCCTGACGATTAGTGATGTGAAGAATTTTTATCATATACAGGGCCTCCTCGACTTATAATGGAATTCTCTTCCGATAAATTCGTCGTAAGTTGAAAATATTGTGACTTGAAAATGCTTTTAATACATGTAATCTGCCAGACATCATAGCTTAGCTTCGTCTACCTTAAATGTGATCAGAACACTGACGTTAGCCTTCAGTTGGGCAAAATTATTTAACACAAAGCTTATTTTATAATAAAGTTATTATAAAGAATTTCACATCAAAATTCAAAATTCTAAGTACAGTCTCTACTGAATGTGTATTGCTTTTGTACCATCATAAAGTTGAAAAATCAAAAGTTGAACCATTGCAAGCTGGGACTGTCTTGCACTTGTTAGCCATTCGTATGCCTGTTTTTGAGAATTCTATATCCAGTTCATTTGCCTATTTTTTATAAAGTTACTTGTTTTCTTCCTATTGAGTTGAGTTTCTTATACGTTTTGAATGTTTACCTCTTATCAGATATGTGGTTTGCAATTATTTTCTCCCATTCTATTCTTCACTCTATTGATTGTTTTCTTTTCTGTGCAGAAGTTTTTATTTGGATGTAATTTCATTTGTCTATTTTTGCTTTTGTTAGCTGTGCTTTTGGGGTAATAACCAAATAAGCATTGCCAAGACCAATGTAATAAAGATTTTCCCCTATGTTTTCTTCTAGTAGTTTTAAAGCTTCAGATCTTATGTTTAAGTCTTTAATTCATTTGGAGTTATTTTTTGTATGTGGTGTGAGATAAGGGTTTAATTTCATTCTTCTGCATGTGAATATCCAGTGTTTCAACTGCATTTGTTGAAGAGACTATCATTTCCCCATTGTGCATTCTTGGTAAATTTGTCAACAATCAATTGACAATAAGTGTGTGGATTTATTTCTGGAGTCTCTATTCTGTTGCATTGGCCTTTATATCTGCTTTTATGTCAGTATTATACTGTTTTGTTACTGTAGCTTTTTAGTACCGTTTGAGATCAGGCTGTGTCACTCCTCCAGTTTTGTTCTTCTTGCTCAAAATCGCTTAGGCTATTTGGGGTCTTTTGTGGTTCTGTATGAATTTCAGAATTGTTTTTCTATTTCTGTGGAAAATGCCATTGGAATTTTGATAAGATTGCATTCAATCTGTAGATGATTTGGAGTAGTATGAACATTTTATATATTAATTCTGCCAATCCATGAACATAAAATATCTTTCCATTTACTTGTGTCTTTCTTTAATTTCTTTCATCAGCATTTTATAGTTTTCAGTATACAGATCTTTTACCTCTTTGGAAAAATTTTATTCCTATGTATTTTATTATTTTTGATGCTATTGTAAATAGATTTTTCTTAATTTCTTTTTCAAATAGTTTGTTTTTAGTGAATAAAACCACAGACAATTTTTGTATGTTGATTCTGTACCCTGCAACTTAACTGAATTCATTTATCAGTTCTAAGAGTTTTCAGATGGAGTCTTTAGAGTTTTCTATATTTAAGATCATGTCATCTGCAGACAGAGACAATTTTACTTCTTTCTTTCCAATTTGGATGCCTTTATTTCTCTATGTTGCCTAATTGCTCAGTCTAGGACTTCCAGTGCTATGCTAAATAGAAGTGCAAGAGTAAGCATCTTTGTCTTGCCCCTGGTCTTATAGGAAAAGCTTTCAGGTTTCAGCTTTTACCATTGAGTATACTGTTAGTAGTGGGCTTTTCATATATGGCCTTCATAATGCTGAGTATATAGAAGGAATAATGTATATTTCTTCTATACCTAATTTGTTGAGAGTTTTTTTTAATCATGAAAACATGTTGAGTTTTGTCAAATCATGCTTTTTCTGCATCTGTTAAGATTATCATGTTTTTTATCCTCCTCCTGGCAATGTGGTACATTACATTTATTGATTTCAACTTGTTGAACTATCCTTGCATCTCAGGGATAAATTGCATATGATCATGGTGTATGATCCTTTCAATGTGCTATTGCATTTGATTTGCTAGTATTTTGTTGAGGATTTTTGTTCTAATGTTCATCAGGAATATGGACCTGTAAATTTTTTAGCTTGTAGTGTTCTCCTCTAGCTTTGGTATCAGGGTAATGCTGGCCTGATAAAATGAGTTTGAAAGTGCTTCCTCTTCTTCAACTTTTTGGAAGAATTTGAGAAGCATTGGCATTATTCCTTCTTTAAATATTTATTAGAATTAATTAGTGAAGCTATCAGGTCCTGGGTTTTTCTTTGTTGGGAGGTTTTTGGATACAGATTCAATTTCCATACTCATTATTGGTTTGTTCAGATTTTCTATTTCTTCATGATTAGGTCTTTGTAGGTTGTATGTTTCTAGGAATGTATTCATTTCTTCTAGATCACTGTGTTCTTCAGAATTTTTGTTAGAGTCTTGATTATGGTTTCAATATCTTTGAATTTTTCATTTTGTTCATGTGTTGTTTTCCTTAGTCTCTTTAGTCATTTGTCTGTGTTCTCTTACAGCTCACTGAGCTTCTCTAAAATGATTACTTTAAATTACTTGTCAGGCAGTTTATAGATCTTCATTTCTTTTGAGTTGGGTATTTGTGCTTTATTCCATTATTTTTGTAGTATCATGTTTCTCTGCTTATTTGAGATTCTTGTGGGCTTGCATTGGTGTCTGTGCATTTTAAGAAGTAGGCACCTCTTCTAGTCTTTGCAGACAGACTTCAATAAGGAAAGCCCTTCACCAATCATTCAATTCAGAGATTCCATCTACAAAATACAAGCAAATCAAATGCAGGGTCCACCCATAGGCACATGCTGCTGGAATCCTTGGACTGTGGCTTGGTGCATGGGTCAATGGGCAGGTGGGCCTGGTGCCTGGATCCACAGAGGCCAGCCTGGCACCTGGGTTGTTGGAGATGTCCTGGAACCTGGGTCTGTGGGGGCTGTCTAGAGCCTGGAGTTGTGGGGACTGGCTGGGAATTGGGGTGGGCCTGGAGCCTGGGGCCACAGGTTTCAGCCTGGCACTAGGGTTCTCTGGGGCAGACCTGGTAAGATTAAGATAGTGTGTAGAAAAGCTGGATATTATTTTACTCTCCTTCCCCGAATGGAGGGCATGTCAGTCCACACTGTATGGGCTTGGGTTGGGGGAGGAATTACATGAGTAATGTAAAACTGTCCTTTCTACCTCTTCAATGTATCTTTTCTTATTTCTGTGTTCCACCCATCTGCTGTAACCACTGTCCTGAATTCCTTAGCTCTTGTGAAGGTATTTTTATATGTGAATGGTTGTTCAGATTGATGTTTCTGTGAGAGGAAGAGCATTGGAAATTCCCATTCCACCATCTTGCTGTAGTCACTCTCCCAGTTACAATGAACTTTTTGAAGGGAGAATAATTTGATCACTTGCAGAAACCATCTACAGCAACCTTTCAGCGATATATTTATAAAGTATCTGTCACCTGGAAGTTGCATAATCAGAGAAAGAGACTGATCCAAGAAGTAAATGAAGCAGATGATAGAATCAGCAGAGGGAAGGGATGTGATGAGAAGAGTAAAGTTTCAAAATTGACTCAAAACCACACTAAAAAGTTAACTCAAAGTGGATCATAGACACAAACATAAAACCTAAAACTACAAAAATTCTAGAAGAAAACATTAGAGAATTTTTTGTGACCTTGAGTTAAGCAAAGATTCCTTAGGATATAAACATCACAAATCATAAATGAAAAATTTATAAATTAGATTTCATCTAAATTAAAGTCTTTTGTTCTTTTTGAAAGACATTGTTGAGAAAATGAAAAGTCAAACCACAGACTGGGGGAAAATGTTTAAAAATCATGTATTCAATAAAGAACCGAAATCTAGAATACAGAGTTCTTAAATCCTAATAATAAGAAGGCAAACAGCTCAATTTCGTTAAATGTGCAAAAGATTAGAATAAATATTTCCCCAAGGAAAACATGCCAATGGAAAAATGTACATGAAATTATGCCCAATGTCATTATTCATTGCAGAAATTTAAAACACAATGGCATACTACTACACACCAGTTGAAATGGCTAAATTATTAATAAAGAATGACCATACCAAGTGTTGGCAAGAATATGGAGCAACCGGAACTCTTATACACAGCTGGGGGGAAAGAAAAATGCTACAACCAATTTGAAAAACAATGAGACAGTTTTTTTTACAAAGATAAGCATATGCTTAATATATGACCCAGGAATTACACACCTAAGTTTTTACTGAAGAGAATTGAAAGCATATAACCACATAACTACTTATATAAATGTTTGTAGCTCCTTTATTTATAATGGTCAGAAACTGAAAACCAGTTTCATCAGCTGGAAAATAGATAAACAAATTATAGTGTATTTATACAATAGGATATTACTCAATAAGAAAAAGGAACAAACTACCAATATATATAATATGGGTGGAAAAAAGCCAGATGTTAAAAAATATACACTGCAGGATACCATTTTTTTTTTAATTCTGGAAAAGGCAAAATATAGTCAGAGAAATCAGAACAGTGGCTACCATGAGTCAGGGTATAGAGAAAGAGGGTTGACTGCAAAAGGGGCATGAGGGGACTTTTTGGAGTGATGAAAATGTTCTATATTTCAATTAGGATGGTGGTCACCTAACTGTACACATTGGTCAAGGATTATCAAATTTTATAAAATTTAGTTAATTTTACTGGTTGAAAATTATGCTTAAATAAAATTAAATTTCCTGAATTGAAAAACAAAATCAGTGAGGAAGGGAATTAAAGAGACTAGTGTAGACACTGTCATGTTCTACGTTGAGGGAGATAGCATGCCACAATACTGAAAAATACCATTGTCATGGTGCTGAGAAAACTGGGTGTCCACATGCTGAAGAATGAAACTAGACCTCTAACTCTCACCATACACAAAAATCAAACCAAAATGGATTAAAAACTTAAATATAAAGACCTGGAACTATAAGACTACTAGAAGAAAACATCAGGGGAACACTCCAGGACGTTGTTCTGGGCAAACATTTCTTGAGTAAGACTTCAAAAGCACAGGAAACAAGGAGAAATGGAGGAATGGGATCACATCAAGCTAAAAAACTGCACAGTGAAGGAAGTAAAAGAAAGTAAAGAGACAGCCTACAGAATTGGAGAAAATATTTGCAAACCAGTCATCTGACAAGGGGCTAATGAATCAGGATATACTAGAAGCTCAAAAAGCTCAGTGGGAAAAAAAAACAAATAATCCAATTTTAAAATGAGCTAAAGATCTGGACTAGATATTTCTCAAGAGACAATATACACATGGACAAAAGATATATGAAAAAACACTCAATAGCACTAATCATCAGAGAAATGCAAATCAAAACTACACTGAGATATCATTTCACCCCAGCTAAAATGGCTTATATCCAAAAGACAGACAATAACAAGTGCTGTAGGGATGAGGAGAAAGGAGAATCCTCGCCACTGTTGGTAGGAATGTAAATTAGTACAACCACTATGGAGAGCAGTATAGAGGTTCCTCAAAAAACTCAAAATAGAATTACCATATGATCCAGCACCCCACTTCTGGGCATATATCCAAAAGAAAATAAATCAGTATTTCAAAGAGACCGCTCCACTCCTGTATTTATTATAGTGCTATTCACAATAGCCAAGATATAGAAGCAACCTAAGCGTCCATCAGTGGATGAATGGATAAAGAAAATGTGATACATGTATACAATGGAATATTATTTAGCCATAAAAAATAAAACCCTGTCACTTGCAACAACATGATGGAACTGGAGGACACTATGTTATCAAATATGCTCTCACTCATATGTGGGAGCTAAAAAAAAATTGAAATGGAGATAGAGAGTGGAATGACAGTTGCCAGAGGCTGAGAAGAGTAGTGGGGTGGGGGAGGATAAAGTGGAGACAGTGAATGGGTAAAAAAATAGTTAGATCGAATGAATAAGATCCAGTATTTGGTAGCACAATAGGTGACTATAGCTTACATAATTTATTGTGTATTTAAAAATAACTAAAAGAATGGAATTGGAAGGTTTCTAACACAAAGAAATAATAAAGGTTTGAGGTAGTGGACACCCCAATTATCCTGATTTGATCATTATACGTTATACACCTATATGAAAACATTACGTGTAGCCCCTAAATATACAGAAATATTATGTACTTATAATAATTAGAAATAAAAACTAAAAAATACCATAGTCTCACTAACTAAATGCATGATCTTCGCCAACTCACATAACTTCTCTCACACTCAGTTTCCCCAAAAATATAACAAGGAGATTGAACAAAATGACTTTTCTGTACAGCTCTGAAATTGACAAAAGTTTAGGTGTTTTTATATCAAAGATAGCTACTCTTGGGAATGTTAAATCAACAATTTTGGTGCCATTTTATCAGGCTAGGTTAATAAAACTGAAAAAGGAAACTCTGATTTATGTCGTTTGACAGTATTTCAAAACAAGTTGAAATGGAAAGGTTGAATAAGCAAATACAGGAAAGAAAGCGGCTCCCTAAATAAAATTTTCACATAAAAAATTCTTCTGATGTACCTCTATTTGCACAGAATGTTTTAACAGTTCTGAGGATTAGTCACTATCAACACAGACTAGTGGAGTTTAGGGTATCAAAAACACATGGGGTTATATTAAGTGGTAGACTTGAAAATATTCATTGGTGCTTGTCATTAGGAAAAAAAGAAACAATAGATGAAGTGTTAAAATGGTGGAAATTTAACAGGGAAACCTTGTGTTTTAAGTGCCACAATGCTGAAATAACTTCAAGAGATTGGCTTACACTCAAACAGGAAATTGACCAAATCAACTTTTGGCTTGAGATAATGAAGTGATAAAAGGAGGGGTGGGGAGAACCACAACTCTGAGTGAGAAGGAAGCAATGGAAGTTCTATGTTATGCTACAAGGCTGTTTCTGAAAAGCGTTCTTAATTAAACCTCTCCATTCAGTGCCCACAAAACCTAAATACAATACTGAATTTGTGCCTTTGGGAACAGGTATAATATAAAATAAAACAGCAGTAACAAATTGGACCAGCAAAAGCACCTCCATCTTTTCCAGACAAAACCCTACACCACTGTTCTTTATTGATGGTCCTATTTCAGGCAGTAACAAGGCAATTAAGAAAATAAAGTTATTGTGAAAGCAAAAGAAGAAGGGACCAAATGGCACAAACAAAAACACCTAAAAATGAGCACTGTAGTTCCCCAATTCCTGCCTACTCCAATCTGTCTGACTGGGATTGAGCTGAGCTCAGCTCCAGGACCTGGTATTTGGAACTTGACTTTAGGAGGCAAAGCTTGGTAGCAGGACCCGGCAGCAAATCATGTGAAACATCTAGCCAATATAGTAATCCAGCCAAGACTGAGAAAATAGATGAGGATCAAGCCAACTAGCCTCAGAGTCCAAAACAGAGTTAGTAAATAAGCACAAACAGCCTGGGATTAAACTAATAAGGCCTTTAGAAGTTGCATCAATGTACCTAAGAAAAATGTTCTCTCTTTCTCTCTCTGAAATTATTTATTTTCTTATGCCAACTTGAAAGATTGACATCAATCAGAGTTGCCACAGGACTCAAAATGGTACAGCATATTTTAGTTTGTACATTGAGAAGTCTTCAAGAAGCTGAATAATAAAAATGGTTAACATTTATAGAATGATTTCTATGTGCCTAGTACTGTCTTAGCACTTTACAAAACAAAATATTTTATGAGATAGGTACTATTGTCATCTCCATTTTACAATGACACAGAGAGTTTAAATAACTCACCAAAGGTCACAGAGTTTGAAAGTGACTGTATTAGTCCATTTCATGTTGCTACAAGAGACTACCTTGAGACTGCATAATTTATAAAGAAAAGAGGTTTATTTAGCTCATGGTTCTGCAGGCTGACAAGTTCAAGGGCATGGCCCTGGCTTCTGGTGACGCCTTTTGTGCTGTGCCACAATATGGCAGAGAAGGCCAAAAGGGAAGCAGACATGAGCAGAGAGAAAAAGACCTGAGGCGTTTCCCTCGCTCACTACTGCAAAACAGCACTAAAGCCACTTGAGGAATTTGCCCCCATAACTCAAACACCTTCTGCTAGGCCCACCTCCCAGCACCACCACATCAGGCATGAAATTTCACATGAGTTTGTTGGGGACAAACCAACCACATCCAAACTGTAGCAGTGGCAGACCAAGGATTAGAACCTGAGAAGTCTGGCTCCAACTGTTATTAACAACTACTGGTTGGAGTAGCCTGAGAGGGTGCCTAGATCCCCGATCTAGAATGAAAACCAACCTTGGGATGAAATTGATCCCTGGAATAATAGACCCAAATGCAGGTGCGGGAGGAAGTCTGGTCCTGGAGGGTGTGACAATAGTCAGTAGGAGGTGGTACAGTCCAGCAGTCAAACCCAAAGAGGTTCAGCCTGGGTTTAGGGTGTTCCAACAGGCAGAGCAGAAGCACTGGCAGGAAATTCACATTTTCAGCAGAGTCCCTGGCAAAGGTTTCAGGATGGCCCATGTTCAAGAAGAACTAGAAATATTAGAAATGACACCAAGATAGAACTCAAGCAAAGAAAATGAGAATGGGATCTACAAAAGAGATAGAATGAATCACTATGTTTGCACCAAGGCCCCATCTCCCCCGGGCTGCTCTCATCCAATGACTGAGTGTGGCAGGAATACTAAGACAGACCCTTTCCTGGGAGATTTGAAACTCCTTTGATGGGCTGCTTTGGTTTGGGGATGCCCCGAAAAGCCTTGCCACTTTCCTTAGATGGCATGGTGGTCTAGTAAGCTTCCAGTCAACACTCCTTCCGCCTCTGTCTCACATTAGGATCAATGGTGTCTCACGGTTCTCCCAGCCACTACACTTCCCCCTACCCCACCCTCATCTGTGCCAGCTCCCACCTTATTTCCTCTCACAGACATTTCCCTTAAAACAGTCCTTGTACCTTTAATCCCATCTGGGCTTTTACTTCTCAGAAAACCCAGACTAACAAAAGCATCTAAATTTGTATAGTGCTTTATAGAATATACGTATAGTTGTGCATATATGCTATGGCTTATATATGTAAATATACTTTCTCCTTTGACCCTGTAAGAATTCTGTTAGGCAAGCAGGGGAGGTACAATAACATCATTTTACAAGTTGAGAAATTGCAGCTCAGAGAGTTCAAGTGCTGTGTCTCTGGGAGGCAGCCTCTAAGATGATCCCAATGATTCCAGCCTCCTGATATTCATGTACCTGTGTAATCCCCTCCCCTTGAGGGTGGATTGGACTTATTGACTGACTTCTAATGAATAGAATATGACAGAATGAATGGGTTATCACTTTTAAGATTAGATTATAAGACTGCAGCTTCCATCTTGAGTGTTTTGTGTTGCTCTCTCATGGATCACAAACCCTGACGGAGAACAGCTGCCATCTTGTAAGGTAGTCTTATGGAGAAGTTCATGTGGCAAAAGACCAATGCCTGCAACAACCACGTGAATGAGTTTGAAAATAGATCCTCTCCCTTCAACCCCAGTCTGATGAGACCACAGCCCTGGCTGACAGCTGGACTGCAACCTCATGAGAGACCTTGAGCCAAAGACACGCAGCTAAGCCACACCTGGATTCCTGGTCCACAGAAACCGTGATGTAATAAATATTGATTATTTTAAACTGCTAAGTTTGGGGGTAATTTTTAAATAGCAGTAGAAAATTAATATAGTGTCCAATGTTCCAAGTGTGAGTAGGAGAATATGCCATTGAAATGTATATCAAAGCTTTGTCTAGCTTCATTTTCTTCTCATCTCTACCCCAATTTGCAATGCCACATTTCTCCATTCTTTCTACAAACAAACTTGAGTCACTAATTCTTTTTTTTTCTTTCAGTGGTTATGGTTGATTAATCATTTTTGCTGGGGTAACATACATCCCCTAAGTCTCAGTGGCTTTCAGCATCAGACATTTATTTTTGGCTCATGGGTGTGTCAGTTAATAATGGCTCTAGTGAACTTTGTTTAGGTCTGTTCAGTTTTGCTCTACGTATCTTCACAACCAAGGCTAAGGCGCCCAGGCTAAAAGAGCTGCCCTTATCTGGGGTGCTGTTCTCGTGACAGAGACATGAACATAAGAGCCCAAACTGAACCATCCAAATGCATTTACAGCTTCTGCTCAGAAGTGCAGCACACTTATTCACATTCTATTGGTCAAATCAAATCATTTAAGCAACCTAACAATGTGACAGGGTGGTATATTCCGCCTAGTGAGGCATGGGAAGTTATAAGGCAAAGGACATGAACTTTGGGGGTGGGGGAGCATGAATTTATAATACATGAGAACCATAGTTGGGGAGAATAATATAACCTATTACATATGATAACAAGTGGTTATGAATCTAGACCATGTCAATGGTTGAAGAATTAATGCTAAGACTTTTTTTTTTTTTACTTTTTTTTTTGAGACAATAAACCATGGTCAGTCATTCTGGATGTGGCTGCTTTGCCAATTCCTGTTCCGAATGGCAGTCTAGTATTTTCTACCCTTTTGCTCAACAGTTTCAGTGAGGATAGATGTTTTCATAATGTATCCAGACTGGATACGAACCTCACTGTCACCCAGACTGGAGTGCAATGGCATGAACATGGCTCACCATGGCCCCAACCTCCTGGAATCAAGTGATCCTCCCACCTCATCCTCCTAAGTAGCTGGGACTACAGGCATACACCACCACATCCAGCTATTTTTTTTCTTTTTTGAGGACACAGGGTCTCGCTATGTTGCCCAAGCTGGTCTCAAATTCCTGTGCTCAAGTGATCCTCCCATCTCAGCCTCCCAAAGTGCTGGGATTACTGGTTGGGGCCACCATGCCCAGCCGACATTTTAAAAATTAAAGCATGGGGCTGGGCGCGGTGGCTCACGCCTGTAATCCCAGCACTTTGGGAGGCCGAGACAGCCGGATCACGAGGTCAGGAGATCGAGACCATCCTGGCTAACACGGTGAAACCCCGTCTCTACTAAAAATACAAAAAATTAGCTGGGCGTGGTAGCGGCCGCCTGTAGTCCCAGCTACTCTGGAGGCTGAGGGAGGAGAATGGCGTGAACCCGGGAGGTGGAGCTTGCAGTGAGCCGAGATCGCGCCACTGCACTCCAGCCTGGGCGACAGAGCGAGACTCCATCTCAAAAAAAAAAAAAAAAAAAAAAAAAAAAAAAAAAAAATTAAAGCATGGAGTGTAATAAATTAGTTTCTTTAGGTACATTATGAAAACATCTGCCTTCACTGAAACTGTTGAGCAGAAGGGTAGAAAAATACCAGACTGCCGTTCGGAACAAGAGTTGACAGAGGAGCCACATCCAAAATGTCTGACCATGGTTTGGTGGTGATATTTTTTCAGTTATAACTTTTAGAGGTGGAAATTGGTTTCTTTCAATACCATGTCCATTTAAAAGACACTTTTTCTACTTTGTTTTTAAAATGGGCATGAAGTCCCATGGGAAAACATGAGATTTCCTTATTCTATGATCCATAAAATAGTTACCATACCCTATCAACCCTGAATTGGCCAGGAACATTATTAGAATTTCTGAAAAGTTGTTAACACTATCCCTTGAAGGAAGAAATAAGAAAAATAGAAGATGCAAATCTTTTTTTTTTTTCCACAACCAAGCGTTCCGGTAATGATTTTCCACTCTTTGCCTATCTTGATGCTTTAAATAGAGCCTAGTTTAAAAATATCTGGTATAATAAAATAAGAAATAGGCAGCTAGCAAATTAGGAAGTAGGTAAAGCTAATTAAAATAATTCTGAAGACTACTGGAGGTACAGTTCTACTAGATTTTTTTTTTTAGAAATGTCAATATTTCAACCTTTTCTGCACAGTATTTTCATAGCTAACTTTGAGCTTAACTTCAATGGCACCACCACACATTTAAACATAACTATCACAGTAATGATATATTCTGATGTCTGGCAGTGCTGCTTATTTAGGCTTCAGCCAGATGCTAAGCCCATGCCGTGTGTTTTTCTTTCTGACAGCCCTATACCAAAGTACAGTGGCCACAGAGGAGAAAACGGAGAAATTAACAACACAATGATGCACCTAGATATTCAACGCAAAGTCATCCTGCTGCAGGGGAGATAGTACTTAAGGAAAAGGCACATATAAGGTGAACTTTCTCTCCCTTTGCCTTAGGCTACCTAATGATGAGAGAAAGCAACATTTTCAGGTTTGCATGAGCTTAATTCCAACTTCCAGGCCAAAGATTGGACCATCTTTTTTTGTTTGTTTGTTTGTTTGTTTTTCTAGTAAGAGGAATAAGGAACTTCAGTTCTGTGAGCAAGTCCTAGCCTCCAGTTCTCTCAGAACTAGTTAATCTGGGTGGAAAAATACTTAGATGTAGCTACCTGTTTATGTTCAAGGTTATAAATTTGCAATGTGATTTTAAAATCTCAGCAACATCCTAAAACAATATAATTAGAATATTATTCCCTGAAAGTCTGTTAATGCAGGTTGATCACCCCTTCCGTCTTTTTTCTAGGTCCTCCCCTACATTAGGGGATCTCTAACGTTGCTTATGTTTTCATTTCTTCACACCTATTTTTACTTCATATATATATATATTTCTCACACTTAACCAGACATAAAACTGAAAAGCATTTTTATTATTTGTTATATTTATTTTTATTATTTGCCATTTTATATTTCAGGCTCTTTTAAAAGTAAACTTGCAATGTAGATAATTATATTTGTCTCTTTACATAGACTTTTTCTTTCTTACTTACGCACCTCATTGTTTATTGTGGCAAGGGGTCCTGATTAGGAGATTTCAACATAAATAAAGGATCTCTATTTCTGTTTCTATAATAAAACAACAGGCCGGGCGCGGTGGCTCACGCCTGTAATCCCAGCACTTTGGGAGGCCGAGGCGGGTGGATCACGAGGTCAGGAGATCAAGACCACGGTGAAACCCTGTCTCTACTAAAAATACAAAAAAAAATTAGCCGAGTGCGGTGGCGGGCACCTGCAGTCCCAGCTACTTGGGAGGCTGAGGCAGGAGAATGGCGTGAACCCGGGAGGCGGAGCTTGCAGTGAGCCGAGATCGCGCCACCGCACTCCAGCCTGGGCTACAGAGCAAGACTCCGTCTCAAAAAAATAAATAAATAAATAATAAATAAATAAATAAAACAAAACGAGATGTGAACCTTGGGGCGTTGACACTGAGAACCTCCAAGAGATGTGATTATAAACAACACTTAAACACTGAAGTTTTTAATAGGTGAGTCCCATGTGAAATGATATTAAATATGTTCTATTGAGTATTTGATTCCGTGAAGAACTAGGTTGCTTTGTAATTTTAAAGGAATTAATACTCATAAACAAAATTTTAAAATTATTTTTAAATACATAAATCCATCTATGGTTTTGGAGTCTCTCTCTCTCTCTCTCTCTCTCTCTCTCTCTCTCTATATATATATATATATATATATCTACTGGAGTACACAAACTTGAGGCCTAAATTTCCTTGTAAAACAAGTTGAATGACATCAAACTTCAAGTTTTATTATTTTATTTATTTATTTTCTGAAATCCATTAAACTTGCTATTCTTGGCAAGTAATAGGAACTTCAGTTACTCCTTCTCCAAGATTTGTCACACGGTTAGATATCAAAAATATAAGGCTTCAGATATCAAAATAGGCACCAATTAAATAAAACTGTACTTTTTTTTTTTTTTTTGAGACGGAATCTCGCTCTGTCGCCCAGGCTGGAGTGCAGTGACGCGATCTCAGCTCATTGCAAGTTCTGCCTCCCAGGTTGATGCCATTCTCCTGCCTCAGCCTCCCCAGGTAGCTGGGACTACAGGCGCCCGCCACCACGCCCGGCTAATTTTTTTTTTTTTTTTTTTTTTTTTTTGTATTTTTAGTAGAGACAGGGTTTCACCGTGTTAGCCAGGTTGTTCTCAATCTCCTGACCTCGTGATCCGCCCGCCTCGGCCTCCCAAAGTACTGGGATTACAGGAGTGAGCCACCGCACCTGGCCAAAACTGTACATTTGTAAAGGGTATTAAAACCTATTGAGAATGTGTATTTTAATATTTATGATTGTGATTTTATTTATTAATGGTTTGTTGTACTTGAAGATACTTACAAAAATACCCTGTTCTATTAAACATATTTAAAATACAAATTAATGAATAAACATAATGTTGTACTTATTGTCTAAGCATGTTGTTCTTTAACTTAGCAGTCACATCTTGGAGTCTGATGCATTGGCACTTTGTGAGTTATGAGACTCACATAATGCATACTTTACCATTCTTATTTTTGCACTCAAAATCCACACTCATACATGTTTGGATACTAAAATTACATGTATAGTTTTTTTTATATACACAAACTCATCATTTTAACCAAGGATATGAGTAATAACAACTACATAGTCATCCAGGGAATGCCATTAAAATCTGGCATAACTAACAGCAACATTTCATTCAAATTCTTTGGTGATTCAGAACACTTGATTAATGCTCTTTCCGTCCCCTCAACAGTGTTTCCTGTTCTTAGCCACATGCACAGCCACAAGCAGAAGCACCCAAACTCTGAAAAAAAAAAGCCATTATTCAAGTAGGACTGGAAACTAAGTCACTCTCAAGAATTCCAGTCACAAATCAAAAATTAGAGGGAGTCAGAGAAATGGAAATACCTGGCTCTCCATTAGAACTGTTTCCAAATATTTATTATGCATCTATTCATCACTGATTAAAAGAAACATTATTAACATGTTTGCTTCAAAGCAATAAAAATCAGCCACCATGAACATTATATAATTTATTTCTGTACAGTGCTACTAACAGAACTTGAGACTTGGTTCCATTTTTAGTCAAGGCTCTCTCGTCAATGACTAACAGAAGCAACAGAAGCCCAAATTAAATTGTCATATTGACGGTCCTGGGCTATGCTATTTGGCAACTCTGGTGAGTGGAATCTCCCAGCATACTAGGAAGGCACGGTGAAAACTGACATTTACATCAGACCGTGGCTACTCAGATTGCATATGGTAAAGAGAGTTATTGACAGTGGAACCATATTTTAGGCCATATTTTAGGTAGCTGCTGCTACCCATTAGACACAATTTTATTTTTATGTAATATAATTTCATTTCCCCAACAATGGCTAAATAATGGGTGGCATCAAACAAAATGAGGACCTCTGTCAAAAGGAGTCAACTCTTGGGTGGAGATGATTGTCTTTATCATGTGCTTTAAAGTTGGAATAGAGGCTCTTGCTCTCTAAATTCAGTCTTCATTGTCATGTGAAATCTGCCAGTAATAATTCCTTCTATTAGTGTACATCTTCAGATGAATGTTTTTAACACAAATAATTTAGAGAGGGATGCCCAAATTACTCAACATCTTCAAGCATATGAATTGTCAGATGTTTTATTCATTCATTAATTTTTTTCATTCATTCACTCACCTCTTTTATGCCTACCACTGAAATTTATAGACCACCATCTACATGTCATGCATGCTTCTATGTGGTGAAAATCTTGAGGAGTGTCCTTGAGTGGCCACCTCCGGTTAGCAGCAGAATACCAAGCTGGTAGTAGTACCCAAAGCAGGGAAAGAGGCACAGGAAAGGGAAAAGACATTTGCCAAATCCGACTCTGCTACTTCACAGCTTTGCCTAAAACTGGCAATGGTGGTCCCCACAGGTGTCCAACCCCAACCACAACTGGTGAAGTATGCAAAAGCTGCCTTGAAAAAGGGAAGTCGACTTCGGAAATACAGGATTCTCTAGAGTCATTTCATTGGTTGAGAACAAATTTTCATTAGCATTTAAAAAATGTTATGCACTAAATGCTTTAGTGGCAGAATCCAGTTAGTTTCATGGAGAAAATGCTCAACATACTAAGATGTACGTGTTCAGCAAGTCTAAAGTTGAGAATTTCATCATCTTGATCAAACCAACTCCTCTAATTTTGTTAAGTGGTTACAAACACAAGACCTGAAACCTCAAAATCACCTTCCTATACATTCCAATCTCATTCTCACGTCCCATATTGCATTATTGACCACGTTTTTTTGTTTTCAGTCTCCTTTTACAATCCTGTTGTTCTTCCCTGTGTGCCATCTCATTCTAAGTTAATATATTACCAACTTATTTCCCTGCTGTCAGTGTTTTTTGCCTTCCTAACCCTTCTGAAAACTGCCACTATAGTATCATTTTGATCATGTTGTTCACACTTTTGGTGCAATGTAAAGACTTCTAAAACTTAGCTTCAGACCCTTCTTGTACCTCAATTACAATTTGTGCTGCCACAGGCCTTTGACCCTGCTGAGCTTCAGAGAAAATCCTAACTCCTTAGCATGGTACACATGTATGTTTATTGCAGCACTGTACACAATAGCAAAGACTTGGAACCAACCCAGATGCCCATCAATGATAGACTGGATAAAGAAAATCTGGCACATATACACCATGGAATACTAAGCAGCCATGAAAAAAGGATGAGTTCATGTCCTTTGCTAGGACATGGATGAAGCTGGAAACTATCATTCTCAGCAAACTAACACAGAAACAGAAATCCGAACACGGCACGTTCTCACTCATAAGTGGGGGTTGAACAATGAGAACACATGGACACAAGGAGGTGAACATCACACACCGGGGCCTGTCGGCGGGGGTGGAGGCTAGGGGAGGGATAACATTAGGAGAAATACCTAATGTAGATGACGGGTTGATGGGTGCAGCAAACCACCATGGCACATGTATACCTATGTAACAAACCTACATGTTCTGCATATATATCCCAGAACTTAAAGTATAATAAATAAAAATAAATAAATAAATAAAAATTGTCCATGTCTATTTTGCCATCTTTTTATGTATAGCCACTCATTTTAAGGCTTCTGTTTCAGTCAAAATTGTTTACTCACCACTTCTAAATCACTCTTCATTTTTCTCCTTCCCTATATGGCTCATAATGGTTTTACAAACGCATACATAGCTACAAATTTGAGCTTTATGTAGCTTCTGACCGATCTTAAAACTTCTCTGAGTCTGATTTTCTACTGTAAAATTAAGTTTTATCATATCTAACCTCTCAACCATATAGGGTTTTTGTGAGGATCAAGTAAATCAGTATTTATTGACTTCATGTTGTATGCCAAACACTTTGCTGGTTTTAATAACATGTCTTATTAAAACTTTCCAAAAATTCTGTGACATAAGTAGATCTTATTTTCACTTTACAGATAAAGAAACTGAGGCAATAATTTGTAAATACTTTGCTATTTGACAACTATAGAAATGTATATATTTGTCTGTTTGTTCCTGATACTAAATCTTCTAGTTGACGCAATCTTAGTATTTTCTCCAACTACATTTTAAGTTCTTCTAAGGTGTAAATGATTTTGTGAATTATAACATGTTCTCTTGTGGTAGTTAATAAAGGTATTAATTGCTTTGTAAGTATTTCCAGATTTATTTTGATATACAGCTTATGTGATTGGCTGACGATTTTACTTTTCCATGAAAGGAGCTTAAAATCTTGCCCCCCAAACTTTTTGCCTATTGGATAACAGCCATGCACGTGAAAATAAAGAGGGATACCAAGAACATGAGATAAGCCTCACTTATGTGGGCTGCCTCAGAGTATGTATAAGTAGGTACAAATACAGATATTTCCTCTTTGCAAATGTTTTTAAGTGTATTAAATAGGTCAAACAAAGTTGGCCTAATGAAGGGGAAAATATCAAGGGTAATTCAAAACCATATACAGCATATTTTTACAATGTCTATTAGTGATGAGGTAACTGAGGATGCCATCACTTCACTAGTGATAAACACAATAGACGCAATAGTGACAGACGCTCATCAGACACTGGCTTTGAGAACGTGGCTTTGATGATTTACAATAGGGAAAGCAAAACTAGTTTATACTTGAGCAGGGATGTGTTTATTCTACTTATCTGAAGTTAAAGCCAATCATCACAGTGGGTTGAATGACCTTAAATCTTCATATTTGAGCAGAACTTAATGGACCATTTGCTGATAGATAAATTCCAGAAAATAAACCAGTTCCCAAATTTGTGCGTGTGTGTGTAGATACATATACACATATATATCATATATTATGTTATTAACTAAAAACAAATGTGTTTCTTTTATAGAAAAGTATAAATAATGGACTTTAAACAACTTCCTAAATAAACAAAGATGCTGTGGTCCAAAGGCTAGCTCATTCAACTGAATTTTTAAAGCCGTATTTCAAGTTTACCTAATAATTAAACATTCTTAGTTGAGGAAATGTGAATTTGATTTCTCCGTATATTTTCTTTTTCTTGATTAGAAAGAACATGCCTTGCATGGTGCTTTGATCACTAGAAGTAACCATTTTAGGTTGAGGTCCTGTAAGTCCATTCTTTTCAATATGAGACAGAACTCCTGGCACAAATTACATTTCCCTTATTGCATTGTGTTCAATTTCAAGTACCATTCTTACATCTTAATACAAGAAATATGTGTGACATTGCACCTTTTTCTGAACAATATGCTTGGAATGAAGTATGTTGTAAGGAAATTAATCCATCAACCTCTTAAGAGGGGATGATGGTTTAAGGAAACCCAGTCTGTCTTTTCAACCCATCAAGGACATGTATTTTGCCTTTATCCACTAGAGGGGGTAATGTTCTTCCATCCTAAAACACCATGGAATTATCCAGACATGATTTAAATTCACAGTGACCTTGTTTATTTTGAAATGAGGTCAATTAAATACTATATAATACAATGGATGCCAAAATCATCCATAAAAGTTGTTTTGAAAACATTTGTGACACAAAGATCAGAAGGATTTGTTGTTCTTGTTGATACTAAAATTTGCCAAATCCACGGTTGTAAAGATGGGTAAATTTGTTTTAGTTGTGAGAGGAGAATTTGTATAAAGTAATGCTTTCCATGACCATTCCAAAAAATACTATGCAATTTTTTATGTGATTGATTTCAATGTATTAGGGTTGATAATTGGATTGTTGTCTGTTTCGTTCAGTAAGGAAGAAGGTCATCTCTTTTTTATTTTCTTAAGATATATTTAGGAAATATTGGGAGAATTAAATAGATTTATAGAAGTTTATAATAAATATCATAAATACATAAATGAAATGTGATATAACATAGGTGATTAGTAGTACAAGGATTGGGATATGTGAAGATCAATAACATACTGCAGAGTTGATTTATTACATATAAATATATAATTATCACTGTTTATCATGGTAATGATTTTTCTTTTAATAAATTCCAAGTCAATAAGACAAGAATGTTTTTTTCTTTAAACCTACTGAAAAATAGTTTGAATTGCAGAATAGCTAATCCTATTTAGTTGTTAAAAGATAATCAAAATAATTGGTTAGAAATAACCAGTAGCCAAATTGATGAAATTTCATGATTATAATTAACTGTGCTATTAGGTCAGTTGTTTAGCTATTTCTATGAATAAGAAGAAGCCTAATCAAAATGCAGAATAATTAGTTCTGTTGAAAAGAAGAGATATAATTTGTAAAAAGCACGTATGTTGCATCAACCATATTTTTCATAATTCTAATTACTTTCTCAAATAAAACATACTTCTGGTTCCTAAAGATTATTTCCCTTGAGTAAAAGCTGCAGTAGTGGTTTCATATGGGTGAGTACCAGACTCACCATATAACTTTTGAAATTATTGATGCCTAGAGGGCCCCCTGTAGCAATGTGAATTCAGCAGGTCTGGAGTGGTTGCAGCACGGAAATTTTTTAAAAATTCTGCATCGACTTTAATCTGCAGCCCTGGTGGAGCATCACTGCATTGCATGAGGAGTTAATTGTACCTGACTAGGTTTTTCTTCTTGCTTTCCACCCCTAGAAGGCATACTATTAAAAATTCTTTGGAGACAAAAGAAGAAAATTATGGTAAATTATTACAACTTTTTACAGGAACACCCCCTATTGTATGAGTGAGAGTTAAGGCCTCAAAATACCTATGTGTGACAGTGAATTCCATATTATAGTGAAAATAAACATGCTTTTGAAGTCCTGTGTTGTTTCTTAGTAATTTGTGCTGCCTGGAGATCTTCCAAATACAGCTAACAAAGGCTTGTAGAAAGGACTTTCAGCATCATGAAAAAATTTTTGCTATAGACAAGAACGAATATTTACAAAACAATAATCCCAAACAGATCCAAACCCTATAAATAAGTATTGTTTTCTTGAATATTACCATAAAAATACAGTTATTTTAAAACTGAGTAACATATTTTCGTACTATATACATTAAAATAAATTATACTGAGGTGATAACTCAAATGAAGGTTTTATAATAACTGGGAAGTTAAATTATATGCAACCAAAAATAATGCATAGATGACATGCACATTTCATGTCATCTATATGTAATCTATAATTTATTTTACTATAAATAGGATCTTCAATACACATTATAATGGTTATTTATAGTGCATGATTTACTTTAATTAATATAACAACAAACAGTGGAAATGTAAAAAAAGATCCTTTTTTTTTCTCCTAGAGAGATTTTTTTCCACTCTGTTTTTCAACACTTAACTGAGAAAACACAGTGACTACAAAGGGCAGCAAGTTCCCAGGACAGTGGAAGGAATTAATGTGTGTCCAAATAATTGCAGTGTAATAGCACACCTGTATATATCAGAGATATTGGAAGCCATGAATGCACAGAAGAAAAATGTCCATCTCTGCCTATAAGAAGCCTAATGGTGAAAGTCATAGTTGTGGTCACGTTGGGGTGTGTGTGTGTGTGTGTGCATGTGCTGATAGGTGTGTGTATCAATAGATGAAAGAACAATCATTGAAGATTCAGAAACAGTCTGGGACTCATGAACTCATTCAATTTCATCAAAGTTTGTGGAGTTTCACTCGGTACAGACATAACATTTTCTGTCAAAAAGCAGATAATTCCCGAGGAGATATGTCCAAAATTAGCCAGAACATCAATGTAGAGTACGATCAACATGGAAATTGAAAGTGAGATAGAGTGTTTAAAGAGGGGAGATCTCCCCCAAGAGGTATGTGTCATTAAAGTCCAGGTAAGATTGTTTCTGGAGAAAGGAATAGCATCAAAAGTCAGAGGCAAGAAAGCATGGGAGAATACCTGGGAACAATTCTTTTCCCACTTCGGAGCATGGACTCTGCCCCTTCAACCCAGAGCACATCTTCTACTCTGGGAGCAATTTCTGAGCTCTTCCACCCAGATTAATACCTGAACTTATATTAGACTTATAATTAGAACCAGTTAAACATTTAATTATATGCTATTTTGCATTGTTTTCTGATTCTTTATTACTTTTTCAAAAATTCTTAACCCTCTACGTTATGAATTCTTTGAGGGCAGGCATTGATTTTATACACATGTGATGTCTTTCACATTGCCTACTATGCTATTCATGTGTACGGTGTGGATTTGGTAAGTATTTGTTTATTAACAGAGAACGTGACCAAATGTAGTAGTGGTAGGGTTGCCACATAAAATATAGAAAACCTAGCTAAATTTGAATTTCAGATAAATGACATAAATTTTTACTACAAAAGTACTGATGGGGCATGCTTATACTAAAAAATCATTCGTTTTTAAAAGTCAGAAATTAACATTGTTTTGTTTTGTTTTACTAAATCCGGCAGCCCTAGATGGTAGTGTATCTTTTATGGCTTTGTCAAAGTTTCCAATGTACTGAATATGAATTCCTAAACTTTCATCCAAGAATAAACTTACTAATAAGAATAGAAGAAAAACGACATTTGTGAACCAAAAAGCCAGTGACTGAAGATGAGCGAATGTACACAATTTGGTGATTGAACAGGAAAGGACGAATGTGAGAGCCTGCAGACTACACAGAAGAAAGGAGATGATACAGATTGGAGAAGAAAGTTGTCTGAAGACATAGATAGGATGGTGAGACAGCAAATAAGAACTTTGGGAGGCTGAGGTGGGCGATCACTTGAGCCCAGAAGTTTGAGACTAGACTGGGCAACACAGTGAAACTCTGTCTCTACAAAAACACAAAACAAAAAATTAACCAGGTGTGGTGGCATACGCCCATAGTCCCTGCTACTTGGGAGGGTGAGGTGGGAGAATCACCTGAGCCCAGGGAGGTCGAGGCTTCAATGAGCCATGATCGTGCCACCGCACTCCAGCATGGGCGACAGAGTGAGACCCTGTCTCAAAACAAACAGGCCAGGCGTGGTGGCTCATGCCTGCAATCCCAGCACTTTGGGAGGTCGAGGTGGGCGGATCACCTGAGGTCAGGAGTTCAAGACCAGCCTGGCCAATGTGGTGAAAACCCCATCTCTACTAAAAATACAAAATAGCCGGGCATGGTGGCAGGTGCCTATAATCCCAGCTACTCAGGAGGCTGAGGCGAGAATCGCTTGAACCCAGGAGGTGGAGGTTGCAGTGAGCTGAGATCGCACCACTGCACTCCAGCCTAGAGGACAAGAGCGAGACTTTGTTTCAAAAACCAAACAAACAAATGAAAAACAAAAAGAGGCAGGAGAAGCCAGTTTTTATGAAACAGCAAAAAGGGAATTAAACACTTAAAAGAGAAAAAAGAGCAAGGCTGAAAAATTGAAGAGAAGTGGAGTAGAAAAAAAAAAGCAGGTGATGAAAAAATAGAAATAGATTGAGGAGGTGTGAAGAATAACAGACCCCTCCCTTCTCTCCTCCCCACCTATGCGCCCAGGGGATTTATCTGTTGCTGCTGGTGGTGGTGCAGATGTCACCAGTCACCCTGGGAGCACAGATAAGGATTCACCTGCTCTTCTTCTCAGGAGAGCCAAGGTGCAGAGCTGGCCAACAATTACAGCAAAAGAAGCATCAAATCAACTGGAGTGAGGGAAGCAGACAGGGCTACGGAGAGGAAGCAGTGAGAGCATGCACCAATGTGCATACACACACACACACACGCACACACACAAAATAGAAACAAACCAAATCTCTGCTTACTGGGATGGTGTGGCAAAGATAAGTTCTAGGGAGGAAACATGGGCTAGAATAAAAGTCTTTAAAACACGGGTTCATATGATATACCATGACAAGAGTAAAGTGTAAGGAACATTTTTTAAAATTTATGACAAATAATTTGTATTTTATTGTCTGGTGGCTCTTTCTGAATTGCTCCAGACAGCATTTTTTTCTTCCCAAATTACACAGGGAAGGATAGAGAATACTGAATCTCCTATCATTGGCTTTATGTAGACTGGGAGACTTCTTTTTCCTTCCTTCAGGAAGTGTTGAGGCATTAGCCAACCAGGAAACAACCACAGGTAAGTAACACTTTTAATTCATCTTCAAAATTCTGTGACACTTGCCTAGAGTCCTAGGTCACTGCTTGATGGGCAGTTGTGTAAGCCAAGAACTTGCTTCCTCATTTTAGCTCCCTGCCTAGTTTAGTGGCTTATTGCTCATAATACACTGGTAAATGGGATGAAATACAAAATAAATTTGGATGATCTTGAAAATAAACCTTACTTATGACTCTGCTTCCTAACACAGATTTTGTATGTGTAGGGGAAAGATAGGAGGTGGTTTGCTGAAGAATTTTATTGTTTTGTTTCCAAAACTAATGAAGAACAAAGAAAATCTGAGCTGATGGCTCAAGTTTGTTTTCAATTCAACTTCAAAGAGGGAAAACCTACTTTCCTAGGGAGCTGTGGAAGGGCTGCTCAACTCTCCTGACTTGAAAACCTGTAAATCAGCTGTGCTGTCAAGAGACCACTTTCCAGGAATAAACCATCATTTTCTCCTCTGTCTCCTTCTTGTCTTTCATGAATACCATTAGAGAGAATTAAGAACTATAGGCTACATACTCTTGTATTTTTATAGATTATTAGTTGTATGTCCGAAAACTAATGTTAAAGTACTTGTGTCAACCTAGAAGATGATCTCTAGAGGCAAGCCAAAGGGTTCTGTCTTGTCTAGTTTATCATTATTTGTCGGAGACTTAGATGAAGATATAAAGGAATGCTCATCAAATTTGCATGTGAGTATTATTTTGGGAGTAGAGAGAAATCCATGTATGATGGAATTAACATCCGCAAAAGCCAAAACCAAGAACTCTAACACGTGAAAAGAAGGGCCAAATCTAACAGCATGAAACTTATGTAGGTAAATTTAGATCATAACCCTTGGATCTCTCTCTCTTTCTCTGACACACACAGACACATACAAACACACGCACAGCTGCATTCCTGTCAACTGAAAGGAGCATGGCTTATTGGCACCTGAATAACAAAGGTTCATGGATTTTTATTTCAATAAAACCCAGCAATATGATGTGGCTGCTGAGAAAGCTAATGGCCCTTTTGAATGTGGTAATAGACTTGTAATGGCTTGAATGAGGGAAGTGATTGTCTTGCTCCCAGAGCTGGCTGGAACAATTCTGGTGTGTTACATTCAGTTCTGAGGATCTGGGAAACATTGAGAAACTAGACTACATTTGAAAGGGAATAATCCTTGAGTAAGGAAATTCAAAACGATTCCCCATGAGTTGTACCTGAAATATTACCTATAGAAGAGAAGGGTCATAGGCAATGAGAGTTAGCTCAATTTATTCATCAAATATCTGAAGGGCTATTAAATGGAAAAGAAATCAGACATGTTCTCATGAATGGTAAAGCTAGAGCTAATAAATTGATGTTACAAGGAAATAGATATTGGCTCAATATAAAGAAATACTGTCTGTCTGAACTTAGAATTAGTTTACAGGAGTTCATTCCCCAATAGTAGAAATTCAAGGACAGGCTTGGAAAACCACTGGGTTAGGTGTTAAGGGATTCCTCAAAACGATAAAGGTATTAGATAATATTTAAGGCCCAGGAAACAGTATAATCTGGTCAGTAAATTTACATTTTCTCAAGTCAAACAAATTGGATCCAAAATTTAGTCTATGTGAAACTGACAAAATATGTAACGGCTTTTTTCCTCAGTTTCATCTTCTATAAAATAAAAATATTAATAGAAATTAATTCAGGATTATTAGGAAGATTAACTGAAAACATGCATGTATAGTGATTAACACAGAGTAATTATTTAATAGATGATGCTTTGCTTCATTTTAAGATTTAGGTACCTTCCAATCCAGGCAGTTGGAACTCATTTGTTATAAAAGCTTATGTTTCATCTGGACAGTCTGCAATGGGTCTTCTTTCAAAATTCCCTAGCGGTACAGAGCTTGGCATTAATTAATTAATTTATTTGTCATCCCTCAGCGTGATACAGAAGCTATGAAGAAGGCTTAGAATTTATTCACACTCTGCCAGCTAAGACGGGAGTGCAGTTATAGCGTAATAAGTACCTAGAAAATGTTTATTTCTCGTCAGTAGTAATGTTACCTTGGGAAAATGTAGAAGAGAAGAGGTAAATACATAGGTCTTGATTTCAATCTTATGACAAACTCCTCACATATAATTTGCACCCCATTAATTAACTTAGAGTGTTTTTTATCATTGCTTCTGATGTTTGCTATTAAAATATAAACAGTACTACAAGGGGGAGCTACGACTCTGAAAATATGAGTTATGGGCAATCGGAAGAGACGTTCTGGATAAGAAGACAGGGAGGGATGATGCATCCAGGCTAGTGGGGGAAGCAATGAGTACAAAATATTTGGATCACAGGGCAATAGCATTCAAAAATGGACCTCCAGATGTATGATATACATTACCTTCTTCTCTAAAGATAGTCTTTGCACACAAGAAATATATATAGGTATACATTTGTGTATATATATATGCAAAGATTATACCTTTAGAGAAGAAGGTAATATATACTGAACACCTTTGCATACATGTGTATATAACTATGTGTATTCATGTATGTGTATGTGTATATATGCAGGGATTTGGGATATTAAGCATATCATGGATATGCAACCTGTGCAGTTGCACAGGGCCACATGCATAGCAGGACCCCACTCTTGGTTTAATTCTATGCTGTATCAGGATTAAAATTCTTAGTAATTTTTGAACATGGAGCAAACTTTTTAATTTTGCACTGCATCCTGCTTATACATAGGGGTATGTGTGTGTGTACATAATCTTCAAAGGGAAAGGGACTTTACTATTTGTCTAATTGAGCATTTCCTCTTACCTCCATTTTATCATTCTCCATGCTTTTCTGTTACACAGATGCCTCATTATTGTTTTTGCTTTCATTTTTATACATATTTACCTTTCATTTATATATTATATAAATATATATATATACATACATTATATATAATTTTTTTTCAGACAAGGTCTTGCTCTGTCACCCAGGCTGAAGTGCAATGGTGTGATCTCGGCTCCCTACAGCCTTCACCTTCCGGGCTGAACCAATCCTCCCACCTCAGTCTCCCAAGTAGCTGGGACCACAGGCGTGCACCACCACACTCAGCTAGTTTTTGTACTTTTTGTAGAAACAGGATTTCATTGTATTTCCCAGGCTGGTCTTGAACTCTTGAGCTCAAGCAATCTGCCTGCCTTGGCCTCCAAAAATGCTGGAATTACAGGTGTGAGCCACTATGCCCAGACTCGTTTTTATATTTTGAATAACACCAGTGGTGAATACTGATATAATCCTTCTAGTTATTTTTAAATAAATATAGATTAATATATATGTATATTATTACTTTTTTACATACATGAGATCATACAATCCATCTTCAGTCCTATTTCACTTGAAGACATGCATTAGAGATCTTTACAGATAGGCACATATAGATCATCATGATTTCTGGAGATTACTAATGCGACAGTCTGTCCTCCTTATCCATGGGTTTTACATCGGTGGATTCAACCATCCTAAATATTCAGAAAAATAAATGGATGGTTGCATCTGTACTGAACATGTATGAAAACTTTTTTCTTGTTATTATTCTCTAAAAATACAGAATAACAACTATTTACATAGCATTATATTGTGTTAGGTATTATAAATAATGTAGAGATGATTTAAAGTATATGGGAGGATGTGTGTAGGCCATTTGTAAATACCAAGCCATTTTATATAAGGAACTTGAGCGTCCATGAATTTTGGTACTTTTGGGGGACAGAGTCCTGGAACCACCATGGGGTAACTATAATTTAGTAGGTCATCCATAAGTTATTACAGTACCCTGGGATGTGATTTATCTGAATGGGAAGGTCTGGATTATTTTAGTGCAATAGGTAATCTCTTGTTATTTCTGCATATTTCGGACTTCAACTGCCTTTTGGCCACGTTTACTCTACACTTTCCAGCTTTGTAAGACTATTTTTTTTGTTTGTTTGTTTTTTGAGACGGAGTCTCTATCTGTTGCCCAGGTTGGAGTGCAGTGCCACAATCTCAGCTCACTGCAAGCTCTGCCTCCCGGGTTCATGCCATTCCTCTGCTTCAGCCTCCTGAGTAGCTGGGACTACAAGCACCTGCCACCACGTCCAGCTAATTTTTTGTATTTTTAGTAGAGACAGGGTTTCACCGTGTTAGCCAGGATGGTCTCGATCTCCTGACCTTGTGATTCACCAGCCTCGGCCTCCCAAAATGCTGGGATTATGGGCGTGAGCCACAGCACCCGGCCTGTAAGACTATTCTTAATAGAAAGATAGAAACAGTATAGGAATGATGTCATTGGCCTACCACCCTCTCTTCTGTAAAAATTATGTAAATTATCTTAAACAAGAGACCTAATTCTTCCTTTTTATTTTTCTGCTAAGTAGCTAAAAATCTTATTTGGTTGGCTTCAAGGTTTTTTCCTTTGCCAATAATCTCTACTTATTCTGGACTTTTATATTTTTGGACAGTGTTTTCACATATTCATGTCATTCTTTGGTATTCATTCTTATCTCCTCTTTTTGTGAAGTGTGCTTATCTCCTTCAAATCTGAGCTCAGCAGACAGTTCCCTGGGCTACGTTACGTGCCCCTTTGCTTTATCCTCACTGAAATAATTAAGTTACTACTAATTAAGGTAATACAGAGAATCCCCCTCAACAACTTCTCGGTAGTTTATTTGTTAGAATCTCTGATAATTGATCAAAACAATTTTCTTTCCTCTTTACAAATAAGTTTCAATTCTTGACTCACATACCCAAAATAAGCATAAATAATGAGGTTTTGAGGAGACATTAGTAGTATCCAGGTACAGAAGAAGTACATGTGCCTAAACCAAAGCAAGCCCAAAGTGGTTTAGTATTAGTCATAGCATTAGCAGAATGAATGAATGAATATATGCATGAATTTAAGACCAGGACTTTATAATATTTGCTCCTTTAGATGAACATATAATTTAGCTAATCTTTTTAGTTATTACAGGGTTTTTTTCTTCTCAATTTCCTTTCTTGCATTTTAACCTTGATTAAGCTATGGAGTAAAATCATAAATTAAATGTAAAATTCTTACATTTTTTGAAGGACTGATTCCTTAAAAAATCAGAGTCTCAACACAATAGTAAGATATTGTGATTTTTGTCCTAAAGCAAAATGGGATACAATAATAAGGGATGTGACCACTGATCTAAATTGTTGTAAAAGAGTAAAATTAAATCAGAACTCTGAAATAATATGAGCACATTCTTTGTGTGTTTACCTTTTTTGGTCCATAGCTTTTATCAGATTCTGAAAGAGGTTATATACCTCCAAATATTAGAAAACACACAAGACACAATTTTATAATAATAAAAACAGACGAAATTAACATTTTAGCATGTATTTAGATATGTAGACTATGTTAATTTCAAAAGTCAGTTGTAAAGCTCTTGTGATAACTGAAAATAAATTCACCATCCACTTTTGATTAAGAGGCCTAAAACTAAATTATGATTTTAAAACTTGTAAGGTATTTTCCACATTATGCTCTGTTTTAACTATGGGTTCTGTAGAATATATTTCTATATTAGTTGATATGATCATATGATATTTTTTCAGCCTGTTAATGTGACAGATTACATTGATAGAGTTTTGAATGTTAAATTAGCTTTGTGTAATTAGAATAAATCCTACCTGGACATGGGATATAATTCTTTTTATACATTGTTGGATTTGATTTTCTAATATTTTGTTGAGGATTTTTTGTCTGTCTTTGTTCATAAGAGAAAGTGGTCTGTCACTTTCTTTTCTTGTAATGTCTCCATCTGGTTTTAGTATTAGGGCGACGCCTCATGGAATGAGTTAGGAAGTATTCCCTCTGCTTCTAAAGGAGATTGTGGAGAACTGGTGTTCTTTCTTCCTTCAATGTTTGGTAGAATTCACCAATGAAACCATCTGGGCCTCCTGCTTTCTTTTTTAAAAGATTAATAATTATTGATCCAATTTCTTTACTGGCTCTAAGGCTATTCAGGCTATCTATATCTCCTGGTATGTGTTTTGGTAGTCTGTGTTTTCCATGAAAAAATGGTTCATTTCATCTAAGTTATCCAATCTATTGGCATATAGTTTTTTAATAGTATTTATTTGTTATTTTTTTTTTCTGTTAACTTTATTTCTGATGAAATATTAACTTTTTTGCTTGTTTTAGGCTTAAGTTTCTCCTCTCTAATTTTCTAAGGTAAGCTGAAGTATCACATTTTAGATATTTTTCTTTTACAACATACGCATTTAATGCTATACATTTTCTTCCAAACATTTCTTTGCTACACCCCACAAATTTTAGTAAATTATAATTTTATTCTCATTTAGTTTGAAATGTTTTTAAATTTCTCTTGAAACTTCTTCTTTGGCCCATGGATTATTTAGAATTATGCTTTTTAATATTTATATTTCCAAATATTTGTGAATTTTCTAGACATCTTTCCTATTGATTTCTACTTTAATTAAACCGTGGTTGGAGAACATACTTTGTATAATTTTCGTGTTCTTAAATTTGTTGAGGGTGTTTTATGGTGAAAATGTGGTCTGTCTTGGTAAATGTTCCTCAGAAGCTTGAGATGAATGTATATTCTGCTGTTGAATGGAGTAATCTATAGATGTCATTAGATCAAGGTGATTGATAATACTGCTCAGGTCATCTATAGCCTTGATTTTTTTGCCCACTGGCTCTATCAAAGGGATGGTGAAGTCTCCACCCATAACATTGACACAGGGATGGTGAAGTCCCGCCTCTAACAATGGATTTGTCTAGTTCTCTTTTCATTTTTATTAGTCTTCTTTCATGTATTTTGACACTCTTGGTAATGCTTCCATGTTTACGATTGTTGTCTTCTTGGAGAATTGTTCCCTTTATCCTTATGTGGTACCCCTTTTTATTCCTGATAATGTTGCTCATTCTGTAGTTGGCTTTGTCTGAAATTCATTTAGCTACTCCAGCTTTCTTTTGATTACTTTTAGCATGATATATCTTTTTCTATCCCTTTACTCTTAACCTGAGTGTTTAAGTTTAAAGTGGGTTTCTTGTAGATAACATATAGTTGTATCTTGTCATTATCCACTATGACAATAGTGTCTTTTATTGGTGTATTTAGACGATTCACATTTAAGGAATTATTGATACACAGTTGACATTTGAACAATACAGGTTTGAACTGCGTGGCTTCTCTTTTTTTTTTTTTTTAGTGTTTGGGTGACCCCAGGCAATTTTATTACTTTATCCCTGAACTTCAGTTGCCTCATCTATAAGATGGGGATAATAATAGCACCCATTTCATAATTATGAAGATTAAATACATTAAGGAAAACACTAGTATGTGCCTAGCACCTGGTAAACACTCAACAAAGGTTATCTGTACATATTGATATCTCAGACAGGGACGGAATGTTTAACAGAAAACAGGAGGTTTTAGCCACTCACTTGTTCTCCTGGCTCCGGAAACATGAGCTGCCCCGCCCCAGTTTGTCCAAGCCCATCAAGATAGTTGTCCTTGTCCTTAATCTCCACAGGTGTTCAATGTGAGCCAACTGTCAGATGGCATTCATCTTCACAATTGAATAACCCATTTATGCCTAGTGTTCCATTATTGGAACGCTAAGCTTATGGGAGTTATTTATATCCTACTGTTCAA